>NC_000013.11:99377979-100002979 GCF_000001405.40 Homo sapiens | reverse complement strand
GAGATTGAGACCATCCTGGCCAACATGGTGAAACCCCGTCTCTACTAAAAATATAAAGATTAGCTGGGCGTGGTGGTGCGTGCCTGTAATCCCAGCTACCCAGGAGGCTGAGGCAGGAAAATCACTTGAACCCGGGAGGCGGAGGTTGCAGTGAGCTGAGATCACGCCATTGCACTCCAGCCCGGGTGACAAGAGCGAAACACCGTCTCAAAAAAAAAAAAAAAAAAAAAAAAAAAAGAAAGAAAAGAAAAGAAACCCTGTCTCTACTAAAAATAAAAAATTAGCTGGGCATGGTGGTGTGTGCTTGTAATTCCAGCTACTTGAGAGGCTGAGGCAGGAGAATGGCTTTAACCCAGGAGGCAGAGGTTGCAGTGAGCTGAGATCGTGCCATTATACTCCAACCTGGGCAACAAGGGCAAAACTCCGTCTCAAAAAAGAAAAAAGTTCAAAATGCTGAATCTGAGTTTAGCAACAGAGGCTCATCTCAAAGACTGCCTAGATATGGCTAATGTTTAAGAACAAATAAATAAGTTATGTATGCATTGACTATTCTGTTCATAATTTATTGTCTGGCTTTCAGCAGATGGCTGGCATTCTTAGGAACTGTTTACATATCAAAAAGGTATTTGTTAAGCTCAGCAAAGTTTTCACCTGCCAATTTAGGAGTTTATCAGTGTGTATACACATCTGTGTCTGCGTGAGTGTACTGGGAAGAGGAATAGTCTCAACTACTCCCCAACTATAAAATCTAAGTTGTTTCCATCACTAGAGTTCATACATATGAGAGCAATTCTGAAAGCATAAGAAGAAAACCACCTGAAATGTATTCCTATGACAGACTGAAAAGCCTCCTGGGTGTAAACTTATCTTAAGCAAGAGAAGATCAAGTAGTTTCATTTAGAAACAAAGCTTTGGGCGGGGTGCGGTGGCTCATGCCTGTAATCACAGCACTTTGGGAGGTCAAGGCAGGCAGATCACGATGTCAGGAGATCGAGACCATCCTGGCTAACACGGTGAAACCCCATCTCCACTAATTAGCCAGACATGGTGGCAGATGCCTGTAGTCACAGCTACTCTGGAGGCTGAGGCAGGAGAATGGTGTGAATCCAGGAGGCGGAGCTTGCAGTGAGCGGAGATGGCGCCACTGTACTCCAGCCCAGGCGACAGAGCAAGACTCTGTCTCAAAAAAAAAAAAAAAAAAAAGAAAAGAAAAAGAAAAAGAAACAAAGCTTTGGTGCTTAGTGGAGTAATTTTGAAAGTACCATAGTGCCTGATACTGGAAATTATCTCTACCACAACTACTTTGGATTCAAATCTAGGTTCTAAGAAAAGAGAGAGGTATAAGTAAAAATGAAAATATCTGTTTCTATTAAAACCAGTAACAAAATACATTGCAAACCATTTTGAAACCCTTTGAGACAGTACAGCACAGATAATTAACAATAAATACCTCAGAGCTTTAGCATCTCTATATTACCCATACAGTCAACACCAGCTGTAACCAGGAAAAGCAGCAACAATGCACACAGAAGAGATGCCTGACAAGAGGGGGAACACCCAGCAGACCTATCATCAGTGTATGCAGGCCAGGCGCGGTGGCTCACACCTGTAACCCCGGCACTTTGGGAGACCGAAGTGGGTGGATCACCTGAGGTCAGGAGTTTGAGACCAGCCTGGCCAACATGGTGAAACCCCGTCTCTACTAAAATACAAAAATAGGCCGGGTGTGGTGGCATGCACCTGTAATCCCAGCTACTAGGGAGGCTGAGGCAAGAGAATTGCTGGAGACTGGGAGGCGGAGGTTGCAGTGAGTTGAGATCGCGCCACTGCACTCCAACCTGGGTGACAGAGTGAGAATCTATCTCTAGAAAAAAAAAAGAAAAAAAACCAACAACAACAGTGCATGAAAACACAGGGTGTGGCAAAATCACCAGAAGAAGGTAAATAGTTGGAGAAGAGGTTTAGGTTTTTGTTGTTGTTGCTGTTGTTGAGAGAGTTTCACTCTTGTTTGCCCAGGCTGGAGTGCAATGGCGCGATCTCGGCTCACTGCAACCTCCGCCTCCTGGGTTCAAGCAATTCTCCTGCCTCAGCCTCCCAAGTAGCTGAGATTACAGGCATGTGCCACCATGCTCAGCTAATTTTGTATTTTTAGTAGAGATGGGGTTTCACCACATTGGTCAGGCTGGTCCCGAACTCCTGACCTCAGGTAATCTACCCACCTCAGCCTCCCAAAGTGCTAGGATCACAGGCGTGAGCCACCGTGCCTGGGCCAAGAAGAGGTTTAAAATGCAATATGCTATTATATACTAAGTCTAGTAGTCTAACAGACTTGCTACTGAAAATACCTGAGATGGCCAGGCGCAGTAGTTCACGTCTGCAATACCAGCACTTTGGGAGGCCGAGGCAGGGCTCAATCGAGGCCAGGAGTTTGAGACCAGCCTGGCCAACATGGTGAAACCCCGTCTCTACTAAAAATACAAAAATTAGCTGGAAATTGCATGACCCAGGGAGATGGAGGTTGCAGTGAGCTAAGATCGCGCCACTGCACTCTAGCCTGGGCAAGAGAGTGAGACTCCAACTCAAAAAAGAAAAAAAAATACCTAAGACATCTCTTGAACACCTTAGAAATATCCGGATGGGGTTTTACTAAAGGCTGGGGTATCATTTTAAGAAGGGCAAGAGCATCGCTAATGCATACAGCAAAACAATCAGGCCTAATTTAACAGTTGGTCAAGGATTGAGAGAGGCTTCAAACCCTTACATTAAGAATGTTGTGGCCGGGCACGGTGGCTCATGCCTGTAATCCCAGCACTTTGGGAGGCCGAGGCAGGCAGAAGATGAGGTCAGGAGATCGAGACCATTCTGGCCAATATGGTGAAAACCCGTCTCTATTAAAAATACAAAAGTTAGCTGGGCATGGTGGCTTGTGCTTGTAATCCCAGCTACTTGGGAGGCTGAGGCAGGAGAATTCCTTGAATGAGGGAGTCACAGGTTTCAGTGAGTCGAGATTGTGCCACTGTACTCCAGCTTAGGGACGGAGTGAGACTCCATCTCAAAATAAATTAATTAAAAAATAAAAAATAAAAAATAAAAATTGCTGGGGGAATACCACTTAGGAAGTGAATTTGTAACCTGTTCCTTAAGTCCACAATCCAGTCAATTTTTGTTACTACACTGACGATAATTATACTATGAGCATGATGTTTTAAAATCAAGATAGTTCTGACTTTATAAAAGCATTTGGTTATTTTAATAATTGAAAACTCCTACATTTCCCTCTAGTTTAGACATTTTAAAACAGCTAGAAATAGAATGTCCAGAGAAATCTTTCTCAGAATGACAACCAATATGAAAAATATCATCCAATGAACTAAAGCAGGGGAGTACTGCTGAAGTTTAATCTAATTTCCACACAGTATACACCATTTTACTATAAAATAATACTTTGTACTTACCTTCCTCAGAAGAAAACATCCTCCTTCCTCTTCTTCTTATTTTTGAGACAGAGTTTCGCTCTTGTTGCCCAGGCTGGAGTGCAATGGTGCAATCTCGGCTCACTGCAACCTCCACCTTCCAGGTTCAAGTGATTTTCCTGACTCAGCCTCCGGAGTAGCTGGGATTACAGGCATGCACCACCAGGCCCAGCTAATTTCGTATTTTTAGTTAGGGACGGAGTTTCTCCATGTTGCTCAGGCTGGTCTCGAACTCCCAACCTTAGGCAATCCACTTGCCTCGGCCTCCCAAAGTCCTGGGATTACAGGCGTGAGCCATGTATGGCCAAACCTCCTTATTATTATTTTAGCTTTCTAGGGACGAGAATGAATACAAATGGTTTTGTGGCCCAGATCTCAAATTAAAGCCCAGACCTCAACCCTCTTACTGTCTTTTTTTGCCAGAAGCAGCACTAACCCTCATTCTAACAAGGAGGGAGGGATGTCATAGCAATGTCACAGCAGCAGACACTTTGAAGGAGAAAGACCAGAAAGGAAAAATGGAGAAAGGATAGGAGGCTGAAAGGAAAAGACAGAAAAACAACTCCAGGGCTGGGCACGGTGGCTCACGCCAGTAATCCCAGCATTTTGGGAGGCTGAGGCAGGTGGATCACCTGAGGTGAGGAGTTCTAGACCAGCCTGGCCAACATGGTGAAACCGTCTCTCTTCTAAAAATACAAAAGTTAGCCAGGTGTGGTGTCGGGTGCCTGTAGTTCCAACAACTCGGGAGGCTGAGGCAGGAGAATCATTTAAACCAGGGAGGCAGAGGTTGCGGTGAGCCGAGATTGAGCCACTATATACACTCCAGTCTGGGCGACAGAGTGAGACCTCCGTCTCAAAAAATAAAAATAAAAAATAAGAAAAGGAACTCCAAAATACTGAGTTGAGTATAGACGCTCTAGTATAGAAACTGCAGACCACTGGACCGTCTCTCACGAACTGGTCAAACTCCTCCTGGGCTTTCCTAGACAGGGGTGGGGACAGACTCACAGGGCTGAGCTGAGGACAGAGCCCCACCAGGCGCTGTCAGGGCGGTTTCCCGACCACACGTCCCTGTCCAAAAACAACCGCACAGCAAATGTGGCTATGCCAAGTCCTTCAGGTATCAGTTAAATCTCCTCCTCTTCTGTATGAATTTGTATTATTTATAAGACACTTGACACACGTTTAAACACTTACATTACTCCTGCGACTCAGGAAATAGAGCTTGTTCAGCTGAGGGAAAAAAAGCATGTAATGAGGGAGTTAACAAGGACTGATATTTTTTTACAACATTCTTTAAAAACTGAAAAACCTCTTTAAACACCAGGAACAGCTTAAATAATTCACTGTAGGCCTAAGGGGCCCCTGTGGACGTTTCCCCCGCGGGTCCCTTTCTGGCCTCGGCCTCCCCGACTGTCATCCGCCAAGGTGGGCCCGGAGGGCGACGGGCTCCAGGCCTCGGTCTCAGCGGTCCTCCGGCTTCCGGGACCCACAGGGGCCCTGGGCTGGGTGGGGGCCAGCCGGACCTGGGGAGGCCGGACCCCGGAAGTGGGTAGAGGCGGGCCGTGCCTTTTGACCCCTGGGTGCGCGGAAAGTCGGTAGCAGGCGGAAGTGCGGCCCTCGAGGCGGTCGCGGCCTGTCGGGGCTTGGAGCGAATGGCTCCAAGGCCGCAGGCTGGGCCTGGGCCGCAGCCGTGGGAAGCCGACGATGCCTGAGGCGCTCTGTCCTCGGCCCACCCTAGGAACTTGTATGACCGCAGGAAAGGATCAGGAGAGGCCGCTGCCCGTCTCCCACCGGCTCTAGGCTCCCTCGGCCGACCGATGTGGGGAAGGGGAAGGGGCCCGCGCCGAGGCTCTAGGGGAGGCTCCTAGGCCGGGTTCTCTGACTTAAGGCCCTCTTGGCTGTGGTTTTGCGGGAGTGAGTTGAGGGAGCTGCATTCACTCAAGTCCCTCACATGCCCGAGGGCCCGGGAATCGTGAAGCCGGGCCTGCGGACCCGGTGGGAGGAAGGAGTGCGAAGCGCGGCCGCCGTGCTCGGCCGGCGCCGGGCTAGGTCGGGCGGTGGGGACCGCGCCGGCATAGGACAACGCGGTGGAGGGAAGCACCTGCCCCCGCCCACCTTGACTCAGGGCCGCCGCGCCCCTCCTGGGCCATCCGCGCGGGGGTCTCAGGATGGCGAAACCCGGGACCTCGCGGCCCTCTAGTGCTCCCCTGCCAGGGTGCGACCTAGGTACCCTTTATCGAGCCCCACTCCCCAAGGCAGAGAGAGTTCGACGTTCCCAAGGAGGGAGTCTCCATGGAGGAATTCGTCCTGCTTCACTTCCAGAGTTGAAAGCCCGTCGGTTCTGCAAAGAGGAGCAGTCGGGCGCGGGCTAGCAAGCAGCTGATGAAAATAATTGTCCTCGCACACACAGCCCTGCGCCCAGGGGCGCGCGCGCGCACACACACACACACACACACACACACACACACACACACAACTTGCCTCCTCTAGCCGCCCAACCTTAATATTCCGGGCATGCAGTTTTCAACAACTTGCCTGACACAATAACAAAGACATTTAAATGCCAGGACGCAGACTTCACTTTTTAACCTGCTGAGAGGAGCTACTTTCAAAGCTTCCCCACCGCGAATAAACTGACAAAAAATATGGGGTGCACTTATAAATTAAACACCTTACCCTCAAAGCAATATACGTTAATCAGGTTTCTAAGGCAATAGCCATCTCTGTCTTTTCCTATTCACCCAAATAATGCCCCCAGAAGGAACCCCTTTACACAAGAGAGAACTGGAAAAAAAATGAATTATACCCATTGCTAGTAAAAAATCATCTTAAATCAATAGAGCACCACTTGAACTTGAGTTTCTATTGTTTCACTGAATCATCAATGTTTTTAATTAAACAGAGCTACCCTTTCTGTTAAAACATTACATAAAAGGGTTAGGTTTCTACTTTTGTTGAGGCAGCTGGCGTTTGTTGGCTGTTGTGTTTGAGCAACAGACTGTTCAATGGAAGCGAGAAATAGCTCAACGCGCTCTTAATAGACCTGTTTCAACAATGTATCTTGAAAAGGAATACATTGTGTTATTGTGTTAGTTTGCTACAAACCTATTAAAAGAAAAATAGCATCCATCAGGTCTAACAAGACGCATTTGTATTATACGTACTTATCTGCTTCAAATACACTTCTTGGCACAATGTCTAGAATTCAACTAGATCATCAGGAGCTGGGCAGAAGAACGCATACCAGTTAGGTAATGATACACGGGCTAAAAATAATAATAAAGGAAGGACTAAGCAGACGGTAATTGCTACTTTTTTGTGTATCATGAGAAATAACAGGCAACCCTACTTCAATTAAAAATATATTGCAAAAGTGTGGACTCCTACGACAAAAACAATTTAAAAAATATTTGTAGCATGGGAATATTGATCCATATCCCATATTTGGAACGAATCTGATACACTTTCGATAGGAATTTGTTTCAGAGAAGGATTCAGGGCAGAAGCGATGCATTTTTAAAGCAGAATTAAAACAGCGCAAAGAGCCCGGCTCTTTAGGGAAATGCGCGAAACAAACAAATCGAAAGCAAGCGTTCCAGCCAAGTGGTTGGGGAGCACCGTTGTCTGGCACTAGGAAAGGAAGTGCTTCTTGAAAGTGTTCTCTTAAAAATGATTTTCCAGACTTATTTTATTGCATTTTAATCACAAAGTGAAACTTAAAGCAAAGAAACAGGACATTCCCGCTACCGAACAGAACCTATCGTCTATTGCAGGAATGACTGCTACTTGGACCACAGACCTTTAGAAAAAACAGAGAGGCAAATGATTAGGCTAATTTAACGCGGAGATCTGCTTAGCAGAAAAGACACCCAAAGTAGCATCTGTCAGAGGAAAACATCTTTTGCTTCCACACAAGGCACTCGATTTGGTTTCCAACCTTGAGTCCTCAACATTCAACTTTCAAGTGCAACAATGTTGGAGGCACAAGAGAATAGTAGATTACCTACAAGTGAACACAATTGTACGGAAAAGAGACTTACATAAGTTACAATGGCACCCTATGTGAGATATCTACTTTAACAAATATGTAGAGCAATATTTTGCCCAATAAAGTCAATCATTTGTTACATTTTTGAATAAGTAAATTATCACATGAAGATTTAGAAAAATGTTACCCTGAAACATTAAACGATAGTTTTGCCATATTACAAAATAGCTATTTTAAACTTTTGTATAAGGCATTTGAAGCCAAATGGCTGATATGACTGTTCTCTTCAGCTGGAACATTTTTTTTCTTCTCAAGAAGGGTGTGTGTGAATGATGTGTGTGCATACTGGAGGTAGTTGAGAAGAATTTGATTAATACATAAGACTTTTCACTAATGTCTCCCCTCTAATCCAAATTTACTTTTTAAATTAATTCACTTGGATTTAAAAACAGAAATGAGATAATAAACCACAAATTACACATTATAAAAATTAGTTTCTCCAATGTATATGATTTTTGGAAGAGTGCATTTTCAAGGTGAGAATTTTTGATGTGTCTGATAATCTGCCAGATATGAGAGGAATGTCACAATAAAATTGGTTTTGCCATGATATGAAATGTTGTTGCTGAAGCTTTATAAAGTCTTTGATTTACATTTAGAACTTTTAGAAATATTTGTGTGTCTGAAGTTGAACTACCTAGAGGGAAATATTCAATCCATTTTAATTTCAAGAGATTGTTCAAATAAACAAAGAATCACCAATGATATCATTTGAAAACCCAGCAAAGGAAGAAGTGTATTTTAGAGGAAGACTGTAATCTGATTCTTTGTTTTGTTCTTGG
Source organism: Homo sapiens (assembly GCF_000001405.40). Taxonomy (NCBI): domain Eukaryota; kingdom Metazoa; phylum Chordata; class Mammalia; order Primates; family Hominidae; genus Homo; species Homo sapiens. Next base: position 99,994,673 of record NC_000013.11, on the reverse strand, counting down.
TCTTTAAAATCCTTGATTCTCCACTTTCGCAAAGAATTTTCAATAGTATATGAAAGCCAAATATTTTTATTGATCTAAAGTTTAAAAAAGTCCACATAGTATGTACTATAATTTGTCTCCCTTTAAACAATAGGAAGAGTATTATTAGATTACTAGATTACTTTCTATATCCCTCCCAAATTGTTCCTAGAAAGAAACTTCTGATCTGTTAATTTATCATCACTAATATCTAAAAATGTTTTAACCAATCAAACCATAAAAATATTTTTACTGCCATTGATCTTAAGCAGCATCTAATTTGAAAGATTTTACAGAGTACATTTTCAAAGCATCAAGCATCTTTACAGTTTCTTGGTCTGCCTTCAGTAGGTAAATGAGTATCATTTCAGATTTCCTTTCAGCTTCTTTTGCCTTTTAATTCACAAGTATAGAAAATAAGAGAGGTTAATGTTTTTAAACATTTCTGCTACACGCGATTATTTCAGTGCCATTCTCTGGTGTTGTGTCTGAAAAACGGGTGGCCAAGCCCGCTGCCCGCAGCGCCAGACATTCAGCCGGATCCACCCCTGGGCACAGTCATCAGGGGAAAGAGATTCAGCTTCCAAACTTGATTAAAAACAACCCAACAATTTCTGCCCCGTTAAAGAACTGTGTGATTGGAGAAGCTGAGTAAATTGCCTCAGAGAGGAGGTGGCTGAGGTCTATGTCTCTTTCAAGTGGGAGCATCGAGAAGCTGAAATATGCAGTTAGAGAGTGTGCTGCAGAAGGGCAGCTTGTCCACCAAAATCTGCAGTTAAAGTCCACTTTACAGGATTTAGGTGCTGAGATGGAGTGATTCTCCCTTATAATTTTTTCATCTTAATTTGAAAGGAAAAAGAAAACACACACACATGCCAAAGACCCACAGAGATGCTTAGGAATTGTTAACTTATTTCTGAGTTACTGAGACCTTTTGTTTTCTATTTAGAAAATATTTCAAAATATACTTCTCCCCTGAAAGTTACAATCTGAAAGATATAATTACAAGAAAAACACTAGGAGGGGAAAAATGAAGTAGGAATGAGGAGTGTGTAGGTTGGTGAATAAAATACATAACTGTCAGCATCTTTTTAATGATACATTGTTGTTGTTGTTTGGTTTGTGATATTTTTTATAGTAAAAACTAGACATCCAAACAGGAATCCAAATATGAATGGAAGTGGGAAGTTTTCTGGTGTGTTTCAACACTAAAATGAACACTATGTCTCTATGTGTCTGTGTGTTCTCCTTCAATTCATTTTTTTTACCCCAGAAAGTGGTGCAATTTGTTAATTTTTTTGTGGGCACAGGAGGAGGAAAATATGATACATTTGGGGATTTTTCAGTAGAGCTGTGTTTAGTTTTAATTTTCCTGTATTTTAAAATAAACACTTTGACCAAAGCATGTTTGATCTTTGCAAGAAGGAAGTATACATTGTGAAGGAATGTGCAGCGGTTGGGTATGAAAATGGGGTTGTGACTCACAGCTGCAGGCAGAAAAAAAAAAGGCGTCGTGGTGTCAGCCAGAGGTGTTCAGTCTAATAATTCAAGCTGTAAACTGCATCCCCTAAAATTACCTACATAATAAATCATTGTGCAAAGAAAAAAAAGTTTGGACTGAAAAGTGTAAGTGAAACAGAATCCTCAGGAGATTTCAATGCTGGGACCTATTGACAATGAAGTGAAATACAGGCTTATTTTGTTCAAAACTTTAAGGATCAGAATAATGGAAATTTCTCTAGCACAACTGATTTTTTTTTTCTGGCTTGGGTTTCAACGCATTTCTACCTAGTCTGTCACAAAAATGGGCTTATATATTTCTCTCCTGATCACACAGCCAAAACTGCTTTATAGAATTTACAGTCGACTTAATGCAGTTTCAAGAAAAAGCTCACTCAAGAATGGCTTTATTTTTATAAAAGTGATTATACGTAAGTTATCAAATGCATATCAAGAATGGAGGCAGAAATCTTTCTGACAATTCTTTTAGATTCCTGTCTCATATTACAATGTTGCTTGTAGGTACCAAAGAAACCACAAAATTTGTGTAACGTGGTAAATTAGCTTGCCTAAGAATTCACTGCTAGGTTGAAATACTTAGACACTGCGGTTGGCAAAGCCAGTGCCAAGTCCTGGAGACTTGAGAAACGTGAACATTTGGGGAAAAAATGCACCGTTTGGAGTAGAAAGGAGCTCCGTGGCGGGAGAAAAGATGAAATTGTCAAGAGGAAGTTTAAAGGCCAAGGACACACGAAGTCTTTGAAACAATAAGGGTGAAGAAGTCAAGAAGCAGACTCGCCAAAGCCATATTGAAACAATTTATTTTATAGGATCCCTATATTTCCATAATTAGTAAACAGAGTCACACTGGAAACACGGGCTGTGGGCTCTCGAGCTCACACGGGCCTCTCGAAGAGGAGAAAGTCAAGTTGTCACGGGTCTCTTTCGCCTGGGTATTTCACAGGAAAATACAAGGAGGCGGGAGGCCCGAGAAAGCTGACTCCAGCGAAGTTTGCAATAAGGATTAACTGGAGAAAGGAAGTCCACAGCAATTAAAACCCCTACCCTGGCTCATTAGTATTCATGACTGAATGTCCAGCTTTTCTGTTTATCTTTCTCCCAGGATCAATATCGGAGCAGCGTGGGCCTGGGAGGAGCCCAAGTTGGGCCCGGCATGCGCCTGACCTTTCGCGCCCTCCCTCCAGGTCAGCGCATCTTCAGAACCGCCGGCCAACGCCACACAAACGCTCATTAAATCCACCATTCACAGGCGGGCCGGCGGAGGCTGGGGGACGAGCCCGGGGGTGAGGACGGGGCCAGGGGCACGCAGACCCAGGCGACTCCAAAGAGTTTCGGGAAACCACACTCGGCCACCTAACCACTGTGGGCCCAGTGGGCCAAGAGAGAGAAAAGAACAAGAACCAGCTCTGGATGCAGCGAGAGGCTCCAGCGCAGCTCCTGGCAGGCCCTCGCTGGCTCGGCCTTGTTCCAGACCCTAAGTTTAGGGGGGCTTTGCCTGGTGGTAGGGGGGAGACTGGCAACATAAGAGCCGGGGTGAAAAGGGAACCACACCCACACCTCCAGTTCTGCCAGTCAGGAGCCTCTGTAGGCCTCCGCCGGCCTCCGCGGAGCAGCCCAGTCGCTGAGCGTTAACTGCGATGATTATCTCTGACATTATTATTATTTCTACCCCCCACCTTCTCCAGCAGCTCTGAGCTCCCTTCTGCTCCCCAGGGCCACCGGCTTGGCCTTTAGGACAGAGATAAACCTAGCCCGGGAGGTTGGGAAAGGCAGAGGTTGAGGCCAGGTTCAGGGGACGCGGGGGCCAGGCAGCTCTTCCCTTACTCCAGATTTCCTTGGAGGTGAGGGGGCGCTCCCCTCCCTACACCCGAGGGCTGGAGGGCGCGCGGGCAGGCAAGGCAGCCTGGCCTCTCTCAGCCCCTGGAAGTGGGCTTGGGAGACCCAACTGCAGGGAGCCTTAGTCCCACGCCAGTGGCGCGAGTGCCGGCCTGGGGAGTGCCGCCCTGGGTGGGGGAGGACCCTCCGAGGCCGAATTAGGTTGAGAGCGCAGGGCAGGCCCGGTCCCCTCCAAGAGGCGCTAGAAAGGGCTGGGGGAGGTAGGAATGGGAGGAGGGGTGCGGGGAGCATCTCCTGCTGCCCACGCTAACCCACATTTCTGCGGCCTCAGGTCCTTCCCACTCACGCGAGCCTGTGGCTGGGAGGTGCGGAAGCTGAAGGAGGTGAGGGTGTGTGAGCATATGGTGTGAGTGTGTTGTGTGTATGTGTGTCTGTGTGTGTGCGTGTCTGTGTGTGTGCGCGCGCGCAAAGGCAAGGGACCTCCCCACACACTCTCTGCCTGGCAGCTGCGCTGAGCATCCTCTCGCTTCGTGGGGCAGGAGGGATGCTGGACGAGGGCAGGGCCTAGAGCAGGAGAAGGCGAAGCGAGGTGTCACCTCTTCAAAAGCTCGTCGGCTCCTGGGAACAAAAGAGAAACGTGGGAGGGCGACGAGGTGGCCCCAGCACCGAGAGTTCTCGGACTGTCGGGGCGGGGCAGGAGTGGGAGGACCCTGGTCTCGAATTCCCTGCCGAAGATCTTGGCTGTGGCAGCTCGGGGGCGGGGCGAGGCCTGGACTCGCTGGACCTAGTAGCCCACAGCCTTGACCGTGAACTCAGACCCTCAGGATGCCCTGGTTATGGCTTACAAAAGTTCTCATTTGCAACACCCTGTTCAAACGGCCACGGAGGCCTTTTCATGCTCGGGCACCCAGCCGGACTAGCCTGAGGGTTTTTGCCCGATCACCTGATCCAGTCTGGAAGGACCTAGTGTTTTTTTTGTTGTTGTTGTTGTTGTTTTTCCCCCGAAAATAAAAACCCAGCAATGATCTGGTGTCGGGAGGGGGGAAGTGGAGGGGAACTTCTTCCGGTCCAGTTCTGAGCTGCCAGTGAAAAACAGAAACCGTCCATTTAGGTCTGCTGGGGTAACAGTGGGCCAAGGAGCTCCGGGTTTCTGTGGAACCAGAGCGATATCAGACTATAATCAATCCATCCACAAATCATTATTGAACCTTTGGGTTCTGAGGACCTCTTTCCAGGACGTGTCTGCTAAAACAAACAAACAAACAACAACAACAACAACAACAAACCTACCCAAAGCTTCAACCAAGTCTTGATGGAGTGTGATTTTGAGGCCTTTATCACTGAGCCCTTGGAAGCAGGCCTAGCGCGCCCTTCCGATCATTTCGGTGGAGTAGTGTGGGGGAGGGTAGGACCCGAGTCTCTAGTGGGCGCCCGGTGGGTTCCCGCGGGTCCCCGATGCCACGGGTGAGCTCACCAGGGACCTACCGGGACACACCTCCCCCCGTCCTGCCGACCTGGGCGGGAGACCCGTCACCTCGCCGGCCCAGGCCTTCCTTCCTAGCCAACCCTGGGACGCAGAACAGCACAGAGTCCAGGGAAACCCGAGCCTCCGGTACAGTCTGTGATCTGCCCTTGATCTCAGGGTTTTGTGCGGAAAATAAAACCACTTGAGACTGAAAACATCCGTCTGAAAAAGAGACAAAAGGGCTAGGGGGTGGGGAAGAGGAAGAGCGAAGGTGCCGGCCTAGGGAAGAGCTCTGGGACAGCCAGGTATGGGCGTGCGGGTCCTGGGACGAGTTTCTTCCCTCGCGTCCAGCCGGGGCTTGGCCCCAGCAGCCTCCCTCTGCCCATGCCCCAAGCAGAACCGACGCGGCCTCTGATCCTGGAGTGACTTCCTCCCCGCCCCGAACTTCGTGGGATATCACTGAACCAGGGAAAGCTGATACCGATGCCGGTTATCATCCTGGGCATTAATAATGCAGTAAGGATCACGATAATTAATAATAATAATGACGGGCCTCCCGAGGGGGCTCCAGCTGCCTCCGGATAAAGCGACGCTCGCGCTGAGGGGACTTCTTAGGTGGTGGATGGAGGTGAGCGCGAAGGAAGCCGGCCTAGGCTCACTGAAGTTCAAGTTGACGGCGGCGGCTAGCAGAAACCGTGCTCCAGCCGCGGCAGGTTGGGCCTCCCTGCGGGCAGCTACCCGCAGCGCAGCGCGGGATCCCAGAGAGGGGCGAGGGCTAGCTTCAGTTTCGTGTCTCTGGAGTCAAGGCAACAGCAGGTTAGCATTTAGGTCCGTTTAGACAGCCGGGCAGGGATAGGGGTGGGGTTGGGGTGGGGGGGACGCCTGTCCCCCCCACCCCACCCCCAGGCCCAGGCCCAGGCTCCTGAGTGTGGTGCAGGCTGTTGGGCCGCGAGCCCCCGCGTGCGTTCTCAGTTGAGCAATTTTCACATCTTGACACTTCTACACTATTGCCATATCCCCTCCCCTCCATCCAGTCCTTCGGATTCGAAGGGCAGAAAAGAAAGGCCAAAGAGAGAGAATGGACCACCTTGTCGGGTCCGTGACTTGTTTGGACAAAGCCTTGGGAAGCGAGGGACCAGGGACTGGGAGCCCTTTCGAGGAAAAGCGGCTCCCGCCCGCTCCACACATCCTAGGGTGGACTCGGAGACCACTCCCAGGCTGTGATCTTCCTCGTTCATATTTTATTCTCCTGCTGAAAACTAGGATCAGCGCCCCCGCACCTGAAGGGGCCTCGGGTGGCTCTCTGACTTTCAGATGGGGAAAGCAATCGAACCAACTCAAGGCTGTGAGATCGGCCACCTCTTCTGGCCCTTTTTGTTCTTCCCCAGATGGGAAGAAAAGCCCCAAACCCCATGGTAAAATTGCCTTCCCCACCCCCATCTTGTCCTTCTCCTTAGATTTGGGGCTTCTCTCAAAACCAATTTCCACCAAAAAATAAAAAATAAATAAATTTTTAAAAAAGTTGAAACATTTCCAATAGGCCTTTTTGTTCTTGCACAAGTTATGACAAATATTTCATTTGACTCCTTCGTCCCCCCATGGGGGTGGGGGTGCTTTGGAAAACTCTAAACGATTTTCCTCACAGCTTATAATGTGTTCAATGAACTCTCCCAAGGATCAGTAACATATGCCAATTATTTTAATAATTTCGCCTAATATTATTAGGGGTTATAAATTTGATTTTAATGGGGCTCTGATTGCTTCAGGAGTTGGCGCTTGGGCAGTTCGCAGAGCCGCTGGGGAAGGCGAGCCTGGCCTCTGTCACCCTCTGGTCACTCCCCCACCCAAGGCTGGACGCCTTTCCTCCCCACTGAACAGGTATTGTGACCTCCGGGAGGTCAGGGCTGCCCCTCTCTCCCCAAGCACCCCTCAGGCCTGGCCAGCCTGGTCCAGAGGCTCATTCCAGGGCTGGAGGGAAAGGAGAGCAGGGAAGCCGCAGCCATCGCGCCACCCGCGCTCTGCGTCTCCACGGCGGTGCTGCGCGATCCTCTGGAGGTGTCGCTGCCACCACCCAAGTCTTTTTCCAGCTGGGAGAGCTGGAGGGGGGAGGTCCAGCACTGCCCAAGGCCTCTTGGAGCTACTGGGAGAGGGAGATATTTTGATGGCTCAGAAATTTAAAAATAATCTTCCCCATCCCTACCCTTTCGTTATTACAATTATTTTTGCCTTCTTCCTTAGAGTATCTTGTTTGAAAACTCCGATCAGCTCCTGCGGGGAAGGTAGGAAGGCTGTAAACGTGGGAGAAAAGCTGGTGGCTGGGGCTCTGGCTCTCTCACTTCCACCTGGCAATTTTAGTCTCGATATTTTATTCTATTTTTACTGAATTCTTCAAGAGATTCTCTTTCCTTTGGGGCCAACGGTTTGTTGCTTTCCTATCTAATCTCCTCCCCCAAGAAGATCAAAATATAGCCTATTTATCACCTTCCCTTGACCATCCTGCTTGTTGGGACACAGCTGCTTTGCTTCAGCAAGGTTTCTCTGCTTAAAATTTCAAGCAACTTTTGGTACAAACGGGCCCTTAAAACTATAATCATTAGGCCAAGTTCAAAAAGAAAGTACTCTGCACAGTTTTAAATGTGTAATTAAAAATAACTGTACCTCAGCTTTTCAGAGGGAGGGAGAGGAAAGGGGGCAGGAAAGGGGGAAAACAAAGAATAAGGAAATGTTTAGTGCTCTTAAATCCAGCCCAAATAGCTGAAAGAAAGAAAGGCATTCCCTCAGATAATGGAGCCATTAGAAGCTCTGAAGGTTCCTGCCGCCATTCCTCACAGGGGCTTTCCAAAAATTTAATTCACTCTCAGCTATTAAACAAAGGCCGAAGAAAATAATTTTGAGACCTTCTGCCAAACGGGCACTTTGGCTTGGTTTCTATGCAGACACACACCTTCCTCCCCAGAACGCGTGTGCCTCCCGCCCACTCAGGCTCGCTGAGGCGTACCCAGGTCAATCCTCAGCTGCCTCTTCCCCCATTTTCTTTAATAACTTTGCTAGAAAAAATAGTATGTTCATGCAGTTTCAACACATTTTATTATATTTCTGTATGCATTACTCTCAAAACATCACAAGAAATGATCAAACCACTTAAAACCTTCAAATAAAAAATCTGAAACAGTTTATGCCCACAATTGTACATATTTATAGTTAAGAAACATTCTTTATAAATATTGTTTCCTCTGTAGCAAGTTAATACCATAATTTAATTACAAATGGATAAATATGGTAACGGGTATTTACAGAAGGAAGGGTGTTATTACGGAAAAAGCTAACGGCACGACGTTTATTTTTCCCCCACAATCTTTCATACAGGAACTAACAAATTGAACTTGCAAAAGCACTAAAACATCACATGTAAACCCAGCTAACAGAAAAATACATTCACAAGCGTTGTTGGTGGTGGTGTGTATGTGTGTGCTATGGGTCAATGTGCTGAAGAAACAGAAGGGAGACTTTGGCACGGCTCATTTTTTCCAGTCTATAGTTACATGAAGTTTACAATCAGGTTGCCTCATAAAAAGGAACACAATATTCAATACCACAATACAAAATAAACCATTTTCTTCCACATTACTTAAAAAGAAACCGGGTAAACTAAAAAGAGAAAAGAGAAAGCCCATCACTTTAGGGAAGGGAAGGGGCGGAAGGCGGGGAGGAACGCAATCCGGAGTTTTACAAATGGACAAACTTCTATACACCAAAAAGCCTTTAAAACCACCTCGGAGGAGAAAGGAGGAGTCCGCTATGTACACAGTTTGTCAGAAGACTGGGAACAGGGTGGGAAAGAACGTGGGCATGGAGATTAGCAGGGAGGTTTGGTTCAACATTTTTGTGGGTTTTTATTTTTTTATTTTTTATTTGTTTTATATTTTCAGCTTCAAAGACTCCGGAAGGGATATTTTTGCTCTTCATGCCTAGATTATTATTAAAAAAAAAAAAAAAACTTTAAAAAATCCTTCTGCTGGTAAAATTTTCATCATCATAAAAATCAGATTCATAATTTTAACAACATGATCACAAGGTGCCCTCGCTGCTAGCTGCGGGGAGGGCTGCTGCGCTGGGGTGGGGACAGGGAGAGGGAGAGAGGCCCCGACCCGTCACACGTACCATTCATTGAAGTTGGAGGAGAGGCCGCTGTGACCCCCGGCTGTCCCGCTGCCCCCGCCAGAGCTGCCGCCGCCCCCGCCGCCCGCCCCGCCGCCGCCCCCGCCACTGCCGCTGCCGCCGCCTGAGCCGCCTCCCGCGCCGCCACTGCCCGAGCCTCCGCCCCGGTGCACCGCGGACACCGCGGCCGCCGCCGCCGCAGCCGCCGCCGCCGCTGCCGCCGCCGCTGGGGACAGGTTGGAGCTGCTCTGGGGCTCGGCGCTGGGGGACACCAGCCCCGGGGGCGTGGACGACTCATAGCCGGAGCTGGCGGCCGGGGAGGATTCAGAGCCCTGCGGGGAGGACTCATGGACCTGCAAGACAAAAGCCGGGAGGGGGGACCAGAGGGGACTGGGTGTGAGTGCAGCTGCTGTGGGGCCGGGCCCCTGGGGGAGAGCACCCCCAGAAATGTTCCCCCCGCCGCCCTGGCCCCTGGGGACCCTCCCAGGCCGGCTGAGGTGGTCCGGGCCAGTGCTGCACCGGCGCCTCGGCCTGCCTCGCCCTCCTCCCGGCCGCCGCGGTGGTACCTTCATGTGCTTCCGCAGCGAGCTGGGGTGCGTGTAGGACTTGTCGCACATCTTGCAGAGATAGGGCTTATCGGAGGTGTGGACGTGCATGTGCTTCTTCCTGTCGCTGCTGTTGGCGAAGCGCCGGTCGCAGCCCTCAAACTCACACTGGAACGGCTTCTCCCCTGTGGACGGCAAACATCGGCGCTGGCTGCAGACACCCAGAGCCTGCAGAGCCCCCACTCAGGCTGCGAGGGGGCTGGGCCGCGGCGAGGGAGAAGGACCTGAGGGGGCTGGGTCCCTCAAACCAGTCCGATCCCCTCTGCGGCAGAACTAAGATCAAATTAACCGCCTTCCCGCCCGACAGTCCTGCTCATTTATTTCGTATTTTACTTTCTTCCAGGCTGACGTCCATCTCCTCAAATTTCTCAGGAATGTGGGGAAGCTCCTAGCCCTGCCTGCCTTTCTAGAGGGCTTCTTGGATTTGCAGCTTCTAACAAGTTGCTCTCGCCACGGAGAAGCTGTTATTATGACAAAATATTTGGGGCATTATCAAAATCACACAGGCTGCTGGGCTGCTGTCGGTTTCTCGCCAGGGCCAGTAAGCAATTACATTTGGAGTTGCTACGTGTTGTTTGGGGGCCGGGCTGTGGAGAGTGACTGAGCCAGTATTTTTCATCCAAAATTCTGCAAATTGAATTAACCACAATTCTAGTCTCACCTCCCGTCTTTAAAAAAATAAGTTGAAGAAAAGGTAAATATTAGAGATAAGGCAGCATCTAGTGACTGCGGAGAGGCACAAGCTGGTGGGCGAGGGTTGGGGGAGTCAGCAAAGCCTTTCAAAACCTCCCCGTTTAATTTTCTGGCTGTCTCTGCATCCTGTTGCCAGAATTCCAAATGCTTGGAGTCATTTAGAGGTGCGAGAACTCAAACGTCGTTCCACTTGGAAAGGGGACCGTTTAACGTTAAATTCCATTAGCACCTAAATTGTTTCTTAAAGACATCCGCTCAGACACAGGACTCGAAAGCGAGCATTTCATGCAAATAAATTTCTCAAATTTTAAACCTTGTTAAAAGCTTGTCTCGCACCTCGGCTCCCTCCCTTCCCGGAAGAGAACAATAGGCCGCTGGCGCATCCCCACTTCGGAGTAAATATTGACGGGGGAAGTTGCTAAAACATTTGGCTTTCTTTTAGGAAATCGTCTGGCACGATTTTGGCTGAGACCTGGTCATAGATGAATAATCTATGAGGCGGGAGGCGCGTTCTTTTGCGGCTCTCTCTTCTCACGCGATCCCCCCGCGGGGCCGCGCTGCCTGGGGCTCTAGCTGACCTGGGGCTCTAGCTGACCTGGGTCCAAGTTGGGAATCGCAAACTCTGTGGTGCCCATTAGAGAATTTCACAAACTGCTGCGAAACCACAGTAAAGCCCCCGCGACCCACCCCGAGACGGGCTTTAAAAACACTTTAAAAATGAGAAACGCATTACAGCTTCGGCTCACACCAGACTCATTTCATGGGAAACAGTCCCGGGAAGGGCGTTTGGACCCCGAGTAAAAGAAGTGGGAAAACACACAAACCACTCAGACAGACATACACTCCGAGCAGAAAAGCACATTCAGACAAGCTGGCAAAATCCTCTCTAGGCTCGCTTCCCGGGCACCGAATTAGCGAGCAGTTTTATTTTGTGCTTTCTACTTAAAACGGAAATTATTAACCGGGGCTGAGCAAACGAAGCAATTGCATGACCCAAGCATACATTTGATGTGAGGCTAATCATTCAAAACTCGATTTCCGCACATGGAAAAACCTAGCCCAATAATATTGTCATCGTCCAACAGAAACAAGCTGCTGGCTCTTTCGTACACGCAAAAACACCTCCCATCCCAGGTCCCCGGCTGGCGGTCTGCGCCCAGCGTCGGCACCCACAGCCTGAGTCTCAGCCTGTGCGTGTCTCCCCTCCGCGCCTGGTCCCTGTCCCAGCCCGCGGTTACCTGTGTGGGTCCTTTTGTGGATCTTGAGGTTCTCGGAGCGCGCGAAGACTTTGCCACAGCCCGGGAAGGGGCAGGGGAAGGGTTTCTCGCCTGTGTGCACGCGGATGTGGTTGACCAGTTTGTATTTGGCCTTGAAGGGCTTGCCCTCGCGCGGACACTCCTCCCAGAAGCAGACGTGGTTGCTCTGCTCCGGGCCGCCGACGTGCTCCACCGAGACGTGTGTCACCAGCTCGTGCATGGTGCTGAAAGTTTTGTTGCAGCTCTTCTTGGGATTGCTCAGTTGCTCGGGGTCGATCCACTTGCAGATTAGCTCCTGCTTGATGCACTGCTGCCGCATATAGCGGAAAAAGGCACCGGGGTGGTGGTGGTGGTGGTGGTGGTGGTGGGCCGCGGCTGCTGCCATGTTCATACCCATGTTCATATTCATGGGGCCGTACTGGTTGTGGAGTTGCGCCGCCGAGTAGGGGTCGGTCCGCGGGCTGGCCACCTGGCGGTATTGCTCCGAGCGCCCGAACACCTCGCCGGGCAGCCCGAGGCGCATCTGCCCGTTGAGCACATTCTGCGAGCCGTGCGGCCCGTGCTGCTCTGGCAGGCCCGGGAAGAGGAGGTGGCCCTGCGCGTCCGAGTGCGCGTGGTGCAGGCCGCCCGCGCCCGGCCCGAACAGCCCGTGCTGCCCGCCGCCCGGCGCCGAGTCCCCGAAGCCGCGGCTGCGGAACAGGAAGTCCCGGGTGGAGTTGAAGGGCGGCCCAGAGTAGGAGCCAACGTGCGCGGCGTGGGGCCCGAGCGCTGCGGCCGCAGCGGCAGCCGCAGCGGAGCCGGGGTAGGCGCCGGGGCCCTGCGACGTGAACGCCGAGCTCTGGCCCGGGGACAGCTCGTGCGCGCCCGGGTTGAGCTTGAAGGCTCCCATGTGCGCGGCGGCGGAGTCAACGAAGCCGTTCTGCGCCGCCGCCAGGCTCAGTTCACGGTCCTGCATCTCGGCGGCAGCCGCCGCCGCCGCCGCGGCGGAGTGGTGATGGTGGCGCGCGAAGCTGCCCACCCCGATGGCCGGGAACTGCGGACCCGCGTCCAGGAGCATGGCCAGCGCGCCCGCCCGCCCCTGCGAGCCCTGCGCCTCCGCGCCGCCTCGACTCCCGCTCCCGATCCGCGCGGTGCGTCCGGCGGCCACCGGGCTCCAGGCGCAGGCGGCGGTGGTGGCGGCCACTTCAGCCCTGGGAGCCGCTCTCCTGCGCCCGCCGCCTCCGCCGCCGCCTGGATCTGCCTCGGGCGGCCGGGCGCGTAGCGAAGGCGCGGAGAGGAAGAGGAGGAGGAGGCGGCGGCGCGGGAGGAGGAGGAGGAGGTGGAGGAGGAGAAGAGTCCAAAGCCAGGCGGAGAACCAAAGTGTATTAAAGGAGCTGCGGCGGGGGCGGGCGGGCAGGGCAGGGGAGGGCGGGCGGGAGGAGGGAGCCGGAGGGAGGTGTGGGGAGCCGAGAGGAGAGGGGGGCTACCGGGGGGCGAGCGCCGCGCCGCAGCCCCCACCCCTGCGCGCACCCGCGCGCGCACGCACACACTCACTCGCACGCCCAGCGGACCCGGAGCCCGGCCGCACCGAGCAGCGCCGGTAGAATGCAGTCACAACCGCGGCGGCCGTGCGCACGCCAGGCAGACGGGCGAGGAGAGGACCGAGGCGAGCTCCGCGCTCGGCACCCGGGGCCAGCGCACCAGCGGCTCCACCTGACCGCGGCGGGGGCGCCGGGGCGGCAGGCGGAGTCCAGGCGTCCTCTCCGCGGCGCTCTGCGGCGACAGCTCCCTCCCCCGCGGCCCTACTCGCGCCGCCCCGCGCGCGGCGGTTATTGTTCGGAGCCGCGGCCGCAGTGTTTAGCCCTCCTCGGCCTCGGCGCTTGGCATTGGCTGCGCCTCGCGTAGTAAACTTGCAGTGGCCACGAATTTCCCCAGATGAAGGCAGCAGCCGCGCCGCTCCCCCTTTCTTTAAGTTGTGCCGGAGGAGGAGGCGGGGGAGTAGGGGGGAGGGGGATGTGGGAGGGGAGAAAGCGAGCAGGGGGAGGGGAGGAGGGGGAGGCTGGGCTGAAAAACAATAACAACAATAAAAAAGTGATCTCTCGCTCGCCTCCTCCCTCCCGCCGGTCGGGCCTGGGCGCTGGGCCCGGAACTAGTGACCGCGCCGCGTGGACCCAGCGCAGTCCGCGACCCGAGGGAGTGTGAGGCCCAGGCGGGCTCCCAGGTCTCGGCTGCGGTGGGCTGCGTTCGCCACCGCCTCCGTTGATTTCGATGGGCGCCGCCAACGCTGCAGCGGCAGCCTTTTATTTTTTATTTTTTGTCTCCTCCTTTTCCTCTCCCCTCCCCCCGCACCCCCTAGTCTCCCGCCCCGGCCTCCCTCCCTCCCTCCAGCTCGAGGCCGGGCCCCCCCGGTCAAACCGCCCCTTTAACGGCGGCTCCCGCCCCGCCCGCCCTCCCGGCGCCGCGATTGGCCGCCGCGGCCTAGTCAGTCCCGCGCCCCCGCCCCGCTGCCGGGCCCGCCCCTCAGTCCTCGCGCTCCCTGAGCTGCTGCCGGCTCAGGCAGCCGCCGAACGTGCCCGTGGGCCCGGCCTGCCATCCTGCCGCGCTTCTCCCGAGACCTCGGCGCCGCGGCTTCTAGTCCTGGCCGACCGCGGCGCTCCCGGGAGCCGGGCGTCCAGCGTGGCTCGGACGCGGGCCCGGGCCGCGGGGTCAGGGCGCCCTCAGCCGGGTCAGGAATGGGAGGCAACCCAGCGCTCCAGTCTTTCTGCGTAGGCCACCGACTTCCCCGGGATCTGAGCAGCTCCCAGCGGACACCGAAAACCCCGGGGACGCCTGGCCCGAGCACTCCAGGCCGCTCGAGAGGTGGCTAACAGCTGGGTCGCCTGGCAGGAGGCTCTGCGCGCGGGGACATTTCAGGCCCGGGGCCTCGCCGGGAGCGCGCCACAAGGAGCGGCGGGGGGCTGGTCTGCTGCCCGCTTGGCACGCTCCCTACTTTCACCCCGCCTTTGTAAACTTGCTCTGTGGCATTGAAACCACAGGTGCAGGACCGTGGGCACAGAGAAAGCCAGGCATGCCCCTTCTTCCCACCCTCCGGACGCCCACCCAGACACCGCCTTCCCCGCCCCCCGCGGCGTCCCCGTCCGCCCCTCGGCGCGCTGAGCTCCCCACCCGCCGCTTGCGTCCTGCTCCGTTTACAGCAGTAAACACTGGGCAGCGGCCCCTGCGTGGAAGGGGGTTGTTCGGAAGTCGTTTAAAGACAGTGTCACCCTCAGGGTAAATGCCCAGAAGCCGGGCCGCGCATCCTTGGGCTGAGAAGTGTGGGAACGCCCGAGACCAAGCGAGACTCAGGCCGGAGTTTGGCTGCGGGTCAGGCTCAGGGTCTCGGGAGAAGAAGCCGTCAGACACGGCAGGGCTTAAACCTTCTAGAAAGCATATATATCCATCCACTCCTTCTCCAGGAGCAGGGAGTACCACCCGGGCGGTGGCCCAGCGGCGAGGCCGCTCCCGGCGCCGCGCCTGGCTGACCGCTGCGGACGTTTCCTGTCCCGCCGCCCAAATCTCGCGCTCCCGAGGTAACTAGAGAGGGAACGGAGGGCCCAGAGGCTGCGGAGGTGTGAAGGGACAGCCTGAGGCCAGCGCCTCGGGCGTGTTCTCCTGGCTGGCCTGGAGAACTGCTTTTATTTATAAATCTCTAGGAGTTGAAATAAAATTAAACGAAGAGAAAATAATAAATTTTTCAGAATTATGTTCTGAAATGAAATAAACAAAAACGCGGGAAGAATCCTCTAGCTCACTATGGCTGGCAGAACCCGGGCTCTCTTGCGCCGGCTCAGGCAGCCTCTCCCGGCTTAAGCGAGTCTCTGCAGGTTGGCGCTGGCCGCAGCCCCTTGCATAAGGAGCCCTGTGCCCTCCCTCCGTCCCATTCTTCCCTGTCCTGGGGGTGGGGTGGGGGTGCAAGAAGGAGGCAGGCTGTGGCATCCTGTCTGAAAGCAAGGCAGTTTGCCTGGAAGATGGAGATTCTCACCTTCCCTGAAAGGAGGAAACGTTCCCATTTCCACACCCCTCTCTCTGTGCATAAAAGGGGGCGGAGGGCACTAGCCAAACTGGCCCCCTAGACCTAAAGGGACCTGAGACATAGACGCAGAGAGAAAAGAGAACATCTTTGGCAGAAAGGCTGCCCTGCCACGTTGAATCCATTAAAAATTGCCTAGTGCAATTTTTGTACTACACACTTGTTTGCTTTATTCATCAATTTTTATGGGAATGGGAGGCGAGCACGAGAGGAGAGTATTTGGAAGGGCTTACTCCAAAAATATTTCCGAAGGAAAATGTTTTCTTGGAGATTGGTTATGAGAATAGCAGACCTGCACATGCAGAGACCTCACTTCCCTTCCTTCTTTCAGGCCATCAGACTTCGAAGTTTTCCTCCTTTCCCACTGTCTTACCCCCTCCCCAGTCCTCCCTCCCTCTCCTCTTTGACCCATTCTCTCTTTCGCTTTGATTTCGCCTTTGCTGCTCCCGCGTTTGGGGATCGCGCGGCTGGGCGCTCGCTCGCGCCGGATTCCAGGGGCCGCGCGCGGCCGGGCGGTGGGGCGGACGCCTTAATTCCCGCCGGAGACCCTACGGGTTGGGCGCTCCTGGCTATTCTTTCCCGGCTCTAGTTCTCCTCTCTCTGCAGGGCACAGAAGAGCTGAGCCAAGTTCAAAGTCACGTCGCCGTCCCTTCTCAGAAGTGCTTTATTTCTCTACAAACCGCAAAACCCCTTTACTTCATGACTTTTTTTTTTTAAGGAAGGAAAGTGAAGAGAGAGCTAGAGAGACCAAGGGGAAAAAAAAAAGCATGCAAAGGCTTTCAGAGTTACTGCCTTAAAAGTAGACTCGGGTTCCTTGGCTGAAGGAAAAAAGCGGCCAAGCGGCGTTATGCACAGTGTGAGTGAATTCAGTTTTTCAACAGGTTTCTGGAAGGGCCCGTCTGTGGCAGTGTCAGGGCCGCAGGACCCACAACTGTCTCCATCCGGCAAACAAGTCCCCTCTTTGTAAATTTCCCAAAACTATGCTTCCGAAATCTTACGGAGGCTGCGTGCGACTGGGCGGCAGGCCGGGGCTTGAGCGGATCCAGCTCAGGGCCGCGGGGGCCAGTGTTCATTTCTCGGCAAGTAGAGGGAATGGCAGCGCGATGGAGAATTGGGGTTGTCTTCAAAAACCAGAAAATCCCGCCAAACACCCGAGCGCCCATCAACCAAAGCACCTCGTTGCGGTTTGTGGGCCTCTGTGAACAGTGTTGACTGAGTTCTTTTGTGGTATGGGGTGTGTTTTGTGTACCTATGCATAAATATAGCGTGTATGCACACACTATACCCTCACACACAAATAGGTATACATTGCTGGACAGGAGAAGTCAAAGAACAAGCAAACAGAATTGACCTTTACATTGAAAAGCAGAAGCTCTCGGTTGCCACACCACTCAAACTTGTAATTTTCCTCTTAAGGAAGAAGGTGGAAACGGGGGTAGTGGGAAAGAGTTGAGAGAAGAAATTAGAGAAACAAGTGACCAAAAAAAAAAAAAAAAAAGCAGGGGGGTGGATTTCATAGGATTCCAGCACCATCATCTGTATCACAGACTCATAAATTCAACAAGATCATCAACAGGATATTAAGTTGCAAGGCACCTTTGATTCCGCCTTCTCAGCCACTCCTGGGCTGGGTGACCCCTGACCCATGAAGGACCACATGTGTGGTGCGGGAGCCCCCTCTATAAAATCCACCTAGAACAAAAGTTCTTTGTTAGTGCTTTAGAGAAGTGTAATGTAAAAGAAGGGGAAATTGTGAAAATCTCAGCCAATGTTGTAACTTTTAAATACCATTTTTAAGAAGTGGGGGTGCTGAATGAGGTTGTGATAGGATAAGGCCCTCTCTAGTTTGCTAAAAGAATGTCTTTTCTTCCTACAGTTAAAATTTACTGTTCTGTAACTGGGCTTATAAAAAGTCTCCATATAAAATATGTGCTCACCAGCAGTTTAGTGATAGGGATGTAAATATTTGTGTATTTGTCAAAAGGGACTCAGAAAAAATAGAAGACATCAACCACCCTGGCCTTTACCCCTGCAATGGTGATAGTCAGTGGTTGTGGTTTTCCAAAAGGAAGAGAATTAATTGTCCTTACTTGTCTTCTCCTTCCTGATGGGAGTGATTCTACTGCTGAAAAACAAACAAAACCAAACAACAAAAAATAGGAGGCATTAGCTTACGTGAATGTGTTTAATTATTCTGAAGACCTATCCTTTGGGCTCCCAGGCGAACTATATCCAGAGAGATTGAATACAGATGACAGGCGAGCAGCTTTCCAATAAACTGCAGTATTATTGCAATAGACTTTGTAATACAATTTATGCTGTCATTCATAAATAACAGTGCCATATGTCAACCATATTGCTTACACAAGTAAATCCATCAACGTGTCACTATTTGATTTATCTCAACAGCTTCTTCAAATATTGAAGTATAGATATTGGAAGGGGTGTGGAGTGGGAGGAACTACCCAAGAAATTTGAGATTTTATTTTTAACCGCACAAACTCTACTTCTCCTTCATTTCCCATCCAAAAACATCCTAAAGGATAAGAGATGAAGGGGAGGAGAAGCACATCGAGGGGCCAACACAAATAAATATTGGGTGGTTATATGAACTGTGAACATGTAAGAGAGTTCTGTCGTTGTTTTGACCTTCTGGAACATATTTTAGAACAATAATGCATTTCCCAAGAAATTGTCAATCCTAATGGTCAACTGTAGGTCAAAGGTCTTTCTCCAACAACCTCCATCTCTGAGGGTAGAAATGACTGCAAACCAAATGAAAGTATTTGATAACAGTCAAATTGTATTGAACTTATTCTTTAGTAGTAAGGAAGTAAAGGGAGTGATAGTTTTTCAATGGCTTTCAACCACAAAGGTGAGGTGGACATGGGATAGGCCCACTTCATGACTGTACAAACAACAAGACAAAACAAATCTCCACAGAATCCAACGTATCAGTCGTGGCCACACAGCCCCAGTCTTCTGCCTTTTCATCCTCATTAAGTCTACATAAGTGTGATAGGGCTATTAGAAGCACTTTTCTGGATACTTTTAGCTCCACACATATCCGTGGAGCCTCAGGACTCAGCGCCACCTCAGGAGGGCAGTAACCCTCCGAGAGCCCCTGGGAGGGCTGCCAATTGCGGAGCGATTCTGAGCACCCCAAGGCCTTGGGCCAGTCGCAGCCCCCAACGCAAGTCAGATTGCGAGTTGCCAAGGCCGGAAGGTGGGGATGGGGGATCCGGTCCCTGCCTCGTGCAGACGGGGCGGGCGGCCAGGAGAGGCTGCCCTGAAACTCCCTGCCTAGTGCCTGGCCAACCTGATTTGGGAAAACCCTTGAACCCAAAGTCACCATCACTTACGGCCCTGGCGAAGCTCTACTAAAATACAGCTGTGCCGGTGCCTTTGCCCACCCCGCCCTAGCTTTTACGAAAGGTCTCAGTGGACCATCAGGCCCTTTCCAGTGTCTGCTAGCAACCCCCTACTTCCGCGCCTGTTAAGCACCCATTGGCGCCCTTGGGCTGGGGTTCAAAGGTCCTTCGATTCCCCTAGTAATTTGGGTGCCCCATTCGCCCTTGAACCCGCCCCTGGCGCGGCCTAAATGACACTAGATGCTCCAAACCCGCCGACACCCAGTCCTTCTGCAGGGAGGCCGCTCTCACAGAAACCACGCGGGACCAGCGAGTCGTAAAGCAATTGCAGGGGCAATAAAGGGCGGTTCGGTGGGTCCCCCAGCTCCTTTCTTGTCCACCCCACCGTCCCCGAGATCCCCCTCCCTCCGCCTGCAGAAACAATCAAACAAAGGCTCAAAAGCCAGGAAATGTCCAATTCACTTCCCTTAGAGTTTATTAATTGCCCACACCCCTCGCAGGAAACTTGGCTGTGTTCGGTGACATACAGAGGGCACCGGGGGAGCGGTGGAGCCTCAGTCCCCCACTACGCGCAGCGGGAAGCCGCAAGCGCCAGCTCGAGCATCCCCAGAGATCGGGTCCCGTGGCCTCCAGGCAGCTGAGCGCGGTTAACTCAGCCAACCTGGGTTCTGGTTAGCTGGCCATTTACTGGGCCTCTCACCTCCCCAACCTACTCGCGCCTTTGTCTGGGGTTGGAAGGAGGTTGGGGTTCGGGGTGCAACCTAGAGGTCTGGAAATACACGCCCCGCAAGAGCCCTTGCTAACTCCAGAAAGGACATTTCCATGGCTTGCCACTTTGCTGCCTCCACGCAGGCACCTCCGCTGCAAAACGCAGAAAGGGGCATGGATTTGAGGACTGGCCCTGACGACCAGCACCACCGTCGAAATATGCGGGCCAAACCCCCAGAAGAATTGGCATAACGCCTTCCACAGCCCCCTGCTTTTAAAACTAGTATTATTATTCCCTTCAGCGCCCTGGAAATTGTTGGTGTTTATTTAGGAAGTGTGACAGAATTATTGGGTCTTCAGAAACTTGGGATGTTAAGGGGGTTTGATTTGGCTCCCAAATAGCTTGAAAAAGAAACAGCGCACCTGGGGTCAGGCGGGTCATCACAATAACAAAAAGCGCTTCTACAAAATAAAAAGCTCTTTTATAAAGAAAGGCAATCCCGGAAATCCACTGCAAGCCTTCCTGATGACCATCTAGCTAGGCCTATTCTCAGGTTTAATTGGCAGGCGGTTTATTGGCGCCTTATTGGTGTTGATTGAAATTTTGCTCCCAGTCTTTTCTTTTAAGAATTAGCATCTCAAGTCGATTTACCTGAGTCAATTATCTTTTTAGGGTCTAGGTTTGGTCATAAATTTGCAAATATTCATTAAACTCACTTTGTAAATATCCCTCTTTCCTATCGCTACCCAAATCTCTATTATTTCCTAAGAAAGTCTTTTCTTTTTTAAGGCTTCCATAAAAAGAAATTGATCAGGGAGCTATATTTGAATTAAGACATATTAAATCGATGACAGATACATATCACGCTGTGTTTAACAAGAGTTGTACAAGGAGGCGGGTTCCAGATTCCGCACGGCTCTGCTACACCATTATTCACATTTTTACAGCCTTTCCTTCATGCCTTCACCCATTAAACCATTAAATTTCAGCAATTCAATAAAACAAAGCAGTTATAATTTTGACGAAAAGCTATTTTGAAGGGGGTGGAGGTACCCATTTTATTGCACAATAAAAATGCTCAACAGTCCATATTAAAGGCTAGCTTGTGTTTATTTTCTTCTTTCTTTATTCATTTTGTTTTGTTTTGTTTTTACTTATAACCTGCAGGATTGAACCCAAAGCTGCCATTACTGCAAGAATTAATGCTTATTGCCAAGAAATTCAAATAAAGGAAACTCATTGGAAATGTTCAGAGAGGAAACGATGACAGTGATAATTCCAAATATGATGCTTTCTCCATAAACTATCCATAGAGATGGCACAGCTCTCGATCAACCTTTGCCTGGTTGGCTTGAAATGTTTTAAGTCTTTGACATAAAAATTGTGAAAGGACTCGTCGTTTCCAAAGTGAGATGAAGATTTTGTTACTGCTGTTTATTAAAATTTTTTCGTTGTGTTTCCACACATGCCTTTAATTCCCCATATTTGAACTTCATTGCAACTTAAAGAAAAAGTCCATTTGAAATTTGATGGTAGCATTGTCTTTGTTTGCTTGTCAGTTTTATAAAAGAAATGACATTCCTAAGTCTCATACCGAAGCCCCCTGTTAAACATCGTTCACACCAATGTGAATGGCACTATCGAATCAACTCTTTTCAGAATATTTCTGATTACTTCCCACGGCCATCTCCCCAATAACGGCTTTGTGCAGTCTACTTTTACTTGGACTGCAAATGAATTAAGTTGGAAACATATTTTATTGTATCCCCAAAGAAAAAGATCACATTCTAATCATTATCACTTTTTTTTTTTTTACAAGTAATGTTACGGATGACAGCAAAATACAAATTTTAAAATCCTGGCTTTAATATTTGAGCATTTTGTAACATCACAAATTTCAAAAATGCTTTCTTTTAAAATCTGAAAAGGACACTTTTGGGGCAGTAAAATCCTTAATTTGGGGGGAGGGTCCCACATTTCTCCGCCCACCAAAAAGTGATGCAGGGAATTTCTATTTTTAAAAAATCGATTTGATACCAAACCTCTGGAAAGGGATGGGATTCGCTTTTTTAAAAGCCAGTTTTTATGGTTTTCAAATAAGACATCTTAGAGGTAGACTGGTTTATGAGAAAACGATAAAAAGGTGAAAGATTATTCTATCAGTAAATAAAAAGCAAAGATATTTCTTGATTTCAAAATAATATTTTATTGGATCAGTTCTAATTGTGGATCAGTCAAAGAAACTGAGGCATACATGTGGACTGTGGACTGGGATCTGGACCGGAAGGAGAAATTCTACTTAAAGGACGGTGCTTATTTAGCGGCTTCTCTCTGCAGAGATGCCGTTTGGCCTGCCCCGCCACTGTATCTCCGAAAGGCAAAAGTTAGAATCGCTGCCCGATCTCCTCTCCCCCGCCCCTACTGTAGATCTAATTGGAAGTGGCAGATCTAGAACCGATGAGTAGTGAGATTACACTTCCATCCAACTCCTTTGAACCATGTTGAAAAGGACTCTCCATGAGATAAAAAGTCGAGGTAAAACGGTTCCTTTGGGGGAAAGACTTATTTTGACTTCACCTGGTGTTTCGCGGAGCCAAATCACTCAAGTTGTCTTGCAACCAATAGACTTTATCTTCTTCACTCCGTCTACTGTCTATGCGCCCTAGGTGAGCGCTAGGCAGGTTGGGTGTCCAAACAAGAAGTTTCTAGCATCACCACTACAGGTAGGACGGGCTATTCACCCTTCTCTCCCAAACAGCAGCCCAGGGCTCTTCCACCCCACAAGAGAGGTGGAGGTAGAGGCAGAAAGTACTTGGGTGCCAGAAGGCACACAGAGAAGTGAGGCCAAGGTTTTTGAAACTGGGACTGCCCCTCGGGGGTCCTCAGCCCCTCACCACCCCGCGCCCTCTGCCCGCGTGCCGGCGCGCGCTCCGCGAGGTGCGTCAAGGAAGAGCGGGGCGCTGCGCGCGCAGGCCAGGCTCAAACTTTCTGCAAGTGCAACTTGGGCATCCCCGGGGAGGCGGGGACGTGTGGCTCCAGCGGAGGAGGGGGCGCGAAGCGAAAGCGCAGGCGGCCGCAAGCACGGGGGCGAATCCCCGCTGGGTCGAGGGCCTGAACGGGAGCCAATCGAGCAGCCGAGGCTACTGCCAATCACGCGGCTCCCTCCAATCCCACCCGTGCCATTTCCAAAATCTCGGTCCCACTGTGCAGCTCAAATGTGGTGTTCACTCTGCCAATCGCTGGAGGATAGAGTGGGAACAGGAATAAGCAGAGTTAAGAGGCCAGGACAAAAGAAGTTAAAGAGCGCCCAATACATACATGTTTTTGAAGGCGGGCAGAGGGAATAAAGTCCCCCCAGTGAGGGTCTATGGGCCTGATTGTGTAGTTCTGATGGAGCCCCCTTTGAGCAAGAGGAACCCGCCAGCGCTGAGATTAGCGGATTTGGCAACGGCTCAGGTCCAGCCGCTTCAGAATATGACAGGCTTCCCGGCGCTGGCCGGCCCGCCCGCCCACTCCCAACTCCGGGCCGCCGTCGCGCACCTCCGCCTGCGGGACCTGGGCGCTGACCCCGGCGTGGCCACCACTCCGCTCGGACCCGAGCACATGGCCCAGGCGAGCACGCTGGGCCTCAGCCCTCCCTCCCAGGCGTTCCCGGCACACCCGGAGGCTCCGGCAGCCGCCGCCCGTGCTGCAGCCTTGGTCGCGCACCCCGGCGCGGGCAGCTACCCCTGCGGCGGGGGCAGCAGTGGCGCGCAGCCCTCCGCGCCCCCGCCCCCAGCCCCTCCTCTTCCTCCCACCCCTTCACCCCCTCCCCCTCCCCCGCCTCCTCCTCCTCCTGCCCTCTCGGGCTACACCACCACCAACAGTGGCGGCGGCGGCAGCAGCGGCAAAGGCCACAGCAGGGACTTCGTCCTCCGGAGGGACCTTTCCGCCACGGCCCCCGCGGCGGCCATGCACGGGGCCCCGCTCGGAGGGGAGCAGCGGTCCGGCACCGGCTCCCCCCAGCACCCGGCCCCGCCTCCCCACTCGGCCGGCATGTTCATCTCCGCCAGCGGCACCTACGCGGGCCCGGACGGCAGCGGCGGCCCGGCGCTCTTCCCCGCGCTGCACGACACGCCGGGGGCCCCAGGCGGCCACCCGCACCCGCTCAACGGCCAGATGCGCCTGGGGCTGGCGGCGGCAGCGGCAGCCGCGGCGGCTGAGCTGTACGGCCGCGCCGAACCGCCCTTCGCGCCGCGCTCTGGGGACGCGCACTACGGGGCGGTTGCGGCCGCAGCGGCGGCCGCCCTGCACGGCTACGGAGCCGTGAACTTAAACCTGAACCTGGCGGCTGCGGCGGCCGCAGCAGCGGCCGGGCCCGGGCCCCACCTGCAGCACCACGCGCCGCCCCCGGCGCCGCCGCCGCCGCCGGCGCCCGCGCAGCACCCGCACCAGCACCACCCCCACCTCCCAGGGGCGGCTGGGGCCTTCCTGCGCTACATGCGGCAGCCAATCAAGCAGGAGCTCATCTGCAAGTGGATCGACCCCGACGAGCTGGCCGGGCTGCCGCCGCCGCCGCCGCCGCCGCCGCCGCCGCCGCCACCGCCCCCGGCCGGCGGCGCCAAGCCCTGCTCCAAAACTTTCGGCACCATGCACGAGCTGGTGAATCACGTCACGGTGGAGCACGTGGGAGGCCCCGAGCAGAGCAGCCACGTCTGCTTCTGGGAGGACTGTCCGCGCGAGGGCAAGCCCTTCAAGGCCAAATACAAGCTCATCAACCACATCCGCGTGCACACCGGCGAGAAGCCCTTTCCCTGCCCTTTCCCCGGCTGCGGCAAGGTCTTCGCGCGCTCCGAGAACCTCAAGATCCACAAGCGTACTCATACAGGTGGGTGTCTGTCCCCGGCCGCGCCGCCGCCGCCGCCACCAGCTCCTGCGCCGCCGCCGCTTCCGCCGCTGCTTCTCCTCCTCCTCCTGCTCGCCTTAATTTTTTTCTCCTTCTGCTGCTTCTCTTCGCATACGTATAACCCGGACATGTGACTTCTTTTTTTTTCTCTCCCCCCCTTTTTTTTTTCTATGAATAAGTAATTCGATAGCACACACAGGCCCCGCGTTGGGTTCCCACACGGCGGAGTCTCCAGCGCGCCCGCAGCCCCTCGGCCGGGACCCGCAACGCGCGCCAGCCGCCGCCGCCGCCACCTCGGAGCAGACGCAGCAGCAGCTGGAGCAGGAAGGCGCCCAGGACGGTCGGCAGTCCCCACCCGCCCGGCCCTGGGAAGTCTGGGAGGGCGATGGAAAGAGAGGCCGGGCCGCCCCGGCAAGCGCCTCTCTTCCCACCGGGTCGTAGGCCCCGCGCAGTCTCCGCGCTCCGAGGACCGGGCGTGGGATTTGCTGCCGGATTTGGGCCGCCCGAGGCAGGCCTTCCGGGAGGGGAAGGGACCCCTCCGGGAAGACAGGAATGCGCTTTCGGAACCCCGGAGACCACTCGCACTCGCCCACCGTGACACACTCTTCACGCACACCTTCTTCTGCGTGCGTCTCCCACAACTTTACACACTCATATCCTCCTGCGCGTGCACCCCATTCCCGCGACACCTGTGTGTCCTCACACTCACATCATTTACACGCCCCACGCGCCCTCTCACACGCAGTATCACACTCGCCCTGGAGGGTGCTGGAGTTGACATCTGCCTTTCTAGAGAAGGTTCTAGTTGTAGGAGGACCCGAGCCTCCCACCATCGGTGAGGCCTACCCTGTCGTGGAATTGGTGGGGAGCCACCGGCGTCGTGGGGACCCTCCCACCCCACCTCAAGCCCTGCCTCTGGGGATCCCACAGCGCTGAGGAGGGCGGCTGCGGCGCGAGGCGGTGGATGGCTCCTGTGGGTCGTGTGCCCCCTTTGAGCGGACCAGCGCGTCGGGCGGAAGCGCTGATGAGCGCGAACGCAGTCGGGATTTATAGGGACAGATACGATTACCCCTCGGAGGACACTTAAGTAACTGGAGTTTACGTTCAGTAATCACTTGGCAGATTTATCGGCGCTGCTGCGGCCAGGAGGTAGCCGCCGGGTCCCACGCTCGGGCCGGGGGCGCTCGGGGCTCTGCGGGGGCAGCAGCGTCGGGGTGGCCCGAGGCGGGAGCCTTGGCTTGGCTCCTGCGGGCCGCCTGATGGCCGGTGGGGAGCACGTTTTCCCAGGAGCCCCTTTTCTCTCTAATCGGGATCAGTCCGCCTTAATGATTTTTCCAGGAAGAAACTTCCCAGGAGGCTCTCGTAAAAACGCCCTGGCCCGCTAAGCCGGCTGCTCGCTCCTGTGCCCAGCACTTCTCGGCAGGGCAGGATCCAGGGACCGTGAAGCCGCTCCCCAGCCCGGCCCCGAAAGGGAACTCCCAAGCGCGGGGCCGCGCGCGGCCTAGGGCCCTTCCCGCCTGCCCAGGCCTCGCGAGGGGAGCGGCCTTCCCTAGGCGGCTGCCGGGAGCTGCGGGCGCAGAAGCCGATCCGGGCCCCCGGCGGGACAGGCCACGCCCTGCGCACTGTCCCCGGTGGCTTCCCGGGGCACGCGCGCGTGCGTGGGGTCGGGGGGGGCGCGGGGGACCCCAGGCGGCGAGGGGACCCGCGGTCATTTGGGTTTTTGGCTCTGCGTCTCGCGGACGGTTGCATTTCCTGCCCCCTCCCGGCGGCCGCGTGGGCCCCACCCGGTGGAGCGTGGGGGTCCCTGCGGGAGGGACGCAGGCGCCTCGGGTTCAGACTCCAACCCGCGCTTGGTGTTTCTGGCGGTCCCTGGGCCGCTCAGCTATTGGACATTGTGTTCTGAGAGGGCCCATCCGGACTTCTTTCCCTCCCTGCCACGCCGCTCTCCCTTTTGGGGGTTATCCGGGATCCCGGAACGGATTGATCAAAGGGACTAATCCCCGGGCCACTTCCGAAGGCCCCTTTCCTGACCCACGTGCCCCCAGTCCCGTTTATAACCGTCCCGCGGGCCCGACTCGCGCTCTCTCGGGAGAGGGAGCTGCTAGGAGCTGGCGGGGTCCGCAAGTAGTTCCTTACTTTCCCACAGGCTCCAGGCTCTCAAACTCTGTAAATAGTTAAATTCTGACGTGACTCGTCTATCAGAATCTTAAATGTAAACACTGAGGTCTCTCAGCCTTTCTAGTTAGGTAGAATTTGCTTATTCCCCTTAGGCCCCCTGAACAACACAGGCCTTTCCATCGCCCTTGCCTTGTTTTCTTCTGTTTTCTCCGTGCACCTCTTCCTTTATTTAACTCTAATGTTCTACCTTTCCTTCCACGACATCTGTCCCTTTCCTGAGTCTAATTGTTCCCCTTTTTCATGTGCAGTGGAGGAGTTAGCAGTGTTCAAAGCGTTTCTTCACAACCCGGGATATGTAGGTTGAACAGAAACGACCATGCTCAAAAACAGCATTGCACCTTCGCGTAGGGTGGATGAGTAAACCCATGTAATTACGCCTCCATATTGAAGAAAGGCTGATTTTAATTTCTTAAAAAGAATATGATGTTAACTTGGTCTTATCTACGACTTAAAGTGTAATGTAGAAATCAGGACAAATCACTGATGTTTTGATAAAAAGGGATTAGCTTTGTTTTTGTTAAAGCTCATCTACAGAGAATTTTTCGAGGTTGTGATTATCATGGGGTTGTTTTTTCTCTCTTTATACATCACTGTAGGAGGCATATTTGAATAATGTCTAATTCTGTTTTTAAACAGTATTTCCAGGTAGGGAAAGTTAAATTCCAGGCATCTGCCTGAATACTCTCAGATGTGCTAGCATACTCTGCCATGGAAGCAGTTATCGTTGGCGAAATATTTTTTAAAAACTCACTACAGTAAAATATCTGCAGAGGGTGTAAGAAAAGTCACCACAGAAATGTATGTACACTAAGCTGAGGCTTAACAGTTTGTTTTTGAAAACAAGTTATCCAAAACAAAAGAAAATGTCATACCTAGTGTATCACCAGAGTAGCTGCTGAAATATGAGAAATTCAACTTTATTTTTAAATTATTTACCTAAAAGAGGAAAATATTAATTCAATAATATGTATGAAATGACTTGTTTAATTATGGACTCAACTCTATCAAGTTCAGAGATACCAAGGGGAGAGGGAAAATTCAGTTAGACTGTTACCTGCTGTCTTCCTTTTCTTGCTGTTTAACACCAAAATGTAGTGTGGCTGAATTTCTCTAGTTGTCTTATTAAGTATTTCCATTTCCTGGACTAGAGGCCTTGTGTTTAAAGGCGTGTTTGTGGGGTGGTTAGGCCAGCTTAAGGAGGTGACAGCCAAAAGACCCTGGCCTTTTTAAATTTTTTTAAGGTCTTTTTGACTAGTAAGCAATGTAGGGAGCTGTGAGAGTAAGTATACTTATGGCATAAAGTAAAGGTAGGTTCTGCTAAGGCTTGTGGTCTTTATTAATGTATGTTAAAGCTCGATCTGCTGTGCTCTTAACTGCCCTGCAAGTAGTGAGGAAAGCTGTAGAATGCAGAGGTCAACAGCCTGTTCTCTGCCCAGCTAGCCCTGTAAAAATCGAGTGGTGGGAGTATGTTTCACAGGTGCCTCTATTTCTAAAGAAAAACATTGTTTTGTTTTACCTCTTTCCCTTTCCCATCTCCACGTTCTCTCCTGATGCCCCTCTCCTTCAATGAAATCCTGGAGAACACTGAAAGGAAATGCCATTATTATAATTTGACTGTACCCCCCAGTTTACTTTTAATTTAGTGTATGTGTTTGCTTTTTTCTCTTTTTCTTATACGCTTACTTCCGCCTGTGGCTTTGGAAGTATCATTTTGTGTTTATTTTGACAGGAGGATCTCCTGCTTGTGTTTTTGAGTGTACAGACCCTGAGGGGAGTGTGTCTGTCGGGGGAGGGGGTCTGCGGGTCCCAGGTGGGTTTCAGTGTTACATTCTGGCCCTTAGCTCAGCACTAGGGATCTCACCCTGATCCCTCTGGGACTGCAGGGCCTGACAGCCTCTCAGGAGCCCAGGTCCAGGCAAAGCCACCAGGTCAGCAGAATCCAGGCCCATCCCTGAAGCATCCCTTCCCTTTTGTGAATTAGGAAGAAGAATTAGGCTGGGAGTTGGTCTCTGGGAGAATAGGAAAAACACAACCTTGGTTCTGCTTCAAGATTTCTGTCAAGAGAGGGGTCTTGGAAAGCCATTGTTGACCTTTCCTGTGTTTCCTTGCAGGGGAAAAGCCTTTCAAATGTGAATTTGATGGCTGTGACAGGAAGTTTGCCAATAGCAGTGATCGGAAGAAACATTCCCATGTCCACACCAGTGACAAGCCCTACTACTGCAAGATTCGAGGCTGTGACAAATCCTACACTCACCCAAGCTCCCTGAGGAAGCACATGAAGATTCACTGCAAGTCCCCGCCACCTTCTCCAGGACCCCTTGGTTACTCATCAGTGGGGACTCCAGTGGGCGCCCCCTTGTCCCCTGTGCTGGACCCAGCCAGGAGTCACTCCAGCACTCTGTCCCCTCAGGTGACCAACCTCAATGAGTGGTACGTTTGCCAGGCCAGTGGGGCCCCCAGCCACCTCCACACCCCTTCCAGCAACGGAACCACCTCTGAGACTGAAGATGAGGAAATTTACGGGAACCCTGAAGTTGTGCGGACGATACATTAGAATTTATTATTAATAATAATAAGTGAAATAATAAGTGGGAGTCCTTGGACCACATCCTAACCTGAGACAATGCCGAGCCTGAGACAAACCCGTGACTCAGACTTGCCACCGGGTCTAATTAGCCCTATTTATTCAGTATGAAACCCTATGGTGTTTGTACATTTAATTAATTTAATTAAGATATTTGGGCTTTTTTTTTTTTTTTTCTTAAAAAACAAACAAAAAACAACCAAGCTGGACTTGTACATTGCAGGAGGATGGGGCTGGGGGCAAATTGTACCAAGGAAAATGAATGGAGAGATTAGTTAATGGCGATACACACTGCCGATGCAATATATATATATATATATATATACATATATATATATATTATTTTTTTTAAAAGGGGGAGAAAAAGAGCATTAAGTCAGAACTTAACACAGCACCAAGGCCCTCTGCATTTCCCAGAGTGCCTCTCAAATGCCTTTGACACCATACCATGGGCTGCTTTTGAGCCTCCTTGTTGGACCCTAATTCTGCCAAGGCCTCTTGATTGTAAACCACACACCTGCTGCATTGCCAACAGATCCTGTTCCGTACCTGTGTCCAAAAACATTTGTAAAAACCCTTTGAGTTTAATATTTGTAATTTTTAATTTCCACTCTTTTATTACTGATCTTAGCTTAATACAATATTTTTATACAGGATTATTTCTTCAGTATCCTACTGTGTGATTTTAAAAAAAGATGCAGCAACCTTAATATATCTCCATATCTTGTGCTACTGTGATTGTTCAAGCAAAAGTGGAGAGAAGAAAAGCTGCTGCAAAAGACAACTGTGAAACTGTGATATTTTATAAAATAGAAGAAATTCAAGTGCTTTCTTTTTCCTATATGTTTTTTTTTTTTTATCTGAATTCTCAGATACTGCCTCCTAACTGTGTCCAAACTTCTTGTGTAATAAAGAGATTCTGTTTTCGATCCTAAGTTCTTTGGGATGCCAACATTCACAGTCAAGTCTTGAGGAGGTGTGATGATGGCATCATGCCTATTTTTTTGGAAAGCTGTTGTTTTTAAAACAGGCCAACACCTCTTTTATACTGTTGTATCAGCCTTTTAAAAAGTCTATTTTTCAATGCCTGAAACTGCATTTTAATGCATTTTCTTCCACCTGAGCACTGAGCACACCAAACTGGAATCCATTTGAAAATGACAGTGTGTGAAGTGTATGATTTACATTAAAAGAGGGGAGGGAGTTGCCATACATATTAAAAATTTTTAAAAGGTTTATAGTTACCACCAAACACTGATGAATGTGTGACCTTTGCCAGAGCTGTCAAGCTAGGATAAAAAAGGTCAAGGACCTAGGACAATAACTCTTAGTCGATTTATTTTCGGTTGGTACAACACATCTCCTGTGCAAAATGTAGTCCATCAGAAACATCCTACAGATACACTAAAGAGCACTAATTTATCCTTAGAGACCCCGAAGACACCCCCTCCCCAGGGTTTGTAGAAATTTGTTTTGTGTGCTGTGAGTGGTTGATGTAGTCTTGTCATTGTTAATAACTTGTATGTGAACACTATTATTTGTACAGTTGAATTAATTTATTTTCAGACATCATCCTTTTTTTTTTTCTTTCCTGGAAGAGTTCAAAGCACACCAAAGAATTATATTATACATTTTGGTGAAAGATTGTCATTTATGATCCATGGTTTATTTAAAAAAAAAAGGAAAGAAAATGGAAAAATATATTTTTAAGCTTACTTGAATGAACAACGTAATGTGAAAACCAAGACTCTTCCTGCATGTCTTTTTTGCATTGTGTTGATAAGATTATATATAGTTTATAGATATATTATATTACTAGTACAGTGCATGGTGCTGTCACTTGGAAAGCCTTTCAATGTTGTCTTCAGATTGTTGTGATGAATATGAAACATGCAGACCCTCCTTTATAAAGAAAAAGACCTTAAAACTTGAATATGAGATAATTTTACATTTTAAAAGTTTATTTGATTTTCATATTATTCACTTTCAAAGCCCTTTCAAATAGAAAAGGTATGAACTTTTGGGGGGATAATTTATGTATCGTAAACTTATTAGAACAAAATATTCCTGATGTATAATGAGTTGTTTTATTTATACAACTTTTTCAATGGTAGTTTGCACTATTCTTTATTATGCTACAGGTTTATTTATTATGAAACAAAGGAATATGTATTTTATGTATTTTACCATGCATAGGTTAACTCTTTGCCACAGATTTATTGGTTCTTGATACACCTAAAATAAAAAAAAATGTGTACCTCCAATAGAGAGCAAGCAAGAATGATTATGAAGTAACAAATTTAATAAAGGTATTCTTGTTATTATTGCTTATGTTTTACATAATGGCATATCTCTCATACAAATAGAACAGGTTGCTAATGGAGTGAATGTCTTCCCTTGGTCTCTTGATTTCTCAGCCTCTCCCCAAGCAATACAATATTTTTGCAGCCTGGTTTAACTTAACAACTTACAAGCTTATCTAGGAAACACAGATATTTATGAAGACTAAGCCTTGCAGGTTATACTTACAGTAGCATAAATCTTTTGGGTTACTGCATTTATTTGTTAAAATAAGTAATATCCTGATTGATTCTAATCAGTGAAAAGCCAAAAAGTGAATTTTAGCATTTCTTTGGTGCCCAGCCTCCAAAAGGAAAAAAAAGAATAAAGAAAATGTGGAGGAAGGGACGGTGAGGCTTCTAGACAAAAAGAAGGTGAAAGCAAAATCAGTCAGGGGCTGAGATAGGTATTGAATGAAATTGAGTAGTGGGCATCAAATGCCTCTTATGGCGTGGGAGATCAAGATGCAATTTTACTGTAGTTTGTTCTGGAAGTTGAGTGGCTATTGGTAATTTAAGCTCAGCATTTTGGGCCAGGTGTGTTGAACAATTAGATTCTTGCATGGCAGCAAAATATTCAAGTGGCTTAAATGCAGGTGTTTGGCTATGCACATTTACAAGGCTGGATGTTTGCTTGTGTTTTTGTTAGCAGATACAAAACTGATAAAAGTCAGATAGTTAAAAGCAACTGCTAGTAATGTCAATAAGCATTTCTCTGAAAGGTTATAGTGGCTTTTAAAAGTCAGGTTTGTTAAATGTAGTAAAGGTGAAACAGGTTGCAAAGAGTTGTTTTAACTCAGATGACAATAACCAGCACACGAAGGAGAAAAACACTCATAAATGAGGGCCCCAATCAATGGGAAAACTTATAGCTCTCTAATGAAGTTTCTTGTGAAAAGAAGGGTGACACAAAGCCACCAAGACATGAATCATTCATGGGAAATATAAAAGATAAAAGATATCTGACAATGAGCAGAACCTTGTATAGAGTGTATAAAACAAGTTTCCCCTTCTTATTTTCTGCTTTAAAACGCACAATCTCCCACTCCCAGCATTCTCTGTCCAGTCTATAGAGTTAAAATTGACCACTGCTCGTACTGCGCCACTTCAAAGTAATTTAGTCCAGAACGGAAGGCTTGGCGCTCGGACAATCTTCATGGTGTGTTAAGATTTCTATGGCAATTGGCAAGCAAGACGTTCCCATCTGAATATGTCTCAAAGAAAGCCACTTATTGACACTAAGTTGGCTATCATCAAAGACTTCATCTTCCCTAGGCAAAACGTGGCCCTTGCAAATACTGTTTAAATCATCTACCTTTGTTTTGCAGGCTAGGAGAATCTTCAAACACACAATTATTTGAAATTTATGTATATATATTTTCCCCATTCAGGATGCTCTTGGTAAAGCTAATGGTCCTAAAATCTAAACTCCATAGAGTTTGAGGGTGGGAATTATATTCTCTTAAGGAGTTGGAGATGGCCACACAAGCATCATAACACTGGGGACAGGAAAAGAGGAGGCCCAACTATCTGCAAACATGTTACACTCTCATAAGTGATCTCTTCCACTTTGGGGAAGGTTTTGGAGACCATTGTGGTTTTACCCACCCAGTAATCTATCATCTGTCATCTCTCTGTCTGTCTATGAAATGGGACAAGAGGTGCTGGCCACTAGTATTTTTAAATCCCAGTTGGGTTAGGAAATCCAGCTCCTGGGGAGGGGGCAGGGGAGACATCTGGTTTCTCAAGTGATCACCTTAAGCCAGCAGAAAAGAAGGCTGATCACAAGGCAAACAAAACAACCCAGCCGCTTATTATTAATGGCACTTTCATCCCCTCACATCACTCCTGGCCTGCCAGTCCACCCACAGTGTAGCAAAACAGGATGCCCAGCCACGGAAGCCTTCCAGGTCTGGAGGCACAGGCAGGCCGGCAGGGGACCCTAGGTGAAACTGCCCTGGGGACCCCAGTACACTTCCCCTCTGTAGACAAAAACTCAGCCCTACACCCACGCACTCCCCGAGCACACATTAACATACACTGCAAGTGCCTAATCAGGCAGGGAGAAGTTCAAAGCCATGTTTTTTTTCTTTTGGAAATTCAAACTACTGCTTCTATGGTCCATCCACGCGGAGCGTCAGGATCGCTGTGGCAGTGGGCAGGGCCAGGGGAGTCGCCGGCAGAGGGGCCACTGTGATTCGAGACAGTCGATGAGACACAGCTGCAGTGACCTTTTTACTTTCATGCCAAGTTACTTCAGTCCACTTGCACCTCATCAGAAATTTTATATATATATACACATATATACACATATATATACACATATATATACATATATACACATATACATATATATACACATATATACATATATATACATATATACACATATATACATATATATACATATATACACACATATATACATATATATATACACATATATACATATATATATATATTCAGCGTTTAAGATTCTTCCATAGAACCTCCTAGCTTGAGAGAAAGGGGAGAGAAAGAATGAAGAAAGGAGGATAGGAGCGGAGGAGAGTCGGGGTGGGGAGTGGGTGATGTTCGAAGGGTGGGGGAGAGGGGCAGGGGCGCCAGAGCCCCAGCTCCTCTTCCTTCCCTCCCCACCTAAGTACTTTTATTTGCAGAGCGATTGTTCTTTGTTTATTTAATACAAGTACTGTGTGAATGGTGAAAAATAAACACGATGAAAAATAACCAAACAGATGATTCCTCCGAGTGAAAAAGCCCGGACTTAATAAAAGTGCGAAGCAGTCACCGCTGAATGAGAAACCCTTTGAAGTGGAACTTATTATAGGAGGAATACTTTGGGGTTGCCTTAACGACGCCGCTGAATCGAAAGCGCTCGCCTTTGTCAGCGATTTGTTCTCCTTTGCTGGGGTGCCCAGAGAAATTACTTACATGGGCTGCCTTAACATGCAGCCTGCAAATCAGTAACTTTGCAGCTCAGACTCGCAGACGCCACTCGGCTGCGGACAAAAAGAGTCAGGGGGGAAACGCACCAACCTTTCACGCCGAGGCTCTGGGGCTGGGGGCGCACGGGCGTGTTGGGGTCGGCAGATAAGAAGTTGTATTACAACGCCCCCCCTCGTCCAGGCTTCCCTCTTCTTCCCTCTGCACCCCCTCGCCAGTCCGGGCTGGGGCTCTGCGGGCCCGGACTCCGCTCGGTGGCAGCGGAGG
This sequence comes from Homo sapiens, assembly GCF_000001405.40. NCBI lineage: Eukaryota > Metazoa > Chordata > Mammalia > Primates > Hominidae > Homo > Homo sapiens. The sequence continues at coordinate 99,959,797 of NC_000013.11, read as the reverse complement.
CCCGGCTCCTCCAGGGCCCACCGGCGAGGGGCGCTCTAGGGCGCGCGGCCGGGCGCGGGACTTTCCCAGCAGCTCGGGCCATATTTAATAAGGGTCGTTCATCACCGAGGCGCTTTGAAGGGTCGCCTCCAGCCCTGTGCCCATTAGAAAGGCGGAGGTGACATTTAAACTCCGTTTTCAAGGATCGCGGGGGGATTTCATTGAAAAGGCAACTCGTTTGTCTTATGAGCCTGGAAACAACCCCCTTCTCGCTCCTTTTGACCACATGGCATAACTCAAAAACAATAGTTCAAAAGTGAAATGGCATCGTGGTGTTCATTCGGAGACAGGCCCCCATCTAGCACCAGAGAAAAGGGGTAGTCCGCAAGACAATGTGCTTTTTGTGTCCGACTCTGTCACAAGGATTGTGTTGTTTGCTTTGGAGGCTGCGCCTGTTATACTTTCCTGAAAGTGCTTGTGTTAAACAAGAGTTATAAGTCATCCAAAACAACAAACATTTTGATTTTCTTTGCCTAAAGGGCTTTCCCTGGCTATGGGCACCGTGAAAAAATAATGTCCTTGCTGAGAAAGGAACACCAGTAGTAGCATTACAAGCGGGCGCATTAAATATTGAATGACACGGGAAAAAGAGCTTGTCGAGGGGCACTCAGCCTTAAAGTCTTTCTTCAACTTTGTCTTCGGTGGCTGCTGGACTATTTAAGATGGTATTAATTAAGGCAGCTTCGGATGCTGCCCAGCCGGCCGGCCCCTCGGCCGCGCTCGGTCAATGGGCCTGTGCCCCCGCGCTCTGCTCACGCGTTGGCTGAGCCGAGTGCAAATGTCACTTCTCATTTGGAGGCTGAAGAGAAGTGCCCATCCTACATTAAGGGCAGCAGGGATGCAGTCAGCAGCAGGCGTTAAAGGAATACGAGGGACTGCGGTGAGGGGAGGGAAGGCGGGAACAAAATGGGAACAGCTGCCCGGGGCGGGGTCGAGAGAGTGCCCCAAGCACAGCTTTTGGCACATTTTGGAGAGCGCCGCTGGCAAACCGGGGCCAAGCGGGACTCGCTGGGTTGGAAGACCCCCTCTCTTTCGTCGTTCCTGCGTGGGGAAAATGAAAACTCTAGCTCTGCACAAATCCATTAGGCAGGCTGGCGGGGCGTTATTTTACAAAGGGACTCGCTTCTACAAAGAAAGACAAAAGCTTGGTGCAAACAGGCGTCTTGACTGACTTCCACCTCTCCCTACGGTCCCCTTCACAGATCACAAACAAATAAAGCCCAAAGGACCTCAGCCAAGGATCTCCAGATCCAATTTTACAGATGGCGAAACTGAGACCTCAAGCAAGACTCAAATTGATTTTTGTCAATATTCCCCGAAGTCAGAGGTTGAGACCCTCTTTGAGACCAAAGATCCAGGCGGGAGTGGAGTTCTCTTTAAAGTCGCCAACAACCACGCCAAAATGTCCCTTTCCCCTGCCCCCCATTGCAAGTGTTTGATTCAAAGTCAAATGGAAATTGGTTTCAGCAGTTGAAAATTCCTAACATAAAAAAAGGAATGAAGCTTACTGCCAACTGACTGTGGCATAAATGAAATGCATGCTCTGAGAAACTCTGTTAACTATCAGTTCTTGATGAAGAGAGACAAGATTTGGCTGGGCAGAGGGGGCAGGGCATCCCGGCAGATTGATTTCTGCAGCCAGAAGCCCAACAGGCGCCCCCGTCTCCCTATGTGGCGTTTCACCTGGATGTGGGCCTTCTCTTTTACCACACGACCCCTTGTAGGTGGGGGGAGATGCAGTAAAATGCCCTCCCCACCCCCACCCCCGTGTGTGTGTGTGTGTGTGTGTGTGTGTGTGTGTGTGTGTGTGTGGTTAGCACCCTTAGCTTTTGATCCATTTGCAATGTCTGATTCTCCATCTTAAAATGTGTCCATTCAGGGCTCCCTCTGGCCTTTTGGATAAGGGGCGGGTCATGTTTCCACCAAGAGCCATGTTGCAGGAGAACTAGTCCCTACCCTTCCTGCAGAGACTGGAATCTGAGCGCAATGGGTGGCCGGAGAGCTCGCATTCAGACAGCCCTGAGATGCGGGCCTGGGGCCCTACGCCCCATTGGCAGCTGGAGGCGTCGCTCTGGGGCCAAGGAACGCCTGGCCGGGTCAGGACGCGGGCAGAGGTGGGCGGTGGGGCAGCGAGAGAGGGCCGCGCCAGAGCAGCCCACTCCCGCACAGCCTAGGACTGGAGTTCCCAGGCCCAACCGCCTACCTGAGTGATCTGTTTTGCACATCTTTCCTCATTCCTCTTCTCTGCTGTCCCTACCTCCTCTACTTTTTTGCATGAACAGGGCCCAGGCCAGGATAACGGATGCAGAAAGATGGCCTTTTGGCCCGGAACGCACTCTCTCTCGTACGCATACACCCACCTCCCTACCACCCCCCCCACACACACGCTCACGCGCAATTCAACCCCCCCAGCCCAGCCCCAGCCAGTGCACTGGGCACACGCTCGGGATCCAGGCACCTTGCCAAGAGCTCGCGAGCACCCTGCGTGGCACACTGGTTGGAGTTCCTGCACGAAGTGGCGGGGGTGGAGTGAGGAGGGAGGGGTGGGCGGCGGTGCACGCCGCCGACTGCTGGCGGTGAGCACAAGTTCAGTGCTCAACTTCCCGCTCTTAACGAGACCCGGGATCCCTTTGGAGAGGCCCTCGGGAGCTGGCGACAGGGCTGGGAGTGGCGTGGGTAAGCTGGCCGGCGCGGGGCGCGGGCGGCGGGGCACAAGGGCGCTACAAGAAGAGGGCGCGAGGGTGCCCGCGGCCAGCCGGGCGCTCCGAGAAGTCAGCGCGAGCAGCTGTGACTTCACCTATTAGCCCCGATGTCTTTCCGAGGAGCCTGGTGGAGTTAAACAGCCCACAATGGGCGCTCTGGGGCGCCTCCAGCCTGACCTCCACCCGGGTTTAATAGTTTCATAGGAACTTCATTAAATCAATTACTTAGTGAGCACATCATCATTTATTTGTAATTAGCAGCGAGGAGCGCGTTCTCTCCCCCAGCCCGCGGCCCGGGTCCCAGCGGGGTTGACTAGTTGTGCAAGCACTTTTGTTTGCTCGAGTGTTGACTCCCGGCATTATTCGGCCCGGGTAATCTTTACGTCTCAATCTAGTATTCAGGGGGCGAAAGGAAAACAAACAGGGCGCAGGCCGGAGGCCAGCCCTTTGGTCCCAGCCGTCCCAGAACTCGGCCCTCGCTGGGCGTGCAGGGCGCACCTCTGCGGCCCCGGCTCCTCCCGGGAGGAATAGGCGAGAGCGCCACCGGGGCAGAGGGGCAGGAGCCAGCCCGGAGGGTCCAGAAGGAAAGTGGCGAAGGAAGAGGCGATGAAGGAGAGAAAGGAGAAAACCAGCAGCAGGAGCTCTGGGCCTGCAAAACGAGCACAAAAGGGGAACGTCCAGGCTCGCGCACGTGTGCGGGCGGCATTGGAGGGGGAATGCGCGTTGTGCGTGTGTGCAAGTGTATGTCCATGTGTGCATGTGTGTGTGCGCGCGCAGGAAGTGCGTGAAATCACATCCATTTCAGCTGCCCACGGCTGGGCGGAGAGGGGAGTGGGAGCAGGAGGTGCCGGCCTGGCGTGCGCGGAGGCAGCTCTCTGGGTGTCCGAGCTGCAAAAGTGCTTTAATTGGGGGGCTGCAGCCCCGGGCGCAGCTCCACTGCGGCCCACAAATTACGAGCGAGTGGTTAGCGAGGAGCGGGGAGTTGCTGAAAGCCGGGCCAGAACCTGCGCGTGCGGAGCGGCACGAGTAATGGCTCCGCAAGGAGTCGTGATTCCTTTCGAGTGTAATCATCTTTCCCCACACGCCGCAGCGCCGGCCAAATCTCGTTTACATCCAAGGAGTTGCGGCTAGCCGGGCCAGAAACGTGGGCGACACGCCCCTGCGTCCTTGCCCCGGCCCCGATTTCCGCTCCAAGCTGGAAGTCCTTCCAGCATAGGAAACGCTCAACTTCTGGGGCTATCCCAGCTCAGGAAATGGAGGAGGGCGGGGAGGCGAGGGGTCATTGATGAGCCGGCCTGGGTTCCCCCAGGAGCAGGAGAGTGTGAACAACTGTGAGGCGAGGAAAGGCCGTGGGGAAAAACGCTCCTCCAGAGGGCTTCCAGAAGAAACAGTGGCTCCTGGGGATCCTTGAGGTCAGTCTCTTAGACTCCCTGGGGCTGTGAGCTTCTGAGGACCGGGTCCTGAGTTTCTACCTTGGTTCTGGCGGCCAGGCCTGGCTGATCGGGGTCAATACTTGCAGGTAGGGAATGTGCGAAGGCGGTGGTTGCCTTGTGGATTTTCTAACCAGTGGTTTCAGTACAGATCGAATCAGTGTCTGGAGTGTTTGTTCTCTGGTGGGACTGAAGAGGGTTCTGTGGCCCTGTGGTGAGACAGGGTCCGTCCTGGAGCGGGGGTGGGGAGGCAGAGGGCTGGGGTGTGGCCCCCAGGCCTCTCTGGACAGCCCCAGACCTGGAGGCCGCTGGCTATGGCTGTGTCTGGGCGTACACCTGCGCGAGGGCGGTTGTACTCCCGGGAGTGGGAGCTTAGCTTGCTGGGGAGCCTGTCGCGAGCTCTCCTGAGGCCCCCAGTCTGGGGAGCCAACGCCGCCACAGTGCTCTGGGCTCTCAGGAGGGTGTCCTAAGCCTGCAGCTGTCTCACTCCCCCAGTCTTCTTGCTTCCACCTTTCCTCAGGTCTCACCATCAGACACCCATTCTGTTCCTCTCCCTAGCCTCCTTTTCTCAAAGTTGACTCCCGGGTCATTTGGCCTCTACCCCAGGGTCCTAGGTATCCTTTGCTTGCAGGACACAAGGATGAGAGAGGCAGGAGCAGCTAGGATCCTGTTTGAAAATAGGCTTTCTTGGCCTCGCGCGGTGGCTCACGCCTGTAATCCCAGCCCTTTGGGAAGCTGAGGCGGGAGGATCGCTTGAGGTCAGCACCAGCTTGGGCAACATGGTGAAACCCCATCTGTACAAACTATACAAAAATTAGCTGGGCCTGGTGGTGTGCGCCTGTCATTCCAGCTACTTGGGAGGCTGAGGCAGAAGAATCGTTTGAGCTAGGGAGGCGGAGGTTGCAGTGAGCGGAGATGGTGCCACTGCACTCCAGCCTGGGCGATAGGGCAAGACTCAGCCTAAAAAAAAAAAAGGTTTCCCTTCAGCCCCCGTCCCCAGCATGACAGAGCTCCCTGAGCTGCCCAGCTGCTGCTCACCCCGCCATGGTCTGAGAGTCTGGGTCAGCCTGAAAAACAGGAAATTGATCCGGATAAGGACCATCAACCAGCCGGTCAACAATCTGGGAGAAGCACCTTTTAAAATATAAAAAGTGGTTTGTAACTTTGCATACTCCTGTTCCCCCATCCCCAGTGAGTCTGTGCTGAAGAAGTTACAATGGTCAGGCTTCAGGAAGAATTACCAGGAAAAGGAAATCTTAAAGCATAAAGCCAAGTATGATTTTCTTAAAAATACCTGGGAGCCTAACATGATAAACACAAATACTCCTTTGAGTCTGTTGTGCACATTTCTGCTCCAGTGTACAGAATACTTGTGCATGTTAAATATATATTGATCAGACAGGTGCACACACACACACACACACACACACACACACACACAATTATAGCATGTCTAAATCCCACCTTGGAAATTATCAGACCTAGCCAAATTTAGGACAGTGTTGAAGGAAGCAAGACTGAGAAAAGCTACAATGAAAATAAAATTGAAATATTCACCCATGACTTGTCTCTCTACTCCTCCCCTCTCTCCCAGCTCCTACACCATTTAATAAAATAGCATCGTTTAGAGAAAGGAAGGCACGTCAGGAGACATTTTATGAGCTGGCAGAGAATTTGTTGAAGTGGTTGATTTAGAAAATCTGGATACTGACTGCGAAGTTTTCTTAGTGATATTCATATTATGCCTCTTTCTTCCCAATCCAAGTCCTAATAGCTTTTAAGTCATATCTGACTAGGTTCTGTTTATTAATCAGGCTCTGTTCTGATTCTGCCTTTATTGGGGTGCAGGCTCCTTGGCAGTCCCACCTGAGGTCCTCCTTGGATCAGTGGGAGCCCCGTGCTGTGTTCCTTGTGCCCTTTCAGGAGAACTCCCCATGCAGGGCGTATGGGACCCTTCCAGGGTCCTTGCCACTGGACTCATCAGTCTGAAAACTAACAGGATCATGCCCACAGACTGTCCTCCTCTCTCTGGGAGGGCTTGTCTTGTCACCAGTCATGAGTTTCATCCTCCTGACCTGGCGCAAAGAAGAACGTTTGGCACTGACATAAAAACCCATGCAGCGGGAGCCTGGAGTTTGTAGCAGGCTGATTTCGGATAATGACATGTATGGGACATTTCAGGGAGGGCCCAGGGGAGCCTTGGAATGGGAGGAACTATGCCAATGTTTGTCCCCTTTAAGGGGCGAGGGCAAAGGTTTGACTGCTCTGGTCGTTTCTTAAGTAAACTGACCCGAAAGAGCACGCATTAGAACAAACTGTGGCCTAGGGCAAGAGTCTGTTGTGTTCCTGACAGAAACTTCTGGGTGAGTCCTGGCCGCTGCTGGGCCACCGCTCTGTGTTCTCACAACCGGCAGCACAGCTGGTTCCCTGTTCATACCCGTGAGGGACAGAATCATGAGGTGATTCCAGGAGTCTCTTCTCAGGGAGAAAGAACACCTAGAGACACAGAGGCAAGTCCAGGAGAACCACTGCCCGTTAGCCAGTGCCACCCCTCCTTGGCCACTCCTCCTGCTATTTCCAGCCTTCAACGCCCAGATCCTTTATATCCACTCTGTAAAGCAGAGGGCTGGAGTGGTCCAGAGACAGGAATGTGTCTTCCAATAACATTAGTGTCTTTGGCCCCTGGCAAGATTGGAGTATTTATTTTTCTCCGACTCCTCCAATTGGAGTGATGCCAGTTAAGAAGGAAGCAGAAGCTGGGTGTGGTGGCTCATGCCTGTAATCCCAGCACTTTGGGAGGCCAAGGCCAGCAGATCGCTTTTTGTCAGGATTTCAAGACCAGCCTGGGCAACATGGCGAAACTGCCTCTCTGCTAAAAATACAAAAATTAGCTGGGTGTGGTGGTGCAAGCCTGTAGTCCCAGCTACTTGGGAGGCTGAGGCACGAGAATCATTTGAACTCAAGAAGCAGAGACTGCCGTGAGCCAAGATTGTGCCACTGCCCTCCAGCCTGGGTGACAGAACTAGATTTGATTTCAAAAAAAAAAGAAGCAGAGAAATTGCATAATGAAAAGTATAATATCCTGCTTGGCCCTTAAGTTTCTTTTGAGATTGGAATGAAGTTTTTAATAGGAAGGTTTCCTTGGCCCCATGACTGTCTGTGGAACGGCAGACACAAAACCTCTTAGGCTCAGCTGAGTAACAGCCTCCCTGGGAGCTGGGTGCTCTGAGGCCCTAGAAACAGAGCTGTGGGCCCTATTTTGGGGCACAGTAGAAGAGGACACAGGAAGTTGTAGAGAAGCCTAATATCCATTGCTCGCATGTTTTCCCCATCATTTAAAAAAAAACTGTGGTAAGGCCAGGCATGGTGGCTTACACCTGTAATCCCAGCACATTCGGAGGCCGAGGCAGGCAGATCAGATCACTTGAAGCCAGGAGTTTGAGACCAGCTTGGCCAACACGGTGAAAACCAGTCTCTACTAAAAATACAAAAAATTAGCTGGGTGTGGTGGTCTGCGCCTGTAGTCCCAGCTACTCGGGAGGCTGAGGCACAAGAATCGCTTGAACCCAGGAGGTGCAGGTTGCAGTGAGCTGAGATTGTGCCACTGCATTCCAGCCTGGACAACAGAGTGAGACTCTGTCTCAAAAAAGAAAAAAAATGTGGTAAAATGTATGTAACATAAAATTTACCATTTCAATCATTTTTAAGAGATGGGGTCTCACTGTGTTGCCCAGGCTGGCCTCCAACTCCTGGGCTCAAGTGATCCTCCTGCCTCAGCCTCCTGAGTAGCTGGGACTGCAGGTGTGAGCCACCACACCTGGCTTCAACTATTTTTAAGCATACAATTCAGTGGTATCGAGTACATTCCCATTCCCATGCAGTCATCACACCATTCATCTCTAGAATGTTTCAGTCTTCCCAAACTGAATCTTTGTATATGAAACAATAGTTCCTCATTTCTTCTCCCCTAGCTTCTGGCAATCTGCATTCAACTTTTTGTGTCTCTGAGTGTGACGACTCTAGGGATCTCATCTAAGTGGGATCATTCAGTACTTGTCCTTCTGTGCCTGGCTTATTTCACTCAGCGTAATGTCCTCAAGGTTCATCCCTGCTGTAGCATGCATTAGAACTTCATTCTTCGTTATGGCTGAGTAGTAGTCCACTGTGTGGATAGACCACATTTTGTAGATTCCTCCTGTTGTTGATGGACACAGGTTGTTTCCACCTTTTGGCTACTGTGAGTAGTGGTGCTGTGAACACTGGTGTGCTTACATGCTTTTATATGTACATGTGTACCTATATAATATACTTTTTATGAACCAATTTAAAACACTTTAAAGGGGAGCTCCAGCCATGGATTTAGACTATCAGCTTTCTCACTTGGCTGTGGCTTTCCGAGGTCAGCAAAGTGCAGCTAGAATTCAAGGGAGAGCCAAACCATTGTCTTCCAGTTTCATGGCCGTCCCATCTTTGTGTGTGTGTGTGTGTGTGTGTGTGTGTGTGTGTGTGTGTGTGTGTTCAGACCTACCCAGTGCTCCTGCTTCAGAGGAACTATTAACACATTGATATTATCAATAGCAGGCCGTGCCTGAGCCATTAGGGATTTATGAAAACATCTGAAACAAGTCGTTTCAAAGCACTGATTTGTTTTATAGTCAGTATTACATTTTATGACAGGCTCTTTTGCCAGCAAAATGAGCGCATAAGCATCATACACAGCTCAGGAGACGGAAACCGGTGCCCTGGGCTGCCCTGCAAATCTGTGCTCCGGATCCCTTGGGAAGCTTCTGCAATTCACGGACAACTACTGACCCTTTGCTGAAGGGTTGACCCCGAACTAGATAGGGTGTATGCCCACCCTTACATTTGTGGCAGTAGAAAAGCGACATCCACCCCCTTTCCCTTTTCTGTCATTTTTCTCAAACCGAGAACACAGTAAGAACACCAGTCAGTACCCAGCAGACCAAGGTCAAACATTTCCTGGCCACTTCTGCTGCTTTTTTTGTTCTGATTTTTTTTCTTTTTCCCTGATTTTCTGGAGTTTCATGGGGGCAAATTCCCGAGTTTTGGATAAAGTAGTCTCAACCCTCCTGGGAACGGTGGCGCCTAAGCAAAGGGACAGACAGGCCACTTGGGGAAGGTGGATGTATGATTCCCAGCAACCCAGTGACTGTCCTTCTCATTCAAACATCCCCCCACCCCCCAACCATAAGAGCAGGGAGAGGGACCACAGTGCTGTACAGGGTTTGTCGGGTCCGGGATTGGGCGGGGAGGCAGGCGCTCTTCCCTGGGATGGGAGATAGTTCCTTCTCAGTGTTCCCAGGGAGCAGGGTTTGTCATATTTTACAGCAGCTGTTTCACATTCCCCTACCTAGTTATTAGACACGAAAGGGAGTAAATTAAAATAGCAAAGTAAAAGGAAATAAAAGGCGTCTTTTCTTTCTGTAAAGAGACAACACCTAATTAAGAAATATTTGAATCCCACAAAAATGCAGACTCTCACGGGTGACATAAAACTTCTCCTTTTAAACCAGGAACAAACCCCAGAAAATTAGGGACAGGCCCAAGAGGTAGTCCTTTAAAACAAAATGCTCCTGCCTCTGGAGACTTTTGACTTTTTTTTCCCTTCCTTTTTTCCTCTTCTACAGTCCTGGGGGAGTATTAAACTCAAACGACTCCTTTGAGTTCAAGTTATCTGGGCTGTAGCCAGCCAAGCATACAGCCAGCCTCCTCCCCTCCTGCCACCAGCAGTGCTTGCTACAGCCCACAGCCTTGTTTTCTTCTCTCCCAGCCTCCTCCCCTCCCCAGCAGGAGCTTTTCAGCCCCCACTCACCACTGCACCACAGTTTCTTTCTTTTGTCCTCTCTGGACTCTACTTTTTTCCTAACACTTTCCCTAGCTCAGGCTAGTTCTCACCCACTCTGTCTTCCACTTTCTTCACCCCACAGAGCTGAGACACTGGGGCCTTCTTTCTTTTTCTCCTGGGCTCTTAATCGTGTTCTTGACCAGAAGATAGCAGAAGCTTTGGCCTTCTTCAGCTTGATTCCACCCTGGGTTCCAAATTCAGTCCTTCCCAGCCCTAGCTCTGCCCTTCCTCCCCTGGGTGTGGTCTCCTTATACACCAAAGGCTGCTTTGAGTGTTGGCACTCAGCCATTGTTGACCTTGACCTTTATACAGGAACGCTCTCCTGGGGCACCTGCAAGGAGTAAAACTTTTAAGTGTACAATTCACTGGTGTCGAGTACATTCACATTCCTGTGCAGTCATCACATCATCCGTCTCCACAACGTTTTCTTCTTCCCAAACAGAATCTTTGTACCCATGAAACGATAGTTCCTCATTTCTTCTCCCCTAGCCCCTGGCAATCTCCATTCAACTTTCTGTCTCTCTGAATGTGACTACTCTAGGGATCTCATCTAAGTGGGATTATATAGTATTTGTTCCTTTGTGTCTGGCTTATTTCACTCAGCATAATGTCCTCAAGGTTCATCCATGCTGTCGTATGCATCAGAACTTCATTCCTTGTTATGGCTGAGTAATATTCCACTGTGTGAATAATGAATCAATACATGTAAGGGGCGTGAAAGCCCATGGAGGTGAGAGGTGCTGACTTCTCAGGCAAGATATGGGCCTCCTACCTCATTTCTTCGGGGACCACACAATAGTTAGGACAGTGCTTTTTCTGTGAAAGTTGCTCGGTTCATTCAGAATCCCTTTAATTGTTGTTTCTAGGAGAGTATCACTCTTCTGCTTAGTTTTATAATTGGGAGGAAAGAAAGGAAAGCTGGGATGAGGCTAAGAAAATATGGAATGTCATACCTTGAAATAGCCACAAATTAAATAAATTCTTAGTGACAGCTCACCCCAATTTTGCCTCTCTGGGATTTTTTTTTCTTGGCTTTTGATGGCTTGAAAGTCCTGCAGAATTTTTCCCAACATCACAATGCAGAGGATGGAGCCAGGGTTTCCAGATTCCTGCTTATTAGACTAAACAGTGAAAGGAAATCATTTTTTCCATTCAATAAGTGAGGACAGGCTATTTTGTTGGCATTTCCTTTTGGGGATGGACCCTGCCTCTGGCTCTGCCTTTTTTACTTTTTTTTTGTTTTTGTTTTTGAGCCAAAGTCTTGCTCTGTCGCCCAGGCTGAAGTGCAGTGGCGTGCTCATGGCTCACTGTAGCCTTGACCTCCCGGGCTCAAGCGGTCCTCCTGCCTCAGCCTCCCAAGTAGCTGGGACCACAGGTGCACACCACCGTGTCTGACTAATTTTTTAAATTGTTTTTGTAAAGACGATGTCTCACTATGTTGCCTAGGCAAAGGTCTGTTCTTCCCTGACCTGCTGCAGAAACAGATGTGTGGCTGGCTCTGCCCAGGGCCAGGTCCCAGCCCTCAGCCACACTCCTGCCTTCTCTTCTCTGAAACGTGTAGGTAAAAAATAAGTTTCAAACTTCTCTAATTCCTTTCATCTATATTAAAAGGCATATCATATTTCTCTGAGTAAAGCCTTGGGTGGGATTTTTAGAAAAATGATCATAGTAATAATAATAATATGTTACATCGATGTTAGACCGACCTAACACTTTAAGGGGGGGCTTTCCTCTGCCTTATAGGATGTTTAGCAGTATCCCTGGCCCCTAGTGACTACATGCTAGCAACAGCTTCCTCCCTTCCAAACTGTGACAGTCAAAAATGTCTCCAGGCTGGGCATGGTGGCTCATGTCTGTAATTCCTGGGGAAGCCGAGGTGGGAGGATGGCTTCAGCCTGGTAGTTTGAGACCAGCCTGGGCAACATTGCAAGACCCCATCTCTACAAAAAAAATAGTCTCAGCTCCTTGGGAGGCTGAGGCAGGAGGATGGCTTGAGCTCAGGAGGTAGAGGCTGCAGTGAGCTGTGATCACACCACTACACACTAGCCTGGATGGCAGAATGAGATTCTGTCTCAAAAAAAAAAAAAAAAGAAAAGAAAAGAGAAAACATTTCTCCAGACATTGCCAGATGCCCTCTGTGAGGCAAAATCACCTCTGATTGAAAACCACTGAGTAAGGGGGCCAGAGGGATGGCCCATGTGGCCAGACCACAGGGAACAGGAGTGTGGTTCAAGATGAGGCTGAGAGATGGAGGCTGGACTGTGACCATATTGTGAGTTGAGATGTTATTTTAGGGCCAGGGAAAGCCACTGGAGGGGTTTAAGCTGGGGCATGAAATAATGTTATTTAATATTTGGAGGAGGGGTCTGGCTGTTGTGTGGGATGAGATTCGGGGCCGGATGTCCTGGGAGCAAGCCATTGCAGTGGTCCAGATGATGGGGGAATGGGGACGGAGAACAGCGCACAGGTCTGGGCCACGTTTTAGATGAGCAGGTGGCAGCGCTTGCTGAATACACAGGGAGAGGTGCGGTGGAGAAGGATGAAGGAAAGGACCCTGACCTGACTCCAGCACCTGGTGGCAGGAGCCGTGCCATGAGTAGGGGCAGGAGCCAATTTGGGACAGAAAGTTATTTATTTATGTGGAGGTGCCAGTTAGATGGGAGGATATAAAATTCTGGAGACCAGGAAGAGGTGAGGGCTGGAGGTGTAGGTTTGGAAGCTTTAGGGCATATTGGTTTTTATTGATATTTAAAACCATGAGTATTTAAACTCACATTACCTAGGGATATTCTGTGAGCCCACAAGAGAAGAAGCCCAGCAGAGAGTCCTGGAGGCATTTTAGCAGGAAGTGGAAGGACCAGAGAAAGATCCAGAGGAGCTGTCTGTGAGGCAGGAGATAAACTAGGGAAGGATGAGGTCATGGAAGTAAAAAATGTATCTGGAAGGCTGAGCGCTTCCTTGATGGGGGCCACAGAGTTTTCCAATGACACTGCTATGCATGGTTTGTGGACAGGTGAGGGTGGAAGGCTGATTGGGTGGGTGGGTGAAGTCAGGGACAGTAAAACCTGGACACTGTCCCAGAGGGCTGGGAAGGGGCAGAGCCCAAGTGGGAGACTGTGGGGAAGCAGATTGCAGGAGTTTTTTACAGGCAAGAGATGTGGGGCGTGTTTGTATGCTGGCCCTGGTCCGAGTGGCCTCCAAGGGGCAGGGGGAGGCAGAGAGAGCTGGAGAGGTTGACAGTGCTGGAGCAAAAGAGAACCACGTAGGAATCAAGTCCTTGAGCACGGTGGGATCAGAGCCCAAGTCAAGGGGCTAGGGTTAAAGATTTTTTTTTTTTTGTGGTAAAATATATATAACATGAAATTTGCATTTTGACTCTTTTTAAGTGTACACAATAGTGGCATTAATTACATTCACAATATAGTATGACCATATTGTGCTAGTTCCAACATCTTTTCATCACCCCAAACCCAAATACTCTGTAACCAGTAAGCAGCTGCCCCCTACCCCCTACTCCCACCACCTTGAAGGCCGGGGTTTTTTGTTTTTTGTTTTTTTGAGACAGGGTCTTGCTCTGTTCCCCAAGCTGGAGCACAGTGGCACAATCATAGCTCACTATAGCTCAGACTCCTAGGCTCAAGTGATCCTTCCACGTTGGCCTCCCACAGTGTTGGGATTATAGGTGTGAGCCACTGTGCCCGGCCTCAACGGGCTGGTTTTTTTTTAATAAGAGCAGGACATTTCATCCCGAATAGCAAGAGGGAGGGATAGACCAAGGCTGGAGGTAAGGGTGGGCTTGTAGCTTTGTGGATGGGAAGATGAGGGGGCTTCTGTGGGATTGCTCCAATGTTCTCACTGAAGGGTTGGGGGAAGAAAGAGATAAGGGTGTAGGAGGGAGACAGGAGAAAGGGTAAAATAGTCATCTGGAGAGTGGGAAAGTGAAAAAACTGAGGAAATATGTTAGTATTGATGGCCAGGGTCAATGGTCCACTTCCTATTTATATACCAGAATTTAAAATGAGACCAGCCAACAATGTTGAGTGTCTTTTTATTTTTTTATTTTATTTTATTTTATTTTATTTTATTTTATTTTATTTTATTTGTTTATTTTGAGACAGAGTCTTGCCCTGTTGCCCAGGCTGGAGTGCAATGGCATGATCTCAGCTCACTTCAACCTCCTCCTCCAGGGTTCAAGCGATTCTCCTGCCCCAGCCTCCCAAGTAGCTGGGATTATAGGTGTGCGCCACCATGTTCAGCTAAGTTTTTGTATCTTTAGTAGAGATGGGGTTTCACCATGTTGGCCAGGCTGGTATCGAACTCCTGACTTCGTGATCCGCCGGCCTTGGCCTCCCAAAGTGCTGGGATTACAGGCGTGAGCCACCGCGCCCAGCAAGTGTCTTTTTAAAAACTGTTTACAAATTGTGGCGAAATATACATAACATAAAATTTACCTTGTTTTTTTTTTCTTGAGACGGAGTCTCGCTCTGTCACCCAGAGGTTGGAGGGCAGTGGCTTGATCTTGGCTCACTGCAACCTCTGCCTCCTGGTTTCAAGAGATTCACCTGCCTCAGCCTCCTGAGTAGCTGAGATAACAGGGGTGTGCCACCACACTCGGCTAATTTTTGAATTTTGTTGTACAGACAGGGTTCACTATGTTGGCCAGGCTGGTCTCGAACTCCCGACCTCAGGTGATCCACCTGCCTCGGCCTCCCAAAGTGCTGGGATTACAGGTGTGAGCCACCGTGACCGGCCCTGAACCATTTTCAAACATACAGTTCAGTGGCATCAAGTACATTCTCATTGTTGTGCCACCATCACCACCATCCAGCTCCAGAACTTGTCCATCTTCCCAAACCAAAACTCTGTCTTCCTTAGACAATAGCATCAATTCTCCCTCCTGCAGCCCCTTGCAGCCACAGGTTGTTTTTCCCACCAGTGTTCAGGTGCAGACACGGAGTGGGTGATGGCTGAGTTACACAGGGTTGTCGAGGGAGGGGGCAGCAAGGGCGTCACGGGTGGTTGTGAGGTAGTGATTACAAGGGCGGATCATGGAACTCGGGCTCTGTAAGCAGGTGGAGGCAGGAAGAGGTGTGCAATGGTGTCTTTGGAGTCCAAAAAATGCTGATATCTTCATTCCTTTCCTTTCTCATGGTGCTGTAGATGGCAGGAGTCAAAACTCATTTTTTATTTATTCATTAATATGGTTTCCAATTGCTCTGACATCTCTGAAGAATGTTCTACAGAAGGACCCAAAACAGCCACTTGAGTCACCGGCATGGCTTCCTCCTACTACATGCCGTAGACCTGGGAAAACGTTATGGGTCCCTAGGATACCCACACAGTCTGCACCTAATTAGGTAAGAAAAGAGGCATATGGTGTTTTATATGGGGAAAGAGGTACATTTTCTATGAATAGCATAACTATGCGAACAGACAGGCTGACAGATGATTTCACTTTATCTCATCACACAATATGGGCATCCTCACTGTGTGAAAACCCCCAAAGCTTCAGAAACTTGCTAACGTCCTCCTTGCTTTCTGCATCTCAGTTCTTGCCTTTCTCTGCAGAACTGAAGTGGAGATGGGAAGCCTTCTCTCAACCGCTGTGAGCTCTCCACCCGGAAATGTCCTCTGGTGATTTTCATAGTCCCAAGCTGTTTTCTGCCTTATTGATGGAGTCATCTCTTCTTTATAGTATACTGCTTATTCTTTCTGGGGATTGTGTTTCCTGGTTTTGTCTACACATATATGTATATTCTTGGCCTATAAGTTCTGTTTCTGAAAGATGCACTTGCACTGTGTTACAGCCACACCTTTGAGAGAAATGCTGGTGGGGCTGGGTTTTGCAGCACAGATGCCCTTCATGAGGATGGAACAAGTTGCAGGGAATTTATTTTTTTTTTAATAATCGAAGAAGCTGGCCTGGCGCGGTGGCTCATGCCTGTAATTCCAGCACTTTGGGAAGCCGAGGAGGGTGGATCACCTGAGGTCAGGACTTCGAGACAAGCCTGGCCAACATGGCGAAACCCCGTCTCTACTAAAAATACAAAAATTAGCTGGGCATGGTGGTGGGCACCTGTAATTCCAGCTACTTGGGAGGCTGAGGCTGGAGAATCACTTGAACCTGGGAGGCAGGGTTGCAGTGAGCGGAAATCACACCATTGTACTCCAGCCTGGACAACAAGAGCGAAACTCCATCTCAAAAAAAAAAAAAAAAAAAAAAAAAAGGAAGAAGCTGAGGTGGATCACATCTTGGATTTACCAATTGATAGATAAGCCTAATATCACAAAGAGTTACTTCAGAAGACACAGGAGGTCATCAAGATGGAGATTTTTTTTTTTTTTTTTTAAAGACAGAGTCCTGCTCTGTCACCCAGGCTGGAGTGCAGTGGCATGATCTTGGTTCACTGCAACCTCCGCCTCCCGGGCTCATGCCAATCTCCTGCCTCAGCTTCCTGAGTAGCTGGGACTACAGGTGCCCGCCACTGTGCCTGGCTAATTTTTTGTATGTTTAGTAGAAATGGGGTTTCACCATGTTAGCCACGATGGTCTTGATCTCCTGACCTTGTGATCCACCCACCTCGGCCTCCCAAAGTGCTGGGATTACAGGTGTGAGCCATCGCGCCCAGCAAGATGGAGATTTTTTTAATGTTTTTTTTTCTTTTCTTTTTCCCTCCTGGACTCAAGTGATCCCCCCGCCTCAGCCCCCAAAATTTCTGGGATTACAGGCAGGAGCCACCGTGCCTGGCCTCTTAAATATTAATAGTTAGAGTGACCCCTTAGTGCTACCTTGAATTGTATATCAGCAATGCAGAACCTTCTGCCGTCATGATGATGTTCTATAAAGCACTGTCCAATATGGCAACCACAAGAATCCTCGCCCACTGAACTCTTGAAATGTAGCTAGTGCCACTGAGGCACTGGATTTTAAATTTTATTTAACTTGAATTTAAACGGTCACACGTGGCTAGTGGCTACCATACTGGACAGCTCAGCTTGCAGTAGGAAGTACCAACTCACTAATGAGCTACAGGCTTTCCAATTAATATTCTCTAATTTAAACATTGTTAGCACTGTTTAACAAGTTTAATTTGCTGGGCACGGTGGCTCACACCTGTAATCCCAGCACTTTGGGAGGCCGAGACTGGCGGATCACGAGGTCAGGAGATCGAGACCATTCTGGTTAACACGGCGAAACCCCGTCTCTACTAAAAATACAAAAAACTAGCCAGGTGTGGTGGCAGGCGCCTGTAGTCCCAGCTACTCGGGAGGCTAAGGCAGGAGAATGGTGTGAACCCGGGAGGCAGAGCTTGCAGTGAGCCGAGATCGCGCCACTGCATTCCATCCAGCCTGGGCGACAGAGCGAGACTCTGTCTCAAAAAAAAAAAAAAAAGTTTAATTCAATTAAACTTACTCAATATTTAAATTATTATATTGCCTTTGGCTGTATGTAATAGGCAGCTGAATAACCAGGGCTGTACGGGTGAGGGGTTTGTATTCCTCCCCTGGCAAGAAGCTTAGTGGCAGTTAGTGGAGGGCTGAGCCGGTGGGCTGGCGAGGCCTTGGGGAGCTCTTCTGGTTTCCAGCTCTGGTATTCATGGGAGTGGCTTGCAGCCTGATAGTTGTGAGATGGCTGCTGTACTTTCCAGCATCAACTTCCGGCAGGAAGGCAGGAAGAAAGGAGATGGAAAAAGAGCAAAGGGAAAACAAAAGGCTTCCCAAAGGCAAATGGTACAATTCCATGGCAGAGAATTTGGCAACATATAGTCCAGTCATATTTTATCATCACCCTTCAACCTGGCAATCCCACTTCTAGAAATCTATCCCCAGTGGTATCAGATAGGCATAAATACAAAATGGCTCATGCACAAAATTCTTCACTGTGGCATTATTTATGATCGTAAGACACTGGGAGTAACCCAAGTATTCGTCAACAAGGGACTGTTTGGATCATCTATAATATAGCTGCACAATCAGATACCGTGCAGCGAGGCCAGGTGCGTGGCTCACACCTGTAATCCCAGTGCCTGGGGAGGCTGAGGCTGGAGGATTACTTGAGCCCAGGAATTCTTCGAGACCAGCCAGAGGAACACGGTGGGACTATGAACGGGCGAAGAGTGAGACCCTGTCTCTAAAAACTAAAAAACCCCAAATACCGTGCAGTAAAAAAGAAATGAGGAGCACTGTGCATACAGGTATGGAGTGATCTCCAAGAGTCAAGAATATTAAGTAATAAAGAACAAGAACAACATGTAGAGATCTAGAGTATATAGCTGTACTGATAGGCAGCCTCATAGGTAAGAAAAGAAGGAAGGAAATAGACACACACACATTCGGTTGTATTTGCAAGGGAAACAAGCAGACAAAAAAGCAAATATTTGCCTTTAAGTGAAGCTGGAAGAGGAGGGAGACAGGTAGAAGGGATCGGGGGTGGGAAACGAGCCAACTGTGCACGTACCTCCTTTCGTACTTGGGACTTTGAAATGTGTGCTTTCCTGTTCAAAAACTGAAATAAAAGGCAGGGTGCAGTGGCTCACACCTGTAATCCCAGCACTTTGGGAATTGGGGCGGATTACTTAAGGCCAGGAGTTTGAGACCAGCCTGGCCAACATGGTGAAACCCCATCTGTACTAAAAATATGAAAAAAAAAAAATTAGCCGGTTGTAGTGACAAATGCCTGTAGTCCCAGCTACTCAGGAGGCTGAGTTGGGAGAATGACTTGAATCTGGGAGGAGGAGGCTGCAGTGAGCCGAGATCACACCACTGCACTCCAGCCTGGATGACCGAGTGATACTCAGTCTCAAACAAACAAACAAACAAACAAACCCTGAAATAAACATCGTTTTAAGAAAAGCAGCCTCACCTACACATTTTCTCTCTCGGTTCCTTGGCTGGAATTGGGAGGCATGGCCAGGCCGAGTTGCAAGGGCAGCGGGAGGTGAGTGTTCTCCTGGGCAGACTTGGTCAGGATGGGGCAGCTGGGGAGGAAGGATTAGACACTGGGCTGGCTTCACGCGGGGTCTGCTGTGGCACCACGTGTCCTGAGGAGAAGGTGGCCAGGCCTGGGAGTGTTCCAGGGCTGCTTTAGGACTCAGGAGAGCTGGTACTGATGCTCCATTCACTGTGAGCAGGAGCTGTGCTCTGAGCACCACATGTCCTGCCTCCAAGCAACCAGCCGTTTTCATCGTCCTCTTTGTGTACAGTGGGAAACTGAATGGTCGGTCGGGAGATTTAGTAATTTGCCCTAGGCAGAGCACGGCAGAGGGCAGATGGAAGCCCTCAGTTGTCTGCTGCTGCGGCCCAGAGCTGAGCAGCCACAGGGCAACTGCCCTCTGTCTGCCGCTAGCCTAGCAAGTAATTCACCCCGACCTCACACGTTCTGTTGTAAAAAGTGATGGGAAAAACGATCGCATTTCAAGGTATTTAGCAATTCCACTTCTGAGTACATACTCACAAGACATGAAAGCTAGGACTCCAAGCTGGGGGCGGTGGCTTATGCCTGTAATCCTAGCACTTTGGGAGGCCGAGGTGGGAGGATTGCTTGAGTCTAGGAGTTCAAGACCAGCCTGGCAACATGGCGAGACCCCGTCTCTACTTAAAAAAAATTAGCTGGGGGCCAGGCGCGGTGGCTCACACCTGGAATCCCAGCACTTTGGGAGGCCGAGGCGGGCGGATCACGAGGTCAGGAGATCGAGACCATCCTGGCTAACACGGTGACCCGTCTCTACTAAAAATACAAAAAAATTAGCCGGGCGTGGAGGCTGAGGCAGGAGAATGACGTGAACCCGGGAGGTGGAGGTTGCAGTGAGCCGAGGTTGCGCCACTGCTTTCCAGCCTGGGTGACAGGGTGAGACTCTGTCTCAAAAAAAAAAAAAAAAAAAAAGGTGGGCATGGTGGTGTGCGTCTGTAGTCCCAGCTACACGTGAGGCTGAGGTGGGAGGATTGCTTGAGCCTGGGAGGTCAAGGCTGCAGTAAACTGTCATCGCACCACTGGACTTCAGCCTGGGTGACAGAATGAGACCCTGTCTCAAAAAAAGAAAGCTGAGCCTCCAACAGATAGTTGCATACTCATGTTCGTTGCGGCACTATTCACAACAGCCAAGGACGGAAGCAACCCACGTGTCCATCAGTGGATGAACGGAGAAGCAAAATGAGGTCTATCCACATGCAACGGAGTATTACTATTCAGCCTTAGAAAGGATTCTGGTTCTGACACATGCTGCAACACGGGTGAACCCTGAGGCCATTATGCTAAGTGAAATAAGCCAGTCACAATAAAACGGATAAATACTGTATGATTCCACTTATATGAGGTACCTAGAGTAGACGACTTCATGGAAACAGAAAGTAGAATGGAGTTTCCAGGGTCTGAGGAATGGGGTGAGTGGGAAATGATTGTTTAATGGACTCAGAGTTTCAGTTTGGGGTGACAAAAAAGTTCTAGGGATGAATGGTGGTGATGGCCCTACAACATTGTGAATGTGCTTGATGCCACGGAAATGTACACCTGAAACGGTCAACATGGTAAGTTTATGTGGGGTGTATTTTACCACAGTTTAAAAAATGTGGTTGTCGAGAGCAGAATAATGTCTATACCAGGGTAAAAAATAATTTGCTCCCTTTCCCCCAGGGATATTTAGCACTGTCTAGAGACCTTTCTCTCGCTTAAAATTAATCATTTAAAAAATAGACTTTATTTATGGAGAGCAGTTTTAGGTTCACAGCAAAGTGAAGCAGAAGGTATAGAGAGTTCCCATATACTTCCCTGCTTGGCCCCAAGCCCCTCCTACTATCAACATCCCCCACCAGAGTGGGGCATTTGTTACAACTGGTGAAGCTGCGCCGACACGTCGCTGTCACCCACAGAGCACGGTTTACATTCAGGCTGACTCTCGGTGTTGTACTTTCTCTGGGTTTTGGCAGTTATATACATGTCCCATATGTCCACCAGTATAGCGTCATTCAGAATAGTTTCAAAGCTCTAAAAATCCTCTGTGCTCTGCCTATTCATCCCTCCTCCCCCCAACCCTTGGCAACCACTGATCTTTGTTTTGTTTTTTTTTTTTGAGATAGGGTCTCACTCTGTCACCCAGACTGGAGTGCAGTGGCACAACCATGGCTCACTGCAGCCTGGAACTCCTGGGCTTAAGTGATCCTCCCACTTCAGCCTCCTGAGTAGCTAAGTAGGTATAGGCACATGTCAACACGTCTAGCTAATTCTTAAAAATTATTTTTTGTAAAGACAGGGTCTTGCCGTGTTGCCCAGGCTGGTCTTGAATTCCTGGGCTTAGGCAATGCTTCCACCTTGGCCTCCCGAAGTGCTGGGATTACAGGTGTAAGCCACTGAGCCTGGACAACCGCTAATCTTTTTTATTGTCTTCTGGAGACATTTTTGATTGTCACACCTGGGTGGAGGTGCTACTGGCATCTCTAGTGGGTGGAGGTACCTCCAGCAGGTAGAGGCCGGAGATGCTGTTGAGCATCCTACAGAGCACCCCTGACCCCAAACATCAGCAGTGCTGAGGTTGGCCGGGCGCGTGGCTCATGCCTATAATCCCAGCACTTTGGGAGGCCAAGGCAGGCAGATCACCTGAGGTCGGGAGTTTGAGACCAGGCTGATCAACATGGAGAAACTCTACTAAAAATACAAAAATAGCCGGGCGTGGTGGCACATGCCTTTAATCCCGGCTACTCAGGAGGCTGAGGCAGAAGAATCGCTTGAACCCACGAGGCGGAGGTTGTGGTGAGCCGAGATTGCGCCATTGCACTCTAGCCTGGGCGACAAGAGCGAAACTCCATCTCAAAACAAACAAACAAACAAACAACAGTGCTGAGGTTGAGAAGTCCTGATGCAGAGGCTAAGCAGGGATTTCTTTCATCAATGACTTTGTAGGATCCATAGTAGATTCTCAATGAATATTAGCTAAGTGAATGAATGAATGAATGACATTTACAAGAGAAGCATTTGAATAACCCAGAAATCCTGCTCCTGAGTTGTAGCTTGTTTACATAACCCAAAGAAGAGCAAAGGGAAACAGTTTCTATTAGATTGGTGTCCTGTCGCTACCCAATGTAGTGAGATAGGCAGGTAAGGAGAGGGTATTTTGGCAAAGGGAAATACTGTAATTTTCTGTAATTACTGTGCATGGAAATGACATGTGATGTGTGTGATAGTTTGTGCAGATACATGGAGTGGCCCACTGGCATTAGGTATGAATTATGTGACTATTGTCAGACATCTGGGTATGTATTGTTTTCTCCATAAGACAGAGGAATCCATTCTAAGTATTTAGCACAAAAGCAACGCATCTTGGCACTTTTCTTTGTCTAATGAAGCATCCAAGAGGTTCAGAAATGAAGAACGTCAAGGGGCGGTGGGCTCCTAAACATCACTTGAAAGTGCATTTTTTTTGGCCAGGCGCGGTGGCTCACGCCTGTAATCCCAGCACTTTGGGAGGCCAAGGCAGGTGGATCATGAGGTCAGGAGATCGAGACCATCCTGGCTAACACGGTGAAACCCTGTCTCTACTAAAAAAAATAAAAATAAAAATAATAAAGAAAGCTGGGCGTGGTGGCACATGCCTGTAGTCCCAGCTACTCAGGAAGCTGAGGCAGGAGAATGGCATGATCCCAGGAGGCAGAGCTTGCAGTGAGCCGAGATCGCGCCACTGCACTCCAGCCTGGGAGATAGCGAGACTCCATCTCAAAAAAAAAAAAAAAAAAAGGGTATTTTTTTTTTTGGTCCTCAGAGAGTTTTTAATACAGTGTATTGAAGAACTGTCAGGGAGATAACAGAAGTGAAGACTTTTGATATTTAGTTTGAAACAAAGCATAGAGACATGAGATTCAAATTGAATGACGGGAGGAATTTCAAAAGAGAAACTGGGCTACATGTCCTGGTTTTTATTCTCACATATCAAAGCCCAGTGTAGATAATCGTACAGTCTGTTGTCTTGGTTATGTCAGGGAACATACGTTAACGCCCCAATCTTTCAGAGGCCCCGTCACCTTTTGGTGTGTTTAGTGCCATTCTCAGGGCACTAAGATGTACTCAGATGTGGGCAATGGTATTTTCTGGATCCTGAAGTTGGTCTGGGTGCTGGTATTCTGAACTTTCTTTTTTTTTAAATAGTAGAGATGGGGACCTCATTATGTTGCCCAAGCTGGTCTCAAACTTCTGGCCTCAAGTGATCCTCCTTCCTCAGCCTCCCAAAGTGCTGGGATTATAGGTGTGGGCCACCATGCCCAGCCCCAAACTGTCTTTGACGATATTGAGTCCTACTCAGACCTGTCTTTGGCATATGTGTTTCTAGCAAGCACAAGTAGCCCAAGTTCATGCCAAGAGGAATAAGATTCCATCCCACCACAAGGAACTCACAGTTAACTCAGCAAAGGAGGCTTGTATGCAGATGAACTGTGTGAGCCGCACAAAACTGTGCTCAGTTTCTAATATTTACAGAGTGCTCCAGAACAGTGAGGACAGAGCAACCCTGCTTGCGAGAAAGCTTCTGAGACCTGGTGACTTTTAGGAGGAGCCTTAAAGGATGAATAAAAGTGGTACTAGGCAGGAGTCAGAGGAATGTTCCAGGCAGAAGGAGCACTTGTGAAGATCAAGGGCTTGTCAATGAATGGGTCCTTATGTTTGAGCGCAGGGTGACAGGTTCACTGGGCTGAGGATTGGGGAGCTAATAGCAGGTAATGAGGCAGGATAAGTAAATTGGAGCTTACCTGTGAGGGGCACTTGGTGAAAACACAAAGCTAATGGTCAAGGTCCAGGGGGCGCTGTTCACAGCATAGTCAACAATATGAATGGTGCCTTGGAGTTGCAGCATGCATAGCTGTGTGGCCATACCCATTGGCTCAGCTAATGATTGTTGAGTGATTGCTACTGGAGAGTATACTGAGAGCCCTGTGTTTTTTATCTTTTCTTTTTCCTTTTTTAGCTGTAGGGTCTCACTCTGTAATCCAGGCTGGAGTGCACTGGTGTGATCATAACTCACTGCAGCCTTGAACTCCTGGGCTCAAGTGATCCTCCCACCTCACTCCTGAGTAGCTGTGACTACAGGTTCACGCCACCATGTATGGGTAATTTTTAAATTTTATCTTAAAAATTTATTTATGTAAACGAGGTGTCACCCTTTCATCCAGGCTGGAGTGCAGTGGCACAATCATAGCTCACTACAGCCTCTAATTCCTGGCCTCAAGCAACCCTCCTGCTTTAGCCTCCCAAAGTGCTGGGATGACAGGTGTGAGCCATTGTCCCCAGTCTTATTTTTTTCTTATTTAATTCTCACAACTATCCCATGAGGTAAGTTCTATTTTCATTCCCGTTTTATAGATGAGGAAACTGAGGTGTACAAAGTGAGCTTGTGTGGCTCTGAAGTGCTGGCATTGGTGTTTTCATCTAGGCAGTTGCCTTTGGAGCCCAAGGCAGACTGCTCCCCAGTGTTCGTCATCTGAGACACCCACAGAAGTGATGCTTTCTGGCACCACAGGGAAATGACAAAGCTGCTCACACTCCAAGGGGCATGGGCCCAGGGACTCCAGTGTCCCAGGCTGCACCCTGGCCACCCCAATGGCTGGGGGGTACTCCGGGTCTTGGCAACCTGTGGCCCATTTCTACAGCATTCCAGGGCGGCAGGTGGATCTCAGCTCTGGGAATACATTGGAGGTCACTTTTCCAACCTGGTTGTATTGCAGTCAAACACTCAAAAGAGGGTAGAAAAATTCTGCCTACTTTAGCGTTCTGGAACATTGGCTGTCACTTTCGTGGTTTTGTAGGTTGAGGGACAAAATGATTTTGCACAAAGCCTGGGCTCTGGAGACAGACAAATCAGGTCTTCATCACATGACCTTGGACAAAGTATTTGCTCTCTGTGAGACTCAGTTTCTTCATCATTTAATAACCGGGCACAGTGGCTCACACTTTTAATCCCAGCACTTTGGGAGGCTGAGGCGGGCGGATCACTTGAGGTCAGGAGTTTGAGACCAGCCTGGCCAACACGGAGAAACCCCGTCTCTACTAAAAATACAAAAATTAGCCGGGTGTTGTGGTGCGCACCTGTAATCCCAGCAACTCGGGAGGCTGAGGCAGGAGAATCACTTGAACCCAGGGGGCGGAGGTTTCAGTGAGCCGAGATTGCGCCACTGCACTCCAGCCTGGGCAACAGAGTGAAACTCAAAAAAAAAAAAAAAAAGGCTATAATACGTAGCCACCTCCTGTATGAAATGTAGACATTCATGGAAAACAGCTGGTGCTGCCTATAAGCCTTCAGTATATGCCATCCTCTTTCTCTCCTTCCTCTCCTCCTTTTGTCTCTGAACATTTCTGATCAGCGATTCTGTGCTACAGGGCAGTGCTTTTGGGAGAACCAGGCAACAGCCATCTATTGGCAAAACCACTTTATTTATGAGGACATTGCTGGTGATAACACCCTTTCTTTAGAATTCCCTTTTTATTAAAGTACCCCTGAGTTTGCTGTGAAAACTGTCCGTGGAAGCAAACAAGCAAAATAGTCCCTGATACTGTTTGGCTCTGTGTCCCCACCCAAATCTCATCTGGAATTGTAATTCCCACATGTCAAGAGAGGGACCTGTAATCCCCACGTTTCAAGGGAGAAAGGTGATGTATCATGGGGGTGGTCTCCGCCATGCTGTTCTCATGATAGTGAGTGAGTTCTCACGAGATCTGATGGTTTTAAAAGTGGTAATTTTTTTTACTGCATTCTCACTTCTCTCTCTCCTGCTGCCTTGTGAAGAAGGTGCCTGCTTCCCCTTGACCTTCTGCCATGATTGTAAGTTTCCTGAGGCCTCCCAGTCATGTCGAACTGAGTCAATGAAACCTCTTTCCTTTATAAATTACCCAGTCTCGAGTATTTCTTTATAACAGTATAAAAATAAACTAATACAGCCCCGAACAATTTCTACATCTTTCCACGCTTGTTCTCCTGTGGTCATCTTTTTTTTAATTTTTTTTAGACAGGGTCTCACTCTGTCACCCAGGCTGTAATGCAGTGGTGTGATCTCGGCTTACTGCAGCCTCTGCCTCCCAGGCTCAAGTGATCCTCCTACCTCAGCCTCTGAGTAGCTGGAACTACAGGCATGCACCACCACGCCTGGTTAATTTTTGCGTATTTTTTTGTAGATATGGGGTTGCGCCATGTTGCCCAGGCTGGTCTCCAACTCCTGAGCTCAGGTGATCTGCCCGCCTTGACATTCCGAATTGCTGGGATTACAGGTGTGAGCCACCATGCCTGGCCCATCTTATTGTTTTTTTAAATATTAACTTTTTTTTCTTTTTTGGCAATAGAGTCTCACTCCATTGCCCAGGCTGGAGTGTAGTGGCATGATCTCAGCTCACTGCAGCGTTTACCTCCTGGGCTTAAGCGATCTTCCCACCTTAGCCTCCCGAGTACCTGGGACTACAGGTGCACACCACCATGTCCAGCTAATTTTTCTATTTTTTGTAGAGGCGGGGTTTTGCCATGTTGCCCAGTGAGCCAGGATCATGCCATTGCATTCTAGCCTGGGTGACAGAGTGAGACTGTTGTCTCAAAATAAATAAATAAAAATATTTATTTGTCAAATAAAGGTTGCATATATTCAAGGTTTACATTGTAACAATTTGATATATGTATACATTGCGTAATGATGACCACAACCAAATGAATGAACACATCCATCGCCACTCATGCTGTACATTAGAGCCTCAGAACTTACTCAGCAACTTCTGTAACTGAAAGTTTGTACCCTTTGACCAACGTTTCCCTATGGCCTATCCCCTCGCAACCACTGTTCTACTCTTTGCTTCCATGAGTTCAACTTCTTTAGCTCCCATATGTGAGTAAGAGCATACAGTCGTTGTCTGTGTCTGGCTTGTTTCACTTAACATAATGTCCTCCAAGTTATTGCAAATGGCAGGATCTCCTCTTTTATGGCTGAACTCTGTGTCTTTTAAAAAAAATTAGTATTCAGGCTGGGCCTGGTGGCTCGCGCCTGTAATCCCAGCACTTTGGGAGGCTGAGGTGGGTGGATCACTTGAGAGGTCAGGAGTTCGAGACCAGCCTGGCCAACATGGCAAAACCCTGTCCCTACAAAAAAATACAAAAATTAGCCAGGCTTGGTGGTAGGTGACTGTAATCCCAGCTACTTGGGAGGCTGGGGCAGGAGAATCGCTTGAACCCGGGAGGCAGAGGCTGCAGTGAGTGGAGATCACACCACTGCACTCCAGTCTGGGCGACAGAGAGAGACTCTGTCTCAAAAAAAAAATAGTATTCAGGGGAGATGAAGCTTGATAATACTACTCAAAGACATATATCTCACAGAACATCCAAATCTTTTATTTTTATTATTATTATTTTTAAATTTAAGAGACAGGGTCAGGCCAGGCACGGTGGCTCACGCTTGTAATCCCAGCACTTTGGGAGGCTGAGGCAGGTGGATTACCTGTGGTCGGGAGTTTGAGACCAGCCTGACCAACATGGAGAAACCCCGTCTTTACTAAAAAATACAAAATTAGTCGGGCGTGGTGGTGCATGCCTGTAATCCCAGCTACTCAGGAGGCTGAGGCAGGAGAATCGCTTGAACCTGGGAGGCGGAGGTTGCGGTGAGCCGAGATCATGCCATTGCACTCCAGCCTGGGCAACAAGAGTGAAACTCTGTCTCAAAAAAAAAAAAAAAAAAAGAGACAGGGTCTCACTGTGTTGTCCAGGCTGGAGTGCAGTGTGTATTCACAAGCATGATCCCACTACTGATCAGAGTGGGATTTTGGACTTGCTCCGATTCCGACCTGGCCGGTTCATCACCCCTCCTTAGGCAACCTGGTGGTCCTCGTCTCCCAGGAGGTCACCCTATTGATGCTAACTGAGTATGGACACCGCAAATGTTTTTTTATTCCGGAATACTTGATTTATCTCATGTCTATCCAGTGGTCTGAAAGTGCCCTGGGTTTGACAAGTTCCCTGAGAGGGGTGTTACTGCCTTTCATACACAGGTCAGGCAAAGTATGAGTGATGCCTCGCTGGGGATGGGAGAGTAAGAGTTAGTAGAAAAACACAAGCACCTGGACCGTGTCTGCCACAGAGAAAAACAATGCCCCTCCCCCAGTACACGTGGAGAGTACGCCGCCCAAACACACCTGTGCGATTCTCGGGGCATGAGAGGCCTGCGGGATCTCCTGCTGGATTGAATTCCTCATCCTAAGAAGCGGCTCATCCAAGCTAATCAACAAAAGATGGAGGATTCTGGCGAGCAGGAAGGAAATACTGAGTGACAGCCTAGAGGCGTTTTCCAGATTCTGCAGAATCAGGCTCGTATTGCTTATTATTGTCTGTATGGTTCTGGCCAATTCCTAGACTAGCGACGATGAAAGGCCTCTTTTCCCAAATAAATTGCGCCAGGAAATAGAAATCAGCCCACAACAAACGGTCTTGGGGAAGAGGCCTCCTAGGTCTGGTTGAAAGAGGCGTCGTCTCTGCCTTATTTGGGGGTTGTCAGGTGGCAAGTTGCCATTTTTCTTTTCTCATGGTGTGTGTATGTGTGTCTGTGTGTGTCTTTGTGTCTATGTGTGTGTCTTTGTGTGTGTCTCTGTGTTTTATGTATATGTACCTGTGTACGTCTGTGTGTGTCTGTGTGTTTGTGTGTGTGTTTGTGTAGGTGTGTGTGTGTCTGTGTGTTTATATGTGTGTCTTTGTGTGTGTCTCTGTGTTTTATGTGTATGAGTCTGTGTGTGTCTCTGTGTGTGTGTGTCTGTGTGTGTGGATGCGTGTGCTGATTTTTCTTCCCCAAGATGTCTTGTTTTCTCCCATGGATGGGTGGTTCTGACGGCCTTGCTGGCAGTGGCAACATCCTGGCTGCCCAGTGTTCCTTCTCTGGTGACATGTTTTTGCCCAGGTGTGTCGCTGGGCTTCTGCCCAAAGGATAAGGGTCTGCTTGTCTTGGTCATCCCCGTCACTGTTTCCTGAGCTGGGAGCCGTGTTCGTCTTTCTGCTGGTGGGCTCTTATTCATGTGGACTGGTGAGATTTTTCTGGACCCCACACCCGGACAGCAGACCTTGGCTTCGTTCCCAAGAAGGCCTCCTCCTCCTTCCCTGGGCCACCGCCTTCCTAGCAAGCTTCCGGTTTAGCTCCCATTCCTGCTGCAGCTCCTGCACGCACCCCTGTCTCAGCAGGCCCTTTCCCTCCAGTGCACCTCTAAGCCTCAGAACTTTTGTTTTCTCTTTTTGGTTCTTCTGTTTGTGGCATAAAGTTGGGACCTGGGCAGACGCATGAAAGTTTTCCAGTGACCACAAAGTGATGCCTGCCTTCTCTGCTTGGTACTTCCTGTGCCTGCCCAAGAGACAATCAATAATAAATCAGTGAGATGTGTTTCAATAATTCTCTTGCTTGAAGTTCTGGAAGGCAGCTCTCAGGAAGGTAGGAGGAAACAGCAGCCCTTAGAATTTCTTCTGGCCTGTTGTCTTCAAACAGCTTGGTGTTGACTGGTGTCTATAAATAGTCAATGGGGTTAGGGGGATCGGAAGAGGAAGCTGAAGGGCAAGCTAGAGACTCTGGGTTTAGTGTGCTCCTAGTTACCCCAGTGCAGTGCAGGATTTGAAATCTCCCTGGGTATAGGGCTGCCAGAGCAGGTGAGGAGTGGCAGCGGTGGAGACTGAGCTGGTGTGGACCAGGGCCCTGGAAAGAAGGCGAGCTCTGAGGTTTGCTGGCACACTCTGGCACGGAGAATGCCATGCTGCATGTCTGCATTCTTTTTGTCATTAAGAAAAAAATGCGGGCTGGGGGTGGTGGCCCAGGCCTGTAATCCCAGCACTTTGGGAGTGGAGGCAGGCAGATCATTTGAGCCCAGGAGTTCGAGACCAGCCTGGGCAACATAGCGGAGACCTTGTCTCTACAAAAAATATAAAAGTTGACTGGGCACGGTGGCTCACGCCTATAATCCCAGCACTTTGGGAGGCCGAGGTGAGCAGATTACCTGAGGTCAGGAGTTCGAGACAAGCCTGACCAACATGGTGAAACCCCATCTCTACTAAAAATACAAAAATTAGCCGGGCATGGTGGCACACACCTGTAATCCCAGCTACTCGGGAGGCTGAGGCAGGAGAATTGTTTGAGCCTAGGAGACGGAGGTTGCAGTGAGCCGAGATCATGCCACTGCACTCCAGCCTGGCCGACAGAATAAGACTCTCTCTCAAAAAATAAAAATAAAATAAAATAAAAAAGTTAGTTGTGGTCTCCTGCTGGCCAGACCCAGTGGGTCTCGTTATCACATTGCTTATAAAGTACCCCATCCATGACTCACTGGTTGATGTACTGGTTTACATGGCTGGAGTGAATAAGCCATTTCTCCCTGTCCTGTGAAAGGAGGAGGCTAGGTGGGGGTTGTGATAGGCAGACTTTAGGTGTCCAAATGGAACTGAAACTCATCAGTGGGTGCAGTTCACAAGTGGAGTTCACTGTTGTGGGGGATGAGTGCACCTCGTATTTGATGTAGCATATGATACCTGTTAGTTGTTCCAAGTGAATATTTCACAACATCCAGTCCAGCTTGTTCTTGGGATGAAATATCCCAAACATGGTGGCTGAAGATGCATGCATAGTGCATGGCGATGCTGTATAGTTCAGGCAAATGACGTGGGGACATGGGCTTACTAGTGTTCCGCATTAAGGCCGAGTGTGTGGTGGCTCACGCCTGTAATCCCAGCACTTTGGGAGGACGAGGCAGGTGGATCACCTGAGGTCAGGAGTTCGAGACCAGCCTGGGCAACGTGGCAAAATCCCGTCTCTACTGAAAATACAAAAATCCACTGACTGTAGTGGCGAGTGCCTGTAGTCCCAGCTACTTGGGACGCTGAGGCACAAGAATGGCTTGAACCTGGGAGGCAGAGGTTGTAGTGAGCTGAGATTGAGTCATTGCACTCCAGCCTGGGCGACAGAGTGAGACTCTGTCTCCAAAAAAAAAAAAAGTGTTCTGCATTAGGTAGGGCAGTGTTCCCTAAGATCTGATTCAGAACACAAAATCTGGTGGGGGCTGGGTACGGTGGCTCAATCCTCTAATCCCAGCAATTTGGGAAGCTAAGGCAGGAGGATCCCTTGAGGCCAGGAGTTTGAGATCAGCCTGGCAACATAGGGAGACCCTGTTTCTCAAAAGAAAAAGAAAAAAAAATTAGCTCCAGCCTGTGTGAGAGCTATCTCAAAAAAAAAAAAAAATAATAAAATGAGTCTGGTGAGGTCCTGGCACCTGGAAGCCCTAGATGGTTCTCTAACTCACCTTGTGTCACAGGTACCTGTATTCTGATGCAGGTGGCCACAGTCATGGGGGGCTTGGTGAGAGTCTGTTTTGAGGCAGTAGGTGTCATCAAGTTTTGTTTTTTAAAAATTTATTTTTGACAAAAATTATATATATTCATCATGTACAGCACAATGTTCTGAAATACGTATACACTGAGGAATGGTTAAATTGGCTAATACATAGTCATCAGTTTTTGTGGTGAGGACACTTGAAATCTACTCTCGTAGTGATTTTTAGGGCTGCGGTGGTTGCTGTTGACTATGGACACTGTGCTCTTCAGCACAGCACTTGGACTTATTCCTCCTGTCCTTTGTTTTGATTCCACACTGTTTTAGGAGCTAGGTTTGCTATCGCAATGTGAATTCTGTGTTACCTGTCTGCACAATGGACAAACGAAAAGTTCATTTCCTTCTATTTAAAATGTACTATTAGGCTGGGCACGGTGGCTCACACCTGTAATCCCAGCACTTTGGGAGGCTGAGGTGGGCGGATCACTTGAGGTCAGGAGTTCGAGACCAGCATGGCAGGACATGGCAAAACCCCGTCTCAGCTAAAAATACAAAAATAAGCTGGGAGTGGTGGCACGTGCCTGTAGTCCCACCTACTTCAGAGGCTGAGGCAGGAGAATCTGGGAGGTGGAGGTTGCAGTGAGCTGAGATGGCGCCACTGTACTCCAGCTTGGGCGACAGAGCAAGATCCTGTCTCAAAAATAAATAAATAAATAAATAAAATGTACTTCTATTGGGCTGGGTGTGGTGGCTCACACCTGTAATCCTAGCACTTTGGGAGGCTGAGGCGGGAGGATTGCTTGAGCCTAGGAGTTCAAAACCAGCCTGGGCAACATAGTGAAACTCCATCTCTACCAAAAATACAAAAAATTAGCTGGGCATGGTGACATACACCTGTGGTACCAGCTACTTGGGAGGCTGGGGTAGCTGGGGTGGGAGGATCACTTGAGCCAAGGAGGCTGAGGCTGCAGTGAGCCATGATCATGCCACTGCACTCCAGCCTGGGTGACAGAGTGAGACCCCATTTTATTTTATTTTATCAAAAAAATAAAATAAACTGTACTATTATTGGCCAGACATGGTGGTTTATGCCTGTAATCTCAGCGCTTTGGGAGGATGAGGTGGGAGGATTGCTTGAGCTCAAGAGTTGGAGGCTGCAGTGAACTACCATCATGCCACTGCACTCCACTCTGGGTGACAGAGTGAGACTCCATCTCTACAAAAAAAATACTATTATGATTAATACCTATCATTAATTGTTTATGCCAGGCTTTATACATACATGTGCTATATACAATCGTCCATTCATTCCTGAAACAGCCTCATCAGTTAGGAGTCTTGTTTTTGCCCCCATTTTGCAGAAATGGAAACAGAGGCTTAGTTACGTAGCTTGGCCATAGCATAAGTGGCGGAGCTGGGCTCTGGACACAGTTCTGTCTGAATCCAAAGCCTATGCTCCTGACTGCAAATGAGACTGCCTCTCCCTTCAAGTCTTTGGTTTGAATGATTTATTTTTTTCACATCCAGTATGGTCTCAAAACAATCATCTCCTTACACCTCTTCCTGCCGCTCCCTGAACACCTGCCTGGCTCCTCTTCTGCTTAGAATTAATGATGGTGGCTGGCTGGGATGATATGCGGGTGGCCTCCCATGGTGAGCTCGTGGGGGCTCCCCACTTCAAACCAAATGGTGAGATAAGCCCATTGGGGTATCATTTCCTCACCGGTCCAAAAGGAATTCAGTTGTTTCTGCTTGTCAAATGCTCTGTGCTTCCTCGTCCAGCCCGCGTGAGTCACTGGGCTGTGTCAGTACGAGAATGGATGTCTTGTGTCCAACAGCCGCCAAGCTGCAAACACATGCCCAGCACAAGGCAGAGACGCGGGCTGTGCGGGGACCCAGCGGAAAACAGACCCCCACAGTGATGCCCAGGCCCAGAGACCACAGAGAAGACGCCAGGGAAGAAACCATTTTTCATATCCAGAAGCCTTCTGCCCCAATTCAGCCCCCATCCTGGAAACGCGGCAGAACACATTTTGTGTGCAGTGAGCTGACAAGCCCTATAAAACATTTCCACTCTTCCCCACTCGGAACACAGCCCATCTGTCCAACAGTGTCTGAAATAACACCGGATGGCCGGCAAAAGGGTATCCATTGTCACAGGCGTATTGGTACCGCAGGTAGTCCACACGGGCCCCCGTAATTCAAGCCGAAACAGCCTCTTCACCGACAGGGAGGCGGGGAGTGAAAGTGGCGGTTGTGATTCCAACAACGGGGAGGGTTGTTTTTCTAAGAATTTCTGCCAGTGGCCATTGAGTACTTTTTGTGCACCTACAGGAGACCTTGAAATTTAGGCAGCTATCAAATTCCAAATTAAACACCTGCGTGCTGCCTGCTCGCCGGTGAGGCAGCTGGGTCACACCGATCTGTGTTTGGGAAAGACCGGAGTTGGATTGTACTTGCTGCTTTCCTCTAACTAGCTTTCCTAACAAGCTTTCCTAAGATCACAAATTAGATGCTGGGGTTTCAGGCTAACAGGCCGATGAAGCTGTTGTTGAAAACTCAGAAATAATCAGCTTTGAGCCTGTAGCCTTGGAATTTCCTAGAGTGGGCTATTATGATCTGGTCATGTGGGGACTTGTTATTTCTATACAGATTGGGACTTCTAGTTTGCATCTCGTCTTCTGCAATCTCTTTTTCAGGAGTGAGCACTAGCCAGAGTATAGCAAACATTTTCTCTTTTCTCCTAAATATGCATGTTAGCATCAGTGGGGGCAAGCATTAAGATGATCCCGTCAGGATTTAAGTTTATGAATGATTTCTCATGGTGTGGGACCCTAGCTGAACATGGGCCATGAAAGAGAATGCTCGTTTCATATCCTGAATTGGCCCCTTCCTGGCTTTGGGACCTTGGGCAAATTACTGAGTCTCCAAGCCTCGGGTTTTTCATCTGTAAAATGGGATGATGGTAACAATAAGAACTAGTTTGTTGGATTGTTGTGAGAATTAAATGAGGTTCAGTACTGTGCCTAACCCATAATAAGCACTGAACACATGTCTAGGGCATTATCGGAGGATGAAGATGGAAATTGTGTTTGAGTGTCTCATAAGGTCTACTCCTGGGCTTTAGGGGCTGGAGTTGGAGCACGAGCACAGGCCACAGAGGCAGAAGCCCAGGCCACTGCGAGGTCTGTGGGGAAGGCTGAGGTTTCAACCCTCCAGAGATGGGCAACAGCCCCAGCTGGGATGGCCAGAATCATGGGGCAGAGAGGCCCACTCCATGCTAGAGGCAGGCAGGGCACCTGGAGGGCTGTGGGTGGGGTGTCAGGCCCCAGATGATTGCTCTGGGAGGGCACATGGACAGTCAAATTGGGTTTAGGGCTGCAAAGAAGGGGTATTGATGTTTAAAAATTTTTTTTACAGTGATAAAATATTTGCAACAGGCCAGGCATGGTGGTTTACACCTGTAACCCTAGCATTTTGAGAGACTGAGGTGGGAGGATCGCTTGAGTCCAGGAGTTCGAGATCAGCCTGGGCAACATAGTGAGACCTTATCTCTAAAATAAATAAAAAAAATTAGCCAAGCATGGTGGTGCATGCCTGTGGTCTCAGCTACTTGGGAGGCCGAGGTGGGAGGATCACCTGAGCCCAGGAGGTCAAGGCTGCAGTGAGCCACTCAAAAAAAAAAAAAAAAAAAAAGAAAAAAAAAAAGCATAACATAAAAATCACCAGTTTAGAACAGGTGTGGTGGCTCATACCTGTAATCCCAGCACTTTGGGAGGCCGAAGCAGGTGACTTGCTTGACTCCAGGAGTTTGAGACCAGCCTGAGCAACATAGTGAAATGCCATCTCTATAAAAAAATAGAAAAATTAGCCAGGCATGATAGTGTGTACCTGTAGTCCTAGCTACTTTGGAGGCTGAGGCAGGAGGATCACCTGAGCCTGGAAGTTGAGGCTGCAGTGAGCTGAGATCATACCACTGCAGTTCAGCCTGGGCGACAAAGTGAGACTGTTTCAAAACAAACCAACCAACCCCAAACAAAACCCAGTTTAACCATTTTTAAGAGTACAGTTCATTGCCATTGCGTACATTCACACTGTTGAGCAACCATCCTCACTATCTGTTTCCAGAAGTTTTTTATGATCCCAAACTGAAGCTCTGTTCCCTTTAAACAACAACTGCCATTCATTCTTCCTCCAGCTCCTGGCAGCCACGATCTTACTTTCTGTCTCTATGAATCTGCCTACTATAGTTACCTCATATAACTCGAATCATACAGTCTCTGTCCTTTTGTGCCTGGCTTGCTTCCCATAGCATCATGTCTTCAATCAAGGCTCATCTGTGTTGTAGTGTGCATCAGAACTTCCTTCCTTTTTAAGGCTGTATAATATTCCATTGTATGTGTATACCACATTTTGTTTCTCCATCCATCAATAGACACCTGGGTTGCTTCTACCTTTTGGCTACTGTGAATAATGTTGCTATGAACGTGGGTGTACAGATATCTGTTTGAGTCCCTGCTTTCGGTTATTTTGAGTATATTCTCAGAGGTAGAATTGCTAGATTATATGGTAATTCTATGTTTAATTTTTTGAGGAGCTGCCATACTATTCTCCAAAGCAGCTGCAGCTTTTTTTTTTTTTTTTTTTTTTTGAGACACGGGTCTTGTTATGTTGCCTGGGCTGGTCTTGAACTCCTGGCTTCAAGTGATCCTCCCACCCTGGCCTCCTAAAGTGCTGGGAATACAGGCATGAGCCACTGTGTGCCTAGCTGCACCATTTTACATTCTGGCCAGTAGTGCACAAAGGTTCCAATTTCTCCACATCCTTGCCAACACTTATTTTTCATTTTTCTGAAAATAGCCACCCGAATGGGTGCGAAGTGGTAACTTATTGAGGGAGGCTGGCTGTAAGGGCATCATTAAAGAGTCCATCTCTAAACAAAAGACACCAGTCTGAATAATTGTCCCTCTGTTAAGGAACTCATACTTCGAGTGTGTAGGACCAAGTGGTCGCTCGCTAGATTCTTCACTCTGTTGGGTGGGCCCTATTTGAAGACAGGTGGTAACCTTGGCAATGGGATTGCATGGGCACCAAAATGTCCATCTGGCCCCAAAGGTGGTCGTTCCCAGGTTGGCATGTTGCCTGACATCCTCAGCAGGAAGATTACCTGTTAACACGGAAACAAGTTACCTGGGAGGAGAGACACGACACATGAGTGTGAGCACAGTGGCTGCTGCCGCCTGGCACGGAGCCTGGGACGGCGGTACAGGGCGTGCATATTTGGGAAAGGCGGGGAGATCGGAAGCTGCAGACCTTGCTCTGGCAGCAGAGACCAGGCAGGCCGGGGCAGAAGGGAAGGCCCCAGACGGCCTGGGTATGGGTTGTTCAGGACCAACACCTGTGTGCCTGAAGCACCAGCTGCAACAGGGGGAAACATCCCCCACTCCCTCTCCGATCCCCATGTGGCTTCCCCATACCTTTGCACGACTTCCACTCACTCCAGTGACATCTTCAGCATTGCCTCCTCCCATCTGCCCACTTTCCACCCTCTCCCAGCACGCCCACGCTCTTCTTCACTCCTGGCTTCCTCCCTGATGTTGGGTATCAATGGCCTGTATTTCCCACCATACACGTCTTTGTTAGAAAATCCAAAGGCTTGATTCATCCTTGTTGGAAATGGCAAGTAGCTCGAGGCTAAATGTGCTAAATGGGATTTAGAGAGCAAAACAAGGATTCTGGAGAACCCAAGCTTCTGTTCATTCAACATTCTCTACAAGGACGACCAGGAGTGGCAGTGGATGGGGAGTGACAGAGACGCTCACTGCCACTCTCAAGGTGTTTGCTCTATAGCCAGGGATTCAAATATAGAAGCCAATGAGTGCGGACAGTTCACGGGTTCTGTAAGCGAAGGCTGCACGGGGTCCAGTGGGAGCACAAAGCAGTGGCTGGGGAGGGTGGTCAGGGAAGGCTTCAAAGAGGAGGTGACACGCAGCTTACTCAACCAAGGAACAACATGACATCACTGGGGTTCGGGTCCTGCCAGAGTCTAGGAACCCACCATACCATTCAATACACAATTATTTCTCAACTTCGTTTTCCTGCGCTGCATTTATGTTTGAAGAGGAAAATCTGTTGGCTAATGAAGAGCCATCAGCAGGGGTTCCTGCAGACCTCCGTTCTGCCGAGTCTCCCGCCATATCTGTCATTTTCCATGTGTCCCTGTGGCTTTTTCCTCATGGGATTGTTGGGGGATTTATTTGCAAATTGATGGTTATGAAGCTTGGAAAATCCAGTGTTGGAAAATGTTTTAGGTTAGTGTCAAGTAGGAAACACTTCTTATTTACTTAGAGATGGCCAAACAGGCCAGGTGCAGTGGCTCATGCCTGTAATCCCAACACTTTGGGAGGCCGAGGTGGGTGGATCACCTGAGCTCAGGAGTTCAAGACCAGCCTGGCCAACATGGTGAAACTCTGTCTCTACTGAAAATACAAAATTAGCCAGGCGTGGTGGCGGGCACCTGTAATCACAGCTCCTCAGGAGGCTGAGTCAGGAGAATGGCTTGAACCCGAGAGGTGGAGGTTGCAGTGAGCCGAGATTGCACCACTGCACTCCAGCCTGGGCGACAAAGGGAAACTCCATCTCAAAAACAAGCAAACAAACAAACAACAACAACAACAAAACTCATGAGTAAAAAGTAAAACTTTTAAACTCAAGTAAACGAAAGATACCAAAGGAGAAGGAAACTTAACACTGTGGACAAACTTTTGCCATTAAAATTATAGGAAATGAAAACAAACATCACCAGCATCTCAATGCGAATGGTTTCCATTGACAAAATAAGGAATATTGTTAACTGTTAGTATTATTAATACATAATTTTTCAGGTCCTTGAAAAATTGGGGTCTGGATATCCAAATCAAGTGAAAACAGTATGATATTTATTATATATGACTCGAATAAGACATTGGTTTCGAGGTGTGGTTATAGAAGTGTTTATTTTCATCCTGCAAATCTCTACTGTATATATATATATGTGTATATATATATGTGTGTATATATATGTGTGTGTGTGTGTATATATATATATATATATATTTTTTTTTTTTTTTCCCCAAACGTTTTCCTCTCTCCCTTGAAAGTTGGTACATGCTTAAGGTTAGGAATAATAATAGTAAAATATGCTATTATAATGGCTGCAGACAGGAGCTCAGCCTTTCATCTTCTTTCAACTTGGCAAATATTTGAAAAACAAGATTGGGGGGAGGGGGGAGGGGGGAGGGATAGCATTTGGAGGTACACCTAATGTTAAATGACGAGTTACTGGGTGCAGCACACCAACATGGCACATGTATACATATGTAACTAACCTGCACGTTGTGCACATGTACCCTAAAACTTAAAGTATAATAATAAAAAAAAAGAAAAACAAGGTTAAAGCCGGGCGTGGTGGCTCACGCCTGTAATCCCAGCACTTTGGGAGGCCGAGGTGGGCGGATCATGAGGTCAAGGAGATCGAGGCCATCCTGGCTAACACGGTGAAACCCCATCTCTACTAAAAAAAAATACCAAAAAAAAAAAAAAATTAGCCGGGCACGGTGGCGGGCGCCTGTAGTCCCAGCTACTTGGGAGGCTGAGGCAGGAGAATGGCATGAACCCAGGAGGCGGAGCCTGCAGTGAGCCGAGATGGCACCACTGCACTCCAGCCCGGGCTACAGAGCGAGACTCCGTCTCAAAAAAAACGAAACAAAACAAAAAAAACAACAAAAAATGATTTTAAAAAATTTGCGACTTGTAAATCCACACATTATTTTGTTGTTCTGAAAAGAAAATTTAACATTTTATATTTTTAAAATTTGGGGGATCCTATCATATCGTTTTTTGTAACTCCAGATATTAGCTTAAAAATAGGTTTCAACATGAGTGATTTTCAGGTATTTATTCAAACATTTCCTCCTACTTCAAAAATACATAAAAACGTGATATGACTGCTTTCTTAAAGGATTTACCGAGATTATATCCTTTGAGTAAAGTGATCCTGAACTCAGTCTGGTTGTCAGTTTCATTAGGAAGGAAGTCGCTCATCTTGGTCTAAATATTCTCCAATGCCCCGTAACGCGGACATTGCTTTCAAGGAGCCATGCTTTCAAGGAGCGCCCAGATGGAAGACCTTTCTAACGACAGTTGGAAATATTCTAAGAAAAATTAATGCTATTTTAGAGTTACTAGTGGTAGGTTTTAAGATAAAACGTCTTTGTGGGCTTGTAATTTTTCCTGGGTAGCAAAGTGAAATTCGCAAACCTTGGGGCTCTCTTCTCATCCTTCTCAACCTCACATTTCTTATTTCACATGGCCTTCTGTCTAGTAACACTATACTTACACATTTAAGAACCATGCATTTAGGCTGGGCATGGTGGCTCACGCCTGTAATCCCAGCACTTTGGGAGGCTAAGGCAGGTGGATCACGAGGTCAGGAGTTCGAGACCAGCCTGGCCAACATGGTGAAATCCCATCTCTACTAAAAATACAAAAAATTAGCCAGGCGTGGTGGTGCACACCTGTAGTCCCATCTACTCAGGAGGCTGAAGCAGGAGAATCGCTTGAACCTGGTAGGCAGAGGTTGCAGTGAGCCGAGATCGCACCACTGTACTCCAGCCTGGGCGACAGACAGAGCGAGACTCTGTCTCAAAAAAAAAAAAAAAAAGAAAAAGAAACATGCGCTTATAGTTCCTCATGGCTGAGCAGCAACCTCGTTCTCTTGGAAGTGAGATATTTTTGAAAGGAAGTATTGACTAGAAAGTGAGGGGTCAGGGCTGTGTCTAGGATCAGGTTGTTCAGACAGGAAGGAAGGAAGAAAGTTTTGATGCTATTTAGAAACCTGACTTTGACATTTTGGGCTATCAGCTTGGTTTACTGGAAAAATGAAGAAAGACAGTTTTTTCTCACAAAATTGTGATGTGGGTTAGAAGAATACTGAAGAATTCAGTGATTGAGCCTTTGATATGGACAGTTGAAGTGCAGGAGACAGTTGCCAACATTTTGTTGAAGTCATTCATATACATATCTGAATCATAAATTAATTCTAAATGAGTGACATGCTTTTTAGCTTGCCAGAATTATGGAATTGCTGAGAGCAGAATGCTGTAACCTGAGCATCTGGTGATCAGACTAACCCTGGGTGGCCTGTTTGGTCACGGAACATGAGGACTCTGTGTGTTTGGAGGTTGGGCAGGGTCTGGAAGGTGACAGTATTTTGGGGGTGCTCTATTAGTCAGGAAGTCATGGGAATTTGCCTGCCCCGTTTGTCATATTTGGTTTTTGTTTGTT
The DNA here is from genome assembly GCF_000001405.40 of Homo sapiens. NCBI lineage: Eukaryota > Metazoa > Chordata > Mammalia > Primates > Hominidae > Homo > Homo sapiens. Next base: position 99,919,142 of record NC_000013.11, on the reverse strand, counting down.
TGTTTTTGAGACGGAGTCTCGCTCTGTCGCCCAGGCTGGAGTGCAGTGGCACAATGTTGGCTCACTGCAACCTCCACCTCCCAGGTTCAAGTGATTCTCCTGACTCAGCCTCCCAAGTAGCTGGGATTTCAGGCACCACCACCATGCATGGCTAATTTTTGTATTTTTAGTAGAGACAGAGTTTTGCCATGTTGGCCAGGCTGGTCTTGAACTCCTGACCTCAGGTGATCTGCCCACCTCTGCCTCCCAAAGTGCTGAGATTACAGGCTTGAGCCACCATGTCCAGCTGGTTTGTCATATTTGTGTTTGAATTTGGCTCTACGTGGATTCTGCGTAAGATTTAAGTGTCTTAGTTGGAAAAAGCCTCTGCATAAATGTGCACTGAGGAATATTTGTAACAAAGCTGGGAGCCAAGTAGGGAACTGGCATAGAGATTCTTCTAGACACATAGGCAAAGGATAGCTACCACAGAAAACGGGCAGATATGTGGGATTAGAGTGAGAGGGGTAATTTAGGCGATGAAATGAGCTGGTCTCTTGTACCACTATATGGCAGGTGAGGCAGATCCCCAAGATGAGGGTAGCGGTGCTTCTAGGAAGGGGAGACCACCACACCCCTGCCCTTTCTTGACAAAGTATACCAAGTGCAGATTACACTAGAGGGAGCCAGGCCGATGCCAAGCTTCCCGCTGGATGATGAAGGCCGTGGAGATGAGGAAGAGACACAGAGAACGAAGATGCCAGAGGGGTTAGAAGTGAGGAGTTTACTGTAGTGGGGCACACAGAGAAAATAATATTTGATGGCAACTGGGCGGCTCTTGGCAAGAGATGACCAGCTTGGAAGTCCCTGCCATTCCTGACCCAAGGGCTGTAGGGATCAGCAGCTCAGGCACACACCTGTAACCCATCCTGCACACTGACTGGGAAGTTCTGGTCTAGTCAACGTCAGAAATACATAGTGAAAAGCCAGGGTCGTGGAGCCCTTTGAGAATCTGATGGAAGTTATGGGCCTTCTCCCCAGAAAGCCCACAAATGTGACACACACATACAATTGTGCTCACTGTTTCAAGGGATTTATGAAAATGCTCATCTACTTCTTTAATTTATTTTTATTTTGAGACAGAGTCTCACTCTGTCACTCAGGCTGGAGTGCAGTGGTGTAATCTTGGCTCACTGCAACCTCCACCTCCCAGGTTCAAGTGATTCTCATGCCTCAGCCTCCCGAGTAGCTAGGATTGCAGGTACACACCTGCAATGCCATCATGCCTGGCTAATTTTTATATTTTTAGTAGAGATGGAGTTTCACCATGTTGACCAGGCTGGTCTTGAACCCCTGGCCTTAAGTGACCTGCCCGCTTCAGCCTCCCAAAGTGCTGGGATTACAGATATGAGCCACTATGCCTGGCCAAAATGCTCATCTAATTTTGGATCTTATGATAAGAACCTTGGTTGGAGATTATTAAAGAAAGGGTGTTGATGAAGAAATGAAGGCCAATTCACTTGAATAAATTCAGCAACTAGGATTTAAAAAGTCCATCTAAAGAAGGAGAGAATCACAGACTCTTAGGGCATTCAAAGGCTCCATAAACCTCTGGCTTTGGAAGTGGTTCAAATGCTAGGGATACCAAGCAGAAAATATCCAGGTCAGGTCATTAGATCCAAACAATCGAGCACATTGCAATGGTTGAGCAGATCGCTCGGCTCCGTGTTGGCTACTTTTTAAAGGTCCTGATGTTAACTTGGTCAGGATAATAATTTGGTAAATAGTCAATGGCACAAGTTTTATTTCTGTATCCCTCCTTCCAAACATTTTTCCCCGGGAGGGACCCTTCTCTAGTTTTCTCGGTATGCATGGCGGAATGGGGAGCGTGTGGTGAGGTGTGCTCTTGCACGGACTTCCAAGATTGACAGTGGCTGCCTGGGTACCTATTGTCTCAAGGACTCTGCCACCCAGTGCATAATCAGTTCTAAGCCACTCATCTTCACTTGCCCATATGCCCCCTGGAAGCACCCGTATTGCTGAAATGACATGTATCGAAAACAACGAGACAGTCAGGGCTCAACGCCTTACCAACTATTTGTGAACCAAAATAATAACCAGATCTCAAAAGACTAAATGGTGGGCGAGGGATGGAGCGTCAGTACTACCTTAGAAAATATGTGACTTGTGTTAGTTGAATCTCAGGTCTGACATCATGTGAAAGTGCTTTCTTTGCAAAATACAGCCTGGGGGGAAATTTTGCCAGTGTCTTGCTCTGGTGAGTTAATATGCATTTAACCAGTTTTATAACAGATTATTTACCAACGGGAACAGAATGCTTTGGCACGGGATGCCTTTGAGAGAGCTATTCTATTGCTCTGGCTAATTCCATATTTCAAAATAATTTCCACATACTCCTGGTGGATGTAGGTTCTCTCAAACTCTTCCCTCTACTGGTGAAATGGGAGAACTGGCAAGTAGGTGAGATTATGTTGCCCTCTGGTGTCTGCCAACCCAAAAGAAAGAACTAGAACTTAGGAAGGCGATGAGATGTAGAAGGAAGGTAGAAGGTGCTCCCCATCGGGAGAAAGATAAAGATGGAGAGGTTGGGGGATGAAGAGGGAGGAAGGGAATGAGCTTGGTGTCCTCTGCCCGTTGGACCTTCTTCTCTTGGGTGAGTGACAGGATTCCAACTACTCTTCCTGTCTGAGGAGGAAAGTGACACCTCCAGGGCTATTTGCCTGATGAGTCTGGGGCCTCTGTGATTTGTGATGGAGAAGTAGGCTCATCGGGGGGGTGGGACCTGGCCATTCTCTGCAGGGAACCGCTGGGGAAATGAGCTGGGTGATGGCCACCCATAGTCCCATCCTTCAGGTTTGGCTGAATAGGAGAATGTCCCTGGGACTGGGAGTGGGAGGGAAATAGCCCTTGTCCTTGGGGGAAACTCTTGGCAGTTATGACATTATTAAAAGTACAGGGATGGTGAAGGGGAATTCGCTGGTTGTCCACTGCAGGGGTCTTCACACCTGGTAGCAGTGGCCATTTTAGACTGTGGCCCTTTGGAGCTCTCTCAAGAACATCATGCCAGGAGGGCAGCCCCAGAGAGCATGATGGAGAGGGGGAATTTCTTCCCCCACAGGGAACTGAGTCCAGCCCTCCACCCTCAGAATGGCAGCTACTGCCTGAGGACCCACCTGTGTCTAGGATGGAGACCAGGATTTTCATTCTCCTTAGGGAAACCCACCAATAACCTCAAATGTACTTCTCATGGCCTAGCCTGGGGCACCCGGCTCCTCCCCTCTGGGCCCGTGTCTGGGCTTTGCCATGTTTGCCAGGCACCCGGGGGAGCAGGGTGTGGTGAGCCCAGCCAGCCTGTTATTACATCTTGTATCATCTTCTGATGTGCCTATCCTGTCATTGACTTTTGATGCCCTACACGAGAGCAGGCATTACATTTTCTTGCCACAAACTATGGCAAGTCTGTGGAAATTGTTGATAATTTTTCTTACAGAAAGACCATTGGCTGGGCATGGTGGCTCACACCTGTAATCCCAGCACTTTGGGACGCCAAGGCAGGCAGATCACCTGAGGTCAGGAGTTTGAGACCAGCCTGGCCAACATGGTGAAACCCCATCTCTACTAAAAATACAAAAATTAGCTGGGCGTGGTGGTGCACGCCTGTAATCCCAGCTACTTGGGAGCCTGTGGCGGGAGAATCGCTTGAACTCGGAAGGCAGAGGTTGCAGGGAGCCAAGATTGCACCATTGTACTCCAGCCTAGGGGTCAAGAGAGAAACTCTGTCTCAAAAAAAAAAAAAAAAAAAAGGGAAAAGAAACAAAAAATTGATGACTATTCATAGAAACTGATGGCAGCTAGGAGTAAAAAGGTGGGCAAATTTGGGCAGAGACACAGGGAGGCAGAGCGCTCCATCTTTGGTCAGGGTTAGTGGAGACCATGGAGCCATGGGAGGAAATCCTTTGGGTGCCTGAGCCCTGTGGGGCTGGGGAGGGGACCTGGTTACCCTGGTTTCCTGGAAGGAGGCTGTGGGGAGGCACAGGACGGGAGTGAAGCTGGGAAAAGGAAGCACCTTCAGCAGCAAGTTTCTTTTGTAGATTATCTTGGGTTTTTCAAATCCTAGTTCAAAAGCCAGTAAAGAGCCATGAGTGTTGGCATGTTTCTGTAGTCCCAGCTACTCGGGAGGCTGAGGAGGGAGGATCACTTAAGCCCAGGTGTTGGAGGCCACTCTGATTGTGCCACTGCACTCCATCCTGGGCAATAGAGGGAGACCCTGCCTTAAAACAAGAACAACCACACACACACACACAAAACCAAAAAACCCAAAGCCAGTAAAGCTGGGATTTCTTTTCTTACTTCCTTTTTTTTTTTTTTTTTTTTTGACAGAGTCTCGCTCTGTTGCCCAGGCTGGAGTGCAGTGGCGAGATCTCGGCTCACTGAAACCTCCGCCTCCCAGGTTCAAGCGATTCTCCTGCCTCACCCTCCCAAGTAGCTGGGATTACAGGTGCCCACCATGCCCAGCTAACTTTTGTTTTTTTAGTAGAGGTGGGGTTTCACCATGTTGGCCAGGCTGGTCTCAAACTCCTTACCTCAAGCGATCTGCCCGCCTTGGCCTTGCAAAGTCTGCTGAAATTACAGGCATGAGCCACTGTGCCCGGCCAAAACTGGGATTTCTGATGTAATCCCCAGGCTGACAGAACTCTTGAGTGAAAGGGGGATAATGGTCTAGCACTTAGCTCCCAGTAAATTCAAAGTATAGTTATTGAATGAATGAATGAATGGAATATTGCAATTGATTTTGTTATTGGTTTTTGACTAGAGGGTATGTATATGGATGGTAAGTAAGAAGAGAAAATGGGAAAACCGATTTTGTTTTAAAAAACTGTATGACCACGTAGGAAACATAGGTTCAGATTATAGTTGTGGAAACTCTGCAAGACTAGGAGATGTAAAAGAAGGTTAGAGTGAGGAAAGAAAGCCAGCAGAATAATTTTCAAAGATAGCTAATTCATGGATCTGTAAATTATTTTATTTAATCTTCATGCAACTGAAACAGAAGCAGGCATAATAATTTTGCAGGCAAGGCAGTACACAGGGGGTCGGGCCAGCACCTCCACCAGGCACTTGCTGATTCCCTCCTTGGTATTTTCCCTACAGGTGAAACCAGCTTAGGCTAGTGACTATGAATGTCCGGCGTTGACTTTTAGGGAAAACACGCTGCAGAAGGACATCCTGCACCCTCCGTGGGGTGGCGGGGGGGGTATGATTCCCCCCATTTGCTGAGGTGCCCGCCAGCTGGGCGATGCCTTTGAACTTCTGGGCTTTGAGTGCCCACGCACCCGGCCACAAGCCACCTTCCCCAGCACTTGCTCCCTCTGAGGAAGCGGCATCTACTCTAGCACGGGCTTTGCCTGTAACCTTTAGTGCTGTTTTCTAGAAAAGGATTTGGTGAGGTTCGTTGTATTCAGACTGGGTTGTTCTTTTAGAAATTGGTCTGTGCTGTCTTCATTTTATTTGCCAAAATATGAGCTACAACGCTACGGACTGATCATTTTACTAAATCTTTCTCCTTCTCCCACTCCTGTCTGTCTTTGTAAGTCAAAGCTATTTTGCATTACGTGAGCAACAAAATGATTTACAAAATGAGAGACAGGGACAATCTATTCTAACGGTTAGATGGCAATAACAAATATTTACACGAGCCTGGCTGATGCTGACTTTTGGAGAGCGCGCGCTCCAACTGAAAGCTGAAAGCTGGGGAACTGAGCCATGGGAGGCCAGCCTCTGGTGTTCTGCTGGACAGCCTCTTGGGCCAAAAATAATCTTCTTTGTTTTTTTGTTTTAGAGTCTGTATCTGTAAAAAGAAGCTAATAGCTTGGACCCCTCTGTCAGTAATGCTGTGCAGAGTTCCCAGTTGACTTTCATAAGCCTAAGCCTCAGAGCTGGGGCTTGGAGGTTGGTGGGAAGGGGTGAAGGTTTGCGGGGAAGGCAAGTGAGTCCCTCTAAGGAGCTGCTGAGGGTGTCCTGGGCCCGGGGTCCTGGGGAATTTGAACTCCTGCTAGGCCTCATTTTTTCCTTTATCTCCTTTCCTCTCTCAAATAATAATGTCCTTGTGAAGAAAAAATATTTATCTTATTTTATTTAATTTTTTATAAAGACAGGGTTCTTACTATGTTACCCAGGCTGGACTCAAACTCCTGGGCTCAAGCAATCTTCCTGCCTCAGCCTCCAAAGTAGCTGGAACTACAGGTGCATGCCACCTCGCTCAGCTACAAATATTTTTAAAATTAAAAACTGGGCTGCGCATGGTGGCTCACGCCCGCAATCCCAGCAATTTGGGAGGCCAAGGCAGGAGGAACGCTTGAGTCCAGGAGTTGCAGAGCAGCCTGAGCAACATAGCAAGACCCTGTCTCTGTAAAAATACAAAAAATTAGCCAGGCATAGTGGCGTACTCCAGTCTGGGCGACAGAGTGAGACCCTGTATTTTTTTTTTTTTTTAAATTAAAAACCAGCAGACTTTGATATATGCTTCTTGAATTCTCCTGCTGGGTCTCCCACCTTGCAGGATCCTCCTGCAGCCCAGTGTTGGGGTGTAGGAGACGTAAGAGCTGTTGGGGTCAGACTATAAACCTGCTTACTCCAGCTGATGGATCAGTAGCGGAGCTTTGCTCTGTAATATTTGTATGGAAGATGCAATGTTTGCACAATGAAGCCCACCAGATTTTCAAGTGGAGGGAGTGAAGCCAGTTTACAATCAATGATAACAGCTTTCCCTGGCTGCCATTACCCCAAATAGTATCTTATTTCAGCAAAATGGTGGCAACCAGCAGGAGGTCCGACAATGCAGATTTTAATCAGAAAGTTTAATTTGATATACAATTCACAGTTTGTGCACGGTGAGAAATGTTTCTCACTGCATGAACTTTCAGGACTCAGCTCTGAGCAAAAGGAGTTTCAATTTATGTAACACCTTTCTCAGCAGACAATACCCCAAAGCACTTCCTGGTAAGAGATGGCTTGCATTGCTGGGAAGCCACCGCAGAAGCCTTTCTTAAAATTACCCAGGATATTTATTTGGAGCAATTAAAAGAAGCGGCTGCATTTCACACAAATCCGTTTTTAATGTAGACATTAAATTGGCTGAGATTTCAATGCAGAGTCTCCTGGTCTCCAAGAACGCAGCTGCACCGTGCTCTTTTTTGCATAGATTTGCTCCCTTGTAAGGCAAACTTTCCACCTGGGCTCATTTTGTTTTCCCAGTTGGCTTGTAAACTCTCGGAAGAGAACCCTATAATGGAAATGTTGACAGCGCCTTTTACACGTAGGGCGCTGGGCTGCAGTTGTTGAATGGCAGGCTGGGCCGAGGAAGAGTGGCTGGGTGTGATGTTTGCCTCAGCGACTCTTGACCAACAGATAAGAGTCAATCCTACACCAGCTCACGTGGGGAGGAGAGGAGGCTCTCGCGGCTGTCCTGGGGATGACCGTCCCGGGGATGACCGTCCCCAGGATGACCGAGAGATGCCTGCGCTGTGCTTGAGCATTGCCTGGGTTTGAAGAGTGCAGGGCCAATTCCTCTGGAACAGGGAGCAAGAGGATGTGGTGGTGGGGGAGAGTAGGCATACACCTGGTGACAGCAGGCCAAGACAGAGTGAGAGGTCAGAGGGAGGCAGAGTCAGAGGGAGGAGGCAAGTTCTAGGGAAGAGGCAGAATCAGAGGGAGGAGGCTGAATCAGAGGGAGAAACAGGGAGGAGAAAGAGTCAGAGGGGAGAAACAAGTTGGAAGGAGGAGGTGGAGTCAGAGAGAGGAGACAGAGCCAGAGGGAGGAGGCTGAATTGAAGGTCAGAGACAGAGTCAGAGGGAGGAGGCTGAATTAGAGGTCAGAGACAGAGTCAGAAGTCACAGGTAGAGTCAGAGGGAGGAGACTAAATTAGAGGTTGGAGAGAGAGTCAGAGGTCAAAGGCAGAGTCAGAGGGAGGAGACTGAATTAGAGGTTGGAGGCAGAATCAGAGGGAGGAGGCTGATTAGAGGTCGGAGACAGAGTCAGAGGGAGGAGATTGAATTAGAGGTTGGAGACAGAGTCAGAGGGAGGAGGCTGAATTAGTAGTCAGAGGCAGAGTCCGAGGGAGGAGGCCAAGTCAAAGCTTCTCAGGAACAACTTTCCAGTTGGAGGGGGGACAGGAACTTATTACTGAGTTGTCCACACAGAGGGCCAGCTGGGAGGAGGTAATGAGAGTGGCTCCAGAATAAAGCATCTCAGGTAAATGGGCCCTGCATTAGAAGAGCTGGAGAAGGCCAGTGGAGAGACACTGTCCACCTCATCTTGCCCCTAGTCCATGCCAGAGGGCACCCTCTCCACTTATGGGAGGAAAATGCCCACTCCAATGCCCACTCCCATCATTTCCTAAGGTTCCCTCCCTCCCCACCCCAGGTTCCCTCCCTCCCGCCCAAGGTTCCCTCCCTCCCGCCCAAGGTTCCCTCCCTTCCCAGCCCCACCAGCTTTCACTGCTTCCCAACTGTCTGAGCCCCTATGATCTGGCTTTATCTACAGCCAATGCTGTGTGTGAGTTGTGGGCAAGAGTGGCTTCACCAGGAGCATCCAGCCCTCTCTTGGCCATGGCTCCTGTTTATGCCGGGACCCCAGGGAGGAAGTCTTGAGGGCCTTGTTCCTGACTGGTGGGAAGCCAGGCTGGATTATTGATCATGGCTCTACCATTTCTGGAGAGCCCATCCCAGCTGGTCCGTGTACAAACATTATTGCACTTAATCCTTGCAGCAATCCCCACAGGGAGGTCTTATTTACCCAGGAGGAATCTGAGGCTCAGAAAGGTTAAGCAGCTTGCTTGGCTAAGGTCACAGAGTTAGATAGTGGCTGCAGGACTGTACTCAAAGCCTATGCTCTTTCTTCTGCAAACTGAAGAATCTGTAAGGAAAGACCAGGTAGAACCTACTCTATTGCTCTTCTCCCTAAAGGTAGAACCTACTCTATTGCTGTTCTCTCGGGAGTGGGGCCCAGAAGGGCATTTGGGAAGCTGGGCATCAGTCATGGGAGATAGGCAGTTGCAACGTGGCTCCTGGCAGCAGGGAGCTTGGAAGGCAGCCCAGTGTGTCCGATGAAGAAAACAACCCTGAGGCTGAACATACAGATAAGGTTTAGTTCAGAGACACCAGCAAGTCCTGATTAGTAGTCACTACTTGGGACCCTGTTTGTAAAAGGATTCTGAGTCTGAATCTAGACACAGTTAGAGAGGATACTGAGCCTGAATCTAGACATAGTTGGAAAGGATTCTGAGCCTGAATCTAGACATAGTTGGAAAGGATTCTGAGCCTGAATCTAGACATAGTTGGAAAGGATTCTGAGCCTGAATCTAGATGCAGTTGGAAAGGATACTGAGCCTGAATCTAGATGCAGTTGGAAAGGATACTGAGGGTAATTAGCAATGTCTGCCCTTGACCCAGAGGGGAGTAGCAGTTGTTTAGAATGTATTTACAATCCATGTATAGGTATTTTTCAGCATTGACAGTTTTCTTCTTCTGACAAATACTCATTATTTTCCACAAACAGATAGCAATCTAACTGTTCCTTCTCTTATTAACCTGAGTCCACAGCACTGGAGTGGTGTTGGGTCATGAGTCCTATCACAGGAGAAAAATCAGTCATTTACAAAGGCAAAGCCAAACAGAGAGTTCTTGATGAGAGTTTAAAGTTCAGAGGACACAGGAAATATTTATTTGTTTCATGTATTTTACATTTGTTACTAGTATGTGCTGGGCACTATCCTGTTTTACAAACATTCACTCACTAACAACCCTATGAGATGAGTTCCAGTAATATCACCATTTTACAGAATGAGACAACTGAAGCCCAGAGAGGTGAAGTAACATGTCCAAGGTAACACAGCTTTGTGTATTCGAGCAGTCTAATAACAGAGTCTTCGTGATTAAATGACACAGTGCAGCCTCTCTGCCCTGTACATATTTCTGTCTTGCTTTTCCATATGGTGTTGTGCCTTCTTTGCTTCATGTTTGTTTTCCAGACTAGACTGAACTTTTGAAGGGTTTTCTGTTCCGCTATGTCTAGGTACCTGACATAAAGGAAGAGCTGGACATGACTACTGAATGTTAGTGCTATGATTTTAGGAATTAATCACATTGAATTTGAGTTGTTTTTTGTTTGTGTTGGCTCACTAGCATGGGCTTGTGGAATGGGACTCTGAGTTACATATTTCTATATCCTCAGCCTCTAACACAATATAAAGGAGAACACCTCCCATTTGTTTATTTATTCATTAACTCACTGATTCATTCATTCAGTGAAAATGTATTAGGGGCAGGCACCATGCTAGTTGCCAGGAACGAGCAAAGTAGACCAACTTTCTGCCTCTGTGGTTAAATCCAACCTCACAAGAGTATGATATAGAAAAATGATGTTGATATTCTTTAAATTGGACACACTTGTCTGTTCTACAAACAGTACTACTAGATTACTTTGCATTGCAACATATCAGTTCCCTCCCTACCACACTGTGTGGTGAAATAACATTGCAAACAGCTATTTTATTCCTATTTTACCTTACCTAAGGGCATTGGTTACCCATATTGGTCAGATCTAATATTCAAAGCTCAGGAAAAGCTTTTTGGTGCAGAGCTGATGGAAGAATGATCAGGCTTCCACACTGCGAGGCGGGGCTGCTTCATTCCTTTTGTTATATGAAAAGCTTCAAGCATTATTAAGTGATGACAGAGTACACTTGGCTTCTGGTCTTTCTTTGAAGGCTGGCCTGTAGCATGCTGCTTGGAAGCAGGAACGATTCCACAAATGGTCAGGGAGCTACCCTCCTCCAAACCTCCCTTCACACCAGGTCCAGGTGTGTAAACAGAGCAGATGGGCCTCTGCCCAGAGGGAAGGGAGTTCTGAGAGCACAGAGCTGGAGCCAAGCATGACACCTTTTGGGATTTCTGTTTCTGCCGCTTCTCTACACCAAGGCTGGACCTCAAACATTCTCTCTACTCCTTTGCAAGTTCTCTGTAGCTATTGAGGATGTCAGTTGCATCAGATTCCTCCTTGTAGAGAAGGAAAAAGCTCTTTCCAAGAACCTGCAGGGAACAGGTGACTGGAGCTCAGGTTACTTTTTTGCCAATCCGAGTGCTGTTCACCACTCAGCACAGCCTGACCGTCCTCCCCGGGATGAGAGGTGCCCATGGGGTGCAGTCAGGAGGAGTCCCTCGCAAGCCCATGCCCAAAGTCTTGGCACCTGGATGTTTCAAATCATATGAAACCACGTGCTGCGGCTCTCTATTCAGGGTCTTTTTAATTGTTTTTGAGATGGAGTCTTGCTATGCTGGCCAGGCTGGCCTCAAACTCCTGAGCTCAAACTGATCCTCCCACCTCAGTCTCCTGAGTAGCTGGGACTACAAGCAAGCACTACCATGCCCAGCTTTATTTATTTATTTTTTAGAGATAGAGGGGTCATGCTACGTTGCCAGGCTGGTTTTGAACTCTTGGCCTCAGGCAATCCTCCTGGTTCAGCCTCCTGAGTCTCTGGGATTACAGGTGTGACCCATCATGCCCAATTAAAAAAAATTGATGTATAGTTAGTGAAAAATTTGGAAATACAAAAATGTAAAAAGAAGAAAAAATAAAAATCACCAGTAGTCTTATCACCCAAACACTACAATTGCTAACATTTTATTGTTTTTTTTTTCCAGTGTTGTGATTTCTTTTTAACATGGTTATAATCACAGATAATAATTATAGGAACCAACACTTGTCCAGTGCCTACAGTGTGCCAGGCCACTGTGCTTTGTATGTATTAACTCATTTCAGGCTCAAAAGAAACCTTAGGAGGTAGGTAGTATTATTACCCCCATTTCACAGATAATAAGACTGAGGCACAGGGATGTTAGGATCTTGCTCAAGGTTACTTAGCTAAGAAGCCTAAGAAGCAGGAGAGCCAGGCAGTTCAGCTCCAGACTCGCATTTGCAGCTTGGTATGCATCAGAACTTGACTTTATAGGAAAAGCACTTTCTTATCACCTTCAGAAGCACCAGTTTTAGTGGCTGTCTAATATTCCATCAAGTAAATGTCTCCCGATTGACTTAGCCATACCTCTGTAATTTACATGATGCAACTGTGAATAAAGTAGTATTTGCCAATGAGGCTTTTTTGATATTCTGGATTACAGAATTTCTTTAGGATAAATTCCCAGATGTAGACGCAAAGGGTCAAAGAAAACAGTAAGTCTGCAGATGCACGAAGCCAAGTATTTTCCAAGCCACCCGCTGTGGGGCTGCCCATCCTTGGAGGGATTAATTCTTTCTTAATCCTCAAGAAAGGATTAATGCATTTGTTAGGCAGAAGATGTTTTAATGTTTTAAAATGCTCTCCAGCCCAAATCTGAGTCATCTTGTAATAATAAGAACTCAAGGCCGGGCACGGTGGCTCACGCCTGTAAGCCCAGCACTTTGGGAGGCTGAGGAGGGTGGATCACCTGAGGTCAGGAGCTCGAGACCAGCCTGGCCAACATGGAGAAACCCCATTTCTACTAAAAATACAAAAATTAGCTGGGTGTGGTGGCAGGCACCTGTAATCCCAGCTACTCAGGAGGCTGAGACAGGAGAATTGCTTGAACCCGGGAGGCGGAGGTGGTATTGAGCCGAGATCGCGCCACTGGGTGACCGAGCAAGACTTTGTCTCAAAAAAGAAAAAAAAAAGAAAACTCAAAAAAGCTCTGGGGGTCCTTCAGTTCCCATTCAAATTCTGATTTTCACTCACACTTATTTTCCTCATATCTGATTATTCTTATGTAAAACAACAATAAAATGAAATCTTAACAGACATTTTTCTGATTTGAAAACTTTTAAATGTCCATTTTAGAAAATAGGGAAACTCCAAAATCCCCTGTAGTGACATTTACTTATTTTATTGTTTATTTTATTTCTTGATGATCACAGTGACAGGTGCTCATTGTAGTCCATTTGGAATGTACAGGAAAGTATAAAAGGAACAAAGTGAAATAACCAAATGGAGGCAAACTTCTCAGCATTTTCCCTTTTGCCATTAAACATGTTGAATCTGGCAGAGTGTCATGGCTCATGCCTGTAATCCTAGCACTTTGGGAGGCTGAGGCAGGTGGATCACTTGAGCCCAGGAGTTCAAGAACAGACTGGGCAACATGGTGAGACCCCGTTTCTACAAAAAATACAAAAATCATCTGGGAGTGGTGGCACAGGCCTGTAGTTCCTGCTACTTGGGTGGGGTCCTGGCTGAGGTGGGAGGATGGCTTGAGCAGGGGAGGTCGAGGCTGCAGTGAGCCGAGATCGTGCAGCTGTACTCCAGTCTGGGCGACAGACAGAGACCCTGTCTCAAAAACAACCACAACCACCACCACAACAACAACAAAACATGTTTGATCTAAAAAAAAAAAAGCAAAAACAACAACCAAAAAACACTTTTTTATGGCTGCATGAAAATTTCCATCTAAGGTACTTTTAGATTTCTTCCCCCTTTTCTTTCTTTTTTTGGTCTCACACCTGGAGCTCGGTTCTTGGCTGACTTGCAAGTTTGCTTTGAAGGATAATGAAGAATAATTGGAACAGAATGGAGGTGGGGGAGGGTGGACAGAATAAGAAAGGGCTCCACTGCCCCCAGCTTTCACTTCCTAGAACAGGGCCAGAAGGGCCCTAGGGCGGCTTCAAGACACCCTTTTGGCCAGTCACTAACACAGTGATGTCATGTCACTCACCACAGGCACGTAACAGAAGCTCAGTAAATGTGTGCTGGAGGGCAGATCAATGGACGGATTTGACACAGGTCGCCATGTATGAACTTTACCCTCTTGTTGTAACTCTACAGTAATGGTCATTGCAGCTCAGCATTCCCTTTATTAAAAAAAAAGAAAAACAGGTATGCATCTGTGATCCTAGGTCCTGGCCTTATTAAGATCCTAGAGGAGTGACCAACCAGAGGTCTTTTAGCCCAAGGCAGATAGTTGTGATCAAAGCTTTCTGGATCTCTCCCAGGAGGTCCTCGGCTGGAGAGAATGGCCTAGGACCAGACCCTCCAGTGTGAAGCACCCCCTTTCCCTCTGAGACCTGTGAGCAGGCCAGCCCTGTGGGGAAAGAGGCAAAGGAGGCAGATGTGGGGGAGCAGAAAAGGTGGGGGAGGTGTACTGTTCTGGGGGAGGCAGGGTGGGAAAAGCTGTCTCTGCAAAGATGGCTCAAAGCCCGCTGAGCTCCCAGTTGAGCTTCTTACAAGAGGGAGGCTGCCCTTTCAGGGCCTCTTTTGCTCTCTTGAGACCCCCAGGGAGGGCAGCTACGCTCACCTCTGCCTTGCGGGGCTGTGGGACTCACTTGGCTGAGCTGTTACTTGACGTCTTTGCCTTCATTTTCATAAAAACTGTACAGTTTTGAGCTGACACTGGGAAAAATACTGCTTTTTACTTATATGCTTTAAGTATATATGAGAAAAATTAAATTATGGAATATTAGTTTGAAGCACGACGCTGCCATTTTAGAGGCCACACATTTCTTTTAGGTGACATTTATAGGACAGCCATCCATACACGTGTGGCTGATTTCGAAAATTATAGCATGAGACATTTCAACATGATGGCTATTTCAGCCTCTTCTGCAATCATTCAGGGATGTGAATGTGTATAAAATTAGAAATTAGGTCATGTGTGAGGAATCAATCAACTCTTCCTTATCAAATCAATTCATGAGACCCAAACATAATTATGGAAACTGGTTTGAACTTTGCTTTTTAAAGTTTAGCATAGCCAGGAATTCCCAAATCATGTTACAATGTTGTCCCTTTGACTGCAAATGGAAGGGGCCACATTTCGCCTTTCGAGGTCTGGGAGTTCTGTCTGGCTGTTTCTCTTTTTAATCTGCAAAATGAGGGGTTAGACTAGAGTCTGATTGAATTAGTTTGGGGTGGGGCCCAGATATTAGTATTTACTAAAAGCCCAAGAAATAATTCTAATATCAGCCAAGATCCAGTCCATTGGCTTAGGTGACCTCTAAGTCCTTCTTTGGCAACAAAATGCTGTGCTTTTTATAATTAAAAAGGTGTGGGGTTTTTTTGTTTTTGTTTTTTTTTTTAAGAGAGGGGTCTCACTCTGTCATCCAGGCTGGAGTGCAGTGGCACGATCACAGCTCACTGCAGCCTTGAACTCTTGGGCTCAAGTGCTCCTCCCGCATCAGCCTCCTGAGTAGCTGGGACCACAGATGTGTGCCACCATGCCAGCCTAATTTTCTTAAATTTAATTTTATTTTGTAGAGATGGGGTCTTGCTTTGCTGCTCAGACTGTAATTTAAATTTTTAAACAAAAGTAAGTAAGGAAATCAGATTCATTTTGCAGATAATGCTACTTAAAAACATCTTCTTCCTAAATTCAGATTTCATGGAAGTCCACAAATTAAACTTGCTTCATACGGGACGCGAACCTCACGGAGTATTTTGGGCAGATCTTACGAATTTAGAAAAGTTGTGTTTGCTTCACATTTTTATATTCCTAAGTGAGTTTTAAGCCAGTTATCCAAAACAAATTTATTTTTCACCTTTAAGAGTCAAGATGTCAAAGTTTTTAATTTCCAGGTGGAAATCATGGAAATCGAAAGGATCAAAAAGAAATGTTTACGGATAGAGAGAGATAAGAAATAGAGATACTGACTTTTTGCTATTTGCTAAGGATGACAATTCCCTGTGTGCATGTGTGTGTGCGTGTGCGAGTGTGTGAGTGTATGTGTGTGTCAGTGTGCGTGCGTGTGTGTGTGCCAGTGTGTTTGCAATGAGCCTCTGCTGGGATGGGGGAGGAGTAGCCAGTGCTGGGGGAGCACCTTCAAGGAACTTTAAAGACAGATGGTGGCAGACTGCGGCCATGGGGCCAGCAGGCTCCTGATTTCATGGCAATGTCTGCCTAGCAACCCTCCTTATTGAAGACCATGTCTCCAGAACTAGCCAGGTTTTAAAATGTAGTTCAACTTTGGAGATGGTTTTTATTTTCTTGTTATGAAATCGAGGCTCCTGCACTAAGAACTCAAATGACTGCATGCCTATGTCTGCTCATGAAGACGGTCTGTGGCAAAGTGATGCTATGGTTGAAACCCGTCCATTGATAGGTCACAGGAAATAGAAAGATCCAAGTTCAGTATTTGGATTAGAAATACAAGTCAAAGACGGAACACTGCCATCAGAAATGTGCGATCCTAAAAGATATTTATTTGAAAGTTTTGAAAAAAGTAAAGCTCATGCCCTGGGGCTTCTGGGAGTATGTACAAAATACAATAATTAAATTAAGTCCAGCAGTTAAAGTTCCTCATAAAAAGAAAAAGCTGGAGTGCTTCCCAATGGGGAATGCTTCACTTAAAAGGAAGGTTTTACTCTGTGGCCTGAAGGTCAACAAACTGGGACTCTGTGGGAATGGATAACATTTCTTAAAGGGGTTCTTAGGTCTTCGTTTTGTTGAAAGAAAATAAAAGTAAAAAGGGACAAGTTTTGAAAATTCAAAAAATGAAGGTGCAGTCCTAAAATCATCACAATTTTTATAAACGCTACACTGGAGGCTATGAAAACATGTTCTCTTTTCTGAGCACTAATCTAACACATATGCCCTTTGAGAAGGAAGAGAAAAAAGGCCAGTGGCGCCCTCTGAACAAACCAGTTTAAAATATGCTGATTTTCATAGGCAGTGTGCATGCAAATTCATAGCCCATTCATTGGCTATTTATTTTGAAAACATTTACCTTAAGTATTCTCATATATTTGACAATTTAAAATTCCTTATATGACACAAAGACTGATCATATTTTAAAAACGCTTTTATGAGGCAAAATTATGAAAATTATCATCTTGGGTCACATTCTTATAACCTAAAATGGAATGTTTCTCATAATTTGAAAATATCTGTTTTTATACTAATCATTTGTTGTTACCTTTCTGGTAATATCTCCCCCAAAAGGAATAAGGTTAAGAATAGGATAGAAATTACATTTTATGAGTTTATACTGTTATAAAAGGTACACTTTATGAGTTTGTATGTACATGTAAACTTGATGTGAAGTTAAACTTTCTCATTTCTAAGCATCACTCTAGGCTCTCAAATGAGTTTCAATCACCAATTTGCAGATCATCATCTTCCTTATGACTTACATAAAAGCTGAATGTTGGCTTTGCATTAAGACAGCATGATCAAAGGCAGGATATTGGGAATAGCAGCTTTGACTTTGGGAGGCCAAGGTGGGTGGATCACTTGAGGTCAGGAATTCGAGACCAGCCTGGCCAACATGATGAAACCCCGTCTCTACTAAAAATACAAAAATTAGCCAGGCATGGTGGCGTGTGCTTGTAATCCGAGGTACTGTGGAGGCTGAGGCAGGAGAATCACTTAAACCCGGGAGGTGGAGGTTGCAGTGAGCTGAAATTGCGCCACTGGACTCCAGCCTGGG
Source organism: Homo sapiens (assembly GCF_000001405.40). NCBI lineage: Eukaryota > Metazoa > Chordata > Mammalia > Primates > Hominidae > Homo > Homo sapiens. The sequence goes on along the minus strand of NC_000013.11, from coordinate 99,901,699 downwards.
TGACAGAGCAAGACTCCATCTCAAACAAACAAACAAACAAACAAAAAAAAAAAACAAAAAAATCCAAAAAACCAAAAACAAAGAAATAGCAACTTTGGCAGCAAAATTTAATTTACTAACTAATTAAGCAGCCTCACTGACATTTCTACTTTGATTCCCAAAGTACAGTATTATCTGTCTGTGCACTCGGGGTCTCTCTCGGGGTCTCTCTGGTAAAATGGACACCGTAAATGTCCTGTGCCAAGCCCACAGTCGAGGAAGGATTGCGGAATGTCCTGCAAGCAGCTCATGGCCTAAGACATTCGATTTACCTCCAAAACACACACAGAATTAGAAAAACATAGTTTGCCCGTGTTGTTGTTTTCTTTCCTACATTTGTTATTTTTGCTTTTGGAATTGTAAGGGGAGGAAGGAAGAGAAGGTAAAATTACAAGGCAGAAGGAAGAATCTAGCAGGACTAGATGGAAGGAGAGATGATGCAAAGAACGGTGCCCATGGGGGATGGAGCTTGGGAGTGAGGCCCGCGGCCAAGAGGTGGTGTCGAGGGAGCCAGCTCAGCATGGCGCTGCAGCCTCTGTCCTTGGCGCTGGCATCCACATCATGCCTGCCCCGGGCCTTCTTCCCTCAGACAACCCAAGACATTTTCCAGCCATTCAGACCAGCCCCCAGCAGAAAATCCTGCAAAATGTGCAGGGGCATGTTGAGTCTGGGAGGCAGGTGCTCAGGGACCTACAGGGGCCGGGGGACATCAAGGTGTATTGCGAGGTGGCACTGGCCTGGTGGCAGAGCTTCCTGGCTGTGTTTTTGATGACTGGTTGTTTGAATTGTGATGAATTCGAGTATCTTTGCTGGGGTCAGGCACTGTCTCTGAGGGAGGCAGTTGCTGAAAAGGAGGCTTTGTTATTTTTCTCATTGTTTCAAAACACACATTTGGAGCTTGCTCACCCTGCAGCACTGATGAACTGGGGAACCTGATGTGGAAGCACGAATCTGAGGAGCTCGAGGGAGGAGGAAGCTGTGTGGTTTAGTGGAGAGAATTTGGAGAGTTTAGTGGTAGTCTTGGTTTTGCCAGCAGTGTGACCTTGAGCAAGTCCCCTAGCAGGTCCAATAGTTGCACAACTCCAGAAGGTGCCCCTAGCATTGCATTTTTTCTATGTGGATGGTGCCCCCTTCAGCCAGGAGTTGGTACTGCATAATCCTCCAGCCCTTAAGGGTCTGCAAGATCAGGGGACGGGACAAAATGATCAGATAAGAGTTTACAGTCAGAACATCTCCAGCACCGAGAGAAACTTCCATAGGCCAGCAGTGGAGCTAGGAGACTGTTAATAACAACGACAACAACAAAAGAGCAATGCAGCTCCCCAAAATGCACGTGGCTGTGGGAGTGTGCCGCCCTTTCTGGTATGTCCCAGAATTTGAACACGTTTTCCTGTGAGAGCATATACTTCATCTAGTAATGAAAGTAAATATGAAGGCCAGGCCAGGTGGCTCATGTGTGTAATCCCAGCACTTTGGGAGGCCGAGGCGGGTGGATCACCTGAGGTTAGGAGCTCGAGTCCAGCCTGGCCAACATGGTGAAACCCCATCTCTACTAAAAATACAAAAATTAGCAGGTTGTTGTGGTGTGCCCCTGTAATCCCAGCTACTTAGGAGGCTGAGGCAGGAGAATTGCTTGAACCCAGGAGGCAGAGGTTGCAGTGAGCCAATATCTCACCACTACACTCCAGCATGGGTGAAGGAGTGAGACCCTGTCTCAAAAAAAATAAATAAATAAAAATAAAAATAAAGGAGAAAATGGGGTTCGCTGCGTAGAAATGCATATTCCAACCAGCTCTGCGCAGTGGGATTCCCAAACTCTACTGTGCGCAGGTTTGGCCCCTGGGTGGAAGTCACTTGATCTTTACTGAATGCCTACTACGTGCCAAGCATGATGCTAGGTGCTTTAAAAATACTGTATTTATTTATTAGTTTTTCCTCTTTATTTTACATTCATTCTTTTAAAAAAATTATTTTAAAAAATTATGGTAAAATATAAGAAACAAGATTTACAATTTTAAGCACTGTGGCATTAAGTACATTCGTATCGTTGTGCCACCATAGCCCTCCTCTTCTCCAGAACTTTTTTCATCTTGCAAAAATGAAACTCAGTACCCATTAAACAGTAACTCCCCATTGCCCCACCCCCAACCCTGACAACCACCATATGCCAGGTGCTTTTGAATACAGTAGTTCATTTAATCCTCTGCCACAGGTTAGGAGCTCTAGAAGCAGATGCTCAGACAGAGTCTACGGTGCAAGATGCCAGGGAACAACATCCAGGAAAGGAAGGAGAATTCAGGATTAGTGTGAAGGAGAAGTTGAATGGCCAAGCAGACCCAACAAAGTCTTGGCTAACCCCACTGGAAACTCTGGCATGTGTGTCCCACCTCTGGCCAAAATGGTGGGGGGCCCTGGAAGGGTCTTGGGCAAGGCAGCGGGGTGGGGAGCTGTCTGCTGACTGCATCTCCCCAGCCCGGCAAGTGGGGATCCTGGAAGTGGCGCATCTCTCTGACTACCACATCCTCATAGGAACTCTTGGAGTTAGGTGTTTTTATTTGGGTAGCTGAAGAGACTGATGTTCAGAGAGAATAAATGGCTTCTTCTTCTGTCTGCACGTAACCTAACCCATTAGTGGTAGAGCCAGCATCAGAACCTAAGTGGAGGAGGGAGACTCAGGTCCTGATTTTAATGAATACATTTTCCACAAGCTCATGCTGGGGATGAGAGGCGAGAGCAGGAGAGGGATCAGAGATGTGTGACAATGTTCAATATTCAAGGCATCCACACTATTTTTTGGGGACACACACATCTAAACAACCACTATAATGAAAGTCCAATCCGTGCAACAGAAGGACTAAGGGAAGAGCAGCAAGTTGTCTCTAGGGGAGCTGGGAGGATCTCTCAGGAGTGGCTTTCAAGCTGTGTCTTAAAGAATGCTTTGGCGTTTGTTGGGTGTCATAGAGAGGGAGGGTTACAGCTTGTGCAAAGGCTTCGGAAAAGATCAGTGTGGACAGTGGCCAGGGCCTCTTGAGAGAGCCATGCTGTCACTGATGTGGGTACACAGGGGCGGGGGCAGGCAGTAGCTGGAGCTCCCTTCTGCCAGCCTGGGAGAAGCTCCCGAGAGCCACCGCACGAATTCCAGGCCCTGGAAATTAGATGGGGAAAAATGGATGTGCCCTTGTCCTCATTTGGGGGTTTGGGTTATTAGCCAGCACAGTTCTCCCAGAAAATCGAAGCCAGAAGTTCATGTTGGTTTTTACGTTCTTCCTTTCACAGAACTCAAAAGACCATCCCCCTGCCCCTTTTTAACATTAAGCCAGATGCCTAGAGTATGGAGTCTTTGGAAGAAACTCTCTACCACAAAGCTCTCTAAAATGGAATGTTCATTTTTCTCTTGATTCTATTAGTGTGTCTGATTATGAAGGAAATTTGATTCTGTGTTTAAAAACAAAACAGAACCCAGCCAAACCAGCTATTTGGCGTTATGTAAACCAAAGAAATCCAGTTTCTTGTCACTGAATCTCTCCCCTTTAGCCAGCTATTTTATCATCATCACATAGCCAGTGTTCGGCCTCTCTTGTTTTTTGTAAGATGGAGTTTTCAGCGTATCAACTCCTTTATTTATGTAATGAAAGGAATCTCTAAAGTTCCTTCCAGGCCTGGGGCTCCAATCCCCAGGGAACCTGCCCAGTTTTCTTTCTTTCTTTCTTTCTTTTTTTTGAGACGGCATTTCGCCCTTGTTGCCCAGGCTGGAGTGCAGTGGCAGGATCTTGGGCAACCTCTGCCTCCCGGGTCAAGCGATTCTCCTGCCTCAGCCTTTCGGGTAGCTGGGATTACAAGCATGCGCCACCACACCCAGCTAATTTTTTGTATTTTTAGTAGAGACGGGGTTTCACCATGTTGGCCAGGCTGGTCTTGAACTCCTGACCTTAAGTGATCTGCCCACCTCAGCCTCCCAAAGTGCTGGGATTACAGGCGTAAGTCACTGCACCCGACCCAGTTTTCTATATGTTTACATGTTGCATGCAACGGTGAAAGAGAGAAAGTTTCACCGACAGAGGAGTCTCACACAGTTTTGGGATTCCTCCTCAGTCAATGGTAGGCACAGGTGAGTTGAGAGGCTGTCTTACACCCATCCTGGTGACAGCCAGCTTTGTCCTGTGACTTAGGTGCGGGTAGCTTGACTCTGGAAGTCTGGCCCCCTTCTATACCTTCCAGAATGGGTTTGTTCTCGAACAAGAGCTTGTATGGGAGAAAAGCACCTTAACTTGGCCAAATTCAGCCCTAATCTTGAGGACAGGTTTCCAGTTCCCTGCGTATGAGCAAAGGGGGAATGGGGCCAGGATGGAGTGTGTCTCTCTGCACGTTTGAAAGGCTGTGTACAAACAGAAGGCCTGGCCTCACTCCTCAGACCTCAGGCAGGCCTCTGACGGGTTGAGGACTGCAGCCTGGCATAGCTCCTGCCCACCAAAACCGGAGGGGAGAGGGAGATGAAAGATGGAAAAAGTGGCTGGTTTCAAAGCATATGGCCTGTAGTTTTTCAAACGTTTTTAATTCCTAATTCGCACCTCTCTTGTTATCATCACACACTGTAGTAGCCAATGGCACTTCTTTTTGCTTTGACACTTGACATTATTTTAGGCCTCTGCTCCTCCTTTGGCTTCCACAAGGGCATTCTAATTTCAAAAGAAAAGTTCATCTGGAATAAGTCCTGTGACTGGCCCCTCTGGCACCCAGTCGGGTTCAACAGGTGTCTGTTGAATGACTAAATGAATGAATGAAGCAAATCCCTTCAAAAAGTTCGGCGACATCTTTACTCTCAGCAAAATTTCCCCATTTCCTTCTTAAACTTGGGATTACCACTTAGAGTGGCCTCCAGGGATTCCCAAGGGAAATCGGCAAAGTTGATTTAACAGTTTTGCCAAAACTCATAACCAAAAAGCTACCATAAAGGGAATGTTCATTTTCCTCTTGATTCGAATACTGTGATTGAACAAAGTGGGCGATTCGACTGGAGGACTGAAAAGCAGGGGACCGGGATCGTCCCTGCGTCCCTCGGGCTCGCGGCCAGGCGGTGTGAGGCCGGGGCTTCGGTCAAGGAGACCACGACCAGGGAGCTGCACCGGGAGCCTGCGGGGCCCCTCGGGGCTAGTCGTTCCGCGTGGCTCGGGTGCGGATTCGGGGCTGCAGGGACCCCAGGGCCGGCGGGACCCCAGGGCGGGCGCAAGGGCCCTGCGCAGGTGTCCGGCCTGCGCGCAGGGTGCGCGGGGGTACTGGGGCCTGGGAGACCCGAGAGAGACGTTATTGTTACAGTGTAACGAGTCTGATTAACATGCTCCTGACACTTTCTCTTAGTTTCTCGGGCTCCTAGCAACAGCGCACAAAGGCGCGGGATTGTCCCGGGCTCCGCGGGGACACGGGGCCGCCTTTGATCTGCCACCATTACAGCCGGGCTGCGCGACAGGCGCGCGGGCTCCGGGCGGCCCGCGGCGGGCGGGCGAGCAGGGCCCACAGTCCAGGCCTCCTGGGCCGCCACACTCCTCCTGGCCCGGCCTCGGCCCCGGCTCCGCGCGCACCGGGGGCGCGGGCGACGAGGCCTCGGGGCTCCGCAGGGCTCGGCGTCTGCGGCCACCGCGTGTACCCCGCGCTCCTCCTGCCCGCGGGGCCGCCCACCCCGGCTCGCGGTGCCCTTCCGTCGGAAGAAGCAAAAGTCAAACCCAGCCGGTCACTTACAGTGGAAAAAAATAAAAATCATTTAAAAGGAAGGGCATGAATGACAAAGAAGTCCCCAAATGATTTTGGCAAAACAAAACGAACTCGCCCCGCAGGTTGCAGCGCGCTTGGCGGAAACGGGGTTCGAGTGGCCGCCGCCGCCCGGGCGCTAACGACGGCTTCGGCCCCTTCCTGCAAGTCGCTCTTTACGTCGTGGGCAATTCTTACTGACTCGGAAGGCGATATGCTGCCAAATAACAACTGGAATTTAAACAAACGAACACCACCCCCTCCAAAACCAGCCCGCGCAGAGCTGCCGGGTCCCAAGCGCGGGCTCGCCCGCGGGGTCTGGGAAAGTCACTGATCCTCCGTGGGGACCGCGCTCAGGTACGCCGCTCCGCCCGCGGGAAAGACAGCGCGGAAAGAAAGGCGAAGACTTTCACGCTGAAATGCTGGGGTCTGGTCCTGCCTCCCGCCTCCCCGCGAAGACGAGCTGGGAAGCCTGGCAGCGGCTCCGCGGGTCACACCCGACCCTCGGCCGCGTCCACGAGCTCGGGGCCTGCGGGCCGTCTCAGAACCTGTTTTGTGCAATTAATTCATTGCTTTTCTAGTACTAGAGGAAAGAAATAAAACACAGAAGATTCAGTTTTCCAAGGTAAACCGAAATCATAAAAGCGGAAGGTCCTTCCAATTAAAACAAACCCGTATTTTTTTTCTCCTCGTGGCATCATCAGAAAATTACAATGTCCCCAATGAAGAAAGTCAGTTTCCCGAACTCCCGCAAAACGACCGGGTGCAAAAGTGTGAATGATAATAATATGTCTATTTTAGAGACGGGGGAAAACGACATGGTTTGTTCTATCTGCCCAGCGAAATATGCCACGGAAGGAGTTACTTTCAAATTCAAATCGGAGGCGGTGAAGTCTTCATCCCGCAGGACTGTTTTCCCAGCCGTCCCTGGAGGAGAGGAGGGGAGGGCGGCCGGGAGGACTAACACTGGGACATCAGACGGGAACGCTCCCGGATGCCGAGAAACTTCCTAACTTGTGCTCACAGACACTGCCTGACTCTGACTGGAGTTCCCTTCACCATTTCAATAAAACATGACTGTATTGATATAATCCTCTATACATTAAAATGAGGTTGTCACAGATTGTCATTAAGACCTCAGTAAAACAATGAAGACATTATTGGGCACCCCCCCCCCCCCCCGCCTCAGGCAAGGTATTAGGGGAATAAAGCAATCTACACCACACGGGTCCTATTGAGATTAATGAAAAAATTATGCAAAAAAAAAAAATCTCAATTTCATTTTCCCGTGACGGGGCTTTGCATACATACAGTCAGTCTTGCCTTGCACCTGATGATTTATTAAACTAATCTACAGTGATCACCACTGATGTTCCCAACTCAGTCTTGTCCCGGCTCATTTTCTAAGTAATTGTTTCTCATTAGTTCTGATAATGTTTTAATAGTGTTACCCATAATTTAGACCCCAAGAATTAATAACGGGGGTGATATGGCTAAGCGGCTTGTGATGAGCTACACAAAACATAAACAGGTATGGTTTCTAATGAATCAGATTAGCTGCAAGGTCCTCTTCCTGTCACCCACGCCTGGCTCAGGAGTCGGGCAGCTCTCACTTCCCCGTGTCGGGGGTGCCCAGTGAGCCCAGTGGAGATCACACACCCACCCTTGACTGCTCTCCCACCTTTCCCAGGGTACCTGGGCCCACCCATGGCACCACAGAGACGCGGGTGGGGAAAGAGGGGGAATACCCTTTGCCTTCCAGCATCTTCTTCCTAGAGTTTTGTTCTTCAAGGACTAAGGCACCATGGGTTTCTGATCAGGACTGAACTCTCTTCTGGGACCCTCGTCGTTTGGGTCTCTGTTCAGGGAATGGGACTTTGGTCCAGATTTGTGGCTCTCATAGGTCTTAGTCTCATGATCCTACCCTAATAGGGACCATGGGTTATGAGGAAGATAATGAACTGGACATTTGGGGAGACTGAAACAAGGTGGTTTTGTTTGAACAAAGCAGTTTGGGATGAGGGCAGTGGCGTGGCGAGCAGTCCAATGTGGTTGGGACCTAGGAACCCGTGGCCTGGGAGTGGCCAGCAGCGGGAGGCCTAGCCGGTCCGGCCTCCGCACCACCCAGGGGCCTTGCGGAGGGGCCTGCTTTTCCCCAGGTCTGTAGGGCTCCTTGGCTGGGGACAGGAGGCTCCCAGTGAGGCCTTGAGGAGGCCCCTCTGTGTGGGGCTGGCTGGCTGGCTGCCTGTGGGGCTGGGGTGGAGACTAGAACGCAAGCCCTTCATCCCCTCAAGCCAAGGGCTTCTTTGGATTAGGCTGGAGGATGGGAAGGTTAGTTAGATTGGGGTGAGGGCTGCCCATAGGAAGGACAAGGTGAGGTTTATTTTCTTCTTTTGCTTAGGGCCAGCTCTGCCTCCACTGCTTCTAACACCCTCAGCGGGTGCGTATGGCAGGGGCAGAGTGAGAGAGGCCTTCTTTTGCCTTCCCACTGCCAAGCCATCCTCCCATCCCTCTGTGTTCTGAGCAGAGGGGCAGACTGGGGGTGCACAGCGTGGTCCTGGGTTACCTGGTGTGCACCTGACTCCAGGAGTCCCATCCTTGGTGGGTCCTAGCTGCAACAATGGGTGCTCCTCTGGGAACTGCTGCTGCTGCCCCGTCTGGGGTCTGGAAGCAGTGTGGCTAGAGGCCATTCGGCTCTGAAGTTGGCGAGATGCCATCTTCCTCCTTCCGGCCTCTGAGTGAGGATGGGGCTAGCTCCCACCTTCCTTTCTGGCCGCTCTGGGGCAGCCCAGCGTGGCCAGTGTGGAGGGTGGCACTCCTCTATGAGGGACCCCACGGAGCATGTGCCATCTCCATTTAGGAGCTATCTGTCTCCTGGATCCTGTGTTTGAGAAATGAGTTGGTGTCTTCACAGAATGAGGATCCCCAGAGCCATCTTGCCCGGTGCTGGCTCCCCGCATGTCTGTCCCTCTCTGGGTGGGGGTCGCCTGGTGGCGGTGGGACTCTGCGGCCGCGCTTTTGTGTGATGGTGCCTCTCCTGGTGTCTAACCTCAGCTCCTCACCTCTCGGGCTTCCTGTGGGAATTGAGAGAAGTGGGGAAAAGGGGAGGCCTGGTTGGGGCTCATGCTAGGGGCCGCAGAGGAAATAATCCAAAAGGGCGTAGGAGGAGGTGAAAAATGAAAGTAAAAAACAACTGTTTTCTATTTACAAATTTAAATAAACAGAACAGCCTTCCCCGCGGTGTTTGTCTAAGAGTAGCAGCGTTGCTGCTGTGTAGGTCATGAAAAGGTTGGTGTAGAGTTTAAAACTTCCCATTCTGTTAATTTCTTAAGGAACAGTCGTCCAGAGTCTCGGCACAAAAGCTCATGATTTAATGAGGAACAGAAACAAAATCTCTGATTGTTGGTGTTTCAAACTTCATTGGCGTCCTCTGGCAAGCACAAGTTGATCCCTCTGCAGCTTCAATACCCTTTAGCCTTCAATATAAGAGTACATGCTGAATAGGGAACAATGGCTGGTTGTTATGTTTATTTACCCTTACTACAAGCTGGGTTAACCTCTTCAAAACAGCTTTACTAAGCCCGTTAACCACACCACCCATCTGACCTGCAGCCGCATCTCTAATGTGATGCAAATCTCGCAGGGGCCACATGCACCAGCTCGGGTGCATTGTGTCTTCTGAGACGCTACAAGTTTATGACTGAGGGAGTCCTGTCCCAGCCATACATTTCCAGGGGGAAATAGCCTCAATGGCAAACAGTTAAACGGGAAAATAAAGGGGGAGAATGGATGGTCTTGTGTTTCTGCACATTTATTTTTTAATTGCCGGTAATGGTTGACTCACAGCATTCACCCAGGATGACAGCTTTCGTGTTCATCGTCTAGCGGTTCAAGGAGATGGATGTTTCGTTTTAGGGGTGGAGGTTAATAGTAACCAGTTTCGAAAGTTTATTTTCAGAAAGTGTCTTTTTAAGCCAATATAATACTTAGTATTCTTTTTTGATGCCATCTCTGTTGTTTTATCAGATTACTAGTGAAATAGAGATGACCCCTTAATGTTGCTACTATGTTTTAAAGGCCTGGCTTTTCTTAAAATTATTTGTGGTGTCAGCTGTATAAATGAACAAGCAGGAAACATTTACTAACATGAGAAGGGTGGAGGGAATATGTCTATTTGGGAAAGATCCATTTCATTAAAGACCTACCTTCGCCTCACAGCCCATCTTTCCCCAGGATCTTACCTCCCTGTGAAATCATAAGCCCATATTCGTAATACACTAAAAATGATAAAATCATAAGCTTGGATCCAAAGGGAAAAGCGTTCATTTTTTTAGGGGAATAACTGGCCAGTGAGACAACAACAACAAAATTGTGATTAACATGAACTGTAAATGGAGTCAGGTCCCAATCTGGCATCCTAACAAGTTGCTTTGAGTATTGTGGTTTGTCTTTAAGAACCCCACTGTATATGTTCAGCCCACCTGATGACAGCTTCATTTAACAGATCATTTTTCCTTGATGGAGGTGGCAAGCGTAACAGTGTTCTGGGCCTGCTTCAGTAATGGCATGTCGATCATACTCCCTTGGAAAGTAAAGGCCCCCTGGAAAACAGAGAATACAAACTTCCTGAAAGAATACTCGAAATTATAGGTTTCCTTTCTGTGCACACTTGTGCAACAAGAACATTTTAGATTCCACCTGAATTATACTGACTTTCCCGCCCAACTTTTGAGAAAGCCAAAGTAAATTACAGAGGAAACACTTCTTTTTTCCCCCTAAAGAGGGGAAAAAAATAAAAATCTTCAGCATTTTAATGGAGAGGAGAAACACATTGGACACAAGACAGCAAACTGTTCAGTTAACTCTTGAAATCAAGCAGAAAACAGCTGTGGAAGGAAAATCTAAATACTTCCCTATATATTTTTGAAATATTATGTAGAACTTTAAAAGCAAGAATATATTCTGGCAACTGATTATTGTTTTAAAAAATTGTACCATCAGGCTAATGGCAAAATCTTACCTCCTTGCTGTAACATAATTGAGAGGTAACATGATAAGGTTATGAGAAAATGCAAGGTAGGATTGTACAGGGTACAAAGAGATGAGTCTGTTGGTAAACCCATACAGAAGACGATTAGAGTGACCAGGGACGGCCAGGCGCAGTGGCTCACACCTGTAATCCCAGCACTTTGGGAGGCCGGGGCGGGCGGATCACCTGAAGTCAGGAGTTCAAGACCAGCCTGGCCAACACGGTGAAACCCTGTCTCTAATAAAAATACAAAAAAATTAGCTGGGCATAGTGGTGCACGCCTGTACTCCCAGCTACTCGGGAGGCTGAGGCAGAAGAATTGCTTGAACCCAGGAGGTGGAGGTTGCAGTGAGCCAAGGTCACACCACTGCACTCCAGCATGAGTGACAGAGCGGGACTCCATCTCAAAAAAGAAAGAAATACCAGGGACATGAGCTGTAACAAAGGAATCATAGATCTGTTGAATGTTAAGATGGGAAGGCATCTCTGAAATCTCTTGGAATAGTCCCATTTTACAGACTCATTTTTTAAAAAACTTCTACCATACTTATATAGACTGTGTCAAGTAACCTAAGCCCTGTTTTAGATGAGGAAACTGAGGCTCAGAGTAGTAAAAGAAGGAAAAAAAAAGAAGTGATCTTCCAAGGTCATGTGACTAGGGAAAGCCAGAGCTGGGGCTGATGCTTGGGTCTCAGAGCTTCAAGCCTTCATCAGAGATCCCCACATTAAGAAGACAAGGTAGCTTCTTTAAGTGCATCAGCAAAAGATAGATTAAACGGACAGAAAGCAGCATGCTCAGAACCCAAAGTTAATGTCTGGTTATTTGTGTTCTTTTCATCACTTCCTTTTGCTGCTTACGATGATATCCCTTCATCCTAATCCACCCTGCTTCGACCTGTTGGCAAGGATGCTGGTGTGACTGGGTTGCAGGGGTCCTTCGAGATCTGGGGGTGGCTGGGGCAATCCTAATGCACATTGATGATGGTCCATTTGCATCTATTGTAGCCCATTTCTGGATTTCACAAGTACCAATTCCCAACAGTCAATGCTGATGTCACTCAGGGCTGCCGGGACAGGAGTGCTGGGCTCTCATGATGAGGGCTGAGAGGTAGTAACTTACGGTTATACATAGGATGGAGGTAAAGAAAAATGGGGGGAATCCTTAGCAATGACTTTTGGGATTTATCTTTTGATTGAGAGAGATTCTAAGCCTACTAGGATTAGAATTTTTACCAGCAGTGGCCAACCTTTTCAGCCTTAGAAATGATGACTCTTACTCACATGAACACCTGTGTGGCCTAAACCTAAATTCCTGTACTGTAAGTCACTTCCCAGCCCTCTTGTTTTTACTGTTTTTACCCCTAGATTGTCCTTTCCATAATTTCATTCAGCCTCGAGCTAATTTTGGTCACCTCTGTGACCAGGAGGAATTTTCCTAATTTGGTTGGAAGTTCCGAGGTGGTCCTGTAGGTTGGCGTTACGTGGAAATCCGGGCCTGGGTCACATGCTGTTTTACAAGGCAATCGTCTAGTTTTCTTATTGGAGTAAATGATGAAGACCAAAGGCCTCTTGGTTATCCACCCACCAAGTGGGTTATGGCCCTGTAAAACAGCACATCTGTCCTGCTAGGGTTTAAACAATAGGCTGGGGAGACGAAATTAGCATAGATGCACAGGAAATCAAAACGGTGCGCAGAGAATCCAAACGGTGGCTGTGAGTCTGTGCCATGTTCCCGAACCTGCTTTGGGTTCCATGTGCACATCAAAGATAAAAAACACTTCATGTAGTTTTTCAAGACTGGGAGATTATTTCTTCTATGGTCGCAGGTTTTGCTTGATTTTCTTTAATGAAGCTTAAGGTGCAAAACGAAATGTAGCATTTTTCTTGTTTCCTGCATCACTGCAAATGGAGGATGGTAGTGTTATGAATGAGACTGCCTAGCGTGAATATCCCCAGGCTCTCACATAGCCACCTATAATTTAGGTGGTATTTTTTTAACATGTGGGTCTATAGGTGAGATGAAAAATAGTCTATTGGTCAGGATTTAGAAAAATGCAGTTCATCAAAAAGCTACTTGGATTTTTGAGGAGGGTTTGAAATCTTCCTTAATGATTATATTTTATATTTATTATATATTTTTTGAGACTGAGTCTCGCTCTGTTGCTCAGGCTGGAGTGCAGTGGTGTTACCTCGGCTCACTGCAACCTCCGCCTCCCGGGTTCGATTCTCCTGCCTCAGCCTCCCAACTAGCTGGGACTACAGGTGCGTGCCACCACGTTTGGCTAATTTTTTTTGTATTTTTAGTAGAGACTGGGTTTCACCATGTTGTCCAGGCTGGTCTCGAACTCCTGGCCTCAGCTGATCTGCCCACCTCGGCCTCCCAAAGTGCTGGGATTACAGGTGTGAGCCACTGCGCATGGCCTCATGGTTAAATTTTTTAACACCCATGCTACTGTAATAATAATAGCTATAATTTTTTGAGCAGTTCCTAGTCTGGGGCCTGTTGCCTGGCACTTTACATACATTATTTCATGTAATGCTCATAACAACACTTTGAAGTAGATACCATTATCCAACCCCAGTAAAACTTTTTCTTTTTAGTTGTGGCAAAAACATAAAACATAAAATTCACCATCTTAGACATTTTTAAGTGTGCAGTTCAGTAGTGTTAACTCTATGTACATTGTGCTACAGATCTCCAGAGCTTTTCCTTCTTGCAAAACTGAAACTCTGCAGCCTGTGCATGGTGGCTTACGCCTGTAATCCCAGCACTTTGGAGGCCAAGGCGGATGGATCACCTGAGGTCAGGAGTTCGAGACCAGACTGGCCAACATGGTGAAACCCTGTCTCTACTAAAAATACAAAAATTAGCTGGGCATGGTCGTGGGTGCCTGTAATCCCAGCTACACGGGAGGTTGAGGCACGAGAATTGCTTGAACTTGGGAAGCAGAGGTTGCAGTGAGCTGAGATCATGCCGCTGTACTCCAGCCTAGGTAACAGAGCAAGACTCCATCCTAAAAAAAAAAAAAAAACCCCAAATCCCTGAAACTCTGTATCTATAAGACAATTCTCCATTTCCATGTCCCCCTGCCCTCAACAACCACCATTCTACTTTTGACAAGGATCCCAAAAGTAGAATCCTTGGGTTTCACTCTGTCACCCAGGCTGGAGTGCAGTGGCGTCATCACGGCTTACTGCAGCCTCGACCTCCCAGGCTCAGGCCATCCTCCTGCCTCAGCCTCCCATGTGGCTGGGACCATAGGTGTGCACCACCATGCCCAGCTAATTTTTTATGTAGAGACGAGGCCTCCCTATGTTGCCCAAGCTGGTCTCAGTCTCCTAGGCTCAAGTGATCCTCCTGCCTCGGCCTCCCAGAGTGCTCGGATTACAAGGCATGAGCCACTGCTCAGCACCATTCTCCTTTCTGTCTCTGAGTTTGTACTCATCCCCTTTTAATAACTGAGGAAACTGAGGCAGAAGGAGCTTAAGAACCATGTGCAACTTAGCCCTGCAGTTAGTAAAGATATAATAGAACAGGGATAAAGCTGACTCTATCTAATGCCAAGCCTGTGCTCTTAGGGGCCTGGTGATTGAAAAGGGTTCTCTGAGTGTGTTCTGTGACCCCCTGAATCAGAACAATGGGCGGGGGGGACTTGTTAAAATGCAGATTCCTGGGCCCAGTGCCACGTGGTTTGTGCAGAAAACCTAGAGGTTGACTAGGACTCCTCTGGTGATTCTAATGCACATTCACGTTGAGAACTTCCGTGTTTTAGCTCCCCCAGGTAGAAATGGTTAGGCTGGCTTGGATATGCAGGTCTATAAACTGAAGAGTCCTCTTGCAGCCTTCTGTAAATGATGCCTTTCTCTTGTAAGGCATCCCCAAGATGCCAAATGGCAGAATTTCCTTAGGTTAGTCACCACTTATCCATTCATCCATCAAGTATGGACCGAGCAGCTCCCTTGTGCCAGGCCCTGGTGAGTCACTTGGGACAGTGAGAGGATGAGACTTGGCCCTGCCCTCTGGGAGCTTACCATTTGCTGGAGGGGAGAGGGAAGGAAGAAGCAGGTGCTACCTGATGCAACAAGAATCGGAGAAAAGGCCAGGGTGGTGAGCACAGGGACGATCTGAGGGCCTGCCATGGCTGCACTTCTTCCCAATCAGGGCCATCTTTGCGAGACTGCACTGCTCACACAGATACGACATTGGGTACCTAGAGCAATGCCAGGCATCTCCACGCGTTGCCGTGGAACTCCGGACGCAATGGGCTTTTATTTGACAGTTACCTATGGCGTTATTTGTTGTAATAAATCACTGGTCAATTGCTTTGCACATCTTACTATACATATGTCTATGATTTCAGACTCCTGGAGGTGAAGGCCAGTATCACCATAGCACACGTGTCTTCCGCGTAGGAAGGAAACAGTCACCATCGAACTGTAGTTTTTCTGACACCTCGGCCATTGCCCGTGGATCAGATAAGCACTGACATAATCTGACTTACAATTTGATGGTGAAGGTGATGATGATGGCGTGATGACAATAGTAATCACATCTATGGGAAATTGTCATATATTTTGCATTTCTGGTACTTAGTACTTGACTTTTTTCTCCATAGTCCTAAAAGAGTAATTTTCTAGAAACCACAAATTGATCTAAGTCTTTCCCTATTCACTATGTTTCCAAATTAACTTCTGTGGATACTGAAGGGGTTCCTTCTGGCACATTCTGATGACGGTGTTGCTGTGGCTTCCTGAGAGGGAGTTCTCTGTGAGAATTAACGCTAATATTTGAATACAGCGGCTAGAGTCCTTTTTTGGGGTATCACCCTTTTCCCATATGGTGCTAAGTCTTTCTGCTCAATGAATGAATGACTGGCCTCACAGCAGTTCCCAGGGAATTCCTAAACTTCCAGCCAGTGTTGGCCGTGATCAAATTTCTCCTCGAGATCCTGGCTGTGCCTTCCACTTGCTAAATCTCTCAGCCCAGCTGTGGCCTCCTGGGATACGGCTCCTCCTTACCTACGAGGTCAACAGCGCCCTGAAACTCCTCAGGAAAGGCGGAAGATGATGCTCCCGGAGACACTCTCATGGGCACTGTTTCATTCTTCTTTCCTATTTTGCAACTTCTCCCACTTGGAGAGTCCTTAGAAAGGCCCTCGTGTGCCCTTGGTTCCCTCTCAGTTTTGTTGTGACATTCATTTTAAGGATGTCCGTTTGGGTGCCAGGCACCCTCAGCTCAGTGAGGCTTCCCGGCTCCAAAGCTGGCTCCTGGAGCTCTCAGGGACATGGTGCCAGGATGTTTATAGGGAGTGGCACTTTTCTAGTTGGGAGCGTGCTGTTATCTTTCTAAAACAGATCTGATGGAATCATCCACTTGCTTTAACCCTGCCATGGTTTTCTTTGGACTTGCAGAATTAAGTGCAATATCTTCAGTGGAGACCCAAGCCTGCCCATGATGGGACCCTCCCCCCTCAGCCTCATCTCCTGCCAGTCCCCTGAGGCCTGTACCCCAACACACACCACGCTGCAGCTCTGCCGCATGCCCTGTTCTCTCTCTGAAGGCCCTTTCCCTGTCTGGCAAACTCCTCCTGATGCTTCCAGATGTCAAGGTGTCACCTCTGTGAAGTGTTTTGAGGCCTCCTTGGTAGAGCAAATCCCTCTCCACCCTTTCCCTGTACAGCTCTCTGTATAGCCTGTGTTCCCATCTAGTGAGAGTATTTGTTTACATTGCTGTCTTTCACAACACTGTGAGGCCCCTGTGGGGAGGCGCCAGGCCTCACGTACCTTTGACTCCCAGGACCTGGCACCCAGCACCCAGTACCTGCCAGGTACACGGGAGATGCTCTGTGACCGCTGACCTGGTGATGATGGAAAAGGCTGAATGCAAAGCCAAGAGCAGCAATACCGACCTACCTGAATAGAAGGACACAAGTTCGGTAGTTGGTGATTTGGGTCACTCTTTTTCTTTAATTTGGGACCTTAGGGAAGGGACTGTAGTTGTCTGGGCAAAGCTTTGCTGTCACACATCCCTGCTGAATCTTTAAGTCACCTGGAATGTGCAGTGAGGCTTCATCCCAGCTGGTCTCAGGGATATGGGGCTCTGCCTCCCACCCCATCAAACTCTGCAGGATGCCCTGGCCCACACCTGTGCCTATCAGCTCCCTGCATTGACATGGATGCAGAGCCTACTGCATACCTGGCGTGCCACAGGCCCAGGGACTTACGACAGCAGGCAACAAGGCAGATGTGGTCCCTGACCTCACAGGGCTTCCAGTCTAATGGCGGGAAGGACATTAAATAGACAGTGATAGAAATGACTATTACTTAAGAACTAGAACGTTTGCTCCAAAAGCAAGGCACAGGGGAGTTGAAGAGTAACTGATAGGGGACCTAACCTGATCAGGTGGGGCATCCTGTGGGACGTGATGTTTAAACTGACATGTGAAGGGTGAGGAGCAGCTAAGCAGGGGAAAGGGTCAGGAGGAGGGAAGGAAGACAGACCAGGGCACATGATGGCTCTCTCTGGGGCGTGAGCTGGGTGATCGAGGGGACAGTGATAGGAGAAGACAGAATCACCCCAGGTCTCCACAAAGCTTTCCAGCTCTGAGCTCACCCTTTTCCTCTCCTTTATCTGCACATGTCTCTCTGTGCCCCTGATCTGGTAATATTCACTGGTCAGTTGGCCAACACTTGCTGAGCCTCTGGTAGGACACCATGGCTGACTTCAAAACTGGTAATGTCGGGGCCAGTGTGGTAGTGTAATCCCAGCACTCTTGGGCTGAGTGGGGAAGATCGCTTGAGCCTGGTCAAGGCTGCAGTGAGCTGTGATCACACCACTGCACTCCAGCCTGGGTGACAGAGTGAGACCTTTTCACAAAAAGAATTTTCATGTTGGCTTGGGCTCAAGTTAACTCATGCAAATGACTTAACAGTTAAAGGGCAAGTGAGTTTATGATGTTTGTGGTGCTTCAGGGCCAAGGAGCTGCAGAGAGAAGGAGCTATCACAATGGTGCTGGTTTGGCCAGGGAAGGGCTTCAAGGAACAGGTATTTAAAAGTCAGCTTTAGAAGGTCAGGGATGCCAGGAGACAGGAGAGGGGCGTGGGGACTGGAAGGGGACACAGAGAAGTGTGCATGGAGTCGGTTTTCTTTGCTCTGCAGGAGCCTTGTGTCTCTGGTCACCAGTGACATAACAGACACACAAAACTAAGGGGTGTGGTAGGAGACACTGGATCTTTCTGTGGCTCTGTCTATGGCTCAAAAGCTGTCTCCTAGAGCCTGAGGACACGCAGCCTACTCCAGCCTAAATTAAAGCAATCTGGAAGAGAGATGACATTTTAAAATATTGGTTCTGCTATTTTTTTTTTTTTTTTGAGATGGAGTCTAGCCCTGTTGCCCAGGCTGGAGTGCAATGGCATGATCTCGGCTCATTGGAACCTCTGCCTCCCTGGTTCAAACGATTCTCCTGCCTCAGCCTCCTGAGTAGCTGGGATTTCAGGCGCTCGCCACCACACCCAGCTAATTTTTGTATTTTTAGTAGAGATGGGGTTTCACCATGTTGGCCAGGCTGGTCTTCAACTCCTGACCTCATGATCCACCCGCCTCGGCCTCCCAAAGTGCTGGGATTACAGGGGTAAGCCACTGCGCCCGGTCGGTTCTGCTATTTATTAGCTGCTTGACTTTTCTTATGACAAAGCACATAAAGACAGTCTCTATTAGACGAAGCTGGACTGAAACCCGGTGGGGTTCCTGTTCTTGCTACATGCACTGATGGGCCCACGTTTGCTCCTTCCTGGACCCTAAGCAGAGGAAGTTGAACCACCTGTTTCCTTTTCTTCACTCTGGGTGTTTTTCCTCTGTCCAGAGGTGGTCCGAGGATCCAACGATGGGGAAGCTAAGAGCTGGGCTGGGCTGGCCTGGCCTGGCCCGGCCCAGCCCTACTTCCGAGTGGGACAGCATGGATGGATTGTCTGGCACAGCTTTCTGGGCGCCAGGGGAAGGGTAGATCTAGGGGAAAGGATGTCAGTTTCCTTGAGGAGGAAATAGGAAGATTGTCTTGGCAACTATAACCTCTACTCTAGTTAACTATACCCTCAGTAAGCCCTGGAATATTAGTTTCCAAACTGAAAATTGGAGGAGGGTAATTCTATTAGGAAGACCCATTACCCAAAAAAGAGGTTTCATGTGATAGTACTTTATACTATTACAAAATATTCTTTTTTTTTTTGAGACAGGGTCTCACTCCCGTCTCCCAGGCTGGAGTGCAATGGCACGATCACAGCTCATCGTAGCCTTGACTTCCCGGGCTCAGGTGGTCCTCCCACCTCAGCCTCCCCACTAGCTGACTAGCTGGGACTACAGGCATGCCCCACCAAGCCTGGCTAACTTTTTGTATTTTTAGTAGAGATGGGGTTTTGCCCTGTTGTCCAGATTGGTCTTGATCTCCTGATCTCAAGTGATTCACCTGCTGCGGCCTCCCAAAGTGCTGAGATTATAGCTGTGAGCCACCGCGCCTGGCCCAAAACATTTTCAAAGACATTTTCTCACCTATAGTACAGAAGGCATGATTATTTAGTTTTACAGGTGCAAACAATGGGGTTCAGTACTAGTTAATCTTATAAAGGAACTTAAGAGGACGAGACTAGAATCTAAGGCTTTTTACCCCAAATCTCAAATTCTTCTTATTAATCATTGTAACCCAAAGTATGGCTGATAACTGGTATTTGGGATAATTATAAAGTTCTAATACAGCTACATATTTATTTTGTATATACTATGTATTTTAAATTATATTTAATGTAATTTATAAAAATAGCATATCTAAACTATTTCAGAAATATTATTACATAAGATGAGGCTAAAAATACATACAGATAATGTGCAGATAAGCAAATACGTGAAACTGCAATTTTAACAAGAGAATTTGGGCAAAAGTAAACTATAACATTTTTCATCCTGGGCTTCCATTTGAAAGTTCTTACTATAATTTATTACAATACCAGAAATACTAGAATTCAATAATACAATATATGAGTGACATTTTAAGTCTTAAAAACACCTAAAGCAGTTGTTAGGAGGATTGAAGGCAGTGATATTTGGTCCTTGTATAACATCTGAATATCAGTAACCCTTTGTTTTATGGATAAACATCTTTAAAAATTGTAATGAAGGCTGGGCACAGTGGCTCAACGCTTGTAATCACTTTGGGAGACCAAGACGGGAGGATCGCCTAAGCCCAGGAGTTCGAGACCAGCTTGGGCAACATAGTGAGACTCTGTCTTTTCCAAAAAAAAAAAAAAAAATTAACTGGATGTGGTGACACGCACCTGTGGTCCCAGCTACTCGGGAGGCTGAGGTGGAAGGATCACTTGAGCCCAGGAGGTCGAGGCTGAAGTGAGCCATGATCATGCCACTGCACTCCAGCAACAGAGTGAGACCCTGTCTCAATAATTAAATAAATAAACAACTGTCAGGAAGATAGTAAAAGAATATGACTGGAGACTTAGAAAGTATAGAACGTGTTTTTCATCTTTTTACACTTTAAATTGTAGTGATAATTTCATCGGTATTTTAATAATATTTTGAATTGAAATTCAGCAGCCATTCGTTCCTATTGCCAGATAATTTACGGATGCTAATGTATCTCTACATGAAATTTCTGAAAGTTCAACCGAAGTCATTCAACACAGACACCAATTCACATTGTGCTAATCTATGGTTACCTATCATGGAATTCAGACGGAAGACACTCCATGGCCTTTGATGGAGAAGCCCTTTAAATAATTCATAAGAATGTAACAGTGGGAATATCGGGTTTGGGGTGGGATGGGGTGGCATTCATGTTGCACCTGACTGGGAAGCACAGTGAAAAGCCAGACGGGAGCAGCATGCTGAGCAGCTGGGGAAGGCCCCGGAAAGCCCAGGTTCAGAGAGGGTGCTGAGTTTGGGGGTCGTGCAGGAGGTTGGGAGGATTCTGCACCCTGGGCAGTTAGTGGATTCATTTTCCAAGCTCTGAAAGGTGCAGAAGCCTGAAGAAGCTCCTCTTTATCCCTCCCGTCCCTTCCCCTGTAGCTCTCTGGCTGTCACTCAGAGGCCAGGGCCATGAGGGGCACGGAAGGGAGGCCTCTTGTGTTCCTGGGGCAGCTCCACCTGCCAGGTCAGTGATGGTCTGAGCAGGCATGGGGGATCATCTTCTCCACACAGAAACAGGACACTTTCCAGGATGGGCACAGCCTGCTGTGGCTCTCAGTAGCCTGTGGCTGCAATGAAGGGGAATGAAGCTCCCTGGAGAGAAAGGATCTGGCTTTTCTGGGGGTTTCCCTTAGAAGCAGCTTCATGCAGAGGTTAGGGATGTGGACTTTGGGCTCCATTACACCTGACTTTGAATCCAGGAATGCCTTTTCCTAGCTGTGTGATCCACAATGAATAAAGCTACCTTTCCCAGTCTTAATTTCTTCATCTGGAAAATGGGGATAATATCGCCCCTGTAGGGCTGCTGTGAGGATTACATAAAGTAATATATGCAAGGGCCAGGTGCAGTGGCTCATGCCTGTAATCCCAACACTTTGGGAGGCCGAAGCGGGCAGATCACTTGAGGTCAGGAGTTCGAGACCAGCCTGGCCAACATGGTGAAACCCCGTCTCTACCAAAAATACAATGAGCCGGGCATAGTGGCATGCGCCTGTAATCCCAGCTACTCGGGAGGCTGAAGCATGAGAATCGCTTGAACCTAGGAGGCAGAGGTTGCAGTGAGCCAAGATCCCGCCATTGTACTCGAGCCTGGGCAACAGAACAAGACTCTGTCTCAAAAAAAAAAAAAAAAATATATATATATATATATACATACACACATATATGGAATATGTTTTATATATATATAAATGGAAGCAGTTATGCTACCAGCACTGTCACTACTGTGGCCACACCACTGTCATGATGGCCACCACTACTGTTAGGAGTATGATGATCTCTCCTCTGGTTATTATTACCAGCCCCATGACCACGGCACACATGGTTACTGCTACCACCATTGCTACTGGTATTGCTACTGTTATTGCTGGCCAGAGATTATTTAATTCCACTTATCACAGAATGGCCCAGTGAGAAGCAGACTGTTTGAATTCTAAGTGGGTTTTATGATTTCAGAGTAGTTTTAAGACCTGCAAGAGTTTGAGAAACATCAGTGTTTTTGAAAATACAATGAATAGAAACAGGCTCATGCCTGAAGCTTCCTGTCCCCTCTAAACTCTTATAAATCATAGATTTAGTTGTCTCCTTAAGAAACTAGACTCAGGGATGCTATATATTTGGCAGCGCCTCAGGAGGAAAACAAATAAATTTAGAAAAATTAAAAAACTTAGAATATCAGCAGAGGACAGACGCTAATCAAATGCAGATGATCTGAAGTCCAGAGCTTGGCTTACACGGAGGAGGAGGTACTGAAACGCAGGACACCGTTCTTTCAGCAGATGATGGACCAGAAAAGGAAGAGGTGTAGCAAAGATGATAGCTAGACACATTTGTTCAAAAGGGAGGACATTTCTTGGAATGTGGAAATTGAGTGGATGTAAAATGAATAGACAGCGTTAACATTCTGCTTTTTACAAAGGCAGGATGAAATTATTTAGCTTTAGCTAAATAAATGGAAAGATGGGGCTAGAAAATAGAAAGATTTGTGTGTTGTTCTTGGCAAGACTAATTCAGGACTTTACCAAGAGTTCCAGGAAGTCGGGGGTGCAATGGGGAAGGAGAAGCAGTAGAAGGCTTGGAAGATGGATTTGGCAGGAGCAGGGCAGGAAAGGTCGAGGCGGCTGAACAACAGGGAGGAGAGCTGAGGTGCATGTGTGTGCCAGTTATCTGCATATGTGACCATCCCGAATCATCTACTTGCCCAGGTCTGGGTCTCCACGGACCAGAGCCATGCTTACTTTAAACGCTGATCCGAGAGACCAAGGTAGCCTTCTATTTTTAAAACTTTCCTCGGGGTCTAAACATGTAGATGGCAAGATTTCTCTTTAAAAATATTCAGGCAGAATAATCAGGCAAGAGTAGGCAAGTCTTTGTTTTCGATATCTTTTCACAAGGAAATCTGGAAAAATAAAGCCAAGTATGCTATGTAGAAAGCTATGTATTGAGGTGAAGACAATTGGATTTACAAGTGTATCAAAATCTAAGGGAGTTAACACATTTGCCATCAAATTAGGTTTTGTGCTTAATTTTCTCAATTTTTAAAGTGGCTTTATTGAGGTACGATTTGCATACCATAAAATCCACCCATTGTACGTGCATAAGTCATTGATTTTTTAGTAATTATGTAGAGTTCCGCTACTATCACCTCCATCTCAGATTTCTTTTTGAAACCAGAAATCTTCTTTAAAGATTTTTAAAAATTATTTTTAAAACCAAGACAAATGTGTAACATGCCAAATGTTTAAATGTCTTTATTTAAAAATGTTTGACATCAAATTTAAGCTCCTATTGCCTATGAGAAAAGCAAACAATGAATGCCATTTATAGCAGTTTGTAGCTAAGACCAATAATGCAGGCTTATTCTTTCTTTGGAAAACAGATTTAATGAGTTAACATTAACTAGAAGAGACTGAAAGATTTACTAAAATACTGGTACATTTTTTCAAAGCACAATTGATGAATAACAACTGATGAAATAATTGATGGAAACATCTTCTTTCAATTTTTCTAGAAGGCAGCAGAAGTATGTCATATATACTGTTAAAAGTACATCTAATAAATTTTTTTTTAGCATTGTCAGGAATTTGGAAACCAGTTAGCTAAATAATGTTTACTAAATGTGTTTCGTGTACCTATTTCTGCCCAAGATGCTGCAGGGAGGTGCGTGCTACGGTAGAGAGAATTCTTTATTCCCTAAGGTAGTGGTAAGAAATTGCCTCACTTTTTTTTTGAGGCCCACTGACCTAAAGTGGGGGAAAAAAAAGACAATTATAGAAATGGTTGCTTTGTATTTTTAATAAAATTCAGTATAAAAAGAACTACAAAATTCTGGGCTGGGCGCGGTGGCTTACGCCTGTAATCCCAGCACTTTGGGAGGCGGAGGTGGGCAGATCATGAGGTCAGGAGTTTGAGACCAGCCTGACCAAAATGGTGAAACACCGTCTCTACTAAAAATACAAAAATTAGCCAGGCATGTTGTGCGCCTGTAATCCTAGCTACTCAGGAGGCTGAGGCAGGAGAATCACTTGAACCCGGGAGGCGGAGGTTGCAGGGAGCCGAGATCACGCCATTGCACTCCAGCCTGGCTGGCAGAGCAAGACACTGTCTTAAAAAAAAAAAAAAAAAAAAAAAGAATTACAAAATTCTTTAATTAATACAACCAAAAAATAAATAAATAAAAGAATGCTCTGAAAGTCTCTAATGTAATTAGCTACAGGAAAGAAGGTGAGGGATGGCCTGGGGTGTGGAGATGATGTAGTGAGAAAGAAAAAGATGTAAAGAAAAAGAGGAAATGGAGAATTCAGGGCAAGGAAAATGAGGGTGGAACAGAAAGATACACACACAGACCCATCCATCCTTAGAGGGAGAAATACAGGAAGAGGAAAGAGAGGGAAAGGTGTCCAAGGAACAAAATGATCCTCTCCTGGCCATCACTTCGATCTTGCTGCCATAGGCACTGAACACCATGGGGTGTGTGTGGTCACAGGTGTAACTGAGAGTGTGACTCTGGGGACCTGTCCTTTGATGTCCTTGAGATGACACTGGGCTTTGGAGTAAATATGGCCTCTCTGCCAAAGGCTCCCCAGGCTTGCTCTGGGAGTTTCCAATCTATGTTGGGAGACTGAACGACTGATAACTAATGATGTGAAGTGGGGTTTGCAGTGAACAGAGCCTAGAAGGCTTCCTGGGGCAGGGCTGGGGGATGAGGGCAGGGCAGCACTGAGCAGGGAGGCGTGTGGGGAACGGCACGTGGAGACCCTGGTTTCTCTCTTTCCTCATTGGTTTCTGCTTATCCTCAAGAAAAGACATACATTGGAACTACCCAAATCCAGATTTTGATTGTGACTGAGTGCATTTAAGGCTCTATCTCGTTTTGGTCATGAGTGTGGGTATTCACTGTAATATTCAACTGAAGACACATTTATGATATTCCATATCTTTACTTACAAACTAAGCCCTGAATTCTGCTCGCAGCCCTCTCTCCACCTTGGCTGTGAGTGATACTGGGCAGCTTCTGAAGCCTTGCTGGGTTTCTGTGCATTAAGTCATAAACTGAAGGCATCTGACTAAAAGATTTCTGAGATTTCATCCAGCTAAAATAATGACATATTTAAAATCAAAATTGAGCAAATAAAACCCGGAAAAATATGAACCTGGATAAAGAATATTTTGATTAAAATATCCTTAAGAGTGTGTTATAAATTAAGGACAAAGCAAACAATTTAAAACATTGTCCGATTTAATCTACATTAAAAACACTCTTTTTTTTTTTTTTTTTTTTTGAGACGGAGTCTTGTTCTGTCACCCAGGCTGGATTGCAGTGGTGTGATCTTGGCTCACTGCAACCTTTGCCTCCCAGGTTCAAGTGATTCTCCTGCCTCAGCCTCTCAAGTAGCTGGGATTACAGTCACCCGCTACCACACCCAGCTGATTTTTTGTATTTTTGGTAGAGACGGGGTTTTACTATGTTGGCAAGGCTGGTCTCAAACTCCTGACCTTGTGATCTGCCCACCTCGGCCTCTCAAAGTGCTGGGATTACAGGTGTGAACCACTGCACCCGGCCTATTAAAAACACTCTTATCTTCTAATACCAAACCAGCCATTTGCCACTAAAAAAAAAAAAAAAAAAAAAAGTGAAATAGAATATGATATGATTTCAATACTTTGTAGCAATTCATTACTTTGCTTTAAATGTTTAAAATTTCGCAATTTTGTGTTAATCCATCCAATCTTAAAGTCATCATTGGCAGACTCAGATTTTCTAAGAACTGGACTTTTAAAAATCAAAATTATGGCCGATCTTTCTGAAAATGTTAAATGAGCAGGGAAATAAAGAGAAAAGTGCAATTACTAAGAATCTCTAAAACAGAGTTATGTCCCTTTATCTTTCATTTTCACTACAAACCTCTCAGCTCTGATTTTCGTGTTCCTGCTCATAAATCCAGAGGGAAGGCTGTGGGTCGTGGGCTGGATGGGTGTGGGAGGATACACTGTTGTCTAATAGTGGAATCAACCCTTTCAGTTGACAAAGACAACAACCACGTCTTTAGATGGTTTATTTGATCTGCGTGAAAGAGTGGCAGTGGGATTTCTGGCACTTGAATAAGCGGAAACAATATTTTTGGCTAGAGAAACTTCTCCTGAGTTCTCTCAGGGAGGCTTCTAGAAGGCCATCTGGACCAAGCAATATTTCTTTTGTAAAGCCTTGCATTTGGAAACAGAAATGAAAGGTGTGCGAGCAGCAATCAGACACCTATGAAAATGATGGGCTTTCAATATTTTGGGAGGAGGGATGTATTACTGTTTGTAAAGTTTCTAGATGAAGAGACTTACATAAGGAAAAAAACTCTTACTTTCCTTTTTCTTTCTTTATTAAGAGATGTTTCCAGTTTATATTCCAGCAGAAGATGTGCTTACTAATGTGAACTTATCAGCTTGCACTGTTTTTCTCTCCTGAGTGAAATGAGAATGTTGGTTGCGTGATGCTTACAGTTGTTAGGCCAGGTAGTGATCTTGTTTCTGACATTTGTAATTGTTAATTGAACCTAGAATTTAAAGATGAATACTTCCCCTTCCTCAGTCTTTAGCCAACTTGTGAAGCTATAACGAAGGAGAAATATTGAAAAAGCCAAACAAAATCCTTCCAAAACCAAACAAAGCACGTACAGCCATGATATGAATCAAAGAGAATGTCTGGAAAACTGAAAATGAAGCAAAGCCATATTTGTAGCCAGATACTGCAAAATATGAATATTCTAGCAGAGTATCTTTAAAATTTTGACACACGTAATATATTGTGCTATTCCTTCGCATTCTTCTGTTAGAGTCTCCATTTGGAAAGAAATAGTAAATTCCTATATTAACATTTCCTGTGATTAGTGACTGTTTTAAAAAAGCAACTGACTGTTTCCTTTAGCTGTCATTTTTGCCTAAGAGTGATGAATATGGAAAGATAAAAACTTTAGCACTAAGCTCATAATATAGATTTGAGGAAATACACGTTATCATACATACTTGAATGTTTATATGTTGTATAAACATGTATGCTATATGTGTTTATATAAAATTATTTCTATTGATATCAATATTAGATGATTATTTGCTTGAGATGTTTTCAAGTATCCAATTTTTACAGTATATAAAATTCTTTATTGATAAAAAAGAACTGTTGAAATCCTATTACTTTAATAAGCATATTAAATTCAGTTCTGAATGAAGAATTTTCAAATATTAATGGAATCACCATTATTATAAAAAAAGACATAAAAATGGAATTAACTTTTAAGAAAATCCTTTATAAATTTAAAACAAATCATGTGGAAATGATTTATCCTGCCTAAAGCATTTTACCAAATAATTTGAAACTAAAATAATTAATGGTATGCACGTTGTATCTCAAAAAACATTTTTCTGGAAGGATGGAAGAAAGTCAGTTTGATTAATATTGTGGATGGAAACCTTACAGCTGATGTCAGCTAAATTAAAAACATTTTAGTTTCTGGGAATTAACATAGGAGCAGAGATTATTTGGAATCTTTAAACTTTTTCCAACAGATTTTAATAAGATAAGATAACCTAGAGTCCCCAGTGTCAGTCTCTAGCCCTAACTCTGATTACTGGACTACGGTGCCAAGCAAAATTTTTTAGCCTGAAAATATCTTTCAGTTTCCTGAAACAAAGCAGCCACAAGAATCGCTGCCTGCCAAACAGGGACAGATGATATGAGCTGATTGTTATTTGTTTTAATGTAAAGTGATTGTCAACCAACATTATACCAAGGACACCAAACTTTATTTCCTTAGGACTTTTAATTAAAATAAACATCCCCAAAATTCTGTAATACCAAAGTCTGAACTCCAATAATTTATCTGCTCATGGTCTAAGTAGTCCCATGAATTTTGCCATTTGGACAGGACAGGAAGAAAGGGTAGAGCTTTTATGTTTGAATAATAGTAATGATTATTACTATAGAAAACACAAATGGCTCAGCACTAACTGTGAACTTCAGCTATACCTTTATGTTTGGCTAACTGTGAACTTCAGCTATACCTTTATGTTTGGGCAGGATATAATTTAAGATGAGAGCAGGAAGAAGTGCAGAAAAGCAAAGATACATAATTTTTCCTTCTTGGGTCATTTCTACTTAAAAGCATTACTTGAATGAAATTTTCATCAGAGGGAGGAAAAAGGTCTTTTGGAAATTTGTGACTGTCACACTAGGACACAAACCATCAGTTTCCTATCTTTGAGAGAGTCATCTGTGCTTTGGACAAAATATCTGAGGGTTCACGTGTTCATCAGTGATTCACATTTGACATAAAACAGACTAGATGTTTGTTGGAAGCAATACTTTATATAATTGTGCAACCTATTTACACAAAATCTTTACAAACAGAACCCACATTATTTAAACCCCAAGATCCCCTCAAGATCCAGAGTCACCTACCTGCAGATCCAATTTCTGTGACCGGCCAGTTTATAGGCAAAGTGAAAGAAACATGCTAACTGGATAAAATAACCATATGTCCCTACTGGAAGCCCCATTACTTGAATCATTTCAACCTTGCTGGACAAAACACCAGGAGAATTTGCTATAGGAAACAAACCTCCACAAATGGGGCAGGGA
Organism: Homo sapiens; assembly: GCF_000001405.40. Classification (NCBI taxonomy): domain Eukaryota; kingdom Metazoa; phylum Chordata; class Mammalia; order Primates; family Hominidae; genus Homo; species Homo sapiens. The sequence continues at coordinate 99,873,076 of NC_000013.11, read as the reverse complement.
AGAAATTACCTAATAGTTAGTCTCCCCTCTGCTCTAATTTCTATGGTTCTGTGTTAAGAAAAGCCATCCTGCCACACTGTTGTGAGAGCTTATGCCCCAACGAGAGGGCATTTCTTATTTAAAAAAAAAAAAAGTCCAGAATTGAACATTTAAGTTGCCATCATCAAAAGGTGTGAAAACTTTGGGAGCGTTTTCCCAGGGAACAACGCTTTTCAAGATACAATGGAAAAGGGCCATTTTCCTCATTCAAAAACTTAAATGCTGAGCAAAGCAAGTGTTTCTGGTTTGACTTCTGTTTGTTGGCTACTGAAATTCAGGGTAAACTCTCCCACACCCCTATCTGCTTACAATGCCAACTGCCCTCCTTTGATGCTACCCAATGTGAAACCCAGCTGGGATGGGTCATAGACACAGTGCTGGCCCAGACTGGAACTCTGCTCTCTCGTTTCAATGGTCCACATGCTGCCTCAGTTTCCTATTTCACCAGGAGGTGTTTATGACATGCCTGTCCTCAGCTGGCACAAGGCTTGTAGCAGAGGTATAGAGCATTCGGTGTGGGTATGCGTGGGCAGGTATGCAAGGGAAGGGGATGGATGGACATGTGAATGAGAGTCCGTGGCTCTTCGTTCTAGGTGAATAGATTTACTCATGGGAATCTTGATCTGGGGTTAAGACACAAAAATGGACACTAAACACAAGGTCAACTTAAAATATTGTTTCTATGAAATGCATTACTTTTCTGATGGCCACTGTTGATGGGAAATGGAAAGATGCTATTTATCATGAAATTGGTGTAAGTCCAAATTGGGTATTTCCAACGTAATATATTCTGCCTTTGGAGATTAAGTGTGAGTTTGTACAAAGATGAGCCTGCTGGTGTGTGAGTGTGCCCATGTGTGCATGGGTTGAATGTGGACATCCTTAGGGAATGACCCATTTAATATTGTTGCCCACTTTGGCAAGTCCTGGGATTTTCAGGTGTCCTTGCTGCCAGTGAAAAGTGCGAGGGACATGTCTCACATGGATGTCACAGGTTCAGGGTCACCACTAAAAACCAGTTTTTCTTTTTCTTTTTTTTTTTTTTTTGCAGGGGGGAATGTTTAATATTCAGAACTGTAATAAATTTTCAATATTCTTTCTCCTAAGTAATTTTGCATTATAGGTATCAAAACTTTACTCCTTCTGGAAGTCACAGGCTGAGTTTAGAGATTACCTCTAGGATAGATTTATAAATGTAACTTTCCCTCCTATCCTCTTAAAAAGAGGCAAACGGTATTATTGCAAATAACCTTTAAGATAATTAACTGACAATGCTGCAACTAGCATAAAATCTTCCTTCAGGCGACACCTAATTTAAGTGTTACTGGCACAAAGTGGAGACAGATTGTGCATTACCACTGCAATATTTACATAGCAGAAACCCACAGAGCAGGAAACGCGAGGCTCAATGATGCACTAAATTAGGAACAACCGTACTCCAGTGTTAATTTGCTTTCCATTCCATCCAAATCTCAGGTCCAGAAATTGGTACAAACACATATACAACCTCCCACTCTTAAATGACTAAACCGGAGGAGATTTCTGTACTTTTTTCCCCCCAAATTAAAATAACTTGCAATTTATTTCTTTCCTCCACAAGAACCATTTAGTCAAACTGTGTTTATTTCATTACAACTTGTTCTCACTTTGATCTAGGATTATTTTCATATGAATGCTGCATAGAAGTCTGTAGAGAAAAACTAAACAGACTTCTATTTTCTCTAAGGCTGCCAATATATTTTATGAAAAGAATAAAATGAGGGACTTGAGAGCCAGTTAGTGAAGTATTTAGGAACATGGGCAGGGCAAATCTATCTCAAGCAATTTTCTCACTGGTGAATGTTGTGTTCCCTCCCTTTCCCCCCTCTCCAGATACGATGAGTTTTCTTAAACCATTCACACAACATATTTGTTTCATTCTTCCCGACAATATTTTCAATACTGCTCTCACCCAAGGCATTAACAAAACATTTACCTTTCCTAATTGTTGATGTTCTTTAAAGGCAGCAATCAGTTCTTCAGCCCACTTAATTTTTTCAGGGGAAGGAGAAAACTGCTCCTGGACCACGGCAATTTGGTTAGGGTGAATCACCTGCTTACCTACAAGAATATTAATAACATCGGAACCACGAAACAACGAACAGATGTTCAAACAAAATGTTTCTATCGCGTGAGGTTCCTGAAGGCCTCATAGACTGTATGTTAAATAACTAATTTAAAACTTTTTATTGAGTAAACAAAACAAAACAAACAAAACCTGCAATCAGACAGGCTTTTCCAGAATACCACAGAAGCACAACTACAACAATGGAAGTAATTGTGTTTCCGATCCTATAGAAATGCCACCTTAGGGCAGATAATCTCTTATTTTTAGTTACAGGTGGGCTGACTAGGCAGCTTGTTGAATAACTGCTTTGGCTGGGACTTTAAAGGATAATGTCTGCAAATTAGAGGGATTATTTTGAGTTGAAGTAGAAAAAAATTAAATGAGAATTCTCTCAAATTTTATAAGGTGTCTTTTGCTTTCTTTGTAGAATTATACCTCTTTCCATGATTTCTCTTAGAAATGGTCTGCTGGTTTTCATAAAGCTTACAGAGGCAGTCATTACAACTATATTACTATCAAATACAGCTTTACAATAGTATATTTAATTGTTTTTCTTTTAAATGAACAGTTTATGTGTCAATTCTAACCCCCAATAGAAAATTGGATTTGAATGAAAATATTTTATTCAGTATGGTAAAATAGAAGGCAGATTTGAACACTGCAGCCTTAGATTACTCCATTTAAAAATTAAAAAATAAATACTTAAAGTTTCTCTGTCCAAAAATATACCCAGATTTTCCCTTTTGGCTTATAGAATCAAGACTGGGTATTTCCCTCTTTATAGCACCCTACATATCCCAGAAGAAATCTTATCTCTGTAGAAATACCTTCCAAAAAGATTTATGATTCTTTTTATAGTTGAAAGATTTTAAATGAAAACATCACACAAAGATAAGAGCCACAGGATTTTGTGAAATAATGCAGTCATTAAAAAAACAATTTAACAATCAGGGAAGTGTAGAATCCAATCAGATCATTAATAAAATGCAACATAATTTAATGTTATAATAATGATGAGATTATATTGTTACGTGATAAAGTTATGAACATAATTGGCTCTTTAAAAATGAATGTACACTTAATGATCATTTACTCTGCTGAATATATTTGTTGGTATATCAGTTTGCTTTGCTTTTGAAATAGTTATTTTAACATTTAGACAGTAGAAATTATATCCTTGATGTTTTATATCCTTGCTGTCAATTCCTATTGTCATTATTCTATTAGAATGAAAAAAGGAATGATGCTTGTAAAAACATATTTTTAGTGTTTCATGTAAAAGAGTTTAAGTGGATAAATATAATAATATCTTTTCTTTCCAATGGCATAATTAAAACATCCTCACATTGCTATTTCATTCTTTTCTGTCAGCATACTAATAAAATGTTAAACACTTATATAAGTAAAGATTCCTTAAATTACCTGAGGAATAATTTCTGGGAACGAATAACATGAGGGATGACAAGAGGGCTTTTTTCGGTAGTAGGTATCGAGATTATATTTAAGTAATTTAATAGTTGTCGGGATATTGTTAATAAAGGATGTCAGTTCTGGTAGTCATTTCCTCCTAATTGTTAGCCCTGAATTTCATAATTTATGTACATAATTTACACCAATGCGTAAAAAGCCAGATTTCATGGGAACTTCTTGGTACATGCACTATAATTTGAGGAGCAAAACATAAACTACTTAAAATACTGTGAAATCACTGCTAGCTCTCCATCCTCCAGTACCTATATTTGGGCAATGAGGCTAATTTTAAGATACATGTTAGGTTTTAGAAATGTGTGAACGTTCATATGTGAAGTTCTCTTTTGTCACATCTTATATATTCCAACAACTGTATAGCAGACTTTAATGGCATGTGGGAACCAGGCAAATATTTTATACAAAAGAGTTGTTATTGACAAGTTACTGAGAGGGTGCAAAATTGGAAGACATTAAAATTTATGACCATGAAATCCTTTTTACAGTACCGCTTGATATATCGTGCTTTAAATCAATACCTGTCAAGTCTTTTAGGTAACTGTATGATGGTGTCATTTTTGTCTTCTACAATAGACTGCAAAAAAGAAGAAAACCTATAGTGCTTCATATTTATAATCTTTCTTCTCAGCATGTAGCACTGGAGTAACTGTAATGACTAAGTCAGCTGTTAAAGCTTTATTCCAAGATTTAGTTTTGGTTTCTTTTTTATAAAAAATTTCCTAAAGTTAATGGCCATTTATACAGCCAATGCATTGATTTAAAATCAATCGACATGGACTGTGACTCTGGGAAACGACCGCAGAAAAGAAACTACAGCTAACTTTTAAAAACTACAACTCATTAAAAATATGTATCATTTTTAAAAGTAAAGGCAATCCTTATAGCACAGACTTAGTCTTCCTTACCAGCGTTATGGATAACACAATACTTTCATTGGATTTTAAACCTTTCAACCACCTGCTTCAGATAAGACATGTCTTCCTTCCTCCATCCCTCCCTCTCTCCTCCCCACTTTTCCTTTCCTTTTTTTTCTTTCCTTCTTTTTCTTCTCCTTGTGCAAGGCCCAAGGTATGGCAATCAAATGCCAAACAACTAGGACAAACATCCTGAGTGGTCTAAAGTACTCATTAAAAAACATTTATTTAAAAAATGACTACAAATAATCTATCTTATTATCAGATTGATTACCTCTTATTGGTATGCAGAAATATAATTGGGGCAACAAAGACTTTCTAAAAATTGCAAACTGCCTACGAAGTGTGGCTCCCTAGTTATGGCCTCGTTCCCTTGAATATATAATGGGCACTGTGCCCTCTGTGCCTTCCCATTATCCTCGCTTCCCCCCTTTTTTTTTAGCGATTTAATACTCCCCGTCGTGGAGAAACAATAGTGCCAGGTCCATAAGCTTCTCGTGCTGAGCTGGGCACAGTCTAGAAATTTAAACCTGATTTGAAATAGCCTGTCTTCTGCGATTGAATTAGGGGCCAAGTTAATTCAGTCCTGTATCTTGGAGACACTCTCCAGCTCCCAGAGAAGTTCTGGGGCAAACATTTACCCCAGAGGAGGCAGAGGAAACTCAGATTCTGCTGGGTGATGGTGGAGGGGCCAGTGTCGATGCAGTGCTTTCTCTTTTTTATCGAATTAGTTCCCATTTCAGAGCAACATCTGGCCACCTGGCAGCCAGTGCCATACATTGCAGGCCAACAACATCAGGGTCTATTAGATAAATTTCATGGAGTTTTTCTCCAACTTTTCCATTTGGGTCACATCCTAACCAGCCGTTGGAAAGAGGCAGGAACAAGCACAATTGCATGGATGTGGCAGAGGACTCCTTTCTTCCTCAGTCGCTATGAAACGCAGGGAGAATTCGTTTATTAATAGTTCAGATAATTGAAGAGTATTTCCCTATACGAGATCACACTTATTTAAAAAATTGGGGGGGGTCATATTTATTTTAGCTCTTTGTGTAAAAAACACAAGAACAAACTCAGAGCTTTATTTAATTTGAATATAACACTAGAATAGCTTCTTAGGTCATTCAGTTTTATTTTGGACTAAATCATCATCCATTAAGATATTTTTCACGTTTAAGCCTGCTTTATGAAACCTTTCTTTCGGTAACCGCTACCTAGATATATTTCAAAAACAGTTATAACAGGAATATCAGGATGCTCGTCTCTTTTCCTAATTATTCGGGTGCCTTTCTGATATTAATATTCTTAGAACTTTCAACAACAGAAGAACAGGTAAGAGTGAAGGAGTGCACTGTGTTTTTCCCATGGTTGTCAGTTTGTGTGTGTGCAACTCCATGTGTATGTTTGTGTGTAGACTCCTATTGTGGTTTTTCGAAAAATAGATCTCTGTTGTAAAAACACAATTTTCTGTTGCTCCCCTGGCTCATGGGGACCTGAGTGACCAGGCACACCAATCAACAGATACCCGCCTGTGCCCCAGACCGGACTGCAAGGGACCCGCTGATCCTAGTGCCAGCCTATGCCCGTAGGTGTCGCCAGGTACACGGACACTTACTGGGAGGTGGGAGAGAGAGGAGGGGCTTGGAGTGGCAGAAGAGCAAAAAACTAGTTATGAGTAAAAAACAAAACAAAAACCAAAGACAATATCACCAACATTTTTTTTCAGAAATGAATTAAATTTTGGATATTCTAGGAGATTTTTCTTCTGTCCATCAACCAAAATTCTTATGGCGGTTCACTCAAAAACACTTTTTGAGCAGCCTCATCCCTCCCTACAGGTCAGCCAAGACTACAACAAAATGATTAAGAGGATGGAGAGAAAAAAAAAAAAGCAACTAATATAAAGAGGAAATAAAATGAGTGATTTGTTGACTTGCAGGGCCAAGGAAAACCATGACAATGTGTCTGGCAAGTTCTTCCCCTGTGTGACTTGCTCATATTTCAAATAGTGGAGTAAGTATGGGAGATATCTGATGAGATTAGGGGTGTTTTCGGGTCAAATTTCTATTTTTCTGGAATGCTTGCTAATTTAGACACTGCTTTCTAAGACAGGAATCATACCAGTGAAGCCCATGGCGGCTCCTTCTCGTGACTGTCTAAGCAGCCCAGCTCCATCTCGAAAGTCAATGTACACCAGATCTATGGCTTGGAGACCAAAGGCTTTCGCTATGACAACAATCTTTTGCCGGGCGTAGAGAATATCCAGGGTTTCTTTACTACTTGTTGCACCTGAAAATGGGATGTTAACAGAAAAAGGAGGCTTTAACTTTGGAAACCGCACCCAGATATTTATTATAAAACCTCAGTTTGTACAGATATCTAAACCTCCCTGGAAATTGCTCCTCCGCAAAATAAAATTATTGAAATACAAATGAAGACAGGGACGCGTGGAGGCCAAGTTAAACCTCGAATGTGTCTGTTTAACTGACAAGGCATCTTTCAATAGAATTACTTCTACCTGCATTAAGAGAAGGCCCCTTCCCCATTCTGGGAGGCTGGGTCAGGGTCGCAAGGGACTCCTGATATATTTTTTTCCTTCTTATCATCGCTTGAAAAGTGCCAGTCCAAAGACAGCACCACAAAGGGTGGCCCAGCAGCTATGCAGGGCAATGGTTCGTGTTTCACAGCAAGCACAGAACTGTGTGTGCTGCGATTGCCCTGTCCAAACTGAAGTTCTGAGCCAAATGCTTCAGCTTCAGGGTCTGTCTGGATGGAGAACTTGGGGAGACGGGAGGGCACTTGTTTTGAGAGGGCTGGAAAGCATCGATATGCCTTCTGTAGCCCGCTGAACCGTTGGATACACAAGTCTCCTGGAAAGACTCGTATTCAAATAAATTCAGTTTTTTCACCCTGAGGGGAGGGAAGTGTCCCTGTTTACATTTGGAACATGCCACTCCCTGCCTAGGGAAAGTGCCTGTCTTCAGGTCACTGGGGCTGGTTTCTGTGGCCTCGGCCTCTTTTCTAAATGCTTCACGGTCTCCAGTCAAACATGCAGACCCCTCAAGTGCAGCTCACAAGGGATGGTGAGAATCGGTGAAAATCAGCACATTTAATACTAAGAGTTCGAAACATATTGTAAGAGAAATTTAAGATCCATTTAAAATAATATTTACCTACCGCATATTCTGTAGAAAACAATTCATTAAGGCAAATGTGAAATTGCCTTAAATTTGCGTTAGAAATCTAGACAGCCCACAGACTGATATGAAAACAAAATACTGAAGCAACGGTGAGGCTGTTCACATAATATATTTATTAGGAGCAAAGGAGATGCCATATATTCCTGAGCATGCCTGGGGCTGCAACAGGCTTTCTATTGCTCGTGTCTTTTATAAATGAACAGAAGTAATAATGCAGTGCTCTAGAAGCAGGGCAGCTATGAGGAGCCCTAAATTATCAGGAAGTAGTGTCCATTCCATTGTCATGAAAAACCATTGTCATGGTTGGCAAATATACATTGTTATGTAAATGTCCATCCTTGAGGGGCAAAGAAAAAATATATACACACATATACACACACACACACAGAAAAAGAGAGAGAGAGATGTCTTTGACACCTATGCTGGCTCGAAAGTCTTCTCCTCCAAAAACGACTGCATCTAGAAAGAGACCTACTTGAGGCCCGACCTTCAGGGTTTCTTCACACACTGCCTGTAAAAGAGCAGAACAGAACTAAGTCTCACGGAAACGCGTGCGTCAGAGGGAAGAGGCACGGTGCATTTCAGTAACAGGACGACCTGACTCTTAACACAGTTTGGCTGAAAGCAGTCCTAAAAACGCAGCCCAAATTTACCCCTTTCAAAAGGTATTTAATATCATCCAAGATAAGTATATTGTATATATTTGCTTTGTTTAATGGATTATATGAATATAGTTATAATGTTCAAATTGTAGTTCATCTCATTTTTGGAGAAACTTTGAGTTAACTCATTTTGCTTGCACTATAAGTTATTTATATCTTTCCAGAATTCGTTTTTGCTTTAAGAGACTCTCGTAAAACCACAGGGGAGAAGGAAGGAATTTTAAAATCAAACTAATTGAATTATTTGCATTAGGATCAAGCACATGGTCTCAGGATTAAAGACAGCACAAAAACCTGCAACTCCGGAGGGGAAAATAAAAATGCAACAAGTCATCCAAGATGTGTTCATAAAGCAACTTCGACATTTATATATGAAAGTCAAGGCAAATACCATTCGTCGTAGACATAACCGTGAATCTTGAAAGGTGGAGATATAACCTGCTAATAATATACGTGGGTGGGAAAGAAACGAGGAACCGGTGGGGACACTGTTGATTAATTTCAGACATTGTAAGTGCTTCTAAGTACATTATGGAATAAAATGGCGAAGCAGTGCTTAAAATTAAATCACTGGATGAATCTGGTTGCATCTTAGGGATATGCTTTTGATTATATTCTCAGGATTCTGGGGCTGGCTGGAAGAATGTATGGTTAGTTGTGTAAACAAGCTGCTCACAGGACAAGGTTTGAAGCAGGTCCCCAAACATTTGCACTCGACCCCTTCTGCACATCCCAAGGCCTCAAAGTTGCCGCTCACACATTCTCTCTCCAGTACAGTTCGACTATGTTTTTTCTGTTGTTTTTAGTGATTTCTTTTCTCCTGCCCTCTGTGGGGGCTGGGGTGGGGGAAGGGAATCTAGGAACTCTGAAAGGGGGTGCTAGATTGATGTTCGCAGGTCAGGTGGAATGAGAGGCATATTTTGGAAAATAATATAAATGCCCCCTGATAAACGAGAAAAAACGAGCTAGCTCTGAATTTGTTAAGACCGGTAGTTTAGTGCAACCACACAACGGCTGAAAACACTTGGCTCAGCCAATATTCCCGCATGTATATTAGAAGATATTCTAATGTGGCAAACTGAAAAACTGTACTGCAAATTATTTGTGTGCATGAACTTACAAACAATAATCTTCTCTGCTAGACATTACTGATAATGTTGCTACAGAGAGGGCAGAACATTTCCCACTGAAAAGACATTTGATAGAAAAGAACATTTCAAAGTTAATTCATAAGGGTGACAAATTTTCATGTACATTTAGTCTATAAATGCAATAATTCAAAGCATATAATTACACAGTGATTAGTTAAAATTGTTACTAGGAATATACAAATGCTTCATTTAAATATTTTGGACTGGGAAGCTTTTCCTTCTACCTAACTGATTTCATTGTTTTCTAAGATGCTGGCAACCTGGTTTTTGGACTATTACAGATAACAAATGGTGCTCAACATTTCCTTTGCTTATAAATCTTTCTAGAAACACATTTTAAGAAGATGTTAAAATTGAAAGCAAAAGTTCTCTTTAGGTGATAAATAAAATGCTAACTTATTAACCGTATTATGGCTTCCTTACCTTAAAATTGAGCAAACCCATTGCAGTTTCCACAAAAGGGATTAAATTCATTGGTTGTTCAAGTTTTCGGCCTTTTAAGTGGAATGAAAATTTGTCTGCAAACTAAAATCAGAAGTGTCATAGGTGATTAGTGGGGAAAAAATGTACAATCACGGAAATGTAGACCCAGAAGTAGTATTTAAGTCTTTGACCTGAGGAAGTAATATCCAAGCCTCTTTCGTCCACACAAAAGAATTTTTTTAAAAAAATAAGAAGAAAGTCCAAAGAAAAAGGTAATGAAGTTCCCACCAAACTAAATAGTAAAATCCTAAGCATTACAATTTTTTTCTCCCAAAGGAGCAACTTGAGGCCTAGGAGTTAGAACTGGAAGGAGAGAGTATAAACGCTTTCCCTGAAAACGCATTTACTTAAGACCTCTTGCCCTCGCTTCGTTAAATGCAAATGGTAGGCCCTTAAAACAATGAACTCTTCCTCTACCTGCCATTCTGTTTTTGTTTCGTGCCCAGCACTGACATCAGTGCAACTGTTCAGCAGCCTTCTACGTGGAGTCCATATTATTCATTATAGCACCATTACCCTTTGTTCAGAAGGTTTTTCTTCATAATTTTTTAGCTTACCTAGGAAGACCTTAAAAAGGAAGTTTAATTCTTTGAAGACCAAAGCTCGCCAATTTTTTCCATGAGACCAGTTCACAGCTAGCTCTGTGCTGCCAGTGGGGTAGCCCAAATTCCAAAATCTATCATCTGGAAACATACAAAAGCTCTTGCCCAGATTCCTCCCCCTCTTCAAAAGGGGGAAAAAAACACACTCTAAATTGTAAATCTATTATGTCTATCTAGATCTAATAAGATGTGGGGAGATAGATAGAGAAGAAACACAGGTATGATAAAGGTATTTTTGTAAATAAAGATGAAAACATATATATCCATTTTAAATTTAAGGAATATTCAGCCATTAATAGATATCAAAGGAAAAGGGAATTTTAATCATCTCTCCATTCAGTCTCAGTTGGGTAAATCATATCTAAGAGATTTGCATAAATATAAACCATCAAAGACTTTTCATCTTCAAAGGGGGTTTCAAGACCCTATAAGCTTTGTACTGTAATCATCACAGGTCACCACCCTGCAGGAATAAGGCTGCTATGGCAACATAAAAAAACTAATGCTTAAGGCTTAGCATAATATTCTGACTAATAGAAAGGAAACTCATTTGAAAAGCTGGCAGCCTATTTACCAGAAGCGGGATTAGAGGTGTTATTTCCCCTTCTAGCTGCCCCCTCCTTGCCGGTGCACCACCCCCCTAAAAAATCTAATCACTGGGATCTTTAAAAAGCTTTTGAGCAATTTGCAGTAACTTTACAATTAGGCTAAAATAAATCACAGCTTTCAGTAATGAAGAATTATTCCCAGTTGCTCCCACTGCCCCCCCTTCAAAGGGCATCATCATCACCTCCTTAGTAACTTTTCAAGGGAAGGAATAACTCAACCAAAATAGCAAGAAGGAGCAGGGGGTGACAATTTAAGGGGATAAAATGTATAGTATTTGATGTAGATGAAAATAAAATATAATTTATTTCTCATTTATGCTAGAAAGTGGTAGCACAGTATTAGTGGTTTTGGTGTTAAAAATGTAGTAGGGATATTTTTTCTCATTAAAAAAGAAAACTTGTGAAGTGACTTGCCCCATTCTTTGTGATGACAGTTATAACTACAAAAATCATGGACTTTAAAACCAAGTCAACACTTTACAATATATTCCCTGTTCTTAGTGAGAACACCCCAATGCCTTTTGTTTTTAAGCCAATAGGGGCATTTAAAAATTAAATATTCTAGCCCATCCTCCTCCTCCTCCTCCTCCCCCTCTTTCTTAAAAAATTGCACTAAGTACTAACACAAAAGGTAACTAGTGGAGAAGTTTCAATTAATTTTTTCAAAAGGAGACGATTAAATGTTTCCGGCCTGGTAAAGTGTTCATTTCAGCGAGGTGGAGGGGACTGGGGTAGGGGGAGGAGAAGAAGGGGGAGAAATCACAAAGAGATTGGGGAGGAGATGAAGTAGCAGGGCTCAGCGATTCTTTCAATTCCAGTGCACACCCAATAGTGTGTTGGAAGAATGCACACTGTTCGGGATTTGTGGGAGAATTGTCCCATGACAAAGGAGGCAGGGTTACGCTTGTTATAGTCCAATAAGCCGTGCCAGTCAAACAAGAACCCACACTAGCGACAAAAGGCGAGCAAGAGATTCTCACACAAAAGAAAACAAGTAAGCCCATCTTTCAGTTGTGCATCAGGCTCTGGGTTTTATGCTTCGCATAAATACAAACGGAGAGGAAAAAATAAACAGCCAAAAGGACTTCTGTTAACTAGAAGTTCTATTTAAATTTCTGTATGTGTCTCACTTCCAAGGATTTAAAACAGTGAACAGAAGCCATAGCGGAAGGCTGGCTGGGTCTCCCCCTCCCCCATCTTAAGTTAAAGGTAATAACGGTGATAAATAGGCATTAACTATGAAACCAAAAGGGAACAGTGACTTCAGAGTCCATTTCAATCAACTTAAGACATATCTGAATGGGCTCAGGACCCTCCAGGATATTAACATACTCTTAACTAGTATCTCCCAGCTTCTGAGGGTAACCCTGGAGAGAAGAACTCCAGCTTAGTCAATAAATAACTGGTCCTTGAATACGGGTCTTCAAGAAGGATCCAACACAGAGCTGTCCAAAAGAAACTGTATAGCAGCAGCTACATATAATAATTTTAAATTATCTCGTAGCTACATTGAGGGTAAACTGAAACAGGTGAATTTAATTTTAATAGTATCTTGTATTTAGCCCAATAGATCCCAAATATTATTTCAATGTGTAATCAATATAAAAATTATCGAGATAGTTTACATTCTCTTTTTGTCCCCTCAGTGAGTCCCGAGTCTTCAAAATCGAGTGTGTATTTTGCACTTCCAGCACATCTCCATTTGTGCTGGCCACGTTTCAATGCTCAGAAGCCACATGTCATAGTGGCCGTGGCACTGGGCAACGCAGACCTCACACATCGGGTGCATTCAGCAGGTGAGCAGTTTCGTAGGTGTTACAACAACTCAGGGTATTGCTGTGGTGGCAGCCACAGCCTCAGAGATAATACTAGATGTGGCTTCCATGAAACCACCACTGCCCACTCGCCCCGACCACAAACGCTTCCAGTTTTCACACCTCACAGGGCCCAGAATGACACATTTTCTGTCCCAGAACAACACAGTGAAATGTTATTTTATTCAGTAGAGATCTGCAGAATAATAGCGACCCTCAAATAAAATCTAGCCCCTCCACCCTTTGTCAATTAAAACAATCATAGTGTAATTAGGCCTATTTCAAAAGTTTTCTTAAGTAATTTGACATGCCAACCACTTTACATTTCAGGTTTTTATTGGCTGAAAAGTCTGTCATGAAACACAAACACACCTGTCAGCAATTTAAAAAGGATGCACTAGAGAACTGTTCAGGAAATAATATCAGTGCTAATTGAAACCACTAGTTAAAAGCTTCCTGTTCATTCCTCCAGTTGCCCTAAAGAGTGACCTTTTCCTCCCCTTCTTTGGGTTCATTTTTTCATATGCGGCAAATGTGCCCTCCCTGCCTGGGATGATTTCAGATGAATCTCAGTAAGGGCCATTTACGTCACTGCTCTTCCAGGTGGAGGCCTTGGCTTAGGGCCGGGCAGGGTGGAGGAAGGGATGAGATTCTCGGGCAACCTAGTTTCCAGGGATTACTCTGGGAGGGCTACTGAGGAGGCTGTTCTGGCCAAACCACACATCCAATTAGGAAGCGAAGCATCATTTCAAAAGTGCAGTTGTTTCATAGAACACTTTGGGCAAAGGCGAGTTTTCCTTGTGTAAAAGAAACGGATACTTGAGCTTACTGCTTTTTCTCAATTCCCTTCCTCTCTGCTCTCTGCATGCATTTTCCAAACCTGTGGCACCCAGATCCCTTCTTCCTGCTACTCCTCCTTAGCTGCTCCTGAGTCTTAAGGCAAAGCATTAGCTACTCACCCACTGGATTTCTTCAGGACTTTCCACCTTTGGTAGCATCAGGCTGGAAGGAAGGACCCGGGATTGCAAAAGGGTCTCTAGGTCTTCTTCCGCCAGACCACTGGAAACTGAGTTGACTCTCACACATTTTTCAGTAGGGCCCAGATCAATGTCTTCAAGAGTTTTTACAATTCTCAGTCGAGCTTCATTCTGTAAGTGTCAATAAAAAGTTTATTGTTTATTTTTATCATTGAGGGGAGCACCATCAAATGGTTGATGAAACTGTTATGTGGATTCAGAGTCTGAGCACCATTATTCTATCTACACATTTCCTGTCCACCAAATAAATAATATTTGAAAGGAGTCATCCAGTCTGAAAGGTGAGCAGTTGATTTTTAGGTTTCATTCGCGATAGCTATAACATAGCCGAGACGCACCGCAGTGCACATGGGTGTGCTTCTGTATGGAAGTGTCGTCTTTCTCATTAGCATTACTTCCCAATGGGAAGGGGAAAATAGTTAATGGGTAAGTTTTCACTGATTGAGCATTAAGTGCTAAGCATGGTTCTATGTTCTTTCCCTGCACTTTCTCATTTAATAAACATAAGAAATTGGCTAACATCTAGATTGTGGCCATCTCGTCTGTCAGCTTCTTCACATTAGGGAAAAAATAAGGATTTTTCTTTTTCCACAGGCATCATGCTTTTTTTACTCACTATTTTTTTGCAACTGAGTTGAATCTTGACATTCAATTAAGAAGATGCTCACAGGAATCTGACAATGTGTACTACAAGAAAAGCTCCCACTTCTTCAGGTGGAAGGCAAGGAATCCCTTCATGAAGTGCTTGACAAATACTTTTTTTTTCTTTGACTTGACAGGCTTTGCTCCACAGTTCAGAAAAGCTGAAAGGCTGAAAGTCTGCTTCAGTATTTGAATTGTCCCCAGAAAAACTATATGAAACCAAGTATGTTATTTCTTGGCTTTGGCTTGGGGGCAATGAAGGTGGGGTTGGGGAGAGAAAGAAGTGCATGGAAAGGGTGAGGCTGGAGTCAAGAGAAAGAAAGCACTGGGGGTCATTACTTCCTGCCAATTTCAGTTTCAAAAGCCAACTCCTCCAACTTGCCAACAGCCCTCAACAAATTCTCATTGTCAGAATGAACACTTATCAAAAGTAGTTTCATTTGGGAAGGGTTTTTATGATACTAATAAAACTTTAAAGCTTCTCACTGCTGATGAATGTAGTTTACAAAAAAGGTCTCAATAATATATAACCATTTGAAAAGCAATACTGATCTAGGAAAATAGCAAACCAAAGCAGAGACAAAAAAGAATTATTTAAGCCAAATATTGAGTCTAAGTCCCAGCAACAAGACAACCCAGGACAGCAGATTTAAACCAGACAGATGTGGGTCTATGAGCGGGGAGAAGCAAGGAATGCTTCCAAATGTGGTCTGAGTTAAACAATGTGAGGAAACGGTAGCTTAGAGTTGTCGGGTCAGATGGGAAGAGTACCTAAGACAGTTTAGGACTGCTCTGTGAAGTCCTGATTTACAGAGCTTCATCTGCCAATAATTAGGCCAACTTAGACAAAAGCAAGAGAGAGCTCAGACTAGCTAAAGTCAGAGATGATGCAGCCAGCAATGGCTTGGTTCCACATCATACCTTTGTTTTATTCCATAGATATAAAACTCGCCCACTTGCTCTACCATGCATTCTTTATTACAGCCATTAAATACGAAAATCTTCTCTTTTTTTTGAGACACAGTCTCACTCTGTCACCCAGGCTGGAGTGCAGTGGCGCAATCTCGGCTCACTGCAATCTCTGCCTCCTGAGTTCAAGTGATTCTCCTGCCTCAGCCCCCTGAGTAGCTAGGACTACAGGCACCCGCCACCACACCCAGCTAATTTTTGTATTTTTAGTAGAGACAGGGTTTCACTGTGTTGGCCAGGCTGACCTTGAACTCCTGATCTCAGGTGATCCACCCGCCTCAGCCTCCCAAAGTGCTGGGATTACAGGTGTGAGCCACGGTGCCCGGCCCTAAATACGAAAATCTTAAAGGTGAAGAGCAGAAGTTGGCTCAGTATCTTGGCTCTAAAGCTGTCTAGAGCTGCTGGGAGAAATACTTGAGCTCTGGCTGGGCATGGTGCCTCACACCTGTAATCCCAGCCCTTTGAGAGGCTGAGGGGGTGGATCACCTGAGGTCAAGAGTTCAAGACCAGCCTGGCCAACATGGTGAAACCCCATCTCTACTAAAAATGCAAAAATTAGCCGGGTGTAGTGGCACATACCTGTAGTTCCAGCTACTCGGGAGGCTGAGGCAGGAGAATCGTTTGAACCCAGGAGGTAGAGGTTGCAGTGAGCCGAGACTGTACCTCTGCACTCCAGCATAGGACACAGAGCGAGACTCCATCTCAAAAGCGAAAACAAACAAACCAAAAAACTGAAATACTTTCAGCTTTTTGGAAGGCACATTTAGATCCATGGCTGTGGAGAACCTAAAGCATGTTCTTCTCTGTGTAGCCTATGCAGCTACAAAAAAACGAGATAAGATTGCTGGAGTTTGTCAATGTGACTTCCAGGTTCCCTTTTAATAGCTAAGTCAGCCTTGCAAAGAGTCTACTGGGACAGTATGAATGGAAAATTGAAGGGAACTCACTCAGTTTTTTAGGCCATACTGCATTTTAAAGCTTAAATTATTTGAGTCATCATCTCCATCCTCTAATCTGCATGTGTGCTCAAGAACGCAGGATCCCTGGCAACATCAACTTCCTAAATTGTTAATGTTGGCTGGTGTCAAACAAAATCTGATCTTGAAGCTGTTTGGTTTCACTTGGATTTGAAGGGACTTGTTTGTTCAAAGCTCATGTTCTAAACCTGTTTGATTTTTATCTAAAGTCGGATTGCCATGGTTTCAGCACATTCCAGTTTACTTAGCAAAATTCGGCCCTTGTGAAATTGGCTGCAAATGAAGTACCTACTTCCAATTTTAGGCATAATCTGATTAGTACTTTTCATATTATAATAATGAGCAGTGAATACTCAGCATTTAAAAAATTTTGGCTCAGAATGGAAACCAAGCTCTTTACACTTCATCATTCTGTACATTTCCAAAAACAGAGGATGGCTTTTGAGGTAAGTTGCCATACGACACCCTTATTAACCGGCTGTTGCTTGTTACAATTTACATAAACCAAGTGTGCATCCCTCTGGTATATATCCCAAAACACTCAACAACTTCAGTGAATTTACCCCAACCAGCGAGCATGTTGAATTTTTTTTTTTCTTTTTGGTATTTTCAGGGTGAAGTATTTGACTGTGCTAGCAAACACGCCCATGCCATCTGTTGGGTTGGGAGGAAGGCAGTTTCTAAGAACAATTAAGTTTAGTTCTGGGTGTTCAGTTCGAGAGAGTCACAGTCCACCCAGTTGTGAAAAGAAAGAAATTCTGTTCATTTTATTCTCTTTTTCCCTCTCTCTGCCACACACACTGTACTTCTTGCTAACAGCGCTCTCAGCTCTCTCATCTCCACCACCTCATCCTTCACGCTTCACACTTTCCTTCTTTTTCTTTCTCTCTTTCTTTGGCTCCTGGTTGGCTCTGACCATCCCTCCAATATCCATCTTAGGTGGATTAGCAAGAGGCTGCCTGGCTGACCCCAGCTCTCAGAAGGGCTCTCAGGGTGACCTGCTACGACTATTGGGAGGTAAGTGCTTCCTGGAGGAAGGAGAAAAAGGAAATTAAGGTAAAAGCGGTCACCCCAAAAAGAGCTTTTATGGGGGCTTTTATATCCTAGGAGTAATACAGGTTGTTTAAAATGAGGTTTGAGAGGGACTGCATTCTAAATGTGTTAACACTACAGGACAGCCTTGGTGAGCCATTCTCACTGTGGAATGAACTTGTCCCCCAAGATCTGACAAGCTGGAAATGACTGAATAATGGAATTAAGGCCTTTATCAACAGTTACATTAGAACTTCGAAGAGACTAATTACCATAGCGTGTTCTGGATCATGTTTGATCCAGAGGTGGACTCTGCCCAGGTCATAGAGGAAGTTGGCACAGATTACAATCTTTGCAGGCCCCCATTCTAAAAAATGGTGTTCCCAAAGTTGCCGCATTCAATCGATATTTCGTGCCATGCTGCTCAGTGCAGTGGACCAGTGGCTAATAAACTTGTCCTTATCCATAAGCCACCGTATTAGGTGACTCTGTCTGGGCCAGGAACCAAGGCGTGCTATGATTTCAGAGACTGGATTCCTATCACCTGGGGAAGAGACACGCTCTGGTGACGTAAGAAAGCGGAGAAATCAACCATCACCAAAACCTGCAGACTCTGAAATTAAAGGAGAAAATATGCGTGCAGTTGGTTCAATTGGCACCCATTAAAGCTAATAACTAATCATCCTCGCAAGTTTCTAGCTCAGAATGATCAAATCTGCAAAGAAAACAACATCCGTCCACTTTTACACTCCAGTGGAAGAGGTGGTCCCTCGCGGCAGGGCGGCACAGTCTCGCCATCTGGAGAATAAATCGAGTGTGAAGTACAGTATAGTTTGGGACCAAGCTCCGTGGCGGCAGCTCAGCAGTCAGTTCATTAGTTCCAAACTTCCAGGGATTAGAGCGGCATCAATTCTACTGTCGGATAGGATGAGACAGACAGGATACGAGATTCAAGGGGGATTGTGACAACCAAGAGGAGCCCCTTGGGCTTATTTATAAAACTACAAAGTATAAACATACCCAAGTAAGTGCCTTAAATAATAGCATTATCACAGTTTCATAACATCTGAATTATCACCTTTCCCTTCGCCTCCCAGCCCCCGACTCAAACCTTGAATGTTAATGTATAGTTGTTTTCAGAGGAAATGGCAGAGACAGCCCTGGGTGCAACAGGAACAACGAGAAAGCTATGTGCGACCCAAGATTTGGTAATTAAGAAATAGGAAAGACTTTCTAGACTCCAGGGAGATCCACAACATTTGTGATGAAAGAAAAGTACAATGAATATTTTCATCCTGCAAAAGGCAATTGCCATGCCACGTATTCAAAAACGACAGTAAATTCTATCCCTTCTGAATGTGTCCATCTCATCTGATTTTCATTTCATCTAATGTGTAAAATGATGTCATGTCACGGGCATGAAGTGGTCCAAATTTTTAGCAGAAGGCCCCAGGAGCATCTCTATGAAAATCTTATTGAAAATGTCAAGATCAAGTTTGGTTTAAAATAAAAAACGGAACGAATTTATTCTATTTAAGGACGGCCTTTTTCATATAACTTTTTATCAATTTGTATTTAAAAACAGCATTGCTTAGGACATAGACCATCCTCACCAGTCAATTATATTGGATTTTTCTCATAAATGTGTAAAAATTTACTGTAATAATGATCAGAGACTGTTGTAGTGACTGCACTGAAAAAAAAAGGCAAATGAATTCTCAGATTATTACAACCTGGTAGTATGTTTCAACAGGCAAGGTGAGTGTTGAGTTTTCTATCCTGTTATTTTTTCCACATGAAAAAGAAAACTTAGTTTGCCTGTTTTTGAAAAAAAGAAAACCTATAACAATATTGAGCATACTGTAGGTTAACTGGCTTAAAATTGTATGTGCTGATTCATCTTACAAAGCGTTACATGCCAGGCACCCTGTTTACTCTGAAAATGTAGATTTTGGCAGAGCAAAGTTTTTGATATGTTAATCATGAAACATACATTAAAACACAGGTTTATAGTGAAATGCTAAATTGGCTTTCATTCAAAAGACTAAGAAGGCTGAGGATGTGTATAGATGGGTAGCTTATAATATATAATTGGTATTTCTGCCCTTCAGAGATATAATTGAAAAAGAGAAAACCTTACCAAAAAACTCCAACACTAAAACACAATAAACCTATGAAAAGAATTTGTTTTGAAGGTCTCCAACCAATTAAAAATATTTTTTAAAGATGTTAGAACAATGGCTTTGAGTCATGCAAACCTATACATTTGTCAGAATTCATAGAACATATACTTTAAATTTGTGCATTTCATTGTATATAAATTTCACCTCAAAAACACAAAGAGAACTGTAAACAAATATTGAACTCTAGTCATTCATATGCATGCAGGAGTACCTAAGGGGAAGTGTACTGCTGTCTGCAATTTACTTTGAAATGGATATATTAATACAAAGCAAATCGATGGATGGAGAGAGGGACGAATGGATGGTCAGATACAGATTAAGTCAGGCAGAGTAAACATTAATGGGAGAATATAGGAGGTGTGTATAGTATATTGGTTTCTACTGTACAATCTTCCAACTTTTCTGATGCTTGAAATTTTTTTAATAAAGTGTAGGGGGGAAAGCACCCTAAAACACTGACAATTTTTGGAGCTGATTGATGAGTATATGGGAGTTCTTTATACTACTCTCTTTACATTTGTATATATTTGAATATTTCCACAATAAAAAGTTAAAAACTATTCTAGTTAATGACTGAAACATCGCTTTAGTTGTTATTTGTGGGAAATCATTTTGGTGAAAATTATTTTTAGGTTTGTGATTTTGATAACAGCTTTAATGAGATAAAGTTCACATGACATACAGTTTACCTAAGTGTACAATTCAGTGGCTGTTAGTGTATTCATAGAGTTGTACAGCCATTACCACAATCAATTTTAGAACATAAGCCAGGCGTGGTGGCACACAGCTGTAGTCTCAGCTGCTTGGGAGGCTGCAGTGGGAGGATCACTTGAGCCCAGGAGTTTGAGGCTACAGTAAGCTGTGATTGCACCACTGCATTCTAGGCTGGATGACAAAGCAAGACTGTCTCAAAAACAACAAAAAAAGAAGGTATGTATCACCCCGAAAAGAAACCTCATACTTCTTAGCAAGTCACTCCCGTTTCCCCAACCCTCCAGACCTAGGCAACCACTATTCTACCTTCTGCCTCTATAGATTTGCTTATTCTGGAATGTATAAATGGAACCATGCAATAGGTAGTCTTCTCTGACTGCCTTCTTTCACTTAGTATGTTTCAAGATTCATTCATGTTGTAGCACCTATCCATACTTATTCTTTTTTATTGCCAAATTATATTCTATTGTATGGATAGGTCACATTTTGTCCATTGTTAGTTAATGGACACCTGGCTGGTTTCCACTTTGTGGCTATTATGAGAAATGCTGCCGTGGACATTCAATACAGGTTTTTATATGGACATAGGTTTTCATTTCTCTTGGGCATATACTTAAGAGAAAGTAGAATTCCTGGGTCATATGGTAACTGTATGTCTGACCTTTTAAGAAACTGTCCGCTGTTTTCCAAAGTGGCTAAGCCAGTTTCTGCTCCTGCCAGCTGTGTGTTGAGGGTTCCTTTCCAACTGCTCCACATGCTCGCCGAAACTTACTACCACATGTCTTTCTTATTCTAGTCATCCTCGTGGGTATCACCAAGTGGTCTCTCATTGTAGTTTTGATTTGTGTTTCTCTCATGACTAATGATGTTGAGAATCCTTTCATGTGCTTATTGGCCATTTTTATATCTACTTTGGTGAACTGTCTATTTACATCCTTAGCCCGTTAAAAAATGGGGGCAATATATATATAAAACAAAGTTTTCCTTTTAAATCTTCTTTAAATGTACAATGTGGCACCAATTACTTATGCAACATTGTCAACCATCACCACTATTTCCAAACCTTTTTTTTTTTTTTTTTTTTTTTGAGGTGGACTTTCACTCTTGTTGCCCAGGCTGGAGTGCAATGGCATGATCTCGGCTCACTGCAACCTCCGCCTCCCGTACTCAAGTGATTCTCCTGCCTCAGCCTCCCGAGTAGCTGGGATTACAGGCATCCACCACCACACCCAGCTAATTTTGTATTTTTAGTAGAGGCAGGGTTTCGCCATGTTGGCCAGGCTGGTCTCAAACTCCTGACCTCAGGTGACCCACTCAGCCTCCCAAAGTGCTGGGATTATAGGCATGAGCCACCACACCTGGCCTATTTCCAAAACTTCTAATCACCTCAAACAGAAACTCCATAACCATTAAGCATCAACTCCCTATTTTCCCCTGCCCCTAGCTCCTGGTAACCTCTAATTTACTTTCTGTACCCATGAATTTGTCTATTCTATATATTTCCTATGAGTGAAATAATACTTGTTCTTTGGTTCTGGTTATTTCGCTAAGCATAATAATGTTTTAAGGTTCATTCATGTCACAGCATGTATCCAAACTTCATTCCTTTTTATGGCTGAATAATATTCCATTTTATGTCTATTCCACATTTTGTTTATCCATTCATTTGTTGGTAGACATTTGGATTGTTTCACAATTGGTTATTGTGAATAATGCTGCTATGAACATTGGCATATGGGTTTCTCTTTGAGTCCCTCTTTTCAATTCTTTTGGGTATATACCTAGGAGTAGAATTGCTGGATCATATAGTAATTCTGCGTTTAGCTTTTTGAGGAACTGCCAAACTGTTTTCCACAGCGGCTGTACCATTTTGCCTTCCCATCGGCAATGCACCAGGATTCATATTTCTCCACATCCTCACCAACACTTGCTATTTTCTATTTTATTGATACAGGGTTTGTTTTTGGTCACAGCCATCCTAGTGGTGTGATGTGCATGCTCAATGGGTTTTGTTTTGCATTTCTCCAATGGCTAATGATGCTGAGCATCTCTGTGTGTGCTTATTGGCCATCTGTTTATCTTCTTTGGATAATGTCTATTCAAGTCCCTTGCCCACTTTTAAACAGGCCTGTTTGTCTTTTTGTTGTTGAGTTATAACAACAACAAAATAACAGTTCTTTAGATATTCTGGATATCAAATCCTTACCAGATAGATGACTTGAAAATATTTTCTTCCATTCTGAAGCTATCTTTTCATTTTCTTGATGGTGTCCTATGAAGCACAGAAGTTACAATTTTACTAAAGTCCAATTATCTATTTTTCTTCTGTTGATTGCACTTTTGCTATCATCTTGAGACCACTGACTGCCTAATCGAAGGTCATGAGATATATACCTATGTCTTTCTCTAGGAGTTTAATAGTTTTAGCTATAACATTTAGGTCTTTAATACATTTTGAGTATATATATTTGTATATGGTGTGGATTGGGGGGATCGTGATATTTTTGTTTTGTATTTTCACACCTTATTTTTCAACAAAATACAATGAAATTCCCAGGAAAGAGAAAACTCCAGTGGAAAGAAGGGGCTTACTTCTGTCTGCCTCCTTGGCTGCCTTGCCCTGGCCCTGACTGGCAACTGGCTGGTGCTGGCTCTCTGCTGCCATAGCCCTATCCGTCACCTTCCCCTCTCTTCCTCCTCTTTACCTTGCCCTTTTTCCATCTCCTCCTGGTGGATTTTCCTTAACTATATGTGCCAGGCCTTTGGTATTTCTGCGAAGACCTTGACAGGCATCCTTATGGGCCTCTGAGGCACCTCTGACTCAAACTCATAGGACAATGTGGAGCTGGTGCTGAGAAGATGCCCTTGGTGGGCGGGCACTGCCGATGTTTTATGATTCAGTAGTGTGGCTTTGACGTACACTTTGCACAGACTTTTTTTAAGAGACAGGGTCTTGCTGTGTCAGCCAGGCTGGAGTGCAGTGGCAGGATCATGGCTCACTGCTGCCTCGAACTCCTAGGCCCCAGCAATCCGCTCGCCTTGGCCTCCTGAGTAGCTGTGACTACAGGCATGCACCACCATACCCAGATAATTATTTGTATTTTTTGTAGATACAGTGTCTCACTATGTTGCCCAGGCTGGTCTTAAACTCCTGGGCTCAAGCAATCCTCCCACCACGGCCTCCCGACTAACTGGGACTACAGACATGCACCACCACACTCGGCTACACACAACTTTTAAAAAAGACAGAGTATTTACGTACCACAAGCTTACACTGTCTTTCTCAATAGTGTTTTTTTTTTCTTTTTTCTTTTTTTGAGATGGAGTCTCACGTGTCTCTTAGGCTGGAGTGTAATGGCACGATCTCGGCTCACTGCAGCCTCCACCTCCTGGGTTCAAGCGATTCTCCAGCCTCAGCCTCCCAAGTAGCTGGGATTACATGTGACTGCCACCACGCCCAGCTAATTTTTGTATTTTTAGTAGACATGGGGTTTCACCACGTTGGCCAGGCTGGTCTCAAACTCCAAGCCTCAGGTGATCTGCCTGCCTCGGTCTCCCAAAGTGCTGGGATTTTCGGCGTGAGCCACGGTACTCAGCCATCTTTCCCAATACTATTAACCACCGCCATGCTCAGATTTGTCTGTGGTTGTGGAATCTGCTAGCTCATGGCTCTTCCCACTTTTACTCTGTGTTTTCACAGCCTCAGAGGGGCAAAGTTAGAATTTCTGGTTTCTAGCAGGGCAGCAAGGGGCACAGGGAGCCGGGACAATCTGTGGGCAGAGGAATGGGGAGTGGTGCCCACTGTCTCCGAGGGGTCCCAGGGAATAGGTGGCAGAAGGATCCAGAGGAAAACTGAAAAACACAATCACTCATCTGGTTGTTTTATGTACTTATGGCCAAACATCCAGATACTTGAAGGCATTTAGGTAACAGGGGATGTGCCCTTTTTTAAAGAATGTTTGTGATTCCCAAGAGAAAACTTCCTGAATACCATGCCCAGATTCTGCCTGATGATGCTGGTCTGGTACATTTAAAACTTTTTATCCAGAGGGATTAATTAAATGCAATCCACTGCACCAGGTGCTGGGGACAGGTGTGGGACATAGGGAAAAGATCCATAAATCACTCCCTGTTGAAGTCTGGGAATTTATCATCCAGTTGTGGCGATGAAAGCCCCATATAATGAGAAGTGAAGTAACAGTTGGAGTCAGTGGAACAGATCCTGGGGCCCTTGGGACTTAGAAGCAGGGGACGGCACCTCAAGCTGAGAAGGGGGTTGGAGGAGGGGAGTCTGGGACTCGGGTGGCCTCTGAAGACTGAACAGGATTTCAGTAAGTGCAGAGGAGGTGAGAGAGCCAGAAATGGGCAAAGGACAGCAGCAGGGCAGCGGCAGGAACAGTGAGGGAACACAGCAAGGTGATGATTTGTACATATGAGGCTATGGAGGGAGGGAGCTTGAACCAGGAGACAGACAGACAGGCAGACAGACAGACAGGCAGACAATGGAGAGCCCTGAAGGGCAGGGGCAGCCCAGGGCTTGGAGACACAAGGAATGACGCTCCGTTCCATTGGGGAGAAAGGACCATGGTGGTGACAGGTCATGACTCACAGCTCAGTTGAGAAGTATCTCTGAGAAGCTGCCCTGCAGCCCTGCCTGCCTTCGGGAGGATCCATCCTCAAGTTGGGGGTCCCTGCTCACTCCACCTGCCCAAGAGTTCCTTCCTTCGAAGGAGGGTCCAGA
The DNA here is from genome assembly GCF_000001405.40 of Homo sapiens. Taxonomy (NCBI): domain Eukaryota; kingdom Metazoa; phylum Chordata; class Mammalia; order Primates; family Hominidae; genus Homo; species Homo sapiens. The sequence goes on along the minus strand of NC_000013.11, from coordinate 99,847,713 downwards.
GCCCCAAAGCTACTCAATGTTGTCTTTGGAATGGGTATCTGTACGTGGGTTTCTCAGGTGGGCTCCTCTCCAGAGCACTGAAAGAATTCTGGAAGCCCAACAGTATGGTAGCATGTGGACCCACTCCCTGGCACGTGCCTTCTAATTGGTCTCGCTTAGCCCGGGCTCAGTGAGGAAAGAGAAGGTAGCTGCCTTCCCCAACCGACTGGTACAAAGTACAGTCAGGAGCAAAGCTGCTCTCTCCCTCTTAACTCGCTATATTTATGTTTCCCCACTTCTCCGGGTTAGAGGAGGTAATTAACTGTTTTGGTTTAAAAGCCTCCTGCTGGGTCTCAGTCTGCGTGGGAGAATAAAAGTAAACAAGCAAAAGGGAACAGTGTCATCAAAGGACCTCGTACCTAGCTTTCTTCATTATGAGGATGAAAACGTGCCTTTTTCCAAAGGTGCCATGAATTACCTGTGCAGGGCAGGGTCCGCCAGCCTTTCACTCTTTTTAACGGTAAATCAAGAGTGATTGGCTCATAATTTAATGGGGCAGCCTTACCATGGTTCCAGATACACATCAGATAACAGACGTGTCACCTGTCCCTGGCCTGAGCAGTTTAGAGTGATGTTCACAACATCTTTCAGCCAGTGACTCCCTCTAGTTCTCCAGCTGACCTGATACACATTACTGGAAGCCGATCCAAATTGTCCCCTTCACACAGATATCAAAAACCAATTTGTTAAAAAAAAGCAAACTTTTTTTCATTTCTGTGGAGGAAAACACTTATTTCCCTGCCCATCATCAATTTCTGCAGGTATGAGTTGGGCAGGTATGAGGATGCCCTAAGGTGGGTTAAGACCGACTCAGCTGTGCCCACGTTGCTGTAGGAGACTCCTGTCTGCATGCCAACTGCTTCTACAACACTTCTCTAAGGTGCTGACATAAAGAATCTTGTCTCCATAAGTAGATTATAAAGTTTATCCACAGAAGTATAAATGTCTAATGACAAGACACACATAGCCTTGCAACTAAACAAACTGAGCCAATGCTAATTTCAGCCAGCGGCAGAAGCCAGTCCTTGACTTCTTGTCTTCTGGAGGAAGCACTGCCTTGTGTGGCAGGGCAGCATCCCAAACAAGGATTCTTTATATTCAGCAGCACATTAATTAGTCTTCCTGGCAGACACGAATGAAGAAATCAGGTAATACAATCAGCTATGTGATGGCAGGAATGGAACACAAAGAAATACTTCCTGCAGGTACGTGATACTGCATCATTATTTTCACAAACTATTTTTAAAGTAGACAGGGCTTTAAAACAAAAAGGAATAAAAAATATCTCCACACAGGCGGAGCTTGCAGTGAGCTGAGATCATGACACTGCACTCCAGCCTGGGTGACAGAGTAAGACCCCGTCTCAAAAAAAAAAAAAAAAAAAAAAATCTCCACACAATATTTGGTAATATTGGTAATATCCATCAACATTCGTAATGTTGGTTCCACCTTTGCATGTTTTCATTTCTGTTGCTTAAATATATACTGAGTCCTTTAGATCATTTATTTTACTTATGTATTTTGTAGAGACAGGGTCTTGCTCTGCTGGCCCAGGCTGGAGTGCAGTGGCTATTCACAGGCACAAACAGAGTTCACTACAGCCTCATGCTCCCCCATTTATTTTTTTTTATTCTTGGTTGTTTTGCTTCCTAATTATTTCCCAAAGAAAACTATAACTGAAAAATGGCTTTGTTTTTTTTTTAGGTGGCAAATATATAAGCATTTTTAAGGGTAGTACTTTTCCATCCTATTCTTTGTCAATTTTATTTTCTTCAAAAATCAACAAGGAAAAGAAAAATATAATGTGGAAAAACCAGAAAACGAAGGAGAAGAAGGACGGCCAGCAGGACACTTAATTTTTTAAAAAAGGCAGACTGAGGATCGCTGGAGAACAGAGGCTGTTACAGCTAAGGGCCCCCCAGCAAGGACCAGGCCCCCGGGAGGTGGCTTCTCTTCGCAGCCTGTCGCGGTGTGCCACAGTTCCTCTGAAGATGTGTATCGTGGAGCAAGTGGCAGAGCCTGCGTCATGTCACCTAGCTCACAAACACTGGGAGCTTCCGATCTTCTATAATTAAATGTTTTCCTCGAGCAAATGCTAATAAAACAATGCCGTGGCTGGCACCGCATTTGATTTCCATCGCGCTTTCCACCTTCTCCTCCTGCCAGCTCTTCACATTGACTTTTTCCGCAGCTTCATTCCTTCACTGGTGCCAGGCAGGCGCACTGCACAACCACTTGGGTTTTCTTCCCTCTTTTTGCGCCCGGTGAATTTTCATAAAGCATTTAACGTGAGAACAAGCAGGTTAATTTCCCGTGCCGTTGAGCCAGGCGCCCTGCAACACTGCCATGTTTTGGCTTCTGAGTCAGAGGCCTTGGTCCCAGTGGCAAAAACTCTTGCCAGAGCCTTCTCTGTGCAGACACCAGGTGTGATTTAGCATAACAGATTGTGTGGACGTTCAACGGCTTCTCTAAACCGTGCGTCAAAACGAAATTGTATCCTTCATGCGAGATGAAGATGAAAGTCTCCTGGGCTGGAAGTTCTGCCAGGAAGGGCCTCTGGACATACAGGAAGTGGGAAAATCACCCCACCTTACAACATATGCCTAGTTTCAGGACCACTAACGTTCTCTTTCACAATATTAGTACCTGGTTAAAATCCCCCATCATATCACAACGCTGTTTTCCTCTGATGGTAGGTAGGCAATGAAGGATTTTTAAAAAACATAAAAAGAGGATGGAAAAAATGGAATTGTACGGAAATTTAAAACCTCATTGAATCCGGTCTTTGATACCTAGTCAATGGCTTGAACCATGCATGAAGCCCTGGTTGACAGTGACTTTGAATGCCCACGCGCTAGGTGTCAGCTCTCAGGCTATGGGGAAGACTTTCAGGGAAAAAGCCGAGCTTTGTGGCTGCCACAGTGTAGACCCGAGATGAGAACAGCCTGTTTTCGAAGATGGCAAGATTAGTGTGCCTCAAGAGAAGGGCAGGCCCGAAGCTGAGACACAGGTCACCCCACAGGGAGAGTGACTGAAGTCACAAGAGGACACCGAAGATGATTTGAGGACAAGCTTAGCAAACACGACTGCCAGAATCACCGGCCTTTTTATCCAGACCACTGCCAGGGGGATCTTAACACTGAGTGATGTGCAGGCAGCTAACAGAGAGGACCAATGGTGTCCCAATGGTGTGCCAACACCAGGGGCTTGGGGACAAAATACATGTGTTCCAACGTTCAAAATCACCTGATAACGATGATGTCAATATATACACAGTCCTCTTCTAACTTTTCAAAGGGCTTTCATGCCTGTGATCTCATTTGCCCTCACAACAGTCCTGCAGTGTGGACAGCACAGATTTTATTATCCACATCTGCCTGAAGAACAGAGAGGTTAGGAGACTTCTCTGGAATCCAGACAACTAGGCAGCACTTGAGGTGAGGCAGAACTCCCATCTTGGGCTCCCAATCTTGCATTTGTCTGCAGAACCCTTCCTTACACCCTCGAGGGTCGGTGAGTTACCCGATAGCCTGTAATAAACTGTTTTGTTTTCTGCTTACACTCAGTAAACGAAATTCTGTGGTTAGCTGCCAGCAGCCCCGGCCAGTACGGCAACCACACTGCACATGCATTCTGTCACCGGCCTTTTTTACTCAGCCACAGGCAGGGTATCTGTTTATGCTCGACATGATCCGCACAATCATTTGTAATGACTTCCAAGTATTCTATTGCATGGATAGGCCAATTCCCTATGGAGTAAGATTTAATTTTTTGGCCAGGCATGGTGGCTCACACCTGTAATCTCAGCACTTTGGGAGGCCGAGGTGGGCAGATCACCTGAGGTCAGGAGTTCGAGACCAGCCTGGCCAAGAGGGCGAAACCCCATCTCTACTAAATATACAAAAATTAGCCAGAAGTGGTGGCGCACGCCTGTAATCTCAGCTACGTGGGAGGCTGAGGCAGGAGAATCGCTTGAATCCAGGAGGCAGAGGTTGCAGTGAGCCAAGATCATACCACTGCACTCCAGCCTGGGTGACAGAGCAAGGCTCTGTCTTAAAAAAAAAAAAAAAGATTAATTTTTCCCCAGCTGTTTGCCATTAATATGTTCATTTCATTCAAGAAATATTTACTGAATATGCTTTATGTGTCAGCTACCATTTTAGGTAATGGAGAGAACAGCTCCCTGCCTACATGGAACTTATATTCCAGTCAGGAAAACAGCTAAGAAACAAGTAAGCCAATAAACAATTGTAGACTGTGAAACTATGAAGATAGCAGAATTAACTAATGGGATAGGAGTGATGGGGGTGTAGCGACTGAGACAAGGTGGCAAGACAGCTTCTTTGGGGATGTGACAGTTGCCCTGATTCCCGAAAGATGATAAACCTAGCTGCAACAAATATCCCAGAACATTCATCTTAGAGTCCTTTTGTCTGACTGATCCCTTAGGACAAATCCTGGAAGTGGAAATGCCAGGCCAAATTACCTGCTCACTGAGGCTCCAAAGGAATGACCATGAGGCTCCAACTCTCACAGCCTCCTGCAAGCCATCCTGCTTCAAGTCCTCACTGTGCTGATGGCTGCCTGTGTACGAGACAGGGACAGTCTCTTAACCTCACTGTGCCTCAGTTTCCTCATGTGAAAGATGGGGATAAGAATAGTGCTTGACTCAAGGGTTGGTGAGTATTGAAATCATATAACGTAAGTGGTTAATAAATGTTAGGTTAAAAAAAAATGCCTTTTTTTCCCCCCGCAAAGGGATAGGGTTTTGCTATGTTGCCCAGACTGGAGGGTAGCGGCTATTTATAAGCACCATGACAGCTTGCTGCTGCCTCAAACTCCTGGGCTCGAGGGATCCTCCTGCTACAGCCTCCAGAGTAGCTGGGACCACAGGCTGACACCACATGGTCTGGCTAATATATCCCTATTTTAACATGTAAACTAAAATTGCTTTTTTTTTTAAAAAAAAGGGCTGTACAGATTTAAACTCCCATTTCCTGTGCACACCCACTTGGGGTTGGTTCTGAGTTCATATTAGGTTGGCCCTGTTTTCAGTAACCAGATGTCCTTACACCAGCACTCTGACCACATTGAGGACTGGGAAGGTAGCTTATTTATAGCTCTTGTGTCCCTAGTGCCTGACCAAAAGGAAAGAACAGGAAGCTAGTCTTTTGGCACCAGGAGAGAGTCCTAGAGGGGGCAAATCAACTCACAGACAACGAGAGGCAGCCTGTTCATTGATGGGGTTCAGGACACACTACCCAAAATGTACATTTGAGAAAACAGCAGAAGCAGGAAGGTCTTTCTCTCACCTTTCCCCCACCCTTCTCCCCAAAGCAGTCAAAAACTTTCATTCCAGAGGTGCCCTCTCTATCCCTAAAGGAAAGGAACATCCTTATCCTTGAAGACACAGAGATGCCAAGAAGAACCTGAACAAACAGGCCTTGCCAAATTCCCCTCGGTTTATTACTGCTAGATCATGCCCCCTCATCCAATCACACTTCTACACGACTGTCGACTTGCATCAAATCTAAGCATAAAAATACATAGGTGTTCCAGCTGGGCACGGTGGCTCACGCCTGTAATCCCAGCACTTAGGGAGGCCAAGGTGGGCAGATCACCTGAGGTCAGGAATTGGAGACCAGCCTGGTCAACATGGTGAAACCCTGTCTCTATTGAAAATATAAAAATTAGCCCTGGGTGTGGTGGTGTGCACCTGTAATCCCAGCTACTCAGGAGGCTGAGGCAGGAGAATCTCTTGAACCTGGGAGGTGGAGGTTGCAGTGAGCTGAGATCAAGCCAATGCACTCCACCCTCGGTGACAAAGTGAGACCCTGTCTCAGAAAAAAAAAAAAAAAAAAAGGAAAAGAAAAGAAAAGAAAAGAAAGAAAAAAAATACATAGGTGTTCCTGTTTCTTTGGGTCTTATTTAGGAAGGTTCCCACGTTGTCACGTAAAGCTTAAAGTAATGTGTGTGGCCGGGCGCAGTGGCTCACGCCTGTGATGCCGGCACTTTGGGAGCCTGAGGCAGGCAGATCACCTGAGGTCAGGAGTTCAAGACCAGCCTGGCCAACATGGCGAAACCCCATCTCTACTAAAAATATAAAAATTAGCCAGGCGTGGTGGCACGCGCCTGTAGTACCAGCTACTCGCGAGGCTGAGGCAGGAGAATTGCTTGAACCCGGGAGGCGGAGGTTGCAGTGAGCTGAGACTACACCACTGCACTTCAGCCTGGGTGACAGGCTGAGACTGTCTTAAAAATAAATAAATAAAAAAAAAAAGTATGTATGTGTTTTTCTCCTGTTAATCTGTCTTTCATTATAGGTACCTCAGTCACGAACCTTAAGATGTGTGAGGAAAACGTATTACTTTTTCTCTCCTATGGCATCTAGTTTTAGACCTCTCATTTTGTATGAAATCAGATCTTAAAGATCTAGAGTCTACTTTCCTCCGTGCGCCGTGCTCTTCAGGTTGCTGAATTCTTCAGGAATCCAGGTAGGCCTAGTATGCTCTCCACCTCTCGATAAAAAATTACAAAGAGCAACCTGCTCAGTGCTTTTGTTCCAAATTAGAAACCTTAAGTCCGGAATCAGTTTCTCAGCAGAAACACAGGCTATAGGTTGCAGATGGTCCTTTACTCATTGCAGTGTGAAAGTACTTCATAATATTAGTATGGAATGTGACCACATTCCATTTCTTCCTCTGTCCATCTGCTGCTGTTATGGTTTAGGTGAGAGAAATGATTTTAAAAGGATGTAAATCTGGACTGCGTGTAAGCTGACTTCATAAGCCATATTTAATATGTTTGGGCAACAAACACTACCTTGGTACTGTTTAACTAAGAAGGCAGTAGGGAATACGGTTTTCTGCCTTTTTTCATATGCATATGTAACCCTTTTTTTTTTTTTTTTTTTTTTTTTTTTTTGAGACAAGGGTCTCACTCTGTCACCCAGACTGGAGTGCAGTGGTACGATCACAGCTCACTGCAGCCTTGACCTCCTGGGCTCAAGTGATCCTTCCACTTCAGCCTTCCAGGTAGCTGGGACTACAGGCGCATGCCCCCACGCCTGGCTAATTTTTTGTAGAGACAGGTTTTCGCCATATTGCCTAGGCTGGTCTCTAACTCTTGTGCCCAAGCAATTCCCCTGCCTCAACCTCCCAAAGTGCTGGGATTACAGGTGTGAGCCACTGCATCTGGCCTTTTGGTTTTTGTTAAATTTATTTTTAATAGAGACAGGCTGTCGCTATGTTGCCCAGGCTGGTCTTGAACTCTTGGCCCCCAGTGATCCTCCCACCTCAGCCTCCCAAAGTATTGGGATTACACGCATGAGCCACCGTGCCTGGCCTGCATATGTAACCTTTTTGAATGGAGGTGGTTATGATTAAGATGGGTGAATTGTATATAGTGATTTTTTTTTTTTTTAAGGAAAGGAGAGTAAGGGCTCAGGAGGAGAATGAAGGGATGAGGACCACAAGGACAGAGTTCCCGAGGTCTCCTGGTGTCTCTGACCATCGCAGGGTTGTTAGTCTTGTCTCTATAACCAGATAGATGAGACAGACATTGAGGTTGGGACTGTGTTTGAAGCCCTCAGAGTTCCCAGCGTGGGGTGGGGCACAGAGTAGCTACCCTTCCTGGGAACTATATGCTTGTAAGATAGAGAATAGAAGGATGGTTACCAGAGGCTGGGAAGGGGTGTGGGGAGTGCGGGTGGGTGGGTGGGGAAGTGGGGTTGGTTAATGAGTACAAAAAAAAATATGAATGAATAAGACCAAGTATTTGATAGCACAGCAGGGTAACTATTTTTAATTGCACATTTAAAAATAACTAGAAGGGTATAACTGGATTGTTTGTAATACAAAGGATAAAGGCTTGAAGGAGATGGATACCCCATTTTCCGTGATGTGATTACTGCTTTTTGCATGCCTGAATCAAAGTATCTCATGTACCCCATAAATATATATATACCTACTATGTACCCACAAAAAATTTTTAAAAGATTAATCTTTTAAAATTCCATGCCCCTCCCCACCACTCTGTTCTGTCTCTCTGTCACCCATACACACACCCAATGGTGTGTCACACACACACACGAAGCATTATTTCCTCATGTCTGTCAGATTCGTATAGCTAGGATTCTTTCTTGTATTTTGTAAACATCATCAGCAGGTTAGGTCCTGGAGTGAGAATCACAGAATCAGAGTCTTGGAGTTGGGAAGAGTCTTCATAGTTACCTCAGGAGCTCTGGCCAAGGCAAGAGCCCTGCCATCCTCTTGGCAACTGATGATCTGTTTCTGTGTAAACACAGCCACTGGATGGACCTTCAGATATGTAAGTGTGGTCCGTATGTTTCCCTGGGTCTTCTGTCTTCGAACCCTCCTAGTTCTGATCATTGTCTCTCTGAAACCCTCTGATACACTTTCAACATCCTCTGCCCTCTTGAGTTGCCCTGCTCTGGACATACCCAGGTTTGGTGATGCCCCTTCTAAACTCTGAGCAGGCGCTCCCACTGCTCTTCCAGATGCTATGCCCCACCTGTAAGTGCATTAATTCCTGGCTGGCTGGCTACACTGTTGACTCACATGGAGATTGATAAAAAGGTTTAGTTGATTACAAATGTAACTCTTCATCTGCTCAATATGCTTAACAATATGGTCTTTAGGGTAGTCTTCTCAAATCTAACCATTCTTAATACCAGTTGCTCAGTTTTCCAAAAGGCTTTTAAGAATGTGAAATGTAGGCCAGGCGCCGTGGTTCACGCCTGTAATCCCAGCACTTTGGGAGGCCGAGGCGGGTGGATCACGAGGTCAGGAGATTGAGACCATACTGGCTAACACAGTGAAACCCTGTCTCTACTAAAAACACACACAAAAAATTAGCCAGGCGTGGTGGCGGACACCTGTAGTCCCAGCTACTCGGGAGGCTGAGGCAGGAGAATGGCGTGAACCTGGGAGGCGGAGCTTGCAGTGAGCCAAGATTGCGCCACTGCACTCCAGCCTGGGTGACAGCATGAGACTCCGTTTCAAAAAAAGAAAAAGAATGTGAAATGTTTGACAATTTATAGTAATATGGGAAGATTACAGCATTTAACAAAAGTCAGTGTTAGCATTCTTCTGAAGCTGAAAAACAATACATGGATTGAGAATTTTTCAGCAACCCATTTTTATGTGCCTTGAAAAATATGCCACACACGGTGGCATTTCTGAGATAAAAATTGTAGGCATCGGGGCCTCAGTTTCTACAAATGCAAGATAAACTCTAAGGTTCTTTCTGGCTTTAACATCCAACATTCTCTGTATAACCCTCCTCTGATCAGTTATCTCGAAAGAACCCCCCTCCTCCAAACAGTAGAGATACTCACTTTTGTTACTTCTTTTTGAATAAAAATAACATATTGCTGGCCTAATATGTCAACTTACTATGCATCTTATGGTAGGAAAATGCAAAATATCTAATGTTTTGAGTATCCCTTAGTTTTAAATATAAAAGCTTTCAATCTTTGTCATTTTTGATAAAAATTATGTTTTAAAAAGTTAGCTGAAACTTAATATTTACCTTTATAAATACATCTAATATATAATTACTTATGCATATTTGAAGAATAGATAAAAACTATCATTTTTAAACTGTATTCAAGAAGCATTCACAGATATAAAAGCATTGGGATTTTGAGAACTTAAAACCACTTGACAGAGAGGAGGGAAAACCAGAGATATCATGTAAAAAATAATATTTGTAATTTACAAAAATGTTTCTCATTTATGGTTAAGAAGCTTAGTACACGTTTTGGTATGTAGAGATTTCTGTCTCCACTCTTCTTGGGGATATCCACTTTATTTGGTTTGATGGGTGTGTGGTGGGGCTCGGACACGTGCTTCTAAAGGCTCCCCTTGTGACCCTGCTGGACGGCCAGGGTTGAAAAGCTGCTGCGCTGGTGCACACATAAATGCCTCGCCTATTGGGCAAACAGTGCCCAAAGCACAGAGAAGAAAGACCTGCCTGAGAAGAGGAACTCAGCAGCCCCTTGAGCACGTGCCATGAATCCTCACAGAGCATTTTCCCATCACACAGATCTCCACGAGGTAGCTCCATTTTACTAGGTGACATTTCTACTTGCAACACTACTGGCAAATATTGTGGCTAAAGCAACTTGAAATCATGATAATTTCTGCTCTTGGTTGGTGACCTATATCATGACTGTTTTTTAAACATTTTATTTTATTTTCGAGACAGGGTCTCGCTCTGTCACCCAGGCTGGAGTGCAGTGATGCAATTACGGTGCTCACTGCAGCTTCAACTTTCCAGGCCCAAACGATCCACCCACCTCACCCCCACAATTAGTTGAGGGTACAGGTGTGTGCCACCATACCTGGTTAATTTTTCTTTACTTTTTGTATAGACAGGATCTCACTGTGTTGCCCAGGCTGGTCGCAAACTCCTGGGCTCAAGCGATCCTCCTGTCTTGGCCTCCCAGAGTGCTGGGATTACAGATGTGAGCCACCACACCTGGCCCTGACCCTTATTTTTCCAGTTCCCACCTGTGCACTGAAGGCAAGAATCCTATGAGAGCTGAGCAGGAAGACAATGATATGCATTAAGTGGGGACCTCTGAGGCCAACTCTCCTTTTTTTTTTAATTATTATACTTTAAGTTTTAGGGTACATGTGCACAACGTGCAGGTTTGTTACATATGTATACATGTGCCATGTTGGTGTGCTGCACCCATTAACTTGTCATTTAGCATTAGGTGTATCTCCTAATGCTATCCCTCCCCCTTCCCCCACCCCACAACAGTCCCCGGTGTGTGATGTTCCCCTTCCTGTGTTCATGTGTTCTCATTGTTCAATTCCCACCTATGAGTGAGAACATGCGGTGTTTGGTTCCAACTCTCCTTTTACAGCTAAGCAAGGACCACAGAAATGAAATAATCTCTCTAGCACCACCATCTTGGAAGAATTTAATGATTTAAGTGGCATTGTTTTCTGACTATAAAAGCAATATATACTTTTTATAGAAAAAGCTTAAACATAGGAAAGTGCATATAAGTATTTTAACAGATCCCTGTAATCCATCACACTGTGGCACCGTGGCATCACCATGCAGAGCCCTGAAACTGGGACTTTGTCCTCTGAATCGGTAGTTACTAGACACTGTGACAATGGTTAAGTCCATTCTTCATACACCTGCATTTGGTGCGGGCCTATTTCCTCCTGGCCCTACCTCCTACCTTACTGCACTGTAGCTTCTGGAAGGTTACAAATTCCCTCACATAAGCAGCCACTCCCTGGAACACTGTCCACTCTGTGTGCTGGAACTGAGGCTTGGCTTTGTCCTGCTTTGTGTCACCACCCTCTCCAGGGGAAGAAACGCCTCACTCCCCTGTATGCAGGGCCAGGGGTAGAGGGAGACATCTTCTAGATCTGCGTCTCTGTCCTCCTTCGCCTCACCAACCAACGCTCCCCCTGGCAGAGTCCACACTGTCTGACTGTGTCACCCTTTCAAGTCCCCCTCATACTCACGGCTGGAAGCTTCTCCAAGCAGCGCCAGGAGAAATCCCATCTCATGACTGCATGTTCCCCAACACCCACCCTGAGGACTTGGTCATACTTTGGCCTCACTTTTCTCAAAATTGCCTCATCCCGAACTCTCAAGCCCTGAAATCCACCTCTCTAATGACAGCTCCTCCCTGAGCTGCCCCTTGTCGTTGTCATCTGGTTTACCTTCCCCTGTCTTCCAAGTCCTGGCCCCTGGGCGGTCAGCTCACTGTCAGATTTTCTTGCCAATCTACCACCTACCCTGGACTTCCTGGTTAACTGTGCACAGTGATACCTTCACAGCATCCTCAAGTCTTGTCTCTGTTAGTTCTGTTTTACTCTTACCTGGGTCTGGGATTTGGCTTGCTGGGGGAAAAAGGCCTTCATCATTCACTCAGCTGTTCAACTACTCAGCTGTGTTAGGCACTGTTCTAGGTCCTGGGGATGCAAAAATGCAATAAAGAGCAATGCAAAAATGCAGTGCAGGGTGATGTGCAGATATCACATGTGGTTGCACAGGGGTGTGGCAGAGACAGCTGATGGCTCACAGCAACCATTCTTCCTTTTCCTTTGAGTTTTGGCACTTCTTAAAGCCTGCATATCCCAGACCCACTTGCAGCTAGCATGCGAATGGAACAGAAGTGGTGTAGGCAACATTTAACCCTTAAAAGGAAGCCACCTGCCCTCCACTCTCTCTTCCTCCATCTCCGATGCTGGAACTCAAACATGGTAGGGTGAGCCGGCATCAGCCATGCAGATGAGGATGTCAGAGCAACAGGGCAGACGCAACGTGGGTCTCTGAATGAACATGGAGGAGGAGCACTTCCCACCTGCCTTGGACCACCCGGCTACCTCTTTCTGTGCTGTTGGGTGAGAGAGAAATAAACTTCATTTGGTTTGAGCTGCTGTTGCTTTGTGTCTTTTCTGTTGTAGCAGCTTAGCCTGCACGCTGACACAAAAGCAGAGATGAATCAGCCGCTCATAGAGGGTAGAGGCGACGGTGAGAACAGAGTAGTGGCAGGAGCAAGAAAAGCATCTGGAAAGAGGTAACCACAGAGAGACAGGCTCTGGGCTTTGGCACTACTTGGCAATCTTTTTACTGATCTTGGAGAATTCCCTTTCTCACTGTGTGTGTTAGGAAGAGGGAGGTGTGTTCCAACAATAGAGGGAAGAACAATAGGTAGAATTTGGGGGTAAGTGTACATGATTGTTTTAGTTTAGAGGTGTTTGCTTAGGATCTCGATCACATCACCTCTTGACCGTCAAAATTCTGAACCAATTGAACAATAAGACAAAAGTGTCAGCAGGAGGAGAATTAGAACATTTCCTTCATTTCTGATAAAGGCTGGGTTGAGGACAGAAGTGAGTGAAAGAGCCACATGGTCTTTTAATACTGGGCCATAGAGTTAGACTGACTTATCATCAGGCTGCAGAGGACCGAGAACATCCTGTGTGGCAGAGAGTGGGCCCCGGGGAGCAGGGAATCAGTCACACTGCCTGTGGGCAGCCCACACCCTCGAGGAAGGAAAAAGGAGGAGGCAGAGCTACATATGCCAGGATAGCCACTGGGTGCATCACCCTGGCTCTGCGGAGATGTGGGCTGGGGTGGGAGAACCACAGCACTGCACCAGTGGAGCTCCCTCCTGAAGGAAAGAAACTTCAGGAAGGGGGAATGAGTGTTCCCTGCAATGCTGACTTTGAGGCTCCTGCAGGCCACCTGGGAAGGCCTTAGGATTCCTTCTCTCATAAGCCCCCTATATGAGTCAGGACTGAGTAATCTATTATGGGACAGGACCTACTCGTATGCCCTCCCAGGCTGTGGGCTCACCAGGAGTCCTGGCATAAGCAGGTTGAGACTGAGTTACTTCCTGGGCCCACCTGCTTGACACTGGCTTGGCACCTTGGCAGGCATTACTTTATTTTCTCCCAAGGCTCCCGTGGTCCTGAGGGGTCTCCCAGTCCTCTTGGAGCACCTTAAAGCTGCGTGAACCAGGCACTGGCCAGAAGGTTACCTGTGGGACTCTGGCTTTGTTCTGCCTCCCACTGCATGCTCAGCCATGCCCACCTCTCTCGCCAGTTATCCCTCCCACTTCCAAGGAGGCAGGGCTGGAAGTGCCCAGGTGTCCTCAAAATAAGCAACACAGGGCTGCGCATGGTGACTCACACCTGTAATCCCAGCACTTTGGCAGGCTGAGGTGGGCAGATCACGATATCAGGAGACCGAGACCATCCTGGCCAACACAGTGAAACCCCATCTCTACTAAAAATTCAAAAATTAGCTGGGTGTGGTGGTGTGTGCCTGAATCCCAGCTATTCGGGAGGCTGAGGAAGGAGACTCACTTGAACCAGGCACTTGAACCAGGGAGTTGGAGGTTGCAGTGAGCCGAGATTGCGCCACTGCACTCTAGCCTGGCGACAGAGTGAGACTCCATCTAAAAAAAAAAAAAAAAAAAAAAAAAAGCAACACGGTAACCCCGCTTCCTGTCACATTTGGTGCTCAGGGGCTCTGGCAGTGCCAAATACCTAGGCACTCAGGGATGGTTCTGTCTTTGAGTATGTGTTGGGGGAGGTGACTGGAGGACTCTGATGGCAGAGTTCTAATGACTTATTTATGCATTAATTCATTCACTCATTTTTAGTTTGTACTTTCCCATAAGTTGGGAAAAATGGGTTTACTACTTTCCACACCATTATGTAGCTATGGCAGCAATTCAAAGATTCTAATGTAATATAACATTTAGGGCTTATTTAATCCTTCTTTCCTTTAAGAATAAGAATTGGTGGAATAAAAATATAAACTACTGGCCGGGCACAGTGGCTCATGCCTGTAATCCCAGCACTTTGGAAGGCTGAGGTAGCTGGATCATGAAGTCAAGAGATCGAGACCATCCTGGCCAACATGGTGAAACCCCGTCTCTACTAAAAATACAAAAAATTAGCCAGGTGTGGTGGCAGGTGCCTGTAATCCCAGCTACTTGGGAGGCTGAGGCAGGAGAATCGCTTGAACCTGGGAGGTGGAGGTTGCAGTGAGCTAAGATCGTGCCATTGTACTCCAGCCTGGGCAAAAAGAGCGAAACTCCATCTCAAAAAAAAAAAAAAAAAAAAAAAAAAAATATATATATATATATATATATATGTATGTATGTATGTATATACTACTTAATGAAATGATATATGACAATACTTCAAAATCTCTTAAACTGTACCATTAACATATAATGGTTATATAATGAATTCTTTTGGGTTTTTTTCTTTTATTTTTTCTTTTCTTCCTTCTCTCCCCTCCTTTTCTTTCTTTTTTTTCCCTTTAACAGATTTGATATAACATATCCCAAATTCAATTTGCCTCCACTGGTGGTCCTATGGATCCATTACTGATGTTTTCCTCCCACTCTGTGACACCAATGGATAATATGAAAGCCAAGTTCCTAATTCTAACTGTGACAAGTGGTAAATGGCCAGCTTGCCCAGTCCACTTAAGGGATGAGTTCTTGAACTCCCTTGAATGATAACTTCAGGACTAGAGAATTATGTCCAACAATAAAAGTCCTTTTCAGGGTGTTTCTCAGTTTTTACATAAATTTAAATATGCTGGTTCAACCCCACACCCAGTCTAAGTTGCCTAGATACTCACCCCATCAGATCTTATCACTATCCAATGACATGCCCTGTCTATACGTTGGCTTCTTCTACCTGGGTACCAGGTTGTAAGTATTTAATACATGTTGTTGAATTGAATTCAATAAGAAGAAAAAGAAGTAGAGGGAAGGTAACAATGAGGTCTAAAGTGGGTTCTTTTAAGAGATCATTTGAGGACGTGGAGGGAGAAACAAGTGGTACGACCCAGTGGTCTCGCACCATGGAAATGCAAAGCTGCCAGGAAGAACCGAGACCACTACAGGATAATTGTTTTCAGTGTTTCCCTAATGGGAGTCAACCATCAAAGCAAAGTTTCTCAGATGCTGGAACTGGATTGTGAAAAGCAAATAAGAACACAATGTGCTGTTAAAAATCATTCCCTTGGAAATAAATACATCCAATATTGCCGCAAACACTGTAAGCTATTCATCCTCGACTGGAAGCTAGTAAATTCATTAACATCATATTCTAACATTGAAATGAAGACTGTGTTGGAAAACAGTTATCAAAAGATCTATTGAGACAGAGCTCTGAGAAGAGGCCAAGAAATTCTGGCCAAAAGACCAGATAGTGAACTGTTTGATAAATGTATAATAAAACAGCAGAATTGTATTGATACTATTGCTCTATGAAGCTAAAAATACCCTAAACCAGACAGGTTGATTGAGTGTGGATCTGGTACAGAAACAAAGTTACCAAAACAAGGCCAGGGATGGAGGGATATCAAAATGGGGCCCCTTTTTTTCTGGTAGCGTGTGTTTCCTTCTACAAAAAAAAAAAAAAGAAAGAAAATGGTGGTTCACTCAAGAAGCGGGTATTTACAGACAGCTATTACACGGGCAAAAAAAAATGCTTACTTCAAAAGATCTAATATTATTCTTCAATAATATTGTTAATGTGTTTTAAGATAGAGTTATTTTATTTATTTATTTATTTGTTCATTTTTTAAATTTTATTTTAAGTTCCGGGATATATGTGCAGGTTTGTTGCATAGGTAAACATGTGCCAAGGTGGTTTGCCGCACCTATCAACCCATCACCTAGGTATTAGGCCCAGCATGCATTAGCTATTTATCCTGATGCTCTCCCTCCACCTGCCTCCCTGAGAGTTCTTTTATTCTTATTATTAGTAAGAACAACCATGATGTTAATTAGGAAAAGAGACCTTGCAGCTCCTGATTAATGGTATCAATGATAATATATCTGAGGTGTATTAGTTTCTTAGGGCCACCATAACAAATGACCATAAAATTGGCAGCTTAAAACAACAAAAATGTATTCTTTCATAGTTCTGGAGCCCAGAAATGTGGACTTGAGGTGTGTGCAGGGCGCAGTCCCTCTCTAGCGGATCCTCCTTGCCTCCTGCAGCTCCTGCTGGCTGCTGGCAGTCCCTGCAGCTGCCGCCACCCAACCCCTGCCTCTTCCTTCATGTGCCCTTCTCCTCTGTGTCTGTCTTCTCCTCTGTGTCTGACTTCTCTTCTGTGTCTGACTTCTCTTCTGTGTCTGTCTTCTCCTCTGTGTGTCTCTGATTTCTCTTAAAAAGACACTTGTCATTGGATTTTGGGCCCACCCAGATAATCCATGATGGTCTTTTCTCGAGATCCTTAACTTCATCGGCAAAGACCATTTTTCCAAATAAGGTCACATTCACAGGTCCCAGGGATTAGGACATGGACTTATCTTTTCAATGCAATCCACGACTGGAAGCATATTCCATGAACAATGGAATGAACACTTCTTTAAAAGAGTTATTAGAAAGCAGTATGTTAACAAAGGTGAGTTCTCCCTTTTCCATCTCTCCCTCTCCTCTCTACATCCCTTAAGAGGAACAGTGCCTGGACTATTTGAGGTCTTTGGTAAGATCTCTAGGGGTGTCACTGTGTCCTAGGACACAGAGCTAGGGACTGTCACAGACTCACAGAGTAGTTGAGTTGGACAGAACTTAGAGGTAACTTGGGGCAACCCTAATCTCACATATGACTCCTCTCTGCAACATTCCTGGGCTGAGGGGCACCCACACTGCTCCAGTGTCTCCAAGTCCATCTTTATGTCCTTGGCTGGCTCTAGGTGCCACTTTCTATACCGCAGTGGTGCCTGGAACCACGCTCAGCCTCCTCATCTTTATGTGCGTCAGTGCCTGTCCTTCCCGTTGTGTTGTTCATCTCTACCAGGAGGGCACTGATCTAAACCACTGTCCTTAGGATGTGTGCATAGAGTAATTCTTTTCATCAAGAATGCTGGCTCTTCCACTTAGGCCTAATAAATATCTTTCATCATGCAGAAAATGCATTTTTAGATGACTGGCTGAGTTTCAGAATCACAGAATTTTAGGGCTGAAGAAAGCTCTACAATTATCTAGTCATTTTAGAAACAAGGAGACAAAAGTCCGAGAGAGAGATCAACAAATGACTGAAGGTCACTCTGATGCCGGGGGGAGAGCCAGGACTTGAACGCACATCCCCTGAAGCCCATCCGAGAGCTTGTTCACTACATCACATATGATTCAGAATGTGACCCAAAGCTTGCTCCGGTGTGAATTACGCTTGACATGCTGGCCCCCTTGGTGCCACCCCGTGAGACCATCAACCCAATGATCATATTCAACAATATTTCCTGAGTGTGTGCTATGGGCAGACAGGCTCTCCGCTCTCACGGAGCTTATACACTCAAGCGAGTAAATGATTAAACAGTACCTGAAAGGCTGCAAGGCTCTAATCAGCTGTCACATTTCGGAGTTGATTGGGACTGAGGTCAGCTTGTTCAGCTCCTGATCCTTCACTGTACCCTTAGAGGAAAGGTGACGTAACTGGAGCTAATGTCCCTACTTTAAAGGTTCCTAGAAGTGTCCAATGTCATCATTTGAGTCAAAAGCACCTATTGGTCTAGAAAATAATTCTCCTCACTTCCTTTCTAGTGCTCAATTCTAAGATAAACCAGAAACCCAAGATCAGTAATGACAACAACAACAACAACCCTGCTTTTATTAAAACTCATCATTGCCCATAAAATAAAGTAGATCTCTTGGGAAGAGTAAAGCCACCAACTAGCTACTTGTACATGAGAGAGGCATTTTCTGGTTGACACAGTGAGAAAAAAGCCCCAGATGGCGGATCTTTTTGGCATGGACTTCCCTGCTCCGGCTGTCTTAACGTGTTCCTTCACTGCATTCATTCTTCCTGCATCAGAACCGCCTTGGCAGTTTGCTTATTTCCAAGGAAGAAAAAAAACAGGAAGGTTTGCATCTGCAAGATTCCTACCTTCCTCCTTGGATGCTACGGTGCCTATTCACAAGAGGTGGTGACTAAAATGACCTGGAGCCTTGGGTGAAAAATTTCAAATCTCTGTCCTGTGACAGGTTCAACACATTCCCTTCCTCATGAGAAAGGAAAGGGGATTCGAGTTTTGGAGGGCGTTACCTGGGTGGGATCTGATGCCTGATGCAGATTCTGAATGTATTTGAAAACAGGTTTTGGCATGTGGGGATGCAGCACGTTGCATGGCTGCTGGCTTCAGAGTACATCCCGTGGGTTCATAGCCCTGTCTTCCGTCACGAGGAATCCCTGCCAATCTAGGGTCTGCACACTGCTTCTGCCAGCCAATCTCTAATTCAGCATATGTACAAAGCCAATTTTTGGACACCGTGATGGAGCCTGGCACCTCTGCCGCCCTCCATATTTGCAAGGCTCACAGTGAAATAACAAGCAATGAGCAAGAAAGAAAAAAAGATGACATGAAAAGGCTTTCTAAATTCCCAGATAAATGGTGTATGTATTATATATGTGTGTCTCCCTCCACCTTTTCCAACATAAGCTTACCCCATGCCTTTCCTTGTAGTTATTTCATTTAGGTTTTCAATCTGGGACGCACTTAGCAATAGCCAACACTGACGAAGAGAAAACCCTGCTCCCCACTGAGAACATCTGATTTTTAAAATGTAGAAATGCTGCTCTTTACAAAATAGGACATTTCCCTTTTAATTAGTTTCAAAATACACCCAAATAATTTGCCACTAGGAAATGATACCATTTTAGAGTGCTTAAAAATAATTCCCATGCATGCAATTTGATGAGAGGCCCAAGCTAGTGAAACCTTCATCTCTGAGATAAATTGAGCTGTTTCTGTGGGAACAGCTGTCGCTACCATGGGAAAATTCCCCTAACCCACAGGCTTTCATCACTGACTTCACTCAGAAAACCTGTGTTTAAGGTGTGTGTGTTGAAATATATGGGAACAATTGCTAATTGAGTCTCGAGTGCACCCGTCTGACTTAGCTGAAACTGTGGCTCTTCCTGCCTCCTTTCCCCTCTATAGAGTTTTTGCCCATCATCTAGTTTTTGAACAGTTCTTCAAAAGAGAACAGGTAGCCACAAAAACTCTATGGTGTTATTTCATGTTGTCTTTGAAAATAAATACATATATTGTGTTTGTACACCCTGCAATCCGTGGGTCCTGCATCCCCAGAAGGGCACCCCTCAGGAGGGGCATTTCAACTCTTCCCTGTGCACAAATGAAACGAAAATCTCTGAATCAAAGGGAAGGGGAGACTATGCAATTTTCTAATGTATATTTCTTCCAACACATGGATTTGATTCATGACAATGGCCAACTTTTTGACTATTCTGGTGAGATCCCTCCTCCTCTGCGCAAGTGAGCCTTGGCGGGTAGGCACGCTAGCATGGGATGAATGAACCCTCCCGAACCATACCCCATCCCCACATACGATGGCGCCTGTCGGGACAAAGCGAGAGTCTGAGCCTTGCATGTATAAATATAAATATTTCAAGAGCTTGGCTGCTGGCAAGCTTTGCACGGCATGCAGAAGCCAAGCTTGATTGCCCTGCCCTGGTGTGGGGCTCCCCAGGTGGCAGGGGCTGAGAGCGGGCAGTGTGGTTGGTAGGGGGTGGATGTGAGTGCCTCCAGTCATTCTGAGTAGCCCCTGGGCTGATTACTGACAAGGGCTGACAGGCTCCTAAGGGGAGGTCCTGTCCAGTTTCTTTCTGCAGCGGGGATGATGGGCCATGCATGGGGTCCTGAGGCAGAGACTGGGGACTTTTTTGTGTGACTGTGACTACATTCCTCATCAACAAGACCACGCTCATGGTCTCTTTGGAGGCCATTGACTCACTGGAGGATTACCATTAAGGGACGTCTGCTCAGTGGCGCCAGGTCCTTTCCCCACCCCTCAGGGGCTCCACCCAAGCCAGACAGAAGGGCAGGGCACTAGCTCTGGGAATTAGAGAGGGGAATCGATATGTGTATACGGAACACAGTCACGGACAATTGAAAAGGCTCACACGTAACCCCACTGGGAACTGCTTCCAACTGGAGTCTGTGGTAAATGACTCACGGAACCCAGACCCTGCCTCATCTGCCTGGGAATGGCCAAAGGTGAGCCTTGTAATGTTTGTGATTCAGACTTAAAGTGATTAAAATGTATATGAAGGGTTCCAGAAATGACCCTGGAGATAAAAATAATAACTTAAACAGGGAGGAGCATTTCTCTCCTGAGTGATCTTGGCACCTGGAATTATGAGATGACAACTTTTTCAAGTTTTAGTGTCTTTCAAGGAAAGACACCTTCATTGACACCTAAAGCTTACAACGTGAGTCCCACTGCCTCGGGCCCCGAGACAACTCCAGCTCGGTGGTGTATGGAGATTCCTCGCCAAGGGGCATGTGTTCCAACAGGGCGAGCATCTCAGGGAGTAAGGAGAGGCTGAACAGTGATGAGAACCAAGACAGATATGGGATTAGAATGCAGATGATTTGAACTCCCCACTTCTGATGAGGTAAAATGGATCAAGATTTTTAAAAGATAAAATATGTATCTTAGTTTTATCAAAGCTTAGTAGATTTCAAGATCAGAGTTGGACTATGATTTGGGATTCATTTGCCTGGTTTGTTGTTCCAGTAACACAGTTGGTTTTCCTAGTGAAAAGAAAATGTTTCATTTTCTGGACTGCTGAGAGTTGGATTGCAATAGAGTCAAAGAAAAAGGTAATCTCTGGATAGAGAGCAGCTGTATCAGTCAGGGCTGTCCAGAGAAACAGGATCCATAAGAGATACACAGATACATAGATAGACTTATTTTAAGTAATTGGCTCATGAGACTGTGGATTGACAAGTCTGAAATCTGCAGGACAAGCTGGCAGGCTGAAAACTCAGGTAGGCATTGATGTCATGGTTCTGAGGCAGATTTTCCTTTCCAGGAAACCCCAGTTTTGCTTGTAGGACCTTCAACTAATCAGAGGAAGCCCACTCACCTTATGGAGGGCAACCACCTATACATAAATCAACTGACTGTAGTGTTGACCACACTCACAAAATACCTTCCTTTTAATCAAACATCTAGTGTTTGATTAAATAACCGGGTACTATAGCCTATCTAAGTTGACACTTAAAATTGACCATCACAGTAGCTTTCTTCCAAACTGTGAAGAAATTTAAATACAGGCCTTCAGGCCCTGAAGAGTCTGGCCTTCTCCCTTCTAGAAAGATCCCATAAGCCACTGCCTACCATGTGAGTTACGATATACTGGCAGATCTGTAGCCCTTTGTCCAGTGGGGTGAGGCTGCAGATTCTGCAACTTGTGCGGATGGTGGGCAGAGAGGGGACTGGGAGGCAAACTGAAACAGCGGGCAGGAAGACCCATCCATTTGATGATGTCTATTCGGGTTCTACCAGTGTCCATGAGGGACTTACTACAATCACGGCCAGTGCAGGAATGGCAATCTGTGCCGCCCACCTGCCCAGTTCCTGACACACGTTCTCCCTCACCACATTCTCAGATATTCACTAAGTGTGCCTGTGAGCACGATGTGCTCTCAGCGTGTGCAGAGCCTCAGGAAACAAGATTACCAGTGTGCTGTACTGAGCCAACAAGTCATGGCGTTCTCATCCCAGAGAAGCAGGCCCCCTTCCCCACTAATTACATTCTAAATCCTTCCCTTCATAATCTTTATATTAATAAATGCTTTAAACAGCAGATCATCCCTCATAAAAAAGGGGACTAAGCCAAAGGGGAAAAACTACCTGGAACAAAAGTGTGTCATTTTGATTCTTATCTCTAAGGTCAGCTAATAAGCAACATTTACAGGGCACCTTCTCATTCATGATAAAGGGCATTCACACGCACTTACTTGGTTTTTATCCTTGTAGCAACCCTAGGAGGTAGCTGATATTATTCCCATTTTACAGAGGACGGCACTGAGGCTCAGAGGGGTTAACAGCCTGTCCTGACGTCGTACAGCCATCCGAGGGCCAAGCAAGGATCTTCCACCCCTAGTTCTACCTTGGGCTGCCCAGACTCCCCCAGGGCTTGTTGCTTGTTAAGTGGGCAGCTCAGCCTCTCCAGCCTTACCTTATGGAATTACATGAACATGGCCAGGATCTGCCTGTCCAAGAAACCATGAAGTGACTGTCTGCTTATGGACATCTTTGTTGAAGGTGGCATACCCACAGACGGCCAGGTACCATTTCTTCTCCATGTGTCTTTCTTGGGTGCAGAGAGCTCTATTGGAAATCAGTGGGAGGCCTCTGCCCAATGAAGAGTGGGGGGCAGGGGGTGAGAAGCAGGATGTGAACCTATTCCATAAAGTGAAAAACTGACATCCTAACAAATAATGAGGGAAAAATTCGAGGTTGTTTCCTCAGCTGATCATCACCGGCGGAGCCAACTTTGGATTAAACACTTCTGCTCAGTGGTTTTGACATTCTCAGTCAGGCATATCTTGATGAAATTAGAGATGCAGAAAATATTTTTTGATGGAGTGTGGGGACAAAACAGCTAGGAGGCAAGCCAATTCTGTGTGCAAACTTGTGCAGACTGAGATAAAGAGGAAAAGAAAAGGCAAGACAACAAGGGGTGTGTGCTCGTGTGAGTGTGCGTGTGTGTACATGAAGGAAGATGAAAGCAAGTGACAGAAGAGGAGAGGCAGGCTGGGCTGATACTAATTAATTAGACTTTAAGATCCTGGCAGCAAGAGGTGTGTTTATAAACAATCTTCACTAAAACATACCTTTCCAACTATTAACTGTTTTATTTGCCAGAAATAGTCTCTGCTCTAATTATTCTGTAATTGTTTCAATCCAAAAGTGGGGAGAGAAATACTAACAAGTGACCATAACCATTCTTATGCTATAATACATATCTCTGTACAGAAGTTAACATTTCCCATGCTCAACTAATGAAGTGAGGCCAATTCAAACCAATTCACAAAAGGATTAGCTGGGGGTGGGTGGGGGGGGCTATTAGTCAGAAGGCTTTCAAGCTAGTAGAAAAAATTAGACCAAAAAGAGAAGAAATAATAGAATTCCAACCATTCCGGAATCTCTTGGAAGTATGCTTATGCCAAGCCACCAGCAACCTGACGTTTTTCTACTGGGACTTATTTAAGTCTAGAAAAGCCTGATCTGTGAGGATAAAATAAATATTTCTTGCAGACCTGCCAAATCTTTTTTTACAAAATTATTTCCCATATCTTTTCCAAGGAAGTGACTAGAGGATGTACTCCAGTAAAATGAAGGAATAAACCAAGAAAGAAAAAGACATGAGATCCAATAAGCAAAAGACCCGACTCAGAAATCAGGCAAAAGGACTACCTGGATGACAGAATGGGAAACTACCAGAACGATTTACTGGGCAGTCGGCTCAGATGGAGCAGTGGATGACAACTTGTTGGGGAAAAATAGAACATATAGGTTACTTGATGTATTTAAAGACACTTTACGGCTCTGTTGGAGAGTCCAGTATTGAATTAGTGATAGATACACAGAAAAAAAGCAAATTGAATAGGTGAATGGATAAACAAACTGTGGAACATCCAGACAATGAAATATTCACCAATAAAAAGAAATGAGCTATCAAGCCACATTGGCTATGCCCTTCACATTTAAGGAGGAACCTTAAATGCATATTGCCAAATTTTAAAAGCTAGTCTGAAAATGCTACAGACTGTATGATTCCAATTATATGACATTTTAGAAAAGGCAAAACTATAGAGATCAGTGGTTGCCAGCGGCTCATGGAGGCAGGATGAATTGGTGGAACACAGGGATGCTTTCAGGGTAATGAAAATATCTTGTGTGATCCTGTAATAATGGATACGTGGCATAATGCATTTGTTAAAACCTGTAAACTAGCCAGGTATAGTGGCTTTTTTGCACCTATAGTCTCAGCTACTTGGTAGGCTGAGACAGGAAGATCACTTGAGCCCAGGACTTCAAGACCAGCCTGGGTAATATAGTAAGACCCCATCTCTATTTTTTAAAGAAATTAAGAAAGAAAAGAAACCCATCAACTGTATAACACAAAGAATCGTAATGTAAACTACAGTCCTGAGTAATGAAACATTTTTAAAGAAATAAATAAATTCAAGGCAATTATTAACTTCAGGAAAAACAGTAAAGTAAACATAAGTATACAAATCAAACATGGCTCAGTTGTGAAAATATTTACAAGGTCACTTTAAGTAACATTGAATGTTGATATAATCCCAAAATATATTTATGTTGGAAGGATGAGGAAATGGGAGAAGGGTAAGAGAGCTCAATCCTCATCTTACATAGAAGGAAGTCAGTAGATAATATCTTACATTTAAAAGTCAAGAAATAACAGTCTGACCATACTATCTAGAAATATGGAAGTTAACAGTAAGGAAGTTAAAACAGTTGAAAGTAGTTTCGTCTAGAAAGAAAGACTTGGGGAAGAACAAAGAAGGCTAATTTTCATTATGAGCTTTATTGTAACAGAAAAGAGACCACTAACTCAGCTAGGTTTTCCCAATTCCTCAACACTTTGGGGCACAGTGTTTAGTCAGAGCTGTGATCACTCTCTGAGCACATGGATTGTATCTTAATTTTCATCTCATTGAAAATATGTACCATTTGTCCAAGTGGAAACTGGGCTGAAGCATGACTGTGACCACCACCAAAGAAATGGCTAGACTCGCTAAGGTCTGCTGGGGTGACCCGTGATTGTGTTGTGCTTGATCTTGTTGAGCATGGCTCTTTTAAGTCACCATACCTGCCCCTGCCAATGCACCAAACACCAACTTAAAGGGACTTTCAGCTTTTGTAAGTCAGTCTCAGCCTTACTTCTGAACCATTTCTTTGACTTCTTTCATGACTCTGATCCTGTCCCAGTTTTAAGCCTCCCAGCCACCAGTCATGCTGTTTTGCTCTGCTATTTACATTCTTCTCTACCTACTTTGGACTTGATGGTATGCCTACTATATTAGTTATTTATTGCTGTGTAACAAACCACTCTGAAACATAGTGGCTTACAACCACAACCATTTTATTTTATTATGAAACTGTGGGTCAGAATGTATATTGGCCCATTGGCATGATTCTCCTGCTGGTCTCGCCAGGGGTCACTTATGTGGGTACAGTTATCTGGTGGCTTGACTAGGGCTGGATGATCTAAGATGGCCCTACTGACTTGTCTGAATGGTGGTGCAGACTGTCACTAAGGACCTGTGTCTCCAGTAGGAGAGTCTGGGATCCTAAATTAGGTGGCAGAGTTCCAGACGTGCAAGCCTGCATGTGTTCCACTGGCCAAGCCATGTGGCCTAGTCCAGAATCAGCGTGGGAGGGGACTACAGGAGGGTGTGGAGATGGGAGGCATGAATCACTGGGGTCTACCACAGACATTTTCCTGGTTATACTCTGGGTTCCTGCTTGACATGTGGCTAGCAGCCCTCAAATGGGGACTGGACAGCTCTCTAGAAAATGGATGTGCTATGTTGTTCCCAAGCAGAATGCAAGCTCACTGGGAATT
Organism: Homo sapiens; assembly: GCF_000001405.40. Lineage (NCBI taxonomy): Eukaryota > Metazoa > Chordata > Mammalia > Primates > Hominidae > Homo > Homo sapiens. Next base: position 99,821,724 of record NC_000013.11, on the reverse strand, counting down.
TATTTTTCACTTCTTTATTGCCCATGCAAAGGAGAAAGCAAAGGTGATCAACTTTTTATGAAGAGAACTAAGTCCTCCTGAGTCTGGACTCAATACCATTGGGCTAAGCCAGACCTGTGAGAGCTGGGGAGAAGAGGAGAGCTTTGACCACATATATGTAGTATCTTGGTGTGCCTTGCAACACGCATCAAAATTCCTTGGCTATGCCCTTCACAGACAGCAAAAAGCCTAATTTTCCATCAAAAGAAAAACAAAGAAAAGAAAATTAAGTGTATATTTATCCAATAACAGGAGCAATTTTTGATAAATTGTGACACATCTGTTCATTGGTGTAGTCACAGAATAATGTGAATTAAACCAACTAAATGCCAGGCACGGTTAGGTGCTGGGCATCCAAAGATGAGTACATTAAGTTCCTGATCTTATGATGCTCAAAGCCAAGTCGAGGATACCGATAAATATAGACATCCCTCAGTACCAAAAATCTAACCCATTCCTGAAAATGGTAAGTTTGGATAGTGGGAGCCTGTATTCCATTATTAGGAATAGGACCAAGATTACTGTGTTCCCAGCCCATCCGGAAACCCCAATCAATTCCCTCAAATAATATTAGAAAGCTTAATTGCTTCCACCAAGCAGTTTCTACATCACATAAAGTATTTCTACATCATATAAAGCATTTAAAACACAAATCACCTAATTATTTAACATGGAATGGGCACTCATTGCATTTTGTACACTATAAGATACTGTACAGTAGTAGACACAATTTATGTTTTCCTTCTCTGCCATATTAAACATGTATGGTAATGTACATAAACAATGAAACAACATGCTAAGGATCCTTCTTGGAAGACATTTTCACTTAATAACACAGGATGGACGCTCACGATAATGCACACATTTAAACAACACATGGTGCCATCCCGACCGGAGAACAGCTGAGCTCCTTCCGCTCCTCTAATCTGAGTTCACACGAAACCTAAATGTTTTTCCCAGCACACACATGCAAATTGTCAGAATTTTGATCCAGATGGTGAATTCTGGGTTAAATATTTCTGCAAATTGTTAGAGTGACTACTCCAACGGTGAGAATGTAGATGGTGCAATATTAATCTTGTCCTAAGATTGAGACTGTGAAGCAACATGACAATGATCCCTGCAGAGGGTTACAGGACCAAAGGAGAAAACAAAACTGTCTCAGACAAATACAGCTAGGTAGACATTCTTTGGGTGGGGGTGGGGAGTCGGGGGGAGGTAGGCAAACAGAGTATATGGAAGCAGTCCATTGATTGCTGGGCTGTTACTATGGTAAGTTTCTGAGTGATTGTTTCACTCTTGTTTGTGCAATAAAGACAAAAATTTTTAAATATGAGCATGTACAAAAACAATGGATGCAAATATAAGTGTGAGTGCACGGGAGTGCAGGACCCCCTCACTGCCCCCTAGACACTCCTCAGTGCCTGGGCGGACCGTGTGCAATGTTCACCTTAAAGCCCAGGTGCCTTGCCACCTGACAAGGCAAACTGCCCTTTGACCTCTGAGCTCATGCAGAAGTGTCAGCTCCCTCATCCTATGCTAAGAAACAGACACAGCAGCCTCCGCGAGACACAGCATAGATGGGACAACAGATGGAGAGGGCCCGACACTTGGGGAAAATCACCTGGGTGAGGTCTGCTTTAGGGAAGCTGGGATTCTCTGCAACCAGCAGCCACTGAGTGCAAATGTCCAACTTTATAGGTATAAATCCGTGATGGTTAATTTTATGTGTCAACTTGGCTGGGCTAAGGAATGCCCAGATCACTGGTAAAACATTCCTAGGTATACCTGTGAGGGTGTTTTTGGGAGACATTAGCATTCGAATCAATAGACTAAGTAAAAAAGATCTGCCCTCACCAAGGTGGGCAGGCATCATCCAATCTGTTGAGGGCTTAAATAGAATAAAAAGGTGAGTAGAATGCAAAGGACAAATTCTCGCTCTTCCTGAGTTGGGGCATCTATCTTTTCCTGACTTCAGAGCTCCTGGCTGCGGGGCCTTCAGATCTGGAGACTTACATATGTGGCCTCCCTGGTTCTCAGGCTTTTGGATTCAGATGAATCACACCACCTGCTTTTCTAGGTCTTCCGTTTGCAGACAGCAGATCGCAGAACTTTCCAGCCTCCCTAACCACGTTAGCCAATTCCCATAATAAATCCCCTCTTATATATCTATATATATCCTATTGGTTCTGTCCCCCAGACAACCCTGACAAATATTATATATATATATATATATATATATATATATATATATATATATATATATATAAATTTTTTCCCAGTGATAATACAAGTACTTTGCTCTGTATAGTAGGTGACTGAGGGTCTATTAATTTTTTTTTTGAGACAGGGTTTCACTGTCACCCAGACTGGAGTGCAGTGGCATAATCATAGTTAACTGTAGCCTCAAATTCCTGGGCTCCAGTGATCCTCCTGCCTCAGCCTCCCCAGAAGCTGGAACTACAGGCATGTGCTACCATACCTGGCTAATTTTTTAAAAAATTTTCTTTTGTAGAGATATTATGTTGACCAGGCTGGTTTCAAACTCCTGGCCTCAAGCGATTCTCCCGCCTCAGCCTCCCAAAGTGCTGGAATTACAGGTGTGAGCCACCACGCCTGGCCTATTAAATTTGTGTAATTTAAATTATACCTTGGAAACGTAAGGCACTCAATATATAAAAGTCCCCTTGTAGAGAATTTTTTTGTCTTGATAAGTTGGATTTTCTCAAAGCAGGATATAACAGCAACATCTCACACTTGTTTTAGACAATTACAGTGCATCAGCTTGATGGAATATTAAGCAGTCATTAACATTTATAATTATGAAGACTGTGGAGATGCGGAAAAATGCTTCTGGTGTGCTAAGTGAAAAAGAGCTAATGTAAAATTATATTTAAACTGTTACTGCAACTAAGTACAAACGCCCAGGGAAGGGCTGGAAAAGAACATGGAATAAGGAAAGCTTTTTTACACACACCACATTTCAATCTCAAGTGGATTAAGTGAAGCTTTGTAAAAAGCAAATCCTACATCACAGCTATAGAAACAGAAGAGGTTAAAATGACTTCGCAACACATTTCAGCTCCAGCAGTATGAGTTGTTGTAACAGAGAAACCCCACAATTAAAGAGGATTAGCATAATAGTAGTGCCTTTCCTGTTCATGTCGAATCTGATCAGTGGCAGTGTGGCAGTGTGTGTCCGTGTGTGTGTGTGTGTGTGTGTGTGTGTGTGTGTGTGTTTTCTGCTCCATGTGATCTTCAGGGGTCCTGGCTGCCAGTGGCTTTATCATCTTTAACCCGTAACTCCCACAGTCTTTCTCTATTAACAATCAACCCGAGGACGGAGAAAGAACACAGAGAGTGAAAAGTTTTGTGGGCAGGAGCTAGAAGTAGTAAACATCCTTTCTACTCACATGCTATCAGCCAAAGTGTAATCCTAAGGTGACAGATAACTGCAGAGGAGGGGTGGAAGTAGATCTGTGTGCCAGGAGGAAGAGGAAATGGGTTCTGGTAACCAGCTGACTGATCTCTGCCACATAAGTTCTCATATCTGATCAGAAATAGGGCAAGAATTGGAATCCAGGTCTTTCCTTTTTTTTTTCTCCCTTCCTCCTTCCCTCACTTCTTCCGTCACTTCTTCCCTCCCTCCCTTCCTTCCTTCCTTCTCTTCCTTCCTTCCTTTTGAGACAAGTTCTCACTCTGTCACCCAGGCTGAGTGCAGTGGTGTGATCACAGCTTACTGCAGCCTTGACCTCCCAGGCTCAAGCGATCCTCCTGCCTCAGACTCCCATGTAGCTAAGACTAGAGGTGTGTGCCACCACGCCCGACTAATTTTAAAATTTTTTTGTAGATATGGGGTTTCACCATGTTGCTGAGACTGGTCTTAAACTCCTGGGTTCAAGCAATCCTCCTGCCTTGGCCTCCCGAAGTGCTAGGATTATAGGCATGAGCCACCATGTCCTGCCCAGTGGTTTTTCTTTACTTTAGCTCAGTGCTTTTCTTTTTTCTTTTCTTTTTTTTTTTTTTTTTTTGAGACAGAGTCTCGCTCTGTTGCCCAGGCTGGAGTGCAGTGGCGCCGTCTCTGCTCACTGCAAGCTCTGCCTCCCGGGTTCACGCCATTCTCCTGCCTCAGCCTCCTGAGTAGCTGGGACTACAGGCACCTGCCACCACGCCCGGCTAAGTTTTTGTATTTTTAGTAGAGACGGGGTTTCGTGTTAGCCAGGATGGTCTCAATCTCCTGACCTCGTGATCCGCCCGCCTCGGCCTCCCAAAGTGCTGGGATTACAGGCGTGAGCCACTGCACCCGGCCAGTGCTTAAGTTTTCACATCTTCTCTCTCTTAATCACTTTCCCTCTCCTCCACTCTCCTCCCCTCTCCTTTCGTCTCCTCTCCTCTCGTCTCCTTTCCTCTCCTTTCTCTCTCTCTCATACACACATTAAAGCTAAAGATATATATGTTGAAATCTAAACAGGAGAGTTGTTCTACATCTAAGGACACCCAATTACAATCTAGTCTTCTTTTGAGGAAACACACTACGATCTCAATGAAAATCATTCCTGGGGAAAGAAAGTTAGCAGGGATAAAACCTGGTGATGGAACAAGAGAATCTGGCTAAGAGCTGAATCGGCTGAGAAAGAAGGAGTGAAAGCCTACATAATTACATGGCCTTCACTCACATTTCCGGGGTCATTCGCATCTTTGTCAGGCATTATCCCATGGTTGATGGGTAGCAGGAAGTAAAACCCTATCCGCAGCGCACGTTCAGGCTCCCCACCACTTCCATGAAGCCCCAGCCTGAAGGCACTAGAAAACAGTTGGCATATTTATCTTCTTGGGAGCCTTAGTCCATGTGGGCTTCTATAACAAAATACCATAGACTGGGTGGCTTATAAACAATAAAAATTTCTTTCTCACAGTTCTGGAGGCTGGGAAGTCCAAGATCAAGGCACTGGCAAATTCGGTGTTTGGTGAGGACTTGCTTCCTGGTTCATAGATGGAACTTTCTCACTGTGTCCACCCAGGGCCCAAGGGGCAAGGGAGCTCTGAGGAGCCTCTTTCATATGGGCGCTAGTCCAGTTCATGTGGGCTCCATCTCATGACCTAATCACTCCTCAAAGGCCCCACTTCCAAATACCATCACATTGAGGTTTCAACACATGAATTTGAGGGTGACACATACATTCAGGTCATAGCAGGGCCCATTTTACGAGGCTACTGCCTCATTCTTGGGGTTCTAAGACACTTGCTTGTTTTCAGAGCAATTTCACTGTGCTCCTGACCAGCAAAAGTAAGGGCACAGTCATTGAGAGCCAGTTTCAAGCAAAAACATCCTAAATAGCACATCAAAATATCATTTGGTGGTAAGCTTCAGCATCTTGGAAAACAGATATCTGTCCCAAGGTTGGCATTTTGATGTTAAATCTTCTCATTTGTTAAACAAATGAGTTCAAATCAGAACAAATGACCAAGTCTTATTGGTCTCTGGTGACTGTTGTTTATGCCAAATATAGAAGTTATAGCCAGAGCTTAGACTGGACAATGTGAAAAAGAAAATTGCTATTTCATATTTCTCTGTCCTCTGCCAAATCTAACCAGTGCAATGCCTTGAACATTTGGGCACTTGGTAAATACTAAGTTAGTCATTGCGAATATAATTACTATGTTAAGTTGTTTGACTGGAATTCAGAAACAATTGAAGTATGGATAACTGTACCTATACAAAATGCAGCCAGGCTGCTCTGCTGATAGATCTTTAACAAAAAATTTTAAAATTTTTAATTAAATTTTAGTTAATTATTATTATTTTTGAGACAGGCTCTCACTCCCCGTCACCCAGGCTGGAGTGCAGTGGCGCGATCTTGGCTCACTGCAACCTCTGCCTCTTGGGTTCAAGTGACTCTCCTGCTTCAGCCTCCAGAGTAGCTGAGATTACAGGTGCACACAATCATGCATGGCTAATTTTTGTATTTTTAGTAGAGACGAGGTTTCACCATGTTTGTCTTGAACTCCTGGCCTCAAGTGATCCGCCTGCCTCGGCCTCCCAAAGTATTGGGATTACAGGCCTGAGCCACCGTGCCTGGCCAATTTTTTATTTATTTTTAGAGACAAGGTCTTGCTCTGTCACTCAAGCTGGAATGCGGTGGCGCCATCATCGCCCACTGTGGTCTTGAACTCCTCAGCTCAAGGAATCCTCTGTCCTCAGCCCTGCAAGTAGCTGGACTGCAGGTGCATGCCACCATACCCAGCTATTTATTTTTTCTTTTGCTACATCTGGCTAATTTTTTTCTTTTGGTAGAGATGGAGTCTCGCTATTTTGCCCAGGCTTGCTCTGATAGATCTCTGAGCTTTTCATAGGTCCATCCATCCCCTCATCTACACCATCCCCATGCACCATCCCCACACGCCATTCACAAACACGTACACATGAGTTATATCTTGCAGCACGCAAGGTTTTAGCTCCTTTCCCGGATTTGATTTTTAATCTGCTGTTCTTGGGAATGCAGCTCCCCAGAATTGTTCCACGGAGGGATCCTTTGTCCTGATTAACAGTGGGTTCTGAAGTGCCTCCCCTAGAGGCAGAGTGAGACCATGTGGGGTGTGTTACCTCTGGGACCACTCAAGAAACCTGTGCTTTAAGAGGCCCACCCTGGCTTGCTCTTTGAGATGGGGTCTCAATCTGTTGCCCAAGCTAAGTGTAGTGGTGTGATCATGGCTCACCGCAGTCTTGACCTCCTGGGCTCCATTCTCCTGCCTCAGCTTCCTGAGCAGCTGGGACCCACAGGCATGCACCATTATGCTGGGCTAATTTTTGATTTTTTGTAGAGATGAGGTCTCACTATGTTGCCCAGGCCAGTCTCAAACTTTTGGACTCAAGCAATCCTCCTGCCTCAGCCTCCCAAAGTGCTGGGATTATAGGCTTTAGCCACCACGCCCAGACTCCTTTTTTTTTTTTTTTTCTGAGACAGGGTCTTGTTCTGTTGCCCAGTCTGGAATACAGTGGTGTGCTCACAGTTTACTGCAGCCTTGACCTCCTAGGTTCAAGCAGTCCTCCTGTCTCAGCCTCCCAAGTGGCTGGGGCCACAGGTGAATGCTACTATGCCTGGCTAGTTTTTTAATTTTTTTGCAGAGAAGGGATCTCTCTCACCATGTTGCCCAGGCCGGTCTCAAACTCCTGGGCTCAAGCGATCCTCTTGCCTTGGCCTCCCAAAGTGCAGGAATTACAATTATAAGCCACTGTGTCTGGTCTTCTCCCTATTTTTTGTTTCCATGTTCAAAGGGGCAAACAATGCTTTTGGGAAAACTCTAGGAGGTTAAGTTCCCATGCCCTGAATTCAGTCTCTGTTTCTGACTACATGATCTTGGGTGAGTTCTTTGATTTTTCAGTGGGTTTACCAGCCCTTGAACCTGGGCTTGTTGTAAACTATAATATCTATACCATGAGGAGAGGGGAATGGCAATTTAAAAGCAGGTATCGGAATTCTTTAGGGAGAGAATTGTCTTTTTGAAAATGTCATTGTAATAATCATCTTCAATATAATTTGTATAGAAAAACTTAGGGTGGAAAGAATGATCTTCTGTTCAGTTAAAACAAGAAAACAAACAAAACCTTGTTGGGCCACTTGTGAGTGGAAAGAGAGCCCTCAGAGTAAGGCTGGAAAGGATTAGTGAAAGAAACCAAATTTCTGTGCAAAATGAAGTAGGAAGAATGAAGAGGCTTTGGCAGTTGGAGAAGGAAAGGGAGAGGGAGTTCAGAGTCCAGAAAGGTGGCAGGACTTTGGTCCACGGGGATGGCCTATGGACTTTTCCATTTTAAGTAGCTTATTGGGCTATGATGTGATTCTCAGAGGCAGAAGGACTTGCGGACGGCAACGTATCCAACATCTAGTTTACAGGGAAGGCATATGGAGCACTTATATATAAGTATATATATACAGTACTACTGTCAGGCATTACGTTAAGCATTTTACATGCATATTCTGATTTAATCCTCATATCCACTCTGTGTGACAAGCCTGTCGCTATCCCCATTTTACAGATGAAGACACCGAAGCTTGCTGAAGTCAGTTAGTTAGTGGTAAGTTAGTAAGTGGTAAGTGGTTAGTCAGTAAGTTAGTGGCAGAGGCAGAGCCCAAATCTGAGTTTGACTGACTCCAAAGTCTATCCTGTTAGTCACTACAGCACACTGTCCCCATGAACACTGAAGATTGCAGTACCAAGCTACTGAGCAGAAATTATTTGTGGTTTACTAATTAAGGGCAATAAAAGCACCCCAGAAATGCAAAGTACTAAATAAATACTAGTATTACTGTTCTTGCACTTGACCCCTGACATGTGAAGACGGCACTGTCATCTAAAATGGAAACGTGAAAGCCAGAAAGGGCTTATTAATGTCAGATGCAAATGATATGTTTAGATACTCATGTTTGCATTCCACTGGATATTTCTATTCCAAGGGCCATGTTCTCAGGCATGGGACCCCCATTAAGGTCAGGATCATTTGCAAATCTAGAAAAAAATACGGCAGTATCATTTCATTTTTTTTTCCTGAGACAAAAATAAAAATGGTTCACCATTTTGGTGCAGAATTTTAAAGCAAAAATCATGGTGTTTCTAACTATTCCAGATTAAAGAAGAAGAAATTATAGCCTTTCATTCTCCTAGCAGGATGTAACTAAGGTTTAGATGAGTGAACAGATGCATGCAAAAATCAGCCACGCGCATAGAAAACATTCATTTTCACAATCTGGTAAATCTGCTAGGTATGCAGGAAATGGAGCCAAATCAATTTCAGCAGTATGTGATATCACAGCTTTGGCATGACAGGGCCCCCCCTTGGCCCCACTTGTCTCCAGGGCTGCTACCATCCAGAGGCTGGGTATTGGTCACTCAGCACCCAAGGATCTGAGTAGTTCCATAACTGGTGACATGAGTCACCCCAGTTAACCGGCTGGTGTTACTTCCATCTCCAGTCAGGGTCCAGCACGTGATTACGCTTTTCCTTTTCCCACTTCATGTGGAAAAGAGACCTTTTCTGAGCTTCTTGCTCCCTGGTCCTTTATCCCTCCTATAGGGAGGTCATAGAACACAGAAATCTGAAAACCGGAAGTGTGTGTAGAAATCATCTTGTCCCATTCTTTCATTTTATGGATGAGGTCCAGGGAGGAGAAAAGTCCTGCCCAAGGCCACAGGGGCATTTAATACTGGCCCAGCCACCTTCTGATTCCCAAACCCATGTTTTCCTCACTGCAGGCTGTCTCCATTGGAAACTGTACTCAGACTACACAGAAGGGAATTATGTAATTCTGTAACCCCAAACATCTATATGTCTATAAAATATTTATAGTGCAAAGGGTTCTATTGAGTCTTCTCTGGGATTTCTTGTTTTTCTACTGGACTGTGAGTCCTCAAACCCATAACAATAGGAGTGTGCAATCCCTTGTTAGAAAACTCTAGACAAATGTGTTTTGGACTTAAGAAGTTTTTGGACTTTAAAATGGTTAGATGGCACCTAGACAGTCTATTTAATATCTCCCCTCCCCAAAACCTGGAGCAAAATGTAGGAACAGTCACACTATGAGGAAGAAGTCTCAGTCTCACAGCAGTTTAGGTCAGGCTTTGCTGCCCAATATGTCGGCTGCAAACTTAATAATAAAACTTTTGATTTTCAGCTTTTTGGATTTTGGAATAGTGGATACAGGATTGTGGATTCATGCTACTCTCTTCATATGGGAGGCATTAAATAAATATCAGTGACTAGTTGGCTGGTATTGCTTTATCAATAAGAAGGGTGGTTTTTCCTGAAACTTGTCAAGACTTGTATTTCTCTGTAGATTTCAGTTATTCCAGTTGCCTCTCAGTCGGTTATATTCCAGATAACAAAATGGAATAGCCCCCAGGGAACTGGGTTCAGAAGCTGAGTGCCCTGTTTGTTTCGTGGATTTTTCATAAAACAAATCCAGCCAGGATCATCAGAGGGGCGGGCTGCTTTAGGAGGCAGCTGGAGGTCGTGTGGGGACTGGCAGTGGCACCTGTCCTCCTGGGCGTCAGTAAAAGCAATGCAGAGAGCTCCTGCCACCAGGTCCCCAATGGGCAACTGATCCCGCCTGCCATTTCTGGGCTTTCTCTGGCTCCAGCCGCTTCTCAGCTTCCTCCTTCTCATCAGATGGGCAGGTTTCCAGAGCTGTCAGATTTTCTTCTGCCCAAGTTAACAGGGACATTGATTTTGGAGGAAGGGAGGCCCTTCCTCCCACCCCCATCCTTCCCTGGCTCCTGGCTGAGCCACGCCAGCTCTGTGGCATTGTCCGGTTTTATTATTACTGCCTGGCTGAGGCCTCCCTTCCCAGGTGGCCCCTGTGGCTTCCAGCCCCTCTCCACTTGGCATGTTGACATGCATTTTTGGTCTCCTAGGGAGAGCCTGCTTACCTGGATAATGGGCACTTGACCCCCTGGTTTCCAAAGTGGGCTTCTGTACCACAGTGGGACTTGCATCTGTTTTTATTGTTTTCTGGACTGTCACCAGGAGGGAGTCCTATAAACGTAACCTTGCTTGGCTGGCTTTGGGATTGATGGAAATCAGGTCACTTTGGGGGTTCTAATGGGCCTGGAGGTATGGGTTTTAGAGTGGCACCACAGGGTCCACTGTGTGTGTGGAAGAGGTCTTTGCTCCTTCAGAACCGGAACGTGGCTCTCCTAAAATTTTTTATCTGCCATGGGATTGTAGGCTTCTGTTTCTTTGTAAACTTTCTTAGGAAGGAGAAGAGAACGGAATTTTGCTTAGAAAACTGGAATGGTCTTCTAAGAAAAAGAACCCACTTCTGCCTTTTGGAGCTGACAGGAGGGCTACGTTTGGAGGGGAAGGAGGGAAGGAAGGAAAGGGAATTCAGTCTCTGATGTCCTCTGTCTTCCTCATCACCCTCCACTCTTCTCATTGACCATGGTGATGGCCTCCCCGTCCACACCTGCCCAGCTCAAATCCATTCTGCTGCATTCAGAATGCTATTTTGCAAGACACATATCTCTGCTGCTTGAAACCCTTAGTAGCCTTCCATTACCCTTAGAATACATCTAAAATCCTCACTGCAGTCCAAGTCCAGGATCACCAGGCCCCTGCCTTCCTCTCTAGGCTCATCCTGCATGACCCTGGGCTCTGGCCGCTCCAGCCAAGCTTCGCTTCTCACAGTTTCTTGGCAGTGCCCAGCTTCTTGTCACCCCTCGGCTTTGGCATGTGCCTCCCCCTCCACCCACAGCCTCTCTCTCTGCTCCACTCCCCACTGTACCCCACACTTTGTCTAGTTACCTCCTCTCCATCCTTCAGCTCCTAGTTCAAATGGCATTTCCACAGGGATTCCCTCTCTCCACCCTGGAGTCCTGTTTTACACTCTCTTGTATTTTCTCTTCCCATCACATAGGACAGTTCACAACCAAACATTGATGTGAGTGGCCACTGGAATGATGTATGTCTGTCTCACCAGCCATAAGCCCGGAGAGGAGAGGAGCTACACTTACTTTCCCCACCTCTGTCACCTCTAGTGATAGCCTTGTGTTGCCACAAAGTGGTTTCTCAATCATTATTTGATGAGTTACCGAGTTAATCATTTATCTAGCTAGTATGACTTCACCAACAATGTAACTCCCATGTGATAATAATAAAAAAATCCTCCTATGCTATTCTAATGTAGAATGGACATTTCCACTTGCCAGCAAAACTTGGGCATAGGTTATTCTTGAGCGTTTTGAGCTAGTCGGGATGGATGAGCTGATGTCCCCATTCCCTGGGGACAAGTCTGCTTGGTGGCTTCATCCAGCTTCATGTTTCTCTCCTGAAGTTCCTTCAGGCTCTCTCACTGGCAGACTGGCATGTCTTCCCGAGTTGGCCAAGAGGAACATGTCACATTGGCAATAATGTCAGCAGACTCTGAGGCCACTAAGGAGAGCAGCAAGTGAAGGCCGGGAGGGAGCCTTGGAAGGCAGCTCATTACCAGAGGCGCCAGCCGTCACACCCTCGATGGAAGGGCATAATTGCTGAAAACAGCTAATCGCTAACAGCGTGACAGCCAAGGGGCCTGCAGCCATCCCTTTCTTCGCTTCAGGATCCATTCCCCCATGAGGGGAAAGGTGCCAAAAGAGGAAGCCAGGCAGGAAGACACAGCTCTGTCTCACAGAAGGGGAATGCCTTCCCCCAACTTTCACAAGACACTTTGGGAACCCTCTCTTCATTTATTACCAAGCTTGAAATCTTGATGCTGCCATCCAAATGAAGTGCCTCTGGACTTCAGACATAGAACCTTGAGCCCACCATCGGAGAGGGTGGTCTTCCACATGACACTGGTCATGCACAGAAGGGAGGCTCCCAGAAGTAACATTTTGTGTTCAGGAGAGTTATGCAGGCAAACAAGGACTGAACACCCCTTGTGTAGATACTCTTGAATACAGTTCTACAGGACGATTAAAATAAATAATACTCCCCATAATTTATTTGTTAAATTATATTTATTATAAATATAGTAATTCATTAAAATAAGTGGATGGCTTCATTTAGCAAATGTCCAAATAGATATCAAAATGGAAATTGTCATAGGAAGCTGGGAGGTGTGTGTCTAAACAATTAACAAGCATATAGTACCAGGGTAAATTCAAGAATTTCTTTTCCCCCACCCCACCTCCCCCAGCCATCTGACAAGTGTCTTGTGTGTGTGTCCAGCTGTGCTAGATGCTCAGGACGTGAACTTGCTTGTGGCCTTAAGGAGCTTACATACTCATGGGAGAAACCCACAAATAAGTCAGCAACTGTACTTTAGAATAGGAAGGACCAGGATCAGAGCTGTCAATGTGAAATTTGATGTATGAAGGCAGCTTTTCAACATGGAAAAGATCATGTGGGTTACTTTGGTTTTTAAGTTAATATTAAATTCATTAAAATTACCAATTCAAAAATTCACCTGCCTTAGGCCTTTGTCCTCCACCTCCAATGTTATCATTCTATTTATAAACAAAATTGATTACTTCAGGTTGAATATATCTAAACAAGTTGAAACCTCAATTGGCACCATTTACGACTTTATTAAATTCCCTTAAACTTTCAAAACTATATTCATGAATTTAATACAGTCATTTTCTTGTCCTTCAAAAGCTCAATCTAACAAGAAAAACCTCAAATATTTCAACACTGCTTTTAAGTCTATAATTTTTTTTTAAGTCTATAAATTATAGTATTATCTCCGGTGACTAAAGTTGCTTATGGGCCAGATATCTTCTCCAGCACAAAGGGCTCAGGTGACCGTTCCTCTACAAGAGGATCCTAGGCCAGACACAGTAGCTCACACCTAAAACCTCAGCACTTTGGGAGGCCGAGGCAGGCTGATCGCCTGAGCCCAGGAGTTTGAGACCAGTCTGGGCAACACAGCAGTACTCCATCTCTACAAAAATGCAAAAAATGAGCCTGGAGTGGGGGTGTGGGCCTGTGGTCCCAGCTACTCAGGAGGCTGAGGCAGGAGAATTGCTTGAGCCCAGGCGGTCCACGCTGCAGTGAGCTGTGATTGCGCCACTGCACTCAAGCCTGGGTGACAGAGTGAGACCCCATTTCAAAAACAAACAAACAAACAACAACAAAAACAAAAACAAAAACCAAGAGGATCCTGAACCTTCCCAAGGTTGCCATGACCACAGGGAACTTCAGGTTCATATGCTTTGAACAGAGTTGGTTTTCTTGGGTCTAAACTACAATCTATCCTAATTCTTTCCTCCGCTTTGAGGAGGAACCTTCTCTCACAAGTTGCTGCTAATTTTTAAAAAATTCTTTTAACTCTTCTCATATTCTTCATATCCTAGATTAGGCCCAAGTTATTTTTCTTTTTCCTTTTTAAAAAATATTTTATTATGGTGAAACATACCTAACATAAAATTTACTGTTTTAAACCCTTTAGAGTGTACACTGGCAGTAAGTACATTTATCTTATTGTGCAACCATCACCACCGTCCATCACCAGAACATTTTTCCTCTTCCTACACTCCCCGTTCCTCCTTCCCCCCCGGCCCCTGGAAACTGTCTTTCTCCTTTCTCTATGAATCTGATGATTCTAGTACCTCATGTAAGTGGAATTATACAGGATTTGTCCTTTTGTGACTGGCTTATTTCACTCAGCGTAATATTCTCAGGGTTCATCCATGTTGTAGCATGTATCAGAAGATCTTTCCTTTTTAAAAACAAAGACACCGCATTTTGTTTGCCCGTTCATCTGTGAGCGGGCACCTAGGTTGCTTCGACCTTTTGGCTACAGTGAATAATGCTGCCAGGAACATGGGTGTGCTGGCTCTCAATCCTTATGGATAACTGAATACCAGCCAGTGGATTCTGCGTCAAATCAGACCTTCGTGGCTTAGTCATGCACATGCGGGGAGACACATCTCAGTGAGAAAGCATAAAGAACGCACCTATCAACTACTAAGTTCTGAATAGATGTGGACCGGACTTTCTGCCCCTTCTTGCTCTATCTGAGGAGAAATCAGTGGGTTGTGGTTTGCAGCTGCAGCAGGAGCCACAGGAATTAGCAGTGAAGGTTGAACTGGCTGGAGACAGGAGGCTACTTTCCTCCTTGAATACCATTGCGAATGGGGTAGCCCTACCTCAACAATCTTGTGTGAACACCAGCTCTAACTGGAAGCACTAGGGTAGCTCTAATAGGGTCTCTGTACATCCTTCCACCCCTGCAAGTCCACTGTTGATCATCCGTCCACATAACACGAGAATGTAGACACAGCCATCTGGAGTTAAAATGCTGTTTAGTCTGACCAGATCACACCCATGTGTGAACCAGATGGCAGGCCTTGCCCTGAACAAACTCCACTGCCCTTACTTCCAACTCCCAGCAGCTCAACTACCCAAGGGTAAGAGGTAATACAACAGAAGATTTAGAATATGGTAAGAGGAGGAAAAATCAGACGAATGGCTCTACATAATAACAGTGAAGATATCTAATCTTTACGGAGCATATTCCATGTGCCAGGCATTGTGCTGAAGTGGTTCAGACACATTACCTCATTTGACCTCTGAAATAATCTAATGAAGTAGGTACTATGGTTGTTTCTGATTTCAAAGATCAGAAATCTGAGGCTTAACAAAATGAAATATTAACTTGCCCAAGATTAAGGAAGTAACAAAAGTAAGAACTGAATCTACCTTTGCTTCTGGTGTTTGGTCTTAATTACAATGCAATACTTCTAGGGTCATCCAACAGATAACTGGGTAAAAGGTGTAATGAGACAAAATACATATGAAACACAGTTACTAAGCATATGGAAACCATGCAATTAATTTTAAAAACTAATTAAGGCAACAATTAAGTATACTTATATATATACTAAGTAATAAAACAAAGTTAAAAGTAATACTTAATGTGGAGACACTGGTATACTCCAGTATTGCTGTTGAAAATGTATTATCAATCTTCAAAAAATCACTTTTGAAACATCCCTTTTATAAAACACTTCAGCAGTGTATAACAAAATTCACAAAAATGTTTGTACCCATTGATTTGGTAATTCCAGTCCTAGAAATGCATTCTAAAGAAATAAGTATAAGAGGAAAAAAGTTATGTACATGAAACTCTTTATTGCTAAAATTATAAAATCTTGTTATAAAACAATTATAAAATTATAGTGAAAAACTGAAGACAATCTAAATATTCAATGGTAGGGGAATAGTTAACTGAATTGAAGTGAAATCATTAGATGCATACTATACATCTGTTAAAATAATAAATACAAAGATCTCTGTAGCAATTTAAAAAGTAGAAAATGAAATGACAACAACGCAACCATGTAAAAATTATGGCTGCAAAGGGAGCAAAGGAAAATAGGGCAGTACTGAGGTGAATTTTGTGTGAGCTTGGTGGATTCAGAATTATTTCTTCCCTCTTAAAGATATTCTTCATTGCTTTTAAAAGCAATAAAAATTAAAAATGTTAAGTACCTGACAAGACTTGTCCATAAAAATAAGGGCACCTGCTGAGTTGTTTTGATGATTAAATAAGTTAATGGATGCAAAAGCACCTCGAAATAATCCCTGCAGGCACTCAGTAGCTCTCCCTCTGAGTCCCCTCCCCCACCCCCTCCTTCCTCCCAGCTTTAGTATCCTGAGGGCGTGGGAGCAACCGGGCACACTGGGATGGTAGAAGTTTGTCAGTACCGCTCCCTTTCTCACCGAGAGTGTTGACTTCACTTCTTGTTTTTATCCGTGACTTCCAGGGCTCAGTAGGCTCTGGACACTCACGCTTTCTGACTCTCTTCAAATTAACTTGTTTTCTTCTCCTTGGTTAACATATAGGTTTTTAAAGTATATGCTATTAACAGTACGGCAATTCCTCAAAAAATTAAACAAAGAACTACCGGATGATCCAGCAATCCCACTTCTGGGGATATACCCAAAAGAATTAAAGCAGGGACTCGAACAGACACGTGTACACCCATGTTCATGGCAACAATATTTACAACAGCCGAAAGTGGAAAGAACCCAAGTGTCTATTGACAGATAAGCGGATAAGCAAAATGTGGTATATACATGCCATGGAATACTATCCAGCCTCAAAAAGGAAAGACATTTTGATACACACTATAACACAAATGAATCTTGAAGACAATAGGCGGAGTGAAATAAGCCAGTCACAAAAGGACAAATACTGCATGATTCCACTTCTATGAGGTATCTAGAGTAGACAAATTCATATAGACAGAAAGCAGAATGGGAGTTGCCAGGGACGGGAGGGGGAAATGGGGAGTTATTGTTGAATGGTAAAGTCTCTGCTGGGGAAGATGAAAAGTTCTGGAGATGCTGGTGGTGATGATTATACAACAATGTGAATATTCTTAATGCCACTGAACTATACAGTTAAAAATGGTTTAAATGGTAAAATGTATGTTCTGCATATTTTATCACTTTTTTAAAAAGCATATGGCATTAATATGGTATCCCTCACAGGTGATATATTAACAACTTACCAGTTACTATATTGACATTTATCAAGTATTTTCTGGAGGTGATGCCTTAGTTGAAAGATGAGGGAAAAGGGAACATTTCAGGTATAAAGGCAGGCGAGACAGGAAGACTACAGGGCAGGGAGCCTTTCGCTTCCCTAAAAACTGCACTGCAGCTGCACAAATCCCATTACTCTGTCTTCATGTATAGGATCTCTCTGATCATCAAGGGAGCATGGAAAAAAAAACAGTTAGAGGTGAAAGGTCAGTTTGGGTGGTGCTTATAGTGGCCAACAAGAGAGGAAGTCAGAAAAAAGACGGAGGGAATTCAGAAAAACAACAGCAACAGTATAACCAACAGAGAAGCTCTCTAGATCCACCTGCTGTAGCCCAAACAACAAGAGTCTGCTGAACAGTTTAATGTCAAATCCAGATCTTTGCAAGAGCCCTTGGGGGCCATGTGGCCCAAACTCCTGCAGCAGGACTTCCTGATGAGTGGCTGCTGGGAAGGGGAGCTGCTTTGTTGATGAGGTGCTCGCTCTCTGCCTTTGTGCACTGCTAATTCTCAGACAGTTATTTCTCCTGTTGAGTGAAAGCTTGCGTCCTTTGTTGATGGGGTCTGTCCTCACTCCACCCTCTGAAGCAGCACAGAACGATTCCACTCCCTTTTCTCTTTGAAGTCGTTTCTGTTTTCTGGTCGTCCTTTCTTCAGTATTAACATCCTCAGCATCTTCCGCTGTTTCTTGTTCTCTAGTTCATGGCTACGAGACCTGCACTCCAGCCTTCAGGTGTGGTTTGATCAGTACTCTCAACCTCTGTTAGCTGGACACTGTTCTCCAGTTAGGACTGCAGTCGAACCCCACTGTTAGTGTGACCGCGAATGTCTATCTGACTCCCATACTAGACGGTGAACTACCTGACAGTTCATGTGCAAAGGACCAGAGAGTTTACTGATTTCACTGTTGATCAATTCAACCCACTGGACCCCCCAGATCAACAAGTGAACCATCTCCTAAATGGAAAAGAAACAACATTGGTTGTGTTTTAGGCACTCTGGTAAGTGTTTTACATACATATTTTCTTTGTTCCACACATCAACCCCAGGTGAGAAGTATTACTTTCTCCATTACACATATTAGGAAAGTCAGGTCAGTTCACACTGCTAAGAAGAATCAAATCCAATGTATTGGACACCAAAGCCCATAGGCTTTCCACTGCAGTTCCTTTTCAGTTAGGATACATTGGGCTGGAAGATTGGAAACCCAAATTCAGACTGGCTTAATTAAACACTAACGACATTTATGTGACAACATCCAGCGATGGGCTGGTGAAGCCAGCAGCTGAGCAGTGTCATCAAGGATGCCCATTCATTCTCTACTTACTCTCCAACCCACAATGTTGCCTTTGTTCTAGGGCAAGCTATCCTTAGTGACTGTAGCAACACATCCTTTTGTCATTGTTAGCAGAAAGGAAAGACTGATTTGCCATGGCCTTCTCTTAAGAGGAAAGAAAACCTTCCTAGAAACCTTCAGCCGGCCACTCCACATCTGTCACTGGTGATGAAAAGTCAGGGCTGGCAAGGAGGGCTGAATTACCCCTTGTTGGTCTAGTCAGACTTAGCCCTTGAGTTTGGATGAGTTACCGATTTGCTTGGTTACAGAGAAGTGGGATAGATCTTGAGAGTCCACCACAATCATGCCATTCCCACCTCCACTAAGAGTAATGAAGTGGCACATGCTGGGAAAGTGTTGGGTGCTGGCAATATACACCCAATCCCTGCCTGCAGAGTGTCCAGTCTAGTGTGAACGGTAAGCGCTGTACGTGTATTTGAGGTTTGATGCATGTTACAGAACAGAAAGTACATATAGCACATGTAGAATATACAGCCAGGAAGATAACTGAGTCTGAGTAGTCCTGGAAGGCCTCATGAGTTAAGATGTTCCCAGCAAGACCCAAGGATGCTGGGCAGAGGGAAGACCACACAAGCAGCTTGGAGTGCAGAATACACTGTCTATCTCTCACACTCCCATCTAAAGTCCTGGGGATGCCTTCCAGCCAGAGACCAGTCATTTATGGAGTCACTCATTCATACATGCATTCATTTCACAAATATTTACCTGCAGCAAGTGAGAACTTGTGTACTGCACTGGTGAGAGGGACTTAAGAAATGAGGTCTGTGAATGAGTGAAGCATTATAGCTCCCCCCTTTCCCATTAGCCATCCTATTGTTTATCTGAACTTCAACTAGAGTCTGGACCCCCCCAAAATAAGTGAATTTCAAACTAAATGTGCTACATTCTGCTATGTCTAAAGTTTGAGTGAAATTTAACAATAATAACCAAAAAAGAGTTTGGAATTATTAAATTAAAATGAGGTTTTAAGATTGCTATGGACTAAATATATCCCCCCCAAATTCTTACATGGAAGCCCTAATCCCCAATGTGATGGGGATGATTTCTTTCTTGGTCATGTGAGGATACAGAAAGAAGGCAGCCACTTGCAAACCAAGAAGAGAAAGCCCTCACTGGGAACTGGCCAGCACCTTGATCTTGGATGTACCAGCCTCCAGAACTGTAAGAAATAAATGTTTGTTCTTTAAGCCACCCAATCTACAGTGTTTTGTTACAGCAGCCCAAAGGGACTAAAAAAAAGATTCTAGGTAAATTTCAGTGATGTGTGTTTTTTTGTTTTTTTGTTTTTTGAGATGGAGTTTCACTCTTGTTGCCCAGGCTGGAGTGCAATGGTGCTATCTTGGCTCACTGCAACCTCCGCCTATCAGGTTCAAGAGATTCTCCTGCCTCGGTCTCCCGAGTAGCTGGGATTACAGGCATGCGCCACCATGCCTGGCTAATTTTGTATTTTTAGTAGAGAAGGGGCTTCTCCATGTTGGTCAGGCTGGTCTCGAACTCCTGACCTCAGGTGATCCGCCTGCCTCGGCCTCCCAAAGTCCTGGGATTACAGGTGTGAGCCACTGCACCCGGCCGTGTTTTCTTACTAGGTGTTTCTATCAACTGTCACATTACCTTCTTATAAACCTTAGCATACGCAGAAAGTGACAGTATTAACAAGAATAAAAACTGAAGGAGAAAAGGCACAAGCTGTTAGCCACACAGAATTTGGTAGACAAAGCATATAAACTCCCATTTTGCTTTTCCAAGAAATAGTCTATTTAACTTCAAGGAGAATTCTTTTTTTTCTATTACTTTCTTTTCCAAAACTTTTATCTCTTTCCAAATCAATAATTATCAGATGTCACATTCAGGCTGATAAAAAAAAAATCCAACTGTCTACTGAAATGGCAATAAAAGAATGCCTTGGAACAGTATGGTTCTTGCCATGAGGACACCTATTTTTTCATTTATTTTGGTGATGGGAACTGCACTTCAACATTAATGTGTAATTAATATTACAAACTGTATTTGATAAATATCAAAGTAATAAGAATAGGCAGGGGGAAAAGGGAAAACATTAAGCCTGCATTTAAAAGTCTTTAACAAACGTTCCTCACAGCTTGAGCTCAGATGCTTAGAGGCCAGGAGACTGGGGCACTCCAACAGGGACGTGTGGAGGGGGGGCACCTGGTGACAGTTGCCAAGAGCAGCTCAAGGCCTATACTAAGGGCGACGGTGATGTTATTTAAGCCTCAGCTTCCCCTTCTGCCCTCACTTACACCCTCAGAGCTGCTCCTTCCCCTACTGGGGCTGCTCCTATGAAACTTTGTTCTTCAGGAAAGACTCAGATGATTTTATCCTATCAGTTAGGGTCTTCTGAAGCAAGGGGGCAGAAACCCAATTACGTTTTTTTTTTTTTGTTTTTTTTTTTTGTTGTTGTTGTTTTTTAATTTGAGACAGGGTCTCACTCTGCCGCCCAGGCTGGAGTTCAGTGGTGCAATCTTGGCTCACTGCAACCTCTGCCTCCTGGGCTCACGCGATTCTCCTGCCTCAGCCTCTTGAGTAGCTGGGACTAAAGGCATGCGCCACCATGCCAGGCTAATTTTTGTATTTTTAGCAGAGACGGAGTTTCACCATGTTGGCCAGGCTTGCCTCGAACTCCTGACCTCAGGTGATCCACCCACCTCGGCCTCCCAAAGTGCTGGGATTACAGGCGTGAGCTACCAAACCCGGCCAAACAATTATGTCTTAAGCCAAAAGGGATTGTATTGGCTCAGGTGAGCCTTTCCAGGCCAGGGATTTTGCTTCAGGGACTGCTGAAATCAGGCCCAAGCAGTATCCTCAGGACAGGATTTCTCTCCACCTCTCAGATCTGATTTCTGTAGGTGGCTTCATTTCTGGCTCCATTTGTTGGGGCCTGGACATATCAGCCTCTCCCAGGCACTGGTTGCAGCAGCAGCGCCAATCTCACCTCCTCAGGTAAAATTCAGAGAGAAATGAACTCTCCCTTAAATTTCTCCCCAAAAAGCCTGATATTCACTCTGATTGGACTGGCTGAAGTCATGTGGTCTGGCCTGAACCAATCATGGTGGCCAGTGGAATGCAGTGCACTGACTGGTTGGCCCTGAGCCCCAGACTCCACTGGGGCTGAAGCCACACCCAAACCATGTGGGTGAGAAGGAATTGGGAGGCAAGGTCTGAAGGAGGGAAAAATAGATGCCAGTGAGGGGAGGACGACAAACTGCACGTTCTTCTACATGCAGTCATGTTCCTCCCAGGAACATTTCCTTTTGGCAGGAGCCAAAGCCTTAAAATAAAAGAATCCCAACAGGATCCCTAATCATGGCATTTCCAGCGCTCTGTGGAGGAAGGCCACGCTCTGAATGGCTCAGCTTCCTCACACACCACACCGCTGCAGGCCCCTGGGTGGGTGCACGCGACATCTGACCTGTTCTCCCACATAAGCAGGCACACAACATGTGTGCTTCACGTGTAACCTGTACCAGAAAACCAGGGTGTTGACATGATTGATATCCACGTAATTAGCCACTTTGGTACATGTGATGGATCTGCACAGGATTATCTACCTCGATATCTATGTGATTGATCCCCATGTGATTATCTGCCATGTAGACACACCCTTCCCTGCTTCCAACACAATTACCTTCCTCCAGATAGATGAAATTGAAGCCCACATGATGACTTGCTCCAGATACACACATGATTGATGCCCATGCAATTATCTAACACAATAATATGCCAGTGATTGATGCCCATGTGATTATCTGCTAAGATGATACCCGTGCAAATGAAAATTGGCAAGTCCTGCAAGCTCTAATAATCACCCTCACCAGCATGTGAAAACCAATTGCTAAGACTTAAGAAAGGCTCTTCTTTAAAAAGGCCACTCATATACTATTAAGTGTGTGTGTATGTGTGTGTGTGTGTGAATGTGTGTATATCATGCAATATACGTGTATATATTTATATGTATGTGTATATATGTATATATGTGAGATATATCCATCTTTCTGAAGTGTTTGAAGTAAATATTTGAATAGGACTATAAAAATTAAATAAATGTCAAAGTTCTTTCCAGCTCTATAATTCTCAGATTCAAGAGTTTAATAATAACTGAAAAAGCATTACTGACTTCACAGAAAATAGCAGACATTTATTCAGCTTACTGCCCAGCCTCCACTGTCTTTCCCTTAAAAAGAAACGGTCTCTAAGAAATAGCATGTTTGGCCATTTCTCGTTTCCTTTTCCCAATTCGCTGTTCTTACTTTTGAGAAAAGCATGTAATATCCCCACACAATTTGATGATTTTCTTTGTTATTGTCAAAAAATGCTAATCCACGAAGAGTCCCTTCCTGGGTTATGTTAATTCAGCTGCCTGTGTTATAATAGGATTATGTTTCCCAGGATTTAAAAATCCCACTTGTTAACTACCAAATAGACTTCTACAGCAGCTATAAAAATCTAATTTAATCCCTATTGGCATTAACAAAATAGCTGAGGTACAATTTATGTCTAACTACACTTAACACCCTACAACCTCCAATAAATATATAACATTTCTTTTGAAGTTATAAAACGTAACTGTTCAGTGGGATAACTGGAGTCTCGTGGGTCCAATCATGCAATATCTCTAAGGCAAAACAAATGTTGTTTACATACGGTAAGGATTAAGGGGAAAGTTTGTTTAAACAGATTAATGGATGTTTACATGTATTAATACTCTCTTTTACATCATGCAAATTCCAATTAAAATGATCTTCATTTCTTTCACTGGAAAATAATTACAGAGGGAGCCAACTATTTGCTCTGTTACCATTTAGTTTAAGAATCTAATTAGGTTAGAATAAATTTCAGAACAGAACACTCACCAAACTTGAGGTAGGTGACTAATACCACATTTCACTTTACAAAGGGGGAAGGCACTTTTTGCTGAGTGAGTGAAGATGATGGAGGGGGAACGAGCCCAAACATGATCCCATGGGCCAAAGAGAGCAGTAAGCAGATTCTCTTTTGTCTTTTGGTCTTCATTCTTATATTACTATCTCTTCAAAAAATGGAATTGAGATGACATTAAAGGGCCTTCTGGGAATGTAAAATTTGAGCGCAGTGAAACAGAGACGTTTCTTCTCCTGCCTCTTCCCTCCCTCCTTCTTCAGATAGGTGACTATGGGGAAGCTTATGGTAAGCCAGATGGGAACAGAGAAACTCTGGCAAATATTGTTTCAAGATGAAGGAGAGGAAAACAAGGAGGCTGACATGTAACATATCAAAGAACATCCAGGCACTCAAGTTGAACATGAATCTCAGGGCAGTCCAACCTCTTTAAAGATGCAAATTGCAGTCAAACACAGAAAACAGTAGGGTTCTGTTTATCCTTTCACAAAGGGTGCAAACTGCTAATCAGGCTCCATTGCTGGGCTGGCCACTTTGTTTATCAATAAACAGGAAGACAGTTAGGCTATAATTTTCCTGCCTAGTACTGGTAGCCAAAAGGAAATGCTGGCAGCTTGGTAGTACTGAGTTCCAGTTGCATCAAAACCCAATTATTATTGTAATAATGTATGGGTGTTTGCAAGTTGCACAGGCGTGCTACACATGTCCACAAAATCACGTGGAACGTATTGGCAGAGAATGAGCTTGGTGATACATGGACTAAGGGGAGCTGTCAAAATAGGCCTGGTCCTCCAAGAGCTCAGCTGTGGAGTGTTGTTTAAACACACACACACACACACACACACACACACAAACAGCTAACATGGCAGACACAGAAATCTTTTATATATTAATACAACACAACAAAAACATGATTTGAATAAGATCAAACAACAAACAGGCAATAAACTCAGCTCCAAAACCAGAAATTTGACTGGAATATTTTCTAACTGCCACTGCAAGTTCTGTTAACATGGAATGCTTATACATCCTCTAAAAGAGACAGTTCAGAGTTATTTTCATGTCAGTGGAACTATCTTCCTGAGATACTATAAGATCTTAAATCTTAAATATACTGTAAGATCCCAAATCTAACATATAACAAAAATTCAGTCATACATGTATTTAGGCATTAAAATCGTTCAACTCATGACTTGAGTTCTTTCATTTCTGTCTCCACACATGCATCTATATGAGACTAAGATGCACTCTGAACTCTATATAACTCCCAAAGTGGGGCATGACAAATATAAAATAAAAAGGGACTATAATTTCTACAACATGGTGCTTCTATCAATGTTGAAATAATAGCAAATTAATAACAGCTACCATATATTGATCACATGTAACCCATTTATTCATAAAATATTTGCTGAATACCTACTATGACTATGTCTTGGGCACCCTGGTAAGCAATGGGGGATACGATGGCACCCTCTTCACAAAGCCAAGAGCCTACCAGGGAAGCAGGTATGAAGTAAGTCATAACATTAGGGTGTGGTGACTGACTAGATGGAGTAGGTGGGCTGCCCACTTTTGCTTGTACCCAACCAGTCTACACTACTGTGTCTGACTCTCCAAGATGCCACCCCACAGCAACCTGCCTGGCAACTTGAGATGGGGAACCTTGGCTCACTTCTGCTAGGATGATATTGGACAAGTGAAAATCCAGGAGGTTTTGTGTGGCTCTGTTAATAACCTTCATTAGCAAATGTGGTGATCAAAGTGCAGCTCTGCCTGGCTTCCTTGCTTATTAGCTGTGTGACCTTGGGCAAGTTTGTTAACCTCTCTGTATTCCACTTTCCTTATCTGTCATCTGTCAATGGGGAGAATAATAGCACCTCTTTCATAGAATTGCTATGAACATGAAATGAGTTAACCCATGCAGAGCACTTAGAAATAGTGCTAGCACACAGGAAGTACTCCCTAAATGTTCTCTGGAATCAATCTCAGATCATCTTCAGCACCATGGTCAGCTCCACAGCCTGGCCCTCTTAGGAAGGGGAGAGGCTGGAAGGAACTATGGTGGGGAACTGCCTTCAGTTTAGGAATGGGCCAAAATTCAAGGAGGCCACTGTCCTCCAGCCAAACCCAGGAAGGAGATGTGTTAGTGCCCACCCCACCTGTGGCCCTCAAAGTTGAAGGCTGATGGCATGCAGCATGTCTCCAGTGAAGCAGCCCAATCATGGCTGCCAGCACAGGGAGCCATGATGGCCCTGACCAGTAGAAGTTCCTAGGTCTGTTCTTCCTAATCCTCTTATGTCTTGACCACAAATTTGGGCTCTCATACCTACTTCAGGCTCCCTTTGCTCTGACTATGTGGAACAGTTTTTTTCCACTTACTGGCCCTCTCTACTTTGCTTTCCCCTGTGTACCTATCCATCCACAGCTCTAGGAAAGAGAAACTCTTGACAACATTCCACCCTGCCCCATGCCCTGCAGACCTGCACCAGTTGGGCCAGGTTATCAGCCTTCCCCTGCAAAATGGCAGGGGGCTTAGATGAAATGCTCAGCAGAATGCCTATTGGTGTTCAACCTTAGTTTCATTCTTCTACCCCTGGAGGCTCCAAGAATTCACCCTCCAATTCTTGAATAGTCTTTGGGAAACCAAAGACAAAGCTGGCCTTTTATCTCCGGCCAGCACCTGGCTCATCTTTCTCTCTAGGCTTTTGAGCTCTTTTGACAGATGTTTAGGGAGAGTTTTTGTTTTTTGTGTTTTTGAGACAGGTTCTCACTCTGTCACCCAGGCTGGAGTTTGGTGGCATGATCATGGCCCACTGCAGTCTCAACATCCTGGGCTCAAGCAATCTTCCCATCTCAGACTCCTGAGTAACTGGGACCACAAGCACATGCCACCATGCCTGGGTAATTTTTTTTTCTTTTGTAGAGGTGGGATCTCACTATGTTGCCCAGGCTGATCTTGAACTCCTGGCCTCAAGTGATCCTCCCTCCTCAGCCTCCCAAAGTGCTAGGATTACAGGTGTGAGCCACTATCCCTGGCCCTAGAAAAGTCTTTTTGGTTTAATTACCTGGAGTTAATCAATAACTTGCCCAAGAATATGCTGCTTCTTAGACTAGACTTGGCTGAGAATTCAGGGCCCAACTGTTAACTTTTGGAGGTTAATTTCTGACCAATAAATGGCTAACACAACTGCATTACATGGAGGAAATTGCAAAAACATATTTGAAATAGCACATTTTTAGTAGAAGGGCAGGCTGTGTCTTGAGTTAATTCCTGACTTGACATTTGCTCCTCACGAGCCACACTTTCCTCCTCTGTTATCAGCAAAACACCATGCGGCCTGCATAGCCGGTACAGAATAAGATTTAAACCACCACTACCACCATCCTGAGAAGCTTTGATATATTTAAAAATACATGGCAAAAGTATGATATTATTGCTGAACTCTGTCTCTAAATCAGAATACTAAATTATGACTTAAAATACACCCACTGATTTATTATTAAAAACATAGTATTTAGCCTGGGTGTGGTGGCTTACACCTATAATCCCAGCACTTTGGGAGGCCAAGACAGATGGATCACCTGAGGTCAGGAGTTCTAGATCAGCCTGGCCAACATGGTGAAATCCTGCCTCTACCAAAAATACAAAAATTAGCCAGGTGTGGTGGCACATGCCTGTAATCCCAACTACTCGGGAGGCTGAGGCATGAGAATTGGTTGAACTCAGACGGTGGAGGTTGTGGTGAGCCAAGACAGCACCACTGCACTCTAGCCTGGGTGACAGCATATGACTCCATCTCAAAATAATAATAATAATAATAATAATAAATGAAAATATAGTATTTAATACTGTTATAAATTGTGGCAAATGAAATTTTTAAAAACTGAAAAGAATACTATGTTTTGATATGAAGCATGTTCTCTGCATGATTTCACACTATCTTCTCTTTATTTTGGCAGTGGTTATATACACTTGAATCTTTTTTCTTGAGATGGAGTCTTGCTCTTGTCAGCCACGCTGGAGTGCAGTGGTGCAATCTTGGCTCACTGCAACCTCCACCTCCTGGGTTCAAGTGATCCTCCTGCCTCAGCCTCCCAGAAGCTGGGATTACAGGTGTGTGCCACCATGCCCACCTAATTTTTGTATTTTTAGTGCAGAGAGGGTTTCATCATGTTGGCCAGGCTGATCTCGAACTCCTGACCTCAGGTGATCTGCCTGCCTCGGCCTCCCAAAGTGCTGGGATTACAGGCATGAGCCACGGCGCCTGGCCACATATTTGATTCGTTAGTCACAGATTTAGCAAACCAAAACCTCTTAAATTTATTTTGTAAAAATCACCTGTGGTCCTGGTCCAACGGAGAGATTTTAATTAGTAGCTATATTTGGAATAAGTAACTTTAATGATTTTCACCATAGTCTCGAAGCTATTTCTTACTTCATATTAGAGGAAATGGATGCAGTTTCCACATTTATAAAGCTTTGAATCATTTAAGCTGCATTTTCTTTCTTTTTTTTTTTTTTAATCTTAATTTTGAGCTGGAGCTCAAAGATCTGTTTTATTGCCTAGGCCCGGGCTTTCTGTAGCCAGATATATCACATTATAGATCATACTCAGTCTTACTTAATTGGATTCCTAGGAATTGCAGGAAAAGAAATAACTGGCAATTTAAAGCCTGCATCTCTTTGAAAAGAGACTTTGCTGATCTCATTAAATGGAAATTGCTGACTATTATGACCCTAATAGAGATATTTGAATCCTTGCATTAAGAGGATGCCTGGTTTGAAGAATAAAACAATGAGAAAAAATTTTTTGTTGTTTTTTATTTATTTTTTAACAATTACTGTTCAAAAGGGGAAAGGTTATTTAAGGGTATGAAGAGATTAATAAAAGACTGAAAACACTTTACTACTTTTATAAAAACCTGGATAGGTTTTTATATCAGAACCTTTAAGGATCAAAAAGACCTTGCAGAGTTCCTAAGCACAGTTCAGCTTTCCACACTGTTCCAGAAAGACTCAGATATCCTAATTCCTATTGAAGACATCTCCTGAGCTCTTAAGTCTTTTAATAAAAGCAAGGCACCTGGGAGAGGAGCCTTCCCATCCTAATTTCACACCCCTATTGAAGAGGAGTTGGCTCCCCATGCCCCTGTATACATTTAATCATTCCCTGCACATTAGTTCACTGGCTCGCTGTGGGAAGTATACACCTAGCCACTCCACTAATTTATTTCAACAAAAGTGACAGCACTGAGGAATTTAAAAGTTAGCCAAATGGATTCGTGTATGTGTACGGTGTGTCTATGTAAGCATAAATGGGGCTTTAAGGTCTACGTACTTTGTGTGTGTGTGTGTGTGTGTGTGTGTGTGTGTGTTATGTATGCACATGTGCACAAGAAGAAGTATAAATGAGAGCACAAAGTAGAGAGAATATATATGCTCAGGTGGAAAGGACCCTCCATCTGTATGGCAATTAAAGTAATAATAATAAAGAGTACTAATAAATTAATAATAAAGACTAATAATAAGCCAATAACTTTGAATGATATTGGGCGTTTCTTTCTGAGCAACTCACACTGACAAATGGAGTGCCTCCCCGGTTCTGCAGTCTAACAGGTGACTACAGGAGGCCTTGCAGGAATTTCTGTTTGGGGAAGAGGCACTTAGGAAGGGGCTCACTGTGGGGGTCATAGCTGCACTCCCTTCTCTACAGCACAGCCTCCAGTTGTTCTCGCCTCCACAACCACTCACCTTCTTTTAGGCCTTGGCAGGAGAAGCATTCAAAGAGCATGGCCCAGTTGAGAAACTCCAGGGGTGGGGCGTAGGGTGGGGTGTGGGGTGGAGGGATTGCCAAAGCACTGACTGCCACTTAGAAGGCATTTGCCTTCCTCTGTGTTTCACCGAGGAAGGCAGCTGCAACAAGGCGGCCCTCCTGGTTGTCCTGAGTACTCTGCCACGTGGAGCAGCTGGCTGAGAAGAGAGCGGCTGCTCTGATCCCCACTCAACCAGGTGCTTCCCCTGCCCCCTCTACTGAGGGTGGCCAGCTCTCCCCAGACAATCCCAGCCCACCTGCAGCTGCCCTCCCATTCCTGTTTCCCACGGTGGGGAAGGGTCACTGTGTGTGGGTCTTGCTCAGTGTCCAGCCTCCAGCCCAGCTCCCACTTGCTCTGAACTGTCCTCAGCCAGATGGTGCTGCCTTCTCTGGACTTTTTCTTTTTCCCTTTCTTCCGAGAACTGCTCAAGTATCTGGCACAATAATGCAAAGTAAAAATCTATTGTTTAGCAGTTCAATAAAATGACTTATTTTTCTCTCTGGCTTCTGGAGGGAAAAAAAATAAGTAACATCTTTCTCAGATGGCTGTTTCCAGCCCCCTCATGTTAAGAAATCTATATAGGAGCTTAAGTGGAAAAGTGGCGTTTTTCTGGCATTAGAGTCTTTTCTTTGTCTACCATTGAGGGGGGAAGCTTAAAAAATAGCAAAATTGGCAAACTCCATGATATTTAGAGAGAAAACCTATCTGTCCCAATATATTACCCTGTGAGAGTCAGGACTCTAAGGTAATAATCAATACCAGTAAGTCTTGGCATTCTAAAGCAATCAATCACCAGAGACTTGAACTGATGCTCTCAGACACTTGTTTGGGAGCACGGTTAAGACAATGGCTATTTATGGATTTATCAAATGCTCACATAGCACTTATATGTGCTGGGCACAGCTCTCAGCACTTCACAAATGTCAGGCCCCTTTAATCTAATTCTGTGGGGTGGAATACTACTCTTACCATCCTTACTCTTATTTTACAGAAGAGGAAATGGAGGTACAAAGATGTGGAATTAATTTCCCCAAGGTCACATTGTTAGGACAAAATGTTATCAGAATCCAGACACAGGCACAAGCAATACGGCTCTAAAGTTCCTGACTATCAAATTATGCTCCTGTATGTTAAAGAGATACCTTAAGGGACATACTAATTACTCACTCTCTTAAATTTTCTAAGCTTTACCCTCTTTAAAAATGACACCGCTGTTTTTTGTTTGTTTTTTTTTTAAAAAAGACACTATTTATGTAGCATTTCAGAGTTTACAAAGGGCTTTTCTGTTTGAGCCTCACAGCTGGCCCTGTGGTGGGTGGTGTGTGTTTCATTATCACCAACCTCATGGGATAGATTAAAGAAACAGAGGCTCATGAGATTACAGGACTCAAATTCCCTGGCTAGCAAGTGTCAAAACTGGGAAATTTAAATGAGTTTTCTGTTGCCAAGCCCTCTACCCTTTCCACTAACTCAGACTGCTGGTATCAAATTAAGTTGCCCACAAGTGACATCCTAGAATATTAACTTAGATTCCCAAAAAAAGGCCTTCCTCAAATCACAATTCTTTGGTTTAGACTCCAAATAGATCTCTACTCTTTACAAGCCAAATTAGAAAAAAAATGAGATTATGTTCATATAAGTTGCTTCTATGCTTCAGAAGGAAGCCGTTTCTCAGGAGCCATTGGCGGATATGCCTCACCCCAACACAGAAACATACCTAGAAATGAAAAGTCATAGGATGTAGAAAACAGGACACTGATCACAAGGGAAAAGTGAAGGGAATCCCCAGAATGGTGGGGAAGGGAGAGTTCAGGATTCCAGTTGTGCCACTGCCTGAAGGACCAGCAGCCCAGACTTCAAGGGACTGGATGGTTCAGGGAGAGACTTCTCCAAGAAATGAACCGATAGAATACTGGATGCTTCTGAACATGCGAAGGGGAGATTCAGACAATTAGTCATGAAGTGGGTATTGACAGAAAACTAAGCCAGAGTCACCCATAAAGGGAAACCCATCAGACTAACAGTGGATCTCTCAGCAGTAACTCTACAAGCCAGAATAGAGTGGGGGCCAATATTCAACATTCTTAAAGAAAAGAATTTTCAACCCAGAATTTCACATCCAGCCAAACTTCACTTCCAAACTAAGTGAAGGAGAAATAAAATCCTTTACAGACAGGCAAATGCTGAGAGATTCTGTCACCACCAGGCCTGCCCTAAAAGAGCTCCTGAAGGAAGCACTAAACATGGAAAGGAACAACCGGTACCAGCCACTGCAAAAACATGACAAATTGTAAAGACCATTGAGGCTAGGAAGAAACTGCATCAACTAACAGGCAAAATAACCAGCTAACATCATAATGACAGGATCAAATTCACACATAACAATATTAACCTTAAATGTAAATGGGCTAAATGCTCCAATTAAAAGACACAGACTGGCAAATTGGATAAAGAGTCAAGACCCATCAGTGTGCTGTATTCAGGAGACCCATCTCACATGCAGAGACACACATAAGCTCAAAATAAAGGGATGGAGGAAGATCTACCAAGCAAATGGAAAACAAAAAAAGGCAGGGGTTGCAATCCTAGTCTTTGATAAAACAGACTTTAAACCAACAAAGATCAAAAGAGACAAAGAAGGCCATTACATAATGGTAAAGGGATCAATTTAATAAGAAGACTAACTATCTTAAATATATATGCACCCAATACAGGAGCACCCAGATTCATAAAGCAAGTCCTTAGAGATCTACAAAGAGACTTAGACTCCCATACAATAATAATAGGAGACTTTAACACCCCACAGTCAACATTAGACAGATCAACGAGACAGAAAGTTAACAAGGATATCCAGGAATTGAACTCAGCTCTGCAACAAGCGGACCTAATAGACATCTACAGAACTCTCCACCCCAAATCAACAGACTATACATTCTTCTCAGCACCACATCACACTTATTCCAAAATTGACCACATAGTTGGAAGTAAAGCACTCCTCAGCAAATGTCAAAGAACAGAAATTATAACAAACTGTCTCTCACACTACAGTGCAATCAAACTAGAACTCAGGATTAAGAAACTCACTCAAAACCACTCAACTACATGGAAACTGAACAACCTGCTCCTAAATGACTACTGGGTACATAACGAAATGAAGGCAGAAATAAAGATGTTCTTTGAAACCAATGAGAACAAAGATACAACATACCAGAATCTCTGGGACACATTTAAAGTAGTGTGTAGAGGGAAATTTATAGCACTAAATGCCCACAAGAGAAAGCAGGAAAGATCTAAAATTGACACCCTAACATCACAATTAAAAGAACTAGAGAAGCAAGAGCAAACAAACTCAAAAGCTAGCAGAAGGCAAGAAATAGCTAAGATCAAAGCAGAACTGAAGAAGACAGAGACACAAAAAACCCTTCAAAAAATCAATGAATCCACGAGCTGGTTTTTTGAAAAGATTAACAAAATTGATAGACCGCTAGCAAGACTAATAAGAAAAGAGAGAAGAATCAAATAGACGCAATAAAAAATGATAAAGGGGATATCACCACCGATCCCACAGAAATACAAACTACCATCAGAGAATACTATAAACATCTTTACATAAATAAACTAGAAAATCTAGAAGAAACGGATAAATTCCTGGACACATACACCCTCCCAAGACTAAACCAGGAAGAAGTTGAATCCCTCAATAGACCAATAACAGGCTCTGAAATTGAGGCAATAATTAATAGCTTACAAACCAAAAAAAGTCCAGGACCAGACGGATTCACAGCCAAACTCTACCAGAGGTACAAGGAGGAGCTGGTACCATTCCTTCTGAAGCTATTCCAATCAATAGAAAAAGAGAGAATCCTCCCTAACTCATTTTATGAGGCCAGCATCATCCTGATACCAAAGCCTGGCAGAGACACACACACAAAAATAGAACTTTAGACCAAAATCCCTGATGAACATCAGTGCAAAAATCCTTAATAAAATACTGGCAAACTGAATCCAGCAGCACATCAGAAAACTTATCCACCATGATCAAGTGGGCTTCATCCCTGGGATGCAAGGCTGGTTCAACATATGCAAATCAATAAAGGTAATCCAGCATATAAACAGAACCAAAGACAAAAACCACATGATTATCTCAATAGATGCAGAAAAGGCCTTTGACAAAATTCAACAGCCCTTCATGCTAAAAACTCTCAATAAATTAGGTATTGATGGGATGTATCTCAAAATAATAAGAGCTATTTATGACAAATCCACAGCCAGTATCATACTGAATGGGCAAAAACTGGAAGCATTCCCTTTGAAAACTGGCACAAGACAGGGATGCCCTCTCTCACCACTCCTATTCAACATAGTGTTGGAAGTTCTGGCCAGGGCAATCAGGCAGGAGAAAGAAATAAAGGGTACTCAATTAGGAAATGAGGAAGTCAAATTGTCCCTGTTTGCAGATGACATGATTGTATATTTAGAAAACTCCATCGTCTCAGCCCAAAATCTCCTTAAGCTGATAAGCAACTTCAGCAAAGTCTCAGGATACAAAATCAATGTGCAAAAATCACAAGCATTCTTATACACCAATAACAGACAAACAGAGAGCCAAATCATGAGTGAACTCTCATTCACAATTGCTACAAAGAGAGTAAAATACCTAGGAATCCAACTTACAAGGGAAGTGAAGGACCTCTTTAAGGAGAACTACAAAGCACTGCTCAGTGAAATAAAAGAGGATACAAACAAATGGAAGAACATTCCATGCTCATGGATAGGAAGAATCTTATCGTGAAAATGGCCATACTGCCCAAGGTAATTTATAGATTCAATGCCATCCCCATCAAGCTACCAATGACTTTCTTCACAGAATTGGAAAAAACTACTTTAAAGTTCATATGGAACCAAAAAAGAATCCGCATCGCCAAGTCAATCCTAAGCCAAAAGAACAAAGCTGGAGGTATCACGCTACCTGACTTCAAACTATACTACAAGGCTACAGTAACCAAAACAGCATGGTACTGGTAGCAAAACAGAGATACAGACCAATGGAACAGAACAGAGCCCTCAGAAATAATACCACACATCTACAACCATCTGTTCTTTGACAAACCTGACAAAAACAAGAAATGGGGAAAGGATTCCCTATTTAATAAGTAGTTCTGGGAAAACTGGCTAGCCATATGTAGAAAGCTGAAACTGGATCCCTTCCTTATACCTTACACAAAAATTAATTCAAGATGGATTAAAGACTTAAATGTTAGACCTAAAACCATAAAAAACCCTAGAAGAAAACCTAGGCGATACCATTCAGGACATAGGCATGGGCAAGGACTTCATGTCTAAAACACCAAAAACAATGGCAACAAAAGCCAAAATTGACAAATGGGATCTAATTAAAGAGCTTCTGCACAGCAAAAGAAACTACCATCAGAGTGAACAGGCAACCTACAGAATGGGAGAAAATTTTTGCAATCTACTCATCTGACAAAGGGCTAATATCCAGAATCCACCAAGAACTCAAACAAATTTACAAGAAAAAAACAACCCCATCAACAAGTGGGTGAAGGATGTGAACAGACAATTCTCAAAAGAAGACATTTATGCAGCCAACACACACATGAAAAAATGCTCATCATCACTGGCCATCAGAGAAATGCAAATCAAAACCACAATGAGATACCATCTCACACCAGTTAGAATGGCGATCATTAAAAAGTCAGGAAACAACAGGTGCTGGAGAGGATGTGGAGAAATAGGAACACTTTTACACTGTTGGTGGGAGTGTAAACTAGTTCAACCATTGTGGAAGACAGTGTGGCGATTCCTCAAGCATCTAGAACTAGAAATACCATTTGACCCAGCCATCCCATTACTGGGTATATACCTAAAGGATTATAAATCATGCTGCTACAAAGACACATGTACACGTATGTTTATTGTGGCACTATGCACAATAGCAAAGACTTGGAACCAACCCAAATGTCCATCAATGACAGACTGGATTAAGAAAATGTGGCACATATACACCATGGAATACTATGCAGCCATAAAAAAGGATGAGTTCATGTCCTTTGTAGGGACATGGATGAAGCTGGAAACCATCTTTCTTAGCAAACTATCACAAGAACAAAAAACCAAACACCGCATGTTCTCACTCATAGGTGGGAACTGAACAATGAGAACACTTGGACACAGGAAGGGGATCATCACACACCAGGGTCTGTTGTGGGGTTGGGGGAGGGGGAAGGGAAAGCATTAGGAAATATACCTAATGTAAATGACAAGTTAATGGGTGCAGCACACCAACATGGCACAGGTATACATATGTAACAAACCTGCATATTGTGCACATGTATCCTAGAACTTAAAGTATAATTAAAAAAAAAAAAAAAAAAGGAAAGCTAAGCCAGAAAAAAAAAGGCAATTATGAACTCCACCTCCATGGAAAACAATAGGTCTGGCAGAAATAGAAAGATAATCATTTATTACTATATAGTTCAGCTCTAAATAGTTTTTACACTGAATATTAACCTTACTAAAGTTAAAATATAATTGTATTGGGACAACTGGGGGATGGGCAAGGTTCACACGTGGCAGAGACAAGGTGGAGAGGGAGGAATGATAAATCCTCATTCTCCATAGTGAGGAGTCAATATATCATGCCTGAAATAGAAAAAAAAAAATTTAAGAAATGTATTATTGCCAAGCGCAGTGGCTCACGCCTGTAATCCCAGCACTTTGGGAGGCCGAGGTGGGTAGATCACGAGGTCAGGAGTTCAAGACCAGCCTGGCCAAGATGGTGAAACCCTGTCTCTACTAAAAATACAAAAAAATTAGCCAGGTGTGGTGCTGGGCGCCTATAATCCCAGCTACCGGAGAGGCTGAGGCAAAGAACTGCTTGAACCTGGGAGGCAGATGTTGCAGTGAGCAGAGATTGTGCCACTGCACTCCAGCCTGGGTGACAGAGCGAGACTCCATCTCAAAAAAAAAAAATGTATTATTTAGAAATATTGAAGAAAATGGCATATGAATAAGCCAGAACAGGTAAAAGGGATTGTCTCTGGAAAGGGGGAAACAATA
Source organism: Homo sapiens (assembly GCF_000001405.40). NCBI lineage: Eukaryota > Metazoa > Chordata > Mammalia > Primates > Hominidae > Homo > Homo sapiens. Next base: position 99,785,515 of record NC_000013.11, on the reverse strand, counting down.
ATGGTTGGGGGTTGCTTTATAACTATTTGGCTTTTTAAATAATGTGTAAGAATGAATTTTAGACTAATTGTTTTAAAGTTTATAACCAAGCCTGGGCAACATAGAGAGACCCCCATCTCTACAAAATAAAAATAAAAAAATTAGCCAGGCACAGTGGCACACACCTGTGGTCCCAGCTACTCAAGAGGCTGAAGTGGGAGGATTATTTAAGCCTGGGAGGTTGAGGCTGCAGTGAGCAATGATTGAACAACTGCATTCCAGCCTGGGTGACATAGCAAGACCCTGTCTTTAAAAAAAAAAAAAAAAAAAAAAAAAAAAAAAAAAGCCAGGCGGGGTGGCTCAAGTCTGTAATCCCAGCTCTTTGGGAGGCCAACGTGGGTGGATCACTTGAGGTCAGGAGTTTGAGATGAGCCTGGCCAACATGGTGAAACCTCATCTCTACTAAATAGACAAAAATTAGCCAGGTGTGGTGGTGCACATCTGCAGTCCCAGCTACTCAGGAGGCTGAGGACAGGAGAATCACTTGAACCAGAGAGGCGGAGGTCGCAGTGAGCAGAGATCGCACCATTGCACCCCAAGCCTGGGCGACAGAGTAAGACTCTTGTCTCGGAAAATCAAAAAAAAATGTCAAAGGATGGGTACCTTGTTTTGGAATGGTTGACCATGTTCTCTGAAGTGCTATCCTACTGTAAAAATAGATACATTTCAACAAAAGTACTTTTTAATGCATTTTTGGGCTCAGTAAAATGTAAAAGAATTTTCAGCTGGGCACGGTGGCCTACGCCTATAATCCCAGCACTTCGGGAGGCCAAGGCGGGCGGATCACCTGAGGTCAGGAATTTAAGACCAGCCTGGCCAACATGGTGAAACCTGTCTCTACTAAAAATACAAAAATTAGCTGGGCCTGGTGGTGGGCACCTGTAATCCTAGCTACTCGGGAGGCTGAGGCACGAGAATTGCTTGAACCCAGGAGGTAGAGGTGGCAGTGAGCCAAGATTGAGCCACTGCACTCCAGACTGAGCAACAAAGTGAGAGTCCATCTCAAAAAAAAAAAAAAAAAAAAAAAGAGAGAATTTTCCAGAAGCAGAGGAATAACAAAAAGCAATAGGTTGAATTCTGATTTGTGAAAGAAAAATAAGGACACGGGGAATCAAATACCTATATCAGACCTAGTATCAGAATACTAAGCCTTGAGACCACTGCAAGGTTAGAGAGAGTAAATTGAGACTCCCACATTAGTAATATCTTTGACTTTCAGTAGGAGCAAACACAAATTTTCTTTGGAGGAAAACCTTCTCACTCTAAGCTCTTGGGATCTAAGAATTGATTGAATTAATTCCAATGAATATGGGTTCATGATCCTTTTGTGGTTCACAAGCATGATGATTGACTTCTCATGCTATTGTGTGAGATGTACCTCCTTCAAATCTTGCTGCAACGTTGGCACATTACAGATCTGATGTGAATAAAATATACATATGGGTTCATGCCATAAGTAAGAGTCAGCAGAAACAACAAAAAATGATTTAGATAGGTTATTTCAAAGAGGGCTCATGAGGCTATGAAACCAAGAACTCTTAATGCTATGACCAAAGATTGAAGTTCTCTATAGAATGCCATAGCACTCAATAATGTTATGTTTTCTTGAGGCATATAAGACTTTGCCACTCATAATCATGACATAATAATCCATGATTGTTGATGAGGGAAAGTAAATAAGTGTCCCAAAGTTTAATCAAAGTTTCTCTTCTTTAGATTAAAAATTATTTATGGCCAGGCACGGTGGCTCATGCCTGTAATCCCAGCACTTTGGGAGGCCGAGGCGGGCGGATCATAAGGTCAGGAGATCAAGACCATCCTCGTTAACAAGGTGAAACTAAAAATACAAAAAATTAGCCAGGAGTGGTGGCAGGCGCCTGTAGTCCCACCTACTCTGGAGGCTGAGGCAGGAGAATGGCATGAACCCAGGAGGCGGTGCTTGCAGTGAGCTGAGATCGCACCACTGCACTCCGGCCTGGGTGACAGAGCAACACTCCGTCTCAAAAAAAAAAAATTACACCCCAAAGTACTGAATTTATCAGATTCATAATATACCAAGCAGATATGTAGAAGAACCAAATAGAACTTCCAGATATAACAAATATAATAATTAAAATAAAAAACTCAGAGGATGGCCCAGGCATGGCGGCTCACACCGGAAATTCCAGTACTTTGGGAGGCCGAGGCAAGTGGATCACCTGAGCTCAGGAGTTTGAGACCAGCCTGGCCAACATGGTGAAACCCCATCTCTACTAAAAATACAAAAATCAGCTGGGCGTGGTGGTGCATGCTTATAATCCCAGCTACTTGGGAGGCCTAGGCAGGAGAATTGCTTGAACCCAGGAGGCGGAGGTTACAGTGAGCCGAGATCATGCCACTGCACTCCAGCCTGAGCCACAGAGCAAGACTTCGTCTCAAAAAAAAAGCAAAACAAAAACCAAAAAACAAAAAACCTCAGAGGATGGGTTAAACGGATTAGACACAATTGAAGACAGAATTAGAAAACTGGAAATTAAACATGAAGAACTAACTGAGAATGTAACACAGAGAAACAAGAAGAAAATATGAGAAGATATTAAGAGAGAAGGAGGATAGAATGAAGTTTCCAACTACGTGTACTCAGCATCTCTGAAGGAAAGAATAGAAAGGAGAAACAGAGGCCATATGTGAATTGCTAATGGAAATTTTACAAAATGGATAAAAGACATGAATCTACAAATATAGGAAACACAACTTATACCAAGCAAAAAGGAAGCAAAAATGTAAGGGAGGAAGGGAGGGAGAAAAAGAGTAATAAATCCACACTTTGTCACATTTTAGTAAAACTTCAGTATACCAAGGGAAAAAAAAGGACTTTTGTTGAAATGTATCCATTTTTACAGTAGGATGGCACTCTAGAGAACATAGTCAACTGTTCCAAAACAAGGTACCCATCCTTTGAAATTTTTTTTATTATAAACTTTTTTCCCCCCAAGACAGAGCCTCGTTCTGTCACACAGGCTGGAGTGCAATGGTATGATCTTGGCTCGCAGCAACCTCCACCTCTGAGGTTCAAGCAATTCTCCTGTCTTAGCCTCCTGAGGGTGGGACTACAGGTGCGCACCACCACGCCCAGCTAATGTTTATATTTTCAGTAGAGATAAGGTTTCACCATGTTGGCCAGGCTGATCTCAAACTCCTGACCTCAGGTGATCTGCCTGCTTTGGCCTACCAAAGTAATGGCATTACAGGTGTGAGCCACCACACCCAGGCCATAAAGACATTTTCAAAAAAAACAAAAATGTAAACTTTATGATCAACCAACTTTCGCTATAGGGAAATTCTGAAAGTTGCACCTGAAGAGAAAGAAAACTGACCCCAGGAAGATCTGAGATACAAAACAAATGATAAGCAAAAAAAAAGTGGGAAAATATGTAAGATAATATAAAGAAATACTGTAGATAGCAATAATATAAAATGTATAGGATTAAAGAGAGATAACTAAAATATTGAGCAAAAATAACGCATACAGTGCGAGAGAAATAACTGGATTTAAAGTTTTCCAAGGTTCTTGAGCTGTCCAGAAGAAAGATATGGATTAATTTTAGGCATTGTTAAGCGTGCTTAGTAAAATTTCAAGAGTAACCAATAAAAATTACAAACACAGTCCTAACTTATAAACTAAGAGAGGAAAGAATGAACTAAGAAAATAAACAAACTGGCCAGCCATGGTAGATCACACCTGTAATCCTCGAACTTTGGGAGGCCGAGGCGGGTGGATCACCTGAGGTCAGGAGTTCAAGATCAGCCTGGCCAACATGATGAAACCCCCATCTCTACTAAAAAGACAAAAAATTAGCCAGACGTGGTGGCAGGCACTTGTAATCCCAGCTACCCAGGAGGCTGAGGCAAGAGAACTGCTTGAACCCGGGGGGCAGAGGTTACAGTGAGCCCAGATCATGCCACTGCACTCCAGCCTGGGCAACAAGCAACAAGAGCAAAACTCAGTCTCAAAAAATAAAAAATTTGGCTGGGTGCAGTGGCTTATGCCTGTAATCCCAGCACTTTGGGAGGCCAAGGCGGGCAGATCACGAGGTCAGGAGATTGAGACCATCCTGGCTAACACAGTGAAACCCCATCTCTACTAAAAATAGAAAAAATTAGCTGGGCATGGTGGTGGGCGCCTGTAGTCCCAGCTACTTGGGAGGCTGAGGCAGGAGAATGGCGTGAACACAGGAGGCGGAGCTAGCAGTGAGCCAAGATCGCACCACTGCACTCCAGCCTGCGTGACACAGCGAGACTCCGTCTCAAAATAAATAAATAAATAAATAAAAATAAATAATAAAAAATTTAAAAATATATATATATTTTAAAAGGAAAGAAAGATGAAAAAAGAAACATGAAACAGGTGGGAAAACATTATGAAATATAATGGTGTAATTAAAGTGAAACTCGTCAGTAATTACATTAAAAGTCAATGGATTAGCCGGGTGCAGTGGCTCATGCCTGTAATCCCAGCACTTTGGGAGGCCGAGGCGGGTGGATTGCCTGAGGTCAGGAGTTCGAGACCAGACTGGCCAACATGGTGAAACCCCATCTCTACTAATAATACAAAAATGAGCCAGGTGTGGTGGCAGGCACCTGTATTCCCAGCTACTTGGGAGGCTGAGGCAGGAGAATCGCTTAAACCTGGGAGGCAGAGGTTGCAGTGAGCCAAGATCGTGCCATTGCACTACAGCCTGTGCAACATAGTGAGACTACGTTTCAAAAAAAAAAAAAAAAAAGACAATGGATTAACATTCTAGTTAAAAGAGAAATTGTCGGCTGGGCATGGTGGCTCATGCCTGTAATCCCAGCACTTTGGGAGGCCGAGACGGGCAGATCATGAGGTCAGGAGATCCGGACCATCAACATGGTGAAACCCCATCTCTGCTATAAACACACAAAAAATTAGCCAGGTGTGGTGGCAGGCGCCTGTAGTCTCAGCTACTCGGGAGGCCGAGGCAGCAGAATGGCGTGAACCCAGGAGGCAGAGCTTGCAGTGAGCCGAGATCATGCCACTGCACTCCAGCCTGGGTGACAGAGCGAGACTCCATCTCAAAAAAAAGAGTGAAATTGTCAACATGGATATAGAAATTTTTTAAAAATAGGAGACGTAATTAAAATACAAAGATATGGACACTTTGAAAGCAAAAGGATGAAAATGTTACACTGAGCAAATGCCAACCTAAGGAAAGTTGATGTTGCTGTATTACGATCAGACCACATAAACATTCAAGCAAAATGCATTATAAGGGATAAAGATGGTCAGTACATAGAAATAGATGAATCAATATGCCAGGAATATGTAGTAATTCTAAATGTGTATATACCTAAAGACATTGGCAAATTTTCTATTGGAGAATAGATTTCAACTAGACTCTCTCAATTTTTGACACATCAAGCAGATAGAAGTCGGTAAAGATTTGTATATTTGAATAACATAATTAACAGGCTTGGTCTAATAGAAAATATATAGAACTCTGCATCTAGTAAGTAGAAAATATACTTTCTTCTTCAGCACATGGAACAGTTACAAAAAATGGCTAATGTAGTTGGTCATGAAGCAGAATGACAAATTTCAAAGAATCATCACCATTCACATCACATTTCTCTAACCACCCACCATGTCACTACGCTAGAGCTCAGCAACAAAAAGATAAATTGAAAAAAACAAAAAACAAAAAACTCTCCTACACTTGGAAATTTAAGTCCTTGCTACTCAAGCTATGGTTTGTGGCCCAGTCTCAGTCCCTGAAACTTTACCATGCCACTATGATTAAGTGCAACCTTGGAGAGTAACAGTTTAGAAACTTCTGTAGCACCTGACATTGCTGTCACCCAACCAGCATTTAATTTTTATAGCAATTCATTTGTATTGTATTTTACAAAAGTATCAGTCCACAATGGATTGGATAACTAAACTGGTTCTTCATCATAGACTTTGGGAAGCACTCTTTTGTATGTTATATTTCAAGCAAGAGACCAAATAAATGACAATTAAAAAATACTCAGAACTGGCCAGGCACGGTGGCTCGCGCCTGTAATCCCTGCACTTTGGGAGGCCGAGGCAGGATCACCTGAGGTCAGGAGTTTGAGACCAGCCTGGCCAACGTGGTGAAACCCCATTTCTACTAAAAATACAAAAATTAACTGGGCGTGGTGGCAGGCGCCTGTAATCCCAGCTACTTGGGAGGCTGAGGCAGGAGAATTGCTGGAACACAGGAGGCAGAGGTTGCAGTGAGCCGAGATCATACCATTGCACTCCAGCCCGGGCGACAACAGCGAGACTCCTTCTCAAAAAAACAAAAACAAAAAACCCCACTCAGAACCAAATGATTAAAAAAGAAATATGTTCTCATAGACCTATTTTGTTGGATCATAGCTATTTACTTTTTGCCACTCTCAACAACAGCTTGTGTCTCCTCCAGGTTGGGGATCTGCCACCATTTTTGTCTCCCTCCTGCCTGCCATGGCAACTAGTTGAGTAGGTACTCAGTATTTATTTAAGTATTGATTAGTATTTACATTTAAATACTTAAATACTTAAATAGTAAATAAATTTAAAGAATTGTTTAAATATCCATTCAACTGAAATGGCAGCTATGGAATCATGCCTCTTCCTCCTCAGTGCCTACTTTCTTGGCCTCACCCAGTGTCATGGAGTTACATCAGAAATCGGTGCATTACTTGGCATATTTTTACTGTGGCCCAGCAAGCAGTGGCTTAGACAGCCCCACACCTCCTCATGCATTTAACAATGAAAAGGAGGAGATAAGAGGGAGTGGAGGCAGTCTTTTTTATCATCCGTGCTTGGGAAGGTGAGCTGGTAGTGCCATCCTTGACATGAAGGAGCTACTTAAACACAAATTGGATTAGCAGGACAGGATTAGAGCCTGCTGGAAGGTATTATATACTTATAAACTGCTTTGTGGAAACTCCTATTGTTTTCATTATAAGCCCATACTTCACAGAGAGTCAATCAAATGAAATATGGAATTAGTCTATTAATAAAAAAATGAGATATAAAATGAAGTGACATTTTAATAATGCCAAGAAAGCTGAATTAGGCAATAATGATTCAGTTTAGCCAGACTCTAACTAGATAATCTGAAATTAAGAGTTTTAATATGGATTTCTTCTTACTGAGAAATAAACTCACTAAAAATGGTCTCTATGTCCTCCATCAAGAGAATAATATTCAAATAAGAAACATGATTAAGAGGTGACTTTGAGAAAGAAAAGAGAATATGAGATATTTGAGAAGTTTCAGGCTTATCTGGACTTTCCAGTGAATTGAAGCTCCTAGGTCTAAATGGATGATAATCCCAGTCCCAGAACACTGAAAGAGTCTGCAGATGGGAACACAGAGCTCCTGTCAGTTACCTTGGAGAGATAATGGAGAACAGGAAGCTGACTAAAGATAAAAAGAAGCCAAGGCACTCACTTTCCAAGAAAGACGAAAAACGTGGGTTAGGACATACACGAGCAGGTGAGCTGGAGGCTGGTTCCTGGCAAAAATTCTAGGAGACTCAAATCTTGGTTCTGCTATTTAATGGCAATGTGACCTTGTACATATTTCAAAACATTGCTATAAGGATTAAGATAACATATGTAAATGGGATAAGGTATGTAAATAACAATATATGTAATACAGCACTTGTAACAGAAAATTCTCAGGCTCACGCCTGTAATCCCAGCACTTTGGGAGGCTGAGGTGGGCAGATCACCTGAGGTCAGGAGTTCGAGACCAGCCTGACCAATATGATGAAACCCCGTCTCTACTAAAATTACAAAAATTAGCCAGGCGTGGTGGCATGCGCCTGTAATCCCAGCTACTCGGGAGGCTGAGAAAGGAGAATCTCTTGAACCCGAGAGGCGGAGGTTGCATTAAGCTGAGATCACACCATTGCACTCTAGCCTGGGCAACAAGAGCAAAACTCTGTCTCAAAAAAAAAAAAAGAAAAGAAAAGAAAAGGAAGAAAGAAAATTCTCAGTACAGCATTTTTGTATTTCCAACAGTTTACAAAGAGGTGGTAGCAATGAGGTACTGACTTGGGTTTCCTCAAGAACAAGTCTCATTTACCTGACCTCACTTTGCTGGTTAGGTGGAGGTATTGAGGGAGAAGGTATTTTTGGACAAGTAGATTGGGAACATATCTTCATTTTGAAAAGGCATTTGATGAAAATATCATAATATCTGCGTGAAAAGATTGGATTTTAGGAGAGTTAGGTTTCTGAATAAGCACATTCATGGTATAATTCACGAACTGGGTTGGGCGTGGGGGCTGGGTGCGGTGGCCTGTAATCCCAGCACTTTGGGAGGCGGAGGTGGGCAGATCACCTGAGGTCAGGAGTTGGAGACTAGTCTGGCCAACATGGTAAAACCCCATCTCTCCTAAAAACACAAAATTAGCCAGCCACGGTGGTACACACCTGTAATCCCAGCTACTTGGGAGGCTGAGGCAGCAGAATCACTTGAACCCAGGAGGCGGAGATTGCAGTGAGTGAGCCGAGATCGCACCACTGCACTCCAGCCTGGGCAACAATAGCAAAACTCTATCTATGAAAAAAAAAAACGTGCATGAACTGGATATCTCTGTGCTTCAATTTCCTTACTTGTAAAATGAATGTAATCATAGCACCTCAATGGCTTGTCATGCAAATTACAGCGCCCAGCATATCGTCAGCACTATATACGTCTCTGTTCAATAAACCGGAAAAGAAGTTTTTAGCGGCATGCTTGTGCAGCACTTGGCCCCAACCTCTTCAAAATTTCCCTGAAACTTGTTAAATTTTCATATGATGTGCATGTCAAATTCTCAGATAATATAAATGTTGGATAATGAAATCAAAATCCAAAAAGACCTTGACAGGCTAGGGCTATGATGTGAAATATGTCAGATAAAATTAAGTCCTAGATAGAGATTTTAAGAAAAAAAAAAAAACAACTTTTTTTTTTTGAGACAGAGTCCTGCTCTGTCACCCAGGCTGAAGTGCAGTGGGGCAATCTCGGCTCACTACAACCTCTGCCTCCCAGGTTCAAGTGATTCTCGTGCCTCAGATTCCCGAGTAGCTGGGATTACAGGTGTGTGCCACCACTCCTGGCTGATTTTTTGTATTTTTAGTAGAGATGAGGTTTTGCCATGTTGCCCAGGCTGGTCTTGAACTACTGGCCTCAAGTGATCCGCCTGCCTCGGCCTCCCAGAGTGCTGGGAATACTGATGTGAGCCACTGCACCCGGCCAAGATTATTATTATTATTATTATTATTTGTTTTTTGGTTTTTTTTTTTTGAGATGGAGTCTTGCTCTGTCACCCAGGCTGGAGTGCAGTGGCACGATCTCGGCTCACTGCAAGCTCTGCCTCCTGGGTTCACACCATTCTCCTGCCTCAGCCTCCCGAGTAGCTGGGACTGCAGGCGCCCGCCACCACGCCCAGCTAATTTTTTGTATTTTTTAGTAGAGATGGGGTTTCACCATGTTAGCCAGGATGGTCTTGATCTCCTGACCTTGTGATCTGCCCACCTCAGCCTCCCAAAGTGCTGGGATTACAGGTGTGAGCCACCGTGCCCGGCCTATTGTTATTATTATTTTAAACAAAGACCAGCTTGGCTTTCCAGAAGTTTCTATGGATGAAAAAGAGAATTTTGGCCGGGCATCATGGCTTATGCCTGTAATCCCAGCCCTTTGGGAGGCTGAGGCAGGAGGATCACGTGAGTCCAAGAGTTCAAGAACAGCCTGGGCAACACAGCAAGACCCTATCTCTACAAAAAATAAAACAATTAGCTGGGTATGGTGGTAGGTGCGTATAGTCCCAGCTGCTTAGGAAGCTGAGGTGGGAGGACTGCTTGAGCCCAGGAGTTGGAGGCTGCAGTGAGCTATGATGACACCACTGCACCCCAGCCTGGGCAACACAACGACCAAAAAAAATTTTTTTAATGAAATTTTAGCTGACTCTGAGCTTAGGATGCCTAAAACAGTATGTCTAGCACATTGCAATGTCCAGCTGCATTAGGAGAATGAAAATGTCCTAGTAAAGACTCGATGTGGACATATGTACTTCAAGATGGTGGGCAATCATTAACTCTTCTTTCCCTTCTCCTCCTCAGGTTTCCCCTAAGTGGTAGCACAGCTGCTACTACTATGGAGATAAGGATGGCTTCGGAACCCAGATAAACAATAAGGAAATGTAAAGCAGAAATAGACTATATTTCCAACTCATTTGAGTGGCAGAAAACATTCTCAGGTGGGTATTGGAGGACAACCTCAAGATTTGTGAAGAACTATAATTAGAAGTTTATCAGGGCACCTAATGGCTCACTGTGCTACAATGCTACAATAAATTCCCCTCTAATCATGATTACTACAGGATTTATCTATTTCCTATAGGAAATCAAGCTACTCCCAGGTACTTTATCAACTTTTTTCTCATAATAAACCCTGTCCCTGACAAAAGAAGATATTGTCATCCCTACAGTACAGATAAGAAATTGAGGCAAAGAAGTAAAGTGAATTGCCCTGGGTCACACAGAACTGGAATTACAAGTTAGCATCGAATCTTGGAGTGCACTACATGAGTTATGGGAAGGAGCATACTGAAATCATATTACAGCCTTCAGAAAAAGGCCTATTTACTTTAATCTCTGGGAGAAGGATTAATAGTATTTTCCTTGGCACATGCCAAAGATGTTGAGTAGACATTTTAGATTCCACAGGCTCATTCTAATCCTTTTCCAAATACTTGGAAAGCCTTAGTTTGACCATTAGGAAGATACTGGAAATTAAATTTTTTCTTTAAAATTAAGGCAAATATTTGCTAGAAACTCCAGAAAAAGCAATTAATCCAGAAAATTGTATAGTACAGCCACGTTGTTTCAGGTCACCTGGCGCAAGAAACTTTCAAGTAGGCATAAATCCAGAGAGCCAGCTCCCTCATCCCCCGCCCCACGACCCATTCCCAGCCCAACCTCATTGTCTAGGGCCTGGATAGATAAAGGTCAAGCGAACTCATGTTTTTAACTTTAAAAGTTCCATGCAAATGTAAGTTATTGTTATAATGATTTATATATCTCAACTAATCATTGAATGAATCCATGTTCATTAGAAAAACATAGAAAACAAAGTTGAGCAAAACAAAATAAAAAGCAACTACTATACAGTCACGCAGTAAGAGTCTTTTGTACCTATTTACAAATTGGTTATTTTGTTTTTTTAAAACTTTTTTGGAGACAGGGTCTCACTCTGTTGCCCAAGCTGGAGTGCAGTGGCACGATCATGGTTCACTGCAGCCTCAAACTCTCGGGCTCACGTGATTCTACCACCTCAGCCTCCTGAGTAGCTGGGACTACAGGTACACGCCGCCACACCTGGCTAAATTTTTTTTTTTTTTTGGTAGAAATGGGGTTTTGCTATGTTGGCCAGACTGGTCTCAAACTCCTGAGCTCAAGTGATGCTCCTATCTTGGCCTCCTAAAGTGCTGGGATTATAGGCATGAGCCACCTCATCCGGCCTACAAGTTGGATATTTTCTAAGGCTCATCTCTTTGGTCAGGCCATGAGGAAATAAGCCAGAAGCTACAGCCAACCACTAAGGTTCTATGTGTCATTTCCCTTAAATTAAGTAGAGAAAATGGTGATTTATCCATGAAAAACTATGTTTTATTCTCTTGACACGTATCCCAGAAGAGAAAAGACCATTACTCAGTATACCTGGTGGTAAGAAGAAGAAAGAACTTCCTAGTTGCATTTTATCAGTCTGAAAATCTTACACCACAATTTTAGAATTATCTAATTCAGTGGTCCCCAACCTTTTTGGCACCAGGGACCTGTTTTGTGGAGGGTAATTATTCCATGGGAGGTGGGGCGGCGCAATGGTTTCGGATGAAACTGTTCCACCTCAGATCATCAGGCATTAGTTAGATTCTTACAAGGAGCGTGCAACCTAGATCCTTCACGTGCGCAGTTCACAACAGGGTCGTGCTCCTTGAGAATCTAATGCCACTGCTGATCTGACAGGAGGCAGAGCTTAGGCCATAATGCTTGTTCACCCACTGCTCATCTCCTGGGTTCTGGCCCAGTTCCTAACAGGCCTGTATTGTGGCCTGTACTGGTCCATGGCCTGGGGATTGGGGACCCCTGATGTCACTCATTTACCTAGACCGGCAAACATCATGGCCAAAATTGATTGTCCATCTTTTTATCTATACATACACATAGTCTCATCTACTGAAGGTCGTGATTTTAAAATATATTTTGGTGGGATTCTTCCTTTCTCTCAGAGAAAAGAGATACACATTTAGAACCTATATAAAAGCAGATCAAAGAATTGTTAATAATCAGCAAAAGATGAGTGTGGTAGAATCTTTCCAAATAGCGGGCAATGTCACTATTCGGAAGAGAAGCAAATTTCAATACCTTTCTTTTTCTCATACTAAAATCATGCCATTACCTTTTTGTTTGCAGCCACTCCATCCTCACAGTCGAGCACTGCACAATCTACATTCAGGGATGGAATCTTCTTTATTTTCTTTTCATCATTTCCAGGTACATAAAGCACTGCCCTCCGGGGGATGTACTTGTGATGGGATGAGGAACTATATCCAAGTCTGGGGATATCAGCTGCTAGAGACGCTTTCCTGCAAGACACGTGATTGGGGTTAGTCCAGAATGAGATTTCTGTATTTATAAACTTGTGAAAAACTATATTTTAATGCAAAATTAAAATAGAACACATGGATAATCTTTTTTTATTTTTATTTTTTTGAGACAGGGTCTTGCTCTGTCGCCCAGTTTGAAGTGCAGTGGTGTGATCTCGGCTCACTGCAACCTCCACCTCCAGGCTCAGGTGATCCTCCCACCTCAGCCTCCCCAGTAGTTGGGACTACAGGTGTGTGCCACCATGCCTGGCTAATTTTTTGTATTTTTTGTAGAGATGGGATTTCGTCATGTTGCCCAGGCTGGTCTTGAACTCCTAGGCTCAAGGGATCCATCTGCCTTGGGCTCCCAAAATGCTGGGATTATAGGCATGAGCCACCATGCCTAGCTGGATAATCTTTTAAAATTATGGTAGAATACAATCACACATAAAAACTAAGAAAACAATAATAGCAGAGATAATCAATGAACTAAATGTTATTTTGGCTGAGGTTTAAAAAATAGATAGGACTGTTTACTGACATCTTCTGAGACAAAGAGGAGGGTGTATGTATTTCTTCTTGGAAAACACTTCCAGTATTGTTATACTGTCTAGATAGCATCTATGGAGAAAAAGGAAAGAAAATATCTATCCAAAAGGTACTAAACAACAATACTATCTACAATTATACCTAAAAGTAAAAAAGTAGAAAAAAAAAACTAACGAAGTCTATGGCCCTTGCCCTGCCAATACATCTTTTAAAGGGTGAAAATTGGTGATTCACATCCAATTTTAACAAGACAAGATAGACTGGTTCTTTTTAAGTGAGTAGGAAGGACAGTGAATGCCTCTATAATTGTAGGCAACTTAATTACTGGTAACTTTGGATTCTTCATCTATAAAAATAATACTCAATTTGTAGGTTGTTGAGAAGATTAAGTTAAAGGAAATAATGAACATGAAGCACTTAGCCAGAGCCTGGCAGATATTTTAGCTACTTGAAATGGTCGTGGGTGTAGCAGGAGTACCAGCAGCTGCTGTTGTTATTAATGGAGAATCTCTAGCTGTCAGTAGCCCCTGCCTGCTTCTAAACTATGCTCTTTCTTTCCCTTGCCTATCATACCAAGTTCAGTCTCTGGTAGAAATAAAAAGTGTTGGCCAGAAGCTCCTTTGGCTTACCACCACCCTTGCCTGTTCCATAGTTTATCCCGTGAAAACCATGCTTTAGCTCATACGATATGGTAAAGGAAGATGAAATCAGCTCCCATAATCAGGACGAGCGATACAATTTGCGGGGCCCGGTGAAAATGAAAATGCAGAGGTCTTTGTTTATAATTTATTAAGAACTTCACAATGGCAACAGAAGAATATTATATCAGCACTAGGTATGTCTAAGAGCACAAATTACATGTCCATGAAGCCAACCCTGCCCATAAGAGATGAAGTTCTATGTCATGAAGACTGCCAATTAGGCCTTAGGCCATGTGTGGTGGCCCACGCCTCTAATTCCAATACTTTGGGAAGCCAAGGCAGGCAGATCACTTGAGCCCAGAGTTTGAGATCAGCCTGGGCAACATAGCAAAATCTCGGCTCTATCAGGAAAAAAACTCAAAAAGCAAAAATTAGCCAGGCATAGTGCATATGCCTGTAGTCACAGCTACTCAGGAGGCTGAGGTGGGAGGATTGATTAAGCCCAGAAGGTCGATGAGGTTGCAATGAGCTGTGATCGCAAAGCTGCACTCCAGCCTGAGCAACAGAGCAATACCTTGCCTCAAAAAAAAAAAAAAAAAAAAAAAAAAAAAAAGGGCCCCGCGTGGTGGCTTACGCCTGTAATCCTGGCACTTTGGGAGGCCAAGGCGGGTGGATCATGAGGTCAGGAGATGGAGACTATCCTGGCCAACATGGTGAAACACCATCTCTACTAAAAACACAAAAATTAGCTGGGTGTGGTGGCACACACCTGTAATCTCAACCACTTGGGAGGCTGAGGCAGGAGAATCGCTTGAACCCAGGAGGTGGAGATTGCAGTGAGCGGAGATCGCACCACTGCACTCCAGCCTGGCAATAGAGCAAGACTCTGTCTCAAAAAAAATAACTGCCAGTTAAGAAAAGTTAAAACCCGGCCGGGCGCAGTGGCTCACTCCTGTAATCCCAACACTTTGGGAGGCCGAGGAGGGTGGATCATCTGAGGTAGAGAGTTTGAGACCAGACCGGGCGCGGTGGCTCACGCCTGTAATCCTAGCACTTTGGGAGGCCGAGACGGGCGGATCATGAGGTCAGGAGATCCAGAATATCCTCGCTAACACAGTGAAACCCCGTCTCTACTAAAAATACAAAAAACTAGCCAGGCGTGGTGGCGGGCGCCTGTAGTCCCAGCTGCTCGGGAGGCTGAGGCAGGAGAATGGCGTGAACCCGGGAGGCGGAGCTTGCAGTGAGCCAAGATTGCGCCACTGTACTCTACCCTGGGTGACAGAGCGAGACTCCGTCTCAAAAAACAAACAAACAAAAAAAGAGTTCGAGACCAGCCTGGCCAATATGGTGAAACCCTGTCTCTACTAAAAATACAAATATCAGCCGGGCACAGTCGCGGGCGCCTGTAATTCCAGCTACTTGGGCGGCTGAGTAGCGAGAATCCCTTGAACCCGGGAGGTGGAGGTTGCAGTGAGCAGTGAGCTGAGATCGCGCCACTGCACTCCTGCCTGGGCGACAAGAGCGAGACTCCATCTCAAAAAAAAAAAAAAAAAGAAAGAAAAGAAAAAGAAAGAAAAGTTAAAACCCTGGCAAACTGATGTTTTACTCTCCCTAGATAAATAGCATGATCTTAAAAAATATATATGTCAGCTATATCTTCATGAAAACCCTGGACATCAGTAGTTAACACTATCAAATACTTTGCACGGTTGTAACATTTCACCATGATTAGTGTGCTTGTGACTTAATGTATCTCAAGAAAAATCACTGTCTTTTGGGGCCTTGCAAGTTTGTGTGGGGGCCCTCATTCCTTCTTGTAGCCGACCTTACCTTAAGGAATTCTAAAACTTGAGTCTGGGTCTTATTTTGCCACAACATAAGCACTGTATCATGTGAGGTATGGTGAGATAGAGATGGATTTTAAAAGTGTACATGGCTTACGAAACATTTCATTTAATATAAAACATATTATTGCCAGCTAATTGAAGACTGCCTGAAATATCTGTCATCGTTTTTCATTGATTGAAAATATCTGGTTTATCTAAAAACAGGGAAAAAACATAATGATGTAACAGCAACAACCACATTTTACTTATCATTCACACTGGAGACTAGAATTTGCAACATATACATTTCCCTAAAAATACCAAGAAATGTTTGGGGCAAATTCTCTGCTCATCAGGATTTAATGTAACCACACATGTGAAAATCTAAGAGAGGGGGAAGATGGTGGAGTAGAAAGCACCAGCAATCTTCCCCACCCAGACAACTGCATTAGCAAAATCTTCCTGCTGTAACTATTTTGAAACCACTTGGAATCTATTGAAGGCTTGCAACTTCTCGGGGAAGGCTTGGATATTAAATAGTAGTTAATTTTGGTCAACTTCAGCTCTTAGCAGAGCAGCAGCTACCCATCCCCCACCTCTCAGTCACATGGTAGGCAGCTGTGCCCATGTTCCTGGAGCAACCTGCACATAGCTTGAGGGAGCCAGGGTAGGCAGAAACAAAGACCCTGACCCTCCAAATATCAAGGATCTGTGCTCTGATCACTGATTGCTGGTTCTAATCACAGAAGTGCAGACAAAGAGGCTGAGAGCCACTGTTATTGTATGTCCCTCCAATGTTGCAAGCCCCTCTCCCTTGGGCTGAAGTGACCTCCAGGTAATTTAAAGGGCCAGCACCTCCCCCATTAATTTTTTGCTTTTTTCCCTTTTAGAAGCCAGACATTAAAGACTAGGACATTCAAAAACAAACACATATATATAGGGGAAAATAGAAATGACCATGGATGCCCAGAGAAAGGCTCAGAAAAGACCTGAGAAGCTGGGAGTGCTAGCTCACACCTGTAATCCTAGCACTTTGGGAGGCCGAGGCAGGGGGAATCACCCGAGGTCAGAGTTTGATACCAGCCTAGCCAACATGGTGAAACAATGTCTCTACTAAAAATACAAAAAATTAGCCAGGTGTGGTGGCACATGCCTGTAATCCCAGCTACTTGGGTGGCTGAGGCACAAGAATTGCTTGAACCTGGGAGGCGGAGGTTGCAGTGAGCTGAGATTGCACCACTGCACTCCAGCCTGGGTGACACAGTGAGATTCTGTCTTTAAAAAAAAAAAAAAAAAAAAAAAAAAAAAAAAAAGAGGTCGGGCGCAGTGGCTCACACCTGTAATCCCAGCACTTTGGGAGGCTGAGGTGGGCAGATCACGAGATCAGGAGTTTGAGACCAGCCTAGGCAACATGGTGAAACCCCATCTCTACTAAAAATTCAAAAATCAGCGGGGTGTGGTGGCAGGTGCCTGTAATCCCAGCTACTCTGGAGGCTGAGGCAGGAGAGTTGCTTGAACTCGGGAAGTGTAGGCTGCAGTGAGCTGAGATAGCACCGTTTGCACTCCAGCCTGGGTGACAGAGCAAGACTCTGCTCAAAAAAAAAAAAAAAAAAAAGAAAAAGAAAAGACTTGAGGAGACCTTACATTTATACCTCAGGCTTATATTTTCCTCAGCATACACACAGTATACAACCATCAAATAAGTAAACAAAAACAGTGAGCCCAGGGGAGGGGGAGAATCTGATTTCTAGATACCACACTGTTAGATTCAAACATTCACTTTTCAACAACAAAAAAATCACAAGACATATGAAGAAAGATGAAAATATGGCCCAGTCAAAGGAAGAAAAATAAGTCAACAGAAACGGTCCCTGAAAGAGACCTGATGGCAAAGACTTTAAAACAACTGTCTTAAAGATGCTCAAAGAACTAAAGGAAGAAGTGAAGGACATCAAGATAATGACGTATGAACAAAATGGAAATACCAGTAAAGAGATAGAAAACTTAAAAAGATACCACAAACCCCAGAACTGAAAAGTACAATAATTGAAATGAAAAATTCACTAGAGGGATTCAAAGGCAGATTTGGCAGGCAGAAGAAAGAATTAGCAAACTTGAAGAGAGGACAATGGAAATTATCAAGTCTGAGGATCAGAAAAAAGACTGAAGAGAAGTGAATAGAGCCTAAAGGACCTGTGGGACACCATCAGGCAGACACACACACACACTGTGGGAATTCCAGAAGGATAAGGAGAGAGAAAAGGGTAGCAAGAGTATTTTGAAAAGATAATGGCTGAAAACTCTCCAAATTTGGTGAAAGACTTGAATACAAACATCCAAGAAGTTAAATGAACTCCAAGTAAGATGAACTCAAAGACACCCACATCTAGACACACTAAAATCAAACTTTCAAAAGTGAAAGACTTCCAGTTCTGAAATGGTGGCATAGAAGTAAGCTGGCTTTAGTACCCACCCCTCCCCAACAGAAAAATAAAAACAAATATACAGTGCTGAAATTATCACCAGAAGGACCTCAGAACTCAAATATGAAGATGAGACAGTTCCCAGGACCCCAGAAAAAACCCTGAGCAGATGGTAAGACAATTGGATTTCTACATCCATAACAACATTCCCCACATTATGCCGATCACCAGGCATGCAAAAACATTTCCTCCAACTCAAGGTTTCTACACTGGAAAAAGTGCAATTGAGGTGGACATTCAGCTTCTCTACCATCTTGGGTTCCCTGGCAGGAGGCCTGCTCTGCCTTAATCCATGGGAAGCATCGCAAGTGCCTGAAGGGAGAAATATCCCTGAGGACAGACAGAGGCAAAGCAGGGAGGTGGGACTACCATCCCCAGCTCTGGAATCTCTGTTGTGTAACTCAGCAAAAGGAGATGCCAAATCAGAGTGGCTGTTTAGCAGTACCACACTATAGGAGGTTTGTCCCACAGATCCCCTGGGCATGGACCCCTAGCCAGCCTTCCCACCCTGCCAAGAAAATCCCCTGGGGACCTCCCCCATTCAGGAAGAGCAGCGTTCTGATAGTTTACTAAGAGCTGAGGTGAACCTGGGTTTAAGGCTCCACCTAGAGCTAAAAAGGAGGCAGTGACCCAGCAGCAAAAAGCCTCTAAGCAAATGTATCCAATAAAATACAAAAACAAGCCAGCCAGAGAAGACTAGATTAAATGAATAATCCTTCAATGCAAAGACATACACATCAACAGGAAACAACAGCAAACAGGGAATCATGATCTCCCCAAAGGGACATAGCAAGGAACCAGCAACTCACTCTAAATGAGAGGATGATATGTAAGCTCTCTAACCAAGAATTCAGAATAGAAGTTCTAAGGAAACTCAGTGATCTTTAAGATACCACAGAAAAGCAGTTCAGAAATTTATCAAATAAACTTAGCAAAGAGGTTGAAATAATAAAAAGAAATCAAGCAGAAATCTTAGAATGGAGAAATATGTTTGCAGAGCTGAAGAATTCCTTAGAGGCTTTCCAAAGAAGAATGGATCAAGCAGAGGTAAGAATCATTGAGCCTAAAGATAGGCTACTTGAAAATACATAAAGGAGAAAAAAATCTTTAAAAAATGAGAATCAACAAAGATTGCCTACAAGATACAGAAAATTACCTCAAAAGACCAAATTTGCCAAATGAGTTGGCTCATGCCTGTAATCCCAGCACTTTGGGAGGCTGAAGCAGGAGGATCACTTGAAGGCAGGAGTTCGAGACTAGCCTGGGCAACATAGTGAGACCCCCCTCTCTACAAAAAATAAAAACACTAGCAGGGCATTGTGGTGCATGCCTGTAGTTCCAGCCATGCAGGAGGCTGAGGTGGGAGGACTGCTTGAACCCAGGAGTTCGAGACTGCAGTGAGCTTTGATCACACCACTGCACTCTAGCCCAGGGGACAGAATGAGAACCTGTCTTTAAAAAAAAAAAAAAAAAAAGACTCGACTTGGTGCAGTGGCTCATGCCTGTAATCCCCGTACTTTGGAAGGCCAAGGCGGGTGGATTGCTTGAACCCAGGAGTTTAAGACCAGTCTGCGCAACATGGCAAAACCCTGTCTCTAGAAAAAATACAAAAAATTAGCCTGGCATTGTGGCACGTGCCTGTTGTCCCAGTTACTCGGGAGGCTGAGAGGGAGGATTTGCTTGAGCCTAGGAGGTTGAGGCTGCAGTAAGTTGTGATTACACCACTGCATTCCAGCCTGGGTGACACAGGGAGGAAAGAAAAAAGACAAAATTTAAGAATTATTGAGGTTCAATAGGGAGTTGAGCAAGTGCAAGGGGTAGAAAGCTTATTCAAAAAAAAAGAGAAACAAAAAACTTTCCAAAACTTGAGAAAGATATAAATATCCAGGTATAGGAAGGTTAGAGAACACCAAACAGATTTGACCCAAATAAGACTACCTCAAGACATATAATAATCAGACTCTCAAAGGTCAAGGACAAACAGAATCCTAAAAGCAGCAAGAGAAAATCAGCAAATAACATATAAAGGCACTCCAATGTGTCTGGCAGTTCTCAATGGACACCATACAGGCCAGGGGGAAGCAGCAGAATGACATTTTTAAAGTGCTGAAAAAACTGCCATCCAAAAATATTGTATTCAGCAAAGTTATCCTTCAAATATGTTTTTCCCAGGCAAATGAAAGCAGGGAGAATTCACCACCATCTTACAAGAAACACTAAATATTGAGTTATTCAATCTGCAAGAAAAAAACACTAAAGTGCAAAAAGAAAAAAAAAAAGAAAAGAAAAACATTTAAAGGTATAAAACCCATTGGTAAATTAAATATAAATACAAGGGTTGGGCATGGTGGCTCACACCTACAATTTTAGCACTTTGGGAGGTCGAGGCAGCAGGATTGCCTGAGGCAGGAGTTCATGGCAAGCCTGGACAACATAGCGAGACCTGTGAGACCCCATCTTTAAAAAAAAAAAAAAAATTAGCCAGGCATGGTGGTGCATGCCTATAGTACCCAGATACTTGGGAGGCTGAGGCAGGAGGAGGATTGCTTCAGCCCACGAGTTCAGGGTTGTAGTGACCCATGATCATTTCACTGCACTCTAGCCTGGGCAACAGATTAAGATGCTGTCTCACAAAATAAAAAAAGATAAGATACAAAAATTGACAAGCCCTTGGTTAGACCGAGAAAAAAGAAAAAGAGGGAAGACCCAAATAAATAACTTTAGAAATGAAAAAGGAGACATAACAATTGAGACCACGGAAATACAAAGAATCATTAGAGACTACTATGAACAACTACATGCCAACAAAACTGGAAAACCTAGAAGAAATGGATAAATTCCTAGACATATACATCTACCAAGATTGAACCATGAAGAAATAGGAAAACTCAATAAACCAATAACGAGTAGTGATACTGAAGCCATAATAAAGTCTCCCATGAAAGAAATCCCCACATG
Organism: Homo sapiens; assembly: GCF_000001405.40. Taxonomy (NCBI): domain Eukaryota; kingdom Metazoa; phylum Chordata; class Mammalia; order Primates; family Hominidae; genus Homo; species Homo sapiens. The sequence continues at coordinate 99,764,366 of NC_000013.11, read as the reverse complement.
GCCTAATGGCTTTATTGCCGCATCCTACCAAACATTTAAATAACAAATATCAATTTTACGCAAATTCTTCAAAAAAACTGAAGAGCCAGCCTGGGCAACATGGCAAAACCATGTCTCTACCCAAAAGAAAAGAAAAAAAAAATTAGCCAGGCATGGTGGTACACATCTGTAGTCCTAGCTACTTGGGTGGCTGAGGCAGAGAATCCCTTGAGCCTAGCAGATCAAGGCTGCAGTGAGCTGTGACTGCACCGAGCTGTGACTGCACTGCTGCACTCCAGCCTGGGTGACAGGGCAAGACCCTGTCTCAAAAAAAAATTTTTTTTTTTGAAGAGGAATGAATACTCCAATACTCCCAAGCTAATTCTATGAGGCCAGCATTACCCTGATACCAAAACCAGAGAAGGACATGACGAAAAAAGGAAAACTAAGATGATGAACACAGATGCAAAAATTCTCATCAAAATACTAGCCAACTGACTTCAACAACACATTAAAAAGATCATTCACCATGATCGGCCGGGTGCGGTGGCTCACGCCTGTAATCCCAGCACTTTGGGAGGCTAAGGCGGGCAGATCATGAGGTCGGGAGTTTGAGACCAACCTAGCCAACATGATGAAACTCCGTCTCTACTGAAAATACAAAAATTAGCCGGGCGTGGTGGCATCTGCCTGTAATCCCAGCTATTCGGGAGGCTTAGGCAGGAGAATCGCTTGAACTCGGGAGGCGGAGGTTGCAGTGAGCCGAGATCGTGCCACTGCACTACAGCCTGGGCAACAAGAGCAAGACTCTGTCTAGTAAAAAAAAAAAAAAAAAAAAAGAATAAAAAGATCATGCACCATGATCAAGTGAGATTAATCCCAGGGATGCGAGGATGATCCAACATATGCAAATAAATAAACATGATACATCACATTAACAGAACCAAGAACAAAGACTATATGATTATTTCAATGGATGCCAAAAAAGCATTTGATAAAATTCAGCATCGCTTTATGATCAAAACCCTCATCAAACCAGATATAAGAAGAACATACCTCAAAATATAGGGGTCATATATGACAAACCCATAGCTAACATCATCCTGAACAGGGAGAAATTAAGGACTTTCCTCTAAGATCTAGAACAAGATAGGGATACCCACTTTTGCCACTTGTATTTAATATAATACTAGAAGATCCTGACCAGAGCAATTAGGCAAGAGAAAAAAATAAAGGGTATCCAAACTGGAAAAGAAGAAGTCAAATTAGCCTTGTTCACAGATAACATGATCTTATACTTAGAAAAACAGAGATTCCACCAAACAGCTGTTAGAACTGATGAACTAATTCAGTAAAGTTGCAAAATACAAAATCAACATACAGAAATCAGCAGCATTTATATTCACCAGCAGTGAACAATATGAAAAAGATATCAAGAAAGCAATTCTATTTATAATAGCTATAAATAATATTAAAAACCTAGCAACCAAATTTAACCAAATAAATAAAAGATCTCTCTACAAGGAAAACTATAAAACACCAATGAAAGAAATTTTGGAGGACACATCAAAAAATGGAAAGATATTCTAATCTATGTTCACAGCTTTAATATCATTAAAATGACAAGACTACTTAAAGCAGTTTACAAATTCAATGCAATCCCTATCAAAGTACCAATGATATTCTTCATAGAAAAGGAAAAATGTTCTAAAATTTATATGGAACCACAAGAGACTCTGAATAGTCAAAGCAATCCTGAACAAAACAAACAAAGCTGGAAGCATCACACTACCTGACTTCAAAATTTACTACAAAGTTATTATAACCAAATCAGCATGGTACCCGCATAAAAACAGACACAGGCACATAGACCAGTGGAACAGAATGGAGAACCCAAATATAAATCCACGCATTTATGAGCAACTCATCTTTGACAAAGTCTCCACAAACATGCAGTGAGGAAAGAACTGTCTCTTCAGTGGTGCTGGGAAAGCTGGATAAATACATTCAGAAGAATGAAACTAGACCCCTATCTCTCACCATACACAAAAATCAAGTAAAAATGGATCAAAGACTTAAATCTAAGACCTGAAACTTTGAAACTACTAGAAAAAAAACACTGGGGAAATGCTCCAGGACATTGGTCTGGCCAAAAATTTTTGTGTAAGACCCCAAAAGCACAGGCAACCAAAGCAAAAAAGACAAATGGGATTACATCAAGCTAAAAAAAACTTCTGCGCAGCAAAGGAAACAATAAAAAAAATGATGAGACAATCTGCTGAATGAGAGAAAATATTTAGAAACTACCCATCTGACAAGAAATTAATAACCAGAATATATAAGGAGCTCAAACAACTGAACAGCAAAAAACAAAAAATCCAATTTAAAAACAGACAAAAGGTCTGAACAGATATTTCTGAAATGAAGACATACAAATGGCCAAGTATATGAAAAAATGGTAACATCACTAGTCATCAGAGGAATGCAAATCAAAACTACAATAAGATATCATCTCACCCCAGTTGAAACAGCTTTGATCCAAAAGATGGTCAGTAACGAGTGCTGGTGAGGATGTGGAGAAAAGGGAACCCTTGTACACTGTTGATGAAAATGTAAATTAGTATAGCCACTATGGAGAACAGTATTGAGGTTCCTCAAAGAAACTAAAAAGAGAACTGTGCTGTGATCCAGCAATTCTACTACTCAGTATATATCCAAAAGAAAGGAAATGAATATATCAAAATGAGTATGTTCACTCCTATGTTCACTGCTACCCTATTCATAATAGCCAAAATATGGAACCAATCAAAGTGTCTATCAATGCATAAAGAAACTGTTACGTGAATGTGTGTGTGTAAAATTTGCCATAAAAAAGAATGAAATCCTGTCATTTGCAGCAACATGGATTGTACTGGAGGTCATTACGTTAAGTGAAATAAGCCAAGCACTGAAAGACAAATATTGCATGTTGTCACTCATATGTGGGAGCTAAAAATACAAATCTTGTGAAGATAGAAAATATATATTTTTTTCTTGAGTTGGCGTCTCACTCTGTCGCCTAGGCTGGAGTGGAGTGGCACGATCTTGGCTCACTGCAAGCTCCGCCTCCCCGGTTCACGCCATTCTCCTGCCTCAGCCTCCCAAGTAGCTGGGACTACAGGCACCCGCCACCACGCCCGGCTAATTTTTTGTATTTTTAGTAGAGATGGGGTTTCACTGTGTTAGCCAGGATGGTCTTGATCTCCTGATCTCGTGATCTGCCTGCCTCGGCCTCCCAAAGTGCTGGGATTACAGGCATGAGCCACTGCATCCAGCCCCCAAAGACAGAAAATATTAACGGTTACCAGAGGCTGAGAAGGGTAGAGGAAAAGTGGGTATGAAGAGAAGTTGATTATGGGTATAAATATATGGTTTGATAAAGAAGTAAGACCTAGTGTTAAACAGATCAGTAGGGTGACTGTAGTTTACAATAATCTATTGTATATTTCCAAATAGCTAGAAGAAAAGAACTGAAATGGTTCTAGCATAAAGAATAGACAAATATTTAAAGTGACAGATATCCTGAGTATGGTGCTTTGATCTTTACAAATTATATGACTGTATTAAATTATCACATGTATCCTGAAACTATGTATATCTCTTATCAATAAAAAAGGAAAGAATTTTCAAAATAGCAAGAGAGATACAAATCATCACATACAAGGTATCTTCAGTAAGATGATCAGCAGATTTTTCATCAGAAACTTTGGAAGCCAAAAGGCAATGGGCCAATATATTCAAAGTGCTAAAAGGAAAAGACCTGTCAGCTAGGAATCCTATGTCTGGAAAAACTGTCCTTCAAAGTGAGGGAGAAATTCAGACATTCCCAGATTTTAAAAAGCCAAGGGAGTTTGTCACCAGTAGAGCTGCCCTGCAAGAAATGCTTAGGTGCAGAGTGAAATGAAGGCCCAAAGGTATATGAAAACATGAAATGAAAAAATGCTGGTCAGTAACTTGGACCCACATGAAGAAATAAACATCTTAGTAAAGGTAAATGCATAGGCAATTATAAAAGCCATATAAGAGCAGTGATAATGAAGTTGAGAACAGAAAAGCAACAGAGAAAATCAATGAAATGAAGAGTTGATTTTTTTAAAAGATCAACAAAACTGACAAACTTTTAGCTAGTAGGCTAAGAAAAAAGAAGACTCAAATTACTAAAATCAGCAATGGAAATGGGGATATTACTACTGATTCTATGGAAATAAAAGATCATAAGACAGTACTATGAACAATTGTATGCCAACCAATTGAATAACCTAGATGAAATGGACAAATTCCAAGACTAAACTGTGAAGAAACAGAAAATCTGAATAACCTAGATAAATAGCGAGTCTGACTAGTAAGGAGATTGAACCGGTAATCAAAAATCTCCTTTTATAATTGACTTAAGCCAATAAAAGCATTTAAAAGGTCTCAAACAGCAAAAATAGTGGAATGTATTAAGCTGAACTATATGAAATTGCTGATATTTGACCATTTTTGACCTACAAAATGGTAATTTTATATGATTCAACCTAATGTTTTGACTGGCAGTCAGGAGATGGGGTAGGAAGCATCAATGTCTTCTTCAATGAGAAGCAACATAACAGCTACTTCTCACAGATGAAAGCTCATCCCGAAGAGTAAAACAAGTAGTAGGTAGATACAGCTACTATAGTATTATTAACTGTCACTTGTCACCCATGGGTGCTGCTGGTTGACACAGCCCAGCACCAGAAATTCTGTGTCTGGTATCCTTACCTAGAGCATGAGCTCTCTGAGGGGGTGGGGGTGGTCTCACATCTCTCTGCACTGCTTGTTTCAGGGCCTGACATCAGAGGTGCATCACTCCTGTTAACTTGTTGCCTCACCAAAGCCACCTCTCCAGACTTGGGTGCGTAGAACTCACCCGCACCCCACTGTCCCTGTTCTTCTTGTGGAAGAGTCAAGCATTACTGGTGACTACAGGTAGGAGATAATTTTTATTCCCTCTCTCCTTTGCCATCCTTGAACCTTAATCCAATCCACCACCTGTTGCTTCTGCTCCTCTGTTTATCCCCTGCTTTCCATCACACATTTACATTCTAGTTTAGGGCTTCCTTAAACTTGACCTAAATGACTATGAAAGCTTCTTATTTATCTTTATTGCCTCTATTTTGTTATTTTGTTCATGCATTCATTCATTCAGTGAGCACTTAGTAAGCACCAATGGGTGACCTGCTCTGGGCCTCCACTAGCACACAAGGCAGCACTTACATGCAAACTGGAAAAAGGTGCCCCTTAGTGCTTTCCAGCAAATGGAAGAGCAGAAAGGCAACTCTAGCTCCTGCTGCAGCACAGTGTAGAGCATGACTGGCCCAGCCCCTCTTGTGCCCCTCACCAGGTGCCCTCTCTAGGGCACACCCTGCACAGCTGTATCCAGTGGCCCTGAGCTGCACTGTGCTAAGCACAGTCAGGAGGTGGCACAAAAAAGGGCATCCCCAGAGGTTCAGAGAGGGACACCCCAAAGAACAGCCTGTGAATCAGAGGCAGGACAGCACAAGGCCAGCACTGAGCAAGCTCTAGGGGAAAAGATCAAAGGCAACAAAACTGTTTGAAATAATGTAAAGAAGAAACGTATAAGGAGGATTGGGGCTTCAGGTTCTGTTGCAGACTCTGTGGTCTGGAGGGGGGCTGTCACTGGGCAGGTGGCAGAAGCCCAGTCACGGCAGTCACCGTTCCGGAGAAGGAAGGCTTTACCACGCCTCCCTCCTCCCTTCCTGCTGGTGAGTCCTCTCCTTCCCCCATCCCCAGCTGTTCCAAAATCTGTTCTGTGCTTGAGTTGTATTCAGCACTGTCTACAGCGTATGAATACAATTGCAGCAGGTGACAAGATGGAACTTGTTTTATTTTATCTTACATATTTGGAATTAGGGCCTCTAGATAGTCAATATGTAACTGTATTCAAAAAATATGCAAAGCAGGGGCTTAAGATGCGTTGAAAAAATCTGGTAGCCTTATGGTGAGTTCTCTCTAAAGAGGGACCTTTTTTAGATATGCCATCCCAGAGGGGGGCCCCCACCTGGCCTTGTTTTTGTCGTCTCCCTTCCCCCTTCACCTGATGCCATTAATTAACCATTTATATAACAAGAGGCATAGCTGGCCCGTAGCATGACGGGGTTCCCAACCCGGGATTCAATATAATAGTCACCTGGGGAGCTTTTCAAAATTGTCAAATTCTGGACCCTACTCAGTGCCATCAAATTAAATTCATTAGTAACAGGACCCAGGCTTTTTAAGCTTTCTAGGTCCTTGCCACTTAAGTGAGCTGTTGCTGCAGGTCAGCACCATTGCTCTCTTATTGCTGTCATGTGAGAGCTAGTTAGAAATGCAGGATTTGGAGCCCATCCCAGTCCTTCTTCATCAGAGAATCTGCGTATAGACAAGATTTCCAGGTGATACATATCACATAAATGTCTCCAGGTTATTCATTTTCAAACTTGGTGGCACGTTGCAGTCCCCTGGGGAATTTTCAAATATGCTGATGGCAGAGTCCCAGCCACAGACAGTTTGACATAATTGGTCTGGGATAAAACCTAGGCTATGGAACGTTTAAAAGTTGCCAAGGTGGCCAGGCGCAGTGGTTCACGCCTATAATCCCAACACTTTGGGAGGCCGAGGCGGGTGGATCACCTGAGGTCAGGAGTTTGAGACCTGCCTGGCCAACATGGTGAAACCCTGACTCTACTAAAAATACAAAAAATTAGCCAGGCATAGTGTGGCCGGTGCCTGTAATCCCAGCTACAATGGCAGCCAAGGCAGGAGAATCACTTGAACCCAAGAGGCGGAAGTTGCAGTGAGCCGAGATCATGCCACTGCACTCCAGCCTGAGCAACAACAGCGAAACTCCATCTCGAAATAAATAAATAAATAAAAATAAAATAAAAGTGGCCAAGGTGATTCTAATGCGCAGCTGAGCTGGAGGGCAGCTGCACTAGCGAATGCCAATATAGCCACTGTCTTAATGCAAGAAATTTTGCCTCAGTAAAAATTTCTAACTGAGTCAAATGCTACCATTATGTACAAGTAGATGCTGTGAAAGCAATGAAACTCAATCAGGTTTCCACAAACTTGAAAAAAATCTATATTTAAAGAAAAGTATTTTGATTAAAAAAATATATAACACTTGGCCGGGTATGGTGGCTCACGCCTGTAATGCCAGCACTTTGGGAAGTCAAGGCAGAAGGATCACTTGAGCCCAGGAGTTCAAAACCAGCCTGGGCAACACATGGAGGCCCTGTCTCTATCAAACATGTTTTAAATAATTGGCCGGTGTGGTGGTGCAAGCTTATGGTCCCCACTACTCCTGAGGCTGAGGTGAGAGGACCGCCTGAGCCTGGGGGTCAAGGCTGCAGTGGGCCATGATCACGTCACTGCACTCCAGCCTGGGTGACAGAGTGAAACCCTGTCTGAAAAAAAATAATAAAATAACATTCAAACTGCAGTAATTCAAAATAGCAATAGTAATCAAAGAAGCGCATGTCCATTTGAAGATACAATTTAGTACATGACTTCTAAACCCAAGTGAATGGCTTCTTTACTTAGCTGGTAGCTAGTTTAAGGATCTCTGCTTTGCCTGAACATTATGATCATGTGGGAAGCTTTAGTCCAGGACTGTCTAACCTTTTGGCTTCCCTGGGCAACACTGGAAGAGCGGTCTTGGCTCCACATAAAATACACTAACACTAGCCAATGAGCTCAAACAAACAAACAAACAACAACAACAACAAATCTCATAATGTTTTAAGAAAGTTTACAAATTTGTGTTGGGCCACATTCAAAGCTGTCCTGGGCCACATGTAGCCCACAGGCCACAGGTTGGACAAGCTTGCTTTAGGGGCTAAAACACCAGGCCACATTCCAAACCAATTAAATCACTCTTATGGTGAGTCCCAGGCCTCAGCACTTCTTCAAAGCTACCAGAAAGACTCCAAAGTACAGCCAAAGATGAGAATCTCTGCATTAAGGGTTGTAAGTACAACTAAGGTGTCTTACCGATCCCAAAAAGGACTTGGGCTTGCTGAACATTAATAGTAACCAGAATTTAATCCTATTACATTTAGGCAGGGGAGATAGGTATCAATTACACAACCTTCCACTGATCAAATGATAATTTTGAGATGAGCAGAAGTTTCCCTTGTTTGAAAATCATGTTGCTTCACATCCCCACCCACTGAATCCATGGCCATCATTGTAGAAGTGCAGGGGTGAGAATGGGGTGAACACCAGGAAGTCCCTGCTGAACTAGGAGCTTCATGCTAGATTCTGGTATCAAGTCCACAGTGAGATAATAAACGTGCCTTTGTTAGTGGAGAAGAAGTCTTATAATTTCCAGCAGCTTAAGGGTCTGAACATAGAATTCTTAGGAGGCAGAGTGAGAAAGGAATGGGGGATTTGAAGTGAAGTCCTTGTCACGGGCAAGACAAAGCCCTTCAGATGCTGACAGCGGTTCGGTGGGGAGAGCCCAAGTAATGAGACAGGGCTGAAGGTTCTGCCTGGTCTACTCCCCCATCCCAGGAACATGCAGGACAGTGACAGTGACTAGAGAGGCAATGGGAATGTCCAAACTGAGGGGGTGTGCCAACTTCCCACTCACCCTCTGGGAGACTTCATGGGAGCTCTGCATCAACGTGGGGCACAGAGAAGAGCAGACACAGCAATATAGATTGCTCAGGCAGAGAAGGGCAACAGTGGCATGCTATCCATTCCCTGAGGATGGAAGAATCCAGAAGTTTCGACTGACCCTTTGGCAGTGTGCCTGCAAGGGAGCTGTCAGAGTCCAGGAGTGAGGGCGCCCATATCAGAGGTAACAGGCTGGCTGGTGTTGGGTGACAGACAGCAACAGGGAGAGAAGAGGCAGGAGCTGCCCTGTCTGCAGGGCCATGATCACACCCACTGGGCACACCTCATGCATTTCCTGTACCCCAAGAACAGATCACAGGTCCACTGACCATTAGTACGGCATCAGAGACCAGTCACCAAGGGCCAAGACACATGAGCAACTTCACTGGAGCCCACAGGGAAGGCTGCCATGACATGGTTTGTACACTTCCTCCTGGGCCCCCTGTGGCCCAGAAAAGAGGAGGACAGAAATCATAACAATGAGTATCTACTTAAAAGAGATCATCTAGGGCCGGGCGCGGTGGCTCACGCCTGTAATCCCAGCACTCTGGGAGGCCGAGGCGGGCGGATCACGAGGTCAGGAGAGCGAGACCATCCTGGCTAACATGGTGAAACCCTGTCTCTACTAAAAATACAAACAATTAGCCGGGCGTGGTGGCAGGTGCCTGTAGTCCCAGCTACCCGGGGGTTTGAAGCAGGAGAATGGCGTCAACCTGGGAGGCGGAGCTTGCAGTGAGGCGAGATTGCGCCACTGCACTTCAGCCTGGGCAACAGAGTGAGACTCCGTCTCAAAAAAAAAAAAAGAGATCATCTAGGCTGGGTGGGGTGGCTCATGCCTGTAATTCCAGCACTTTGGAAGGCTGAGGCGAGTGGATCACGAGGTCAGGAGTTCGAGACCAGTCTGGCCAACACGGTAAAACCCCGTCTCTACTAATAATACAAAAAAAAAAAAAAAAAGCTGGGCATGGTGGCACACGCCTGTAGTCCCAGCTACTTGGGAGGCTGAGGCAGGAGAATCACTTGAACCCAGGAGGTGGAGGTTGCAGTGAGCTGAGAACATGCCACTGCACTCCAGCCTGGGCTACAGAACGCGACTTTGTCTCCAAAAAAAAAAACAACAACAACAAAAAAAGATCATCTAGAAGAGCTGGGCATAGTGGTGTGTGCCTGCAGTCCCAGCTATTTCGGAGACTGAGGTGAGAGGATTGCTTGACCCCAGGAGTTCAAGACCAGTCTAGGAAACAGAGTGAGACTCCATCTCTCCTCTTTTTTTTTTTTTTTTTTTTTTTGAGACAGGGTCTCACGCTGTTGCCCAGGCTAGAGTGCAGTGATGCAATCACAGTTCACAGCAACCTCCACCTCCCTGACTCAGGTGACCCTCCCACTTCAGCCTCCCAAGTAGTGATTACCTGATACTACTGGCACGTGCTACCATGCCCGGCTAAATTTTGTACTTTTTGTAGAAATGGGGTTTCTCCATGTTGACCAGGCTGGTCTCGAACTCCTGGGCTCAAACGATCCGCCCACTTTGGCCTCTCAAAGTGCTGAGATTATAGGCATGAGCCACCACACCCGGCCAAGTCCTAATACTTTTTTTTTTTTTTTTTTTTTTTTTTTTGAGACCGAGTTTCGCTCTTGTCGCCCAGGCTGGAGTGCAATGGCATGATCTTGGCTCACTGCAACCTCTGCCTCCCCGGTTCAAGCGATTCTTCTGCCTCAGCCTCCTGAGTAGCTGGGATTACAGGCATTGCCATCATGCCCAGCTAAGTTTTGTATTTTTGTAGAGATGGGGTTTCACCATGTTGGCCAGGCTGGTCTCGAACTCCTGACCTCAGGTGATCCGCCCGTCTCGGCCTCCCAAAGTGCTGGGATTACAGGCATGAGCCACCGCGCCCGGCCAATGTCATAATACTTTTGAGTCATATAAGTAGCAGTCCAGACTTGACTAAGTGCAGAAAATAACTTGGTTCAGGGCTTTAGAAAGTCATAACATCACTCTTTAAATTCAAAATGAAGTTAAAAAGAGATTGCCACTAAAATAATAACTCTAACAGCACAATAAATTCTAAGTCATTTTAATAAATGTAGGTAAATGTATCAATAAATTTTAAAGACGTACTAATCAAACCCAGTATCAATCAGGTATTCCATGCATTCCAGCTCCCTGCCAGGGCCTTTAGGATGGGACTTACATCCTACTCTACATTACAAACTGGAGAGCTAACATACATGGGCGTTAACTGTGCCTTGCACGCACCTCTGCACTGTATCTTTCCCACCCTGGCCCAAGACACCACCACCTTACTCCCGACTGGTTCCTGGGGCCTCTGTCCCTCTCCAGTCCCTTCTCCACACCACAGCCAGTCTGGACTTTAAAAAACACAAATCAAATCATGATGCTCCTCTGCTTGAGCCCCTTCCATGGCTTCCCAGTGTTCTCACATTAAAAACCAAATGTCTCACCCAGATTGGCAGGCTCCTGGCTGCCTGGCCCATCCGTCTCCTCTGCTTACCACCCTCAGTTACAGGTATCTGCTGCCAGTTCCCTGACACACCACATCTTCCTGCTCACCTCGGGACCATCCCATAAGTGGTTCCCTCTCTGGAAGGCTCTTCTGGATCTCAGCATGTCTGCCACCCTCTCATCCCTCAAGGCTCAGCCTACATGCCCTGTCCTCAGCAGGACCTTCCCCATGCCCCCTCCTGGGATGCTGTCCTCCAGAACCCCGCCCTTCCCTTCACAGGCCTTCCCCTTTTGAAATGAATTATTGGCTTTGTTTACTTGTTCACTGTCTGTCTTCCACTGGGTTCAGAGAATTTTTCCTTTTTGGCTGTCCCAGACAGGAACACCCTTCCTGTTTGGTGGGGGTGGAGGCAGAGACCCCACGGTCCTTCTCCACATCCTTTGAAAGCTAGGGAGAGGCCACAAGCATAAGCTTGGCCCATGAGATACTGCAGGTGGGGCCTTTGAGCCATGAGGGGGTGACACAAAGAAGGTGGGAGCCGGTGAAGGAAAGAGGTGCCCCCAGCAAGTGCCCAGGATGGCAGGAGGGAAGACAGCAGCGCAGGGACAGCAGCAGGAGGACAGCAGCAGGAGGGGGCAGGGTAGACAGTCTGGTTTACCCTGGCCAGACTGCCCTGGCCTGGGCTGGGCTGTGTTCTTAGGAGCTTAGTTTGGTCACTGTCCATTTTCCTATTCTCCAGCCTGTCCACCAGCCTCCCAGAAATTCCTTTTCTGCAAAAATCAGCCCCAGCTGGTATCACTCATGTGCAACTCCACAGCCCATGTGCCACAGGCCCCCTGTGGGCAGGGACTTGGTCTGCTTGGCTCAAAGCCATACATGGAGCTCACAGCACCATGTCTGGCACATGCAGGCTGAATGAATGAAAGAATGGACTCCAAGCTAGGCTGGGTGGCAGGCTAGGGAATGTTCAAGGAGAAAGGGCCACAAGTTTCCATTAGCCTCTGTCCTCAGAGGGCTAAAAAGGTTATCAGTGTGATTATTTAATGCTCTCCGTCGGCTTCACCAAACTGTCTTCCCAATGGAGTTGTGCTAATTTACACTCCCACCAGCGGCATATGAGAGTGCCTGGCTTGCTCTCCCATCCGTGGCCCTCTGCACTGTCTACGCCCAGGGTTTTGTATGTTGTGTGTGTTGTGAGTTGGAATGTGTGTAGTGAGCAAAGGTAACTGTGGAAAGGGACTGGCGATCTGAACCCTGGGGAAAGTTTTATAACTTCCTGATTTGAACAGCAATAAAACAATAATCCATGAATCATTTTAAGATCGTTGTTTCCTACCTTGAGCTGATCTATAGGCTATCATTTTATACTCCCCACCATGTGAAACACTACTATTTTTGTATTGTGGTAAAATATGTATAATGCAAAATTTACCATCTGAACCACTGTCAAGTGTACAGTTCAGTGACACTGAGTACATTCTCACCGTTGTGCAATCACCACCACCATCTATCTCCAGAACTCTTCATCTTGCAAAACTCAATCTCTGGCCCCATTACACATGAATTCCCCATTCCCTCCTCCCCTCGGCCCTTGGCAACCGCCATTTGACTTTCCATCTCTATGAATTTGACTACTCTAAATACTTCACATAGATGGAATCACACTGTATTTGTCCTTTTGTGACTGGTTTATTTCACTCAGCATAATATCTTCAAGGTTCACCAGGTGTAGGGGCTCACGCCTGTAATCCCAGCACTTTGGGAGGCTGAGGTAGGAGGACCACCTGAGGTCAGGAGTTCAAGATCAGCCTGGTCAACATGGCAAAACTCCGTCTCTACTAAAAATGCAAACATTAGCCAGGTATGGTGGCAGACACCTGTAATCCCAGCTTTTTGGGAGGCTGAGGCAGGAGAATCACTTGAACCCGAGAGGCAGAGATTGCAGTGCGCCGGGATCACACCATTACACTCCAGCCTGGGTGACAGAGTGAGACTCCATCTAAAAAAAAAAAACAAAAAAACTTCAAGCTTCAACCATGTTATAGCGTATGTCAGAATGTTCTTCCTTTTTAAGGCTGAATAATATTCCATCGTATGGATATGCCACATCCTGATATCCATAAATCTGTCAATGGACACTGGGGATGCTGCCACCTCTTTGCTAATGTGAATAGTGCTGCTACGAACATGGCTGTACAAATACGTGTTGGAGTCCGTGCTTCAATTCCATACCCAGAAGTGGGACTGCTGGATCATCTGGTAATTCTATGTTCAATTGTTTGAGGAATTGCCATATTTCTTTCCACAGTGGCTATATCATCGTACATTTCCATTCAAATATTTTTAAAATTTTTAAGCTGTACCCGTGTCCAGTAACCACTGAAGAGCTGTTTTACAACCAGAAAAAAAGATATATCTTTTATATATCCTTTGGAAATTGTCTCCACAATTTCTAATAAATTTAAGTAAGTTCTTATATGTTCTTAAACATAAGATTTTTTTTTTAAAAAAAGAGGGCATTATTTAAAAATAATACATCAATAAATTTCTTTCTTTTTTTTTTTTTTGAGGCAGAGTCTCCTTCTTTCACCCAGGCTGGAGTGCAGTGGCACGATCTCGGCTCACCACAACCTCCGCCTCCCAGGTTCCAGCGATTCTTCTGCCTCAGCCTCCCGAGTAGCTGGGATTACAGGTGCCTGCTACCATGCCTGGCTAATTTTTTAATTTTTGGTAGAGACGGGGTTTCACCATGTTGGCCAGGCTGGTCTCGAACCCCTGACCTTGTGTGATCCACCTGTCTAAAGGTTGGGATTACAGGCATGAGCCACCGCGCCTGGCCATCAGTAAATTTCTATGTAGAATACCACACAAAAATGCTGTGGCCCTTTAGCTCCTTTAAAGAGATTTTGACTCTAAGGGCTGATAAAGGTTGAAAATAAAAATTTCTTACAGAAAAGTGTGCACATATCCACAGCAGTATGACAGATTCGTAATGGATTCCTCTACTTAGCGCTGTATCTCCAATCCTTTGAGGGGGCTGAGGGGGTCGCAGGAGCATAACTGTGCTCTGTCACTGCCTCTTTCTCTGTTCTGTGCCAACAAAAACTAAATTCTGTGTTGTATGGCCTGTGGGTCTGACCTCGTCTGGCAATTCCAATGGTTACAGAAGAATCTGTAGTACTGAGTGAAGGTAAGAGCCTATTCACCCATCTTTCCCTACTCTCTTAAGTGACAGCAAAATTCACCTACCAATTTCAACCCGCTTTGACTATTAATAACTAGGTATTTACACCAGCATCTATGATAATTGAGGCCTACTTATGTTCTCACTTTGCTAAGTTCCCAAGTACCCTGAGAGATTCCTTCCCTATTTTGAAGAACTATTTTTTTTTGGTTACTATGGCAACCATGCAAGGAGAAAGGGGAGCTTTCCATGGACACGGGAGCAAAAGAACAGCTATTTGTCCTCCCACTGGCGGAACAGGGCCATTCGTGAGATTAGCATGTGGTGCCAATATAAATAAGCGTGCAGCCTGCTTCAGGAAGGCCGAGAAGACATTTTCAGAGCAAACTCTCTCCTGAAGCAATTATATCACACCTCAATGAAGTGCACTGTTTTGTGCTGAAATGAAGACATGGTCTTTTGTGCCCAAAGCAGATACACAAGGGAAGCCAGTTTGTGGTCCACCATGGCTTTGCTTCTAAGGAAGGACTCAGGGTACAGGATGGGGGCAACTCCTAGGCCAGCCTTCTGGCTATTGTGGGGTTCCTGGTACAAAGCAGGGGCACCGGGAAGGAACGGCCCTCCTGGTCTACCCTGGCCACTCTATTTGTCATGGAAACCCATGAAAAGGGTTGGACATCAGATAAAGGACAGGCTTGGCAAGAGTCAAGAAAAAAGCAGAATCCTTATTCTTGTCCGGTTTAGTAAAGTTTGCGTTATACTGTCTCACTGCAGCGTACTGCCTCCTCAGACCATCGGGACACCAGGGGCGAGGGACGTTCCTACAAGTGTCCCAATGACGGAAGTCTTTTTTCTTTTCTTTTCTTTTTTTTTTTTTGAGACAGAGTCTCGCTTTGTCGCCCAGGCTGCAGTGCAGTGGTGTGATCTTGGCTCAGTGCAACCTCCACTTCCAGGGTTCAAGTAATTCTCATACCTTAGCCTCTCAAGTAGCTGGGACTACAGGTGCACCAGACACCACACTGGCTAATTTTTGTATTTTTAGTAGAGGTGGGGTTTCACCATGTGGTCCAGGCTGGTCTCGAACTCCTGACCTCAGGTGATCCGCACACCTTGGCCTCCCAAAGTGTTGGGATTACAGGCGACCTGCCTGGAAGTCTTTTTTCACACAGAATGAGAGAGCAAACAAGCATCCATGTCAAAAATTAAAGTTCTTCATTATGCTGAATGAAATAAGCCAGACACAATAGGACAGACATTCTACGATTCTCACTTCCATGAGGTGCCTACAGTCATCAAATTCATACAGATAGAAACTAGAGGCCGTGCGCGGTGGCTCATGCCTGTAATTCCAGCACTTTGAGAGGCCAAGCCGGGTGAATCATGAGGTCAGGAGTTCGAGATCAGCTTGGCCAACATGGTGAAACCCCATCTCTACTAAAAATACAAAAAGTTAGCTGGGTGTAGTGGCAGGTGCCTGTAATCCCAGCTACTCAGGAGGCTGAGGCAGGAGAATCGCTTGAACCGGGGAGGCGGAGGTTGCAGTGAGCCGAGATCGTGCCACAGCACTCCAACCTGGGCGACAGAGTGAGACTCCATCTCAAAAAAAAAAAAAAAAAAAAAAAAAAAACACAAAACTAGAGTGATAGTTGCCAGGGGAGAATTGGAGTTTTTGTTTTTGAGACAGAGTCTTGCTCTGTCACCCAGGCTGCAGTGCAGTGGCACAATCTTGGCTCACTGCAACCTCTGCCTCTCAGGTTCAAGAGATTCTCCCACCTCAGCCTCCCAAGTAGCTGGGAATACAGGCACTCACCACCATGCCTGGCTAATTTTTGTATTTTTAGTAGAGTTGGGGTTTTGCCATGTTGGCCACGCTGGTCTCGAACTTCTGACCTCAAGTGCCCACCTGGGCCTCCCAAAGTGCTGGGATTACAGGCATGAGCCACTGCGGCCAGCAGAGAATTGGAGTTTTTGTCTAATGGGTATAGTTTCAGTTCGGGAAGATGAAAAATTCTGGAGATGGGTGGTGGGGATGGTCGCACAATAATCATAATGTACTATTTAACGCCACTGCACTGCATGCTTGAAAATGGTTAACATTTTATGTTATGTATATTTTACCACAATTAAAAAAATAAAATTACCCCATCTATTGGCCTTATCACATCCATGCTATCATTTCATAAACAAAAACGTATTGATCAGATTCAGGATAAAACACACATTCAACAAATATTGAGTCCACCACACGCTGGCCCTCGCTAAGGAAGGCCTCCTAAGGTAGGCTGTACAAACACGGACCAGAAGCTACTGTCTGTTAGCACTTTGTTGTCACTCACTGAATCTGCCTTGTGAGGCCACACAGCCCTAGTTGTCCAGGCAGGTGCATGGCTTATGTCAGCGAAGTCCCAGGAACAGGAAGACCCATACCACTGTGGTGACCATTCATGAATCCCAAATAAAAGGGCAGTTTTTCCATGAAAACAGAGAGAGCCCCGTTTGTCTCCCGTGTGGGTTCATCTTTCTATAAATGTGGCCGTGGCAGCTCCCGGAGTGGCTCCACCTCACAGCACATGGGCACCCGGTAGCTCCTTTGAGGGTAAACACTGACGCTTTTCTGAAAGGAGGATGAGGATGAGGAAAGAGTTGGCCTAAATCAGAGCGGCAGGAGGCAAGGAGGAAGAGGAAGGCGGGGGAGAGGGCATTTGAGAGCAGGTGAGAGAGAAAACCAGAAAAAGGAGAAGGGGGGCAGCTGAGGGAAAGCCGGGGTGGATAAGAAAGTGGGAGGGTAGGAACGAAGGAGGAGGGGAGGAGGAAAAGAAAGGGAGCATGGGGGTGGGGCGGGGGGGAGAGGAGAGGAGCTTTTTGTTTTTCTGCAAAGCTCCTTGTTTTGTGTGGAAGAGGGAATGACAATGGCGCATGTGCCTGTTAGTGGGTATTTGCCTTAATCCCACTTTCTGGCTCTACTTTTGGTGAGAGAAGGAGGAGCAGAGGTTTTATCTGACGGAAAACTGGAGGGATTTTTTTTCCTGCCGTGACTCCGAGGTCAAGAGGGAAACCTGCGCTCCTTCACTGAACACGTTCAGGCACACAATGCGATTAGCATCTCTTCTGTTTCTGGGCTGCTTCTAGCAGGGGCTCCTGGAAACACAAAGGAGTCAAAGGATGTTGTTCATTAATAGTTAACTGTTAATGTCGCTGAGAACTTGGTCCAAGAATGACTGCTCAGGACTCTACCCAAAGAGATTTGATAGATGGATTTCCAAGTGTAATCCCAGCATTGGGAACTATGAGGTATAGCACCTGTCAAGTGCATGACATGGGAGGATTTGGTAAATTGTAATTAAAACAGAAAGGACACGCCAGCCTGAGTTCTCTTTGCCTCTGTAGAGATCATTAATAATTTTGGATCCTGGAACTCTGTGTGTAAGGAACAAAGAAGAAACTTGTTCCCTTACTGGCCAATGAGGAACATTCAAAGCAGAGGCCCCTAGTTAGAATGCCCACTGTTGATCTTCCTAAGGAGATCTGATTCTAAAAACAGGTGCAGAAAAGACAATATTTAGTAGCTAATGTATTGAAATAGCCAGTGAAGAGCACAGGACATATCATTACCATGAGACCACCAGAAATATCCACTAAACTCTTCCATTTAGAGATTCCATTAGTACTGGTGATTCTATGTAAAAAAAAAAAAAAAAAAATAGTATTTAAAGCTGAAATGACTATTTCCTAGCTTGTTCAGTTAGAGGTAACTGAGCAAATGTGAACTAAAAAGATCAGTTTCTCCTTAACTTTTTTTTAAAGGTCACGAAAGACTGTCAACCTGACAGATGTAACCATGGATTCTTTTACAGAGTTTTTCAAAAGCTCAAAGGCTGCTAAACGTGTCAAATTAATGCATCTCCCCCAAGACTGGGTACTTTGATATGAAAGTAATCATGGAAGAGCATTTTTTTTTTCTTCTAGAAAATGGCTCTGCAATTTTGAGAAAATAGTTCTTCCCACATCTGAAAAAAATTTTTTTTTTTGGTAACTGTCATGAAAATGACCTGGGTTAATGAAATCTCCGTTTTCATCCTAGATTCTCTCAAAAATTCCTTTCAAGTGTCAATCTCAATGAAATGAGGCCAAAATGTTACATAGCTTAGAATTTTGACTTTTTTTTTTTCTATTTAGCCACAGTCCCTTGATTATTCTGATTTGTACATTTTTGGGAGAGTTTAATATTGATCACTCTCTAGCACTGAATAATTTTTAGAAAAAAACACAGTCTGAGTCTAATTGCCAGACCCATACCACACACACGAAAGCTGTGAATACAAGCTGTGATCACGAATCACGTGTATGTGGCTTTGATTGTATAGGACCCATGATAAGATTAAGATTGTTTTTTCCTTCTTAATTATTCAGAGCTAAGTGTGATGCAAATTAAAACTAAACATATGGATGTGATCGTGAAGGCTTTTCTAACATAGTTGGGTTTTGTTTTTGAAGTATGTTTAATGTGCTATAAGCACTAATTCCTTTAAATATCTATTTAAGGTAAGACTTCCTAGAACTTCCTCTAATTTTAAGGGAGCTTAATATTTTTTTTTCTTAATTCAGTACCACACAGCAATGCCCCAGTTTAAAGTGCAAAACAGTTTCTTTCCCCTTTATTTTCAGCTCCCTGCCAAACCCACTCTTATGGAATATACACAGTTACTTAGTTTCCAGTGGAACTAACTGGTCAAATTCAGAGAGTAACACTTTTCTTGTAAATACAAAAAGAATAAAACTGAAAATTAAGAGCTGTATGTCTATAATAATCTATGTTATGGTTTATTTGTGACTTAATTCCATTTTCTGTAACAATGGCAAGAAAGACAGAATAGGTCAGTTAGAGATGGAGAGAACCAGAAAATCTTTTGTGCTTGTCTTTTGAATTTGGTAGCTGACTTTAAAAGCAAATTTAATCTTATATCCTCTCTAGCTAACGCTGATATTTGTCTTCCCTTGGAATGTGCTAATGACATGCTAAGGGATAGGTGGCTGGGGAAGTATGTTGGGTGACAATCTCAAGTGGTCTCACTTGAGATTGAAAGGTTGTTGCAGGTTTTCATGGCACCAAATGGACAATCTCCAAATGGTCCTGCCTGTGACTCCAGATGCAGCAATGCAGGTGGAGGACAGAGAAACACTGAGCTCCAAATAGGGAGCCCTGAAGCACCCAGTAGCAGACAGACCTACTACCTGGGATGCAGCTTCTGCCTGCTCAGCACACTCCCCATTGAGCCCTCTATTGCTCCTTTGTTCCTCTTTCATCTCATATCTTCTCTTTCCCTTGCCCTGGGTACCTCCCATCTCTCTCACTGAGTGCTAGGTCCCAGCTCCTAAATGCATTTCCATAGGAAATTTAATCGCCATCTATCTCTCTGAATTGGTGCTTACTCCTTTGGTCACTTAACTTGGATTAGGCGTTCTCCACTTGTACAGGTCCTAGAGGGCTTAGCGATTTTAGGTCTGGGGTGGCACATCCCAAAACCAGTCCCTTCAGTCATAAGAACCCTGCAGACTGCTGGCCGCTCAGATGGACCAGCCAGCTCCCAGATGGTTTACGTCTGACTAGGTCACCCCTGCCAGGTCTCTGTATGGTAAGAGAAGTTCCAAATGCCAGAGGATATCTCAGAACTTTTCCCTCACACTACAGTGTAGGTGTGATGAGTAACTATTCAAAAGTCAAATAAGGGAGCAAACTTTCAAGTGGTTCTCCCTGGCCTCCAACATTTTAAAGAAAGTGGAGTGTAGCTGGGCGCGGTGGCTCACGCCTGTAATCCCAGCACTTTGGGAGGGCGAGGCAGGTGGATCACGAGGTCAGGAGATCGAGACTATCCTGACTAACACGGTGAAACCCCGTCTCTACTAAAAATACAAAAAATTAACCGGGCGTGGTGGCGGGCGCCTGTAGTCCCAGCTACTCGGGAGGCTGAGGCAGGAGAATGCTGTGAACCCGGGAGGCGGAGCTTGCAGTGAGCTGATATCGCGCCACCGCATTCCAGCCTGGGTGACAGAGCGAAACTCCGTCTCAAAAAAAAAAAAAAAAAAAAAAAAGAAAGAAGAGAAAAAAAAAGAAAGTGGAGTGTAGAAGCAAAATCTAAGAATTCAGGTTATCCCGAGTCCCCGCAATACCGCTAGACTGCAGGAGCAACCCAAAGGCGCAGGAAAGCGATAGGATTTTAAATTACAAAATACCAATATTGTAATTACAATTTATTACAATTTATTACAATTTTGTAATTACAATTAAATTACAAAATACCATTGTGATTCCCACTAATTAAGAAAGAAAGATGTAAGTTGTTTGTTATAAACACCACCAGGTCTTGAGCAAACACCAAGAGAGCTCACCACAGAGCCGAACCAACCATTCTTCAAATCACAGCTGCTTTCCAAAGCGTTTCCTCAGTACAGCCACAGAGTGTGCATTTTATCACACATGCTAATAATCCCAGTTATGGCGCCTACATTTTAATCATTTGTTCTGGGCTTGTTTCTCAAACAATTAGCACTAATGAATGGCCAGAATACCTTAGATCATATATGTCTAATTGCAGTCAAGAGCGGTTCTTGTCTGCATGTACATTTCAATTTACCTCTGGGGATAATGTTTGTTAATTGTATTTCTTTATACGCAAGTGAAGAAAAAGGCAGCTCAGGCAAAAAAGGGACTAAGTGTTCTCCTCTTTCCCTTTGTTCCCACAAGAAGCTAAAGTCACTTCAAGAGGCACTTAATCCCATCATTCGCGGTTACAATTGCCCTGCAGCATCAATCAAAAAGAATCTGAAGTAAAATGATGCAGCTATATTGTGTAATTAAAAGCAATTCAGGTAGTTATGGCTTGGGGCCCTTTATGGCTCCAAATACTTAAAATGGCCCTGCAGGGATCCTAAACACTGTAGTGTTTTAAATTTGGTCAGCAGCAATCTCTCTGTGGAAAGGAAGGAAGATGCAAAGAAAAAAAAAAAAGAAAAAGAAAAAGAAAAAAACCCGAACCCAAACAAAAAGCCCGCTACCCTCTTCTAGTGCAAATTGTAAAGCAGAAGAAAAGAAGAGGGCTAGCAAAAGTGTGAAGTGGAAAAAAACCTGCAACTTGCAGCCACCAAATGAAATAAACACAGAAGGAAAGGAGGAGGAGAAGGAAAACAGATGATGTTTTCCAAACCAAACAGTCCCTGTCCCAATCCAAGTTCTGCACTTAAGAAAGAAATGTGTAATAATATTGGCTGGGTCTCTTCAACATCCAACAGCCGTGTTGGCTCTATAATATAAAAATAAAGGCTTTCCGAAAATTCAAACTTATTAAGAAAATACAGAGTACATTTATGGTGTGTCTAATTCCACAGTTACTTGTAAAGGCAAGATGTGAAAAGTACTTTTTAAAAGTTTGGGCATAGATTTCTAAAGTGATTTACTTAAATCATCTTTTAAAGGATTTTAAAGTGCTGAGACTTTTGGGTGTCTAATTTGGCTTTTAAAGCCAAGAAGAGCTTAACACAGTGTTTTCTGCTGTGAACTTTAAAAGAATGAAGAGCCATCATTGACAGAGGCTGGCAACAGGCATAAGTCTCTGGTTTTGTTTTTAAGTAAAAGCGTAACTCTTCAACAAATACAAGACTAGATGTTAAAATAACAACATGTGTAACTTTTATCCTCATTTCCCCTTTTATAATAAAAATAGCAAAGAAGGCTTCCTGCTTATTTATGAAAGAATTTCAGGAAAAAGTGCTAAATGCATGACTGGGTAAGCTGTTGAATGGTAAGGAATTTTCCAGAAAGACACCAGGTTTCTCCCAGTGCAAGGTGCGACCTAGAAGCAGTTGATGAGTGAAAGGGCTCCCGGAACCGAGTGCTCCATAGCGGCTTCAGTAAACACGTTCCAAGGTACAAATTAGTGGCAAATGTAATTGCAGCTGAAAACTAGCACGTGTGAACATGTCAGGGTCTCATTGCAAGTGAACATTCAAATCATAAAATGATTGTCAAGTGAGATATTTACACACAGAATTGCCCTCATTTTCCACATAAATATTCTAACAACTTAAGTCAGTGCAAATGCTGACAAGTGACAAAGGCAAAAGTACAACCTCATACGAACTACTGATGCAGAATGGTAGAATGGAACAATAATGTTTCTGTCCCTAAGGAAACTAAACATTAAAAAAAAGCTCTCATTGTAAAACTCTGCCTACCATGCTTTTTCAACTAGATTGATCATATGGTTAGAGACACTACATATGCTTGGCTGGGCACGGTGGCTCATGCCTATAATCCCAGCACTTTGGGAGGCCAAGGCAGGTGGATCACCTGAGGTCAGGAGTTCAAGACCAGCCTGGGCAACATGGCAAAACCCCGTCTCTACTACAAATACTTGAACGCGGACTAGAGTGCAGTGAGCTGAGATCATGCCACTGCACTCTTGTCTGGGCGGCGGAGTGGGACTCCGTCCCCCGACCCCCACCCCCCAAAAAAAAGATACATATGCTCAAATGGTTTTGTGTTGAGAGGTATTTCCTGTAAGTTTAAACCTTTTATTCAGCAGTCAGCCTTCAAGTATCCCCACAAAATCACAAGCCCTCGATGGATGAAGGTTGGGGTCTGCCGTGCCAAACTGCCATGTTCTTGTCACTCTCTCCTTCTAGTGGCCTGGTAAGGTGACACACTCCCTGGGACTATGAAGAAGTGGGTGACAGAGGAGTGCCTTCTGGCTTATCTGAGCTTAAGTCCCTGACTCCCCAACACCACCAAACTTCCTAGAGAATTTACTTCATAACAGGCATGGGTGCTTCTTTGCCCCATTTGTGCCACTGAAGTATCTGTTTTGTGTCCTACAGTTCTTTCCCACTAGCTTTAAGATTCCTATCTGTAAGTACTTCTTTTAGGGAAAGGAAGTGTAAACTTTAACAAAGAACATTTTAGAAATACCCAAAACTGAACTAAGCAAGAAGGAGAAAAATGAATTCATTGATAATGAATTTCAGGCAGAAGTCTGTACTTCAATTTGTCTCCAGTAACAATTTTGAACAGGATTCCCATCGACAGGTGCTTTATAAATATCATATTTCTTTACTTTCGCACCCAGGTCCCTGCACCATCCCTTGTCCCTGATGCTTTCCTGGAATTCTCCAGGGACGGTGCCCATCACAGGCTGCCAGGAGCAGCCCCACAACTGGGTCCTTCAATTCCTGCCATTGATCCAGCTGTGTGCACGCCGTTAAATGCTGCCAGGTCAAGCTGGAGAGCAGGACTTGAAAATTCAGTGCTAATTACTGTGATTACAATCTGTGTCCCAAGCAGCCAAAGCCTCTGGGAAGAGTCTACGGGCGACCTGTCTACGAATCAAAAATCTCAGTTTGAGAGATGCAGAATCTATACGTGTGGACTTTCCAGCTCGTTAAGTCATAATATGGGCGTCAAGTCGCTAATGATACCTTCTCCTGAATGCATATGAACTAAGGCAAGACCGGCACATAGAAAATACAAGACAGACGGAGAGGGGAAATGAGTAAGAACCCACGTAGCCACAAAAATATCTAACACCAGATCCTGCAGCGTGATGCTCAGATGGCAATTTTCTTAAGATGTCTTGAGACTCACTGTATCCAAGCCAGCGAGTGAGTGGGTGCTTAAGGAAAGATGCTTACAGACATCATTGCCCTGCAAGGTACAGGACAGCATTTGTCATGAGACTTTCGAGCCTCTTAGCACACATGCTGATTGTGTATTTACCATTGAGCTCTCAAAGGCAGAGTCACTAAAGTCAGAGGAAATGATTTCATAAATATCTCCCACAACATTAAAGAATCATAGAACTAATGCCAGAGAAGGCGAAGATAGAGCGTTCCTGGGCACGTACAAATTTCTTTAAGTTTGAAGCATTTGGAAATGGTTGAGAAACAAGACATATTTATGGCCACTGGGAAGCAGCTAGTTGCTCTGGAGTACACATGGCTCATTTTCCTTTCTTCACAGACTTTGTGCAGATATGATAGTCTTTGTTCAGGTTTTTACAAATACAGTTTTTTTGTTTTTTTGTTTTTTTTTCCTCAAGATGGAGTTTCGCTTTTCTTGCCCAGGCCGGAGTGCAATGGTACGATCTTGACTCACTGCAACCTCCGCCTCCCGGGTTCAAGCAATTCTGCCTCAGCCTCCCAAGTAGCTAGGATTACAGGTATGCACCACCATGCTCAGCTAATTTTGTATTTTTAATAGAGATGGAGTTTCACCATGTTGGTTAGGCTGGTCTTGGAACTCCCGACCTCAGGTGATCCACCCACCTCGGCCTCCTAAAGTGCTGGGATTACCGGCGTGAGCCACCATGCCCGGCCACAAGTACAGTTCTTCTAGGGCATGGAAATTAGAATGGAATTAATTGCTCTGAATTATCATGTAGAATACTAAAGGGATTTCCATACTCACAGTGACATAACAATTCTAGCCTTCCAGAACATGGCCAAAGAACTGAGTATGATTTCAGATCTAAACCATCACAGGGACCCCTCAGCAGCTGGTGGGCATCCACAGGCTTTCCGTGGGCCCGTAACAGGGATTCCAGAGGCAGAAAGGCACCTTGGGGGACACCCTGGCCAGTGTGGTCCTAAAACAGTAGGCAGAACGCGACCCATCATTTTTGAGCCTGGCCAGAGTCTGCCAACACGTGTTGAATACCACAGAGTCCTTCATGAAAATATGACTTAAAATATTTTCCTTTCCTCCCCTCATTTCCTTTCCTCAAGTACTAAGTTCACACGGTGTGTCTAAGTGTGTTTATTTGAAAATGCAATCCCTTTTAAAGGGCTTGACTGTTTCATATTACGAACACTGAAATTAGGAGAAAAAAATTTCCAAATAAAACCATTTATAAAACACCATTATTAGATGACTATTTCATCTTGTTATTGGCTGCTTATTTGAGCTAAATAAATTTTTAAAAACAGACATGATCCTATGTTTTAAGATTTTGGTATCTTCTGAGAACAATTTTACTCTTTTTAAGGATTAAATGAAATCACAATGTTAGCTTGGCAAAACACACCAACCCTGAATTTTTAAAGAGCCACTGATGTGTATTCCCTGCACTTTTTGAATCCTCATGACAATGTCTGTTAACAGCACGAGAGTCACAGCTGAGTGTCCAACTAGTCAGGGAACGCTGTGCAGTACAGTGACAGATGCAAGCCTTGTCCCCCTCCCTCCTCCCAGGCAACTGCCCCCATTCTCATTTCCTTCCTTCTTTTCACAAGAATTTATCGAGCTCCACACCAGGCATCTCTGCCACTCATAAACTGAGTGATCTAGTAAAGTCTAAACATTTGAATACCTAAGTTTTCGGGGTTTCCATTTTGTTTTTTACCATGTACAATCAGAGGCTGGCAAGTCCCCTTGAATCTCTGGGTCTGTTTAGTTTGACACTGACACAAGCTTATCACCATTGAGCACAAGGCCTTTTCCGTGGCTGCACTCAGGTGTGTTGACTGACTGACCAACGAACAGACTTGGCAGCCTCCTACCTGGTTAATTGCAGGTACCATCCAAGTCATCATCTGGGGAAATGTCTCCTTTCTCAGTGGCCAAGAAACCCTTACATTTGATCCATTTCTCAGACAAATTCTAATAACTGTCTGCCCTATACAATGCCATAGCCACCATCTGTCCCCTACAGGCTGAAATACAGCTTACTCGAGATGACAGCTAAACATAAAATGAACCAAAGATATGTTCTGATCAGTACAAATACACAGAAGCCTATCCCAGAAATACTTTTAACCAATTTTATACAACTGATTGGTTCTTTCAAGGAGCCTTTAATTTACTCCATCCCTAATTAAGTTGTTACATGAATCACGAAGGTTTAAATATTAAGATAAAGGCAGATATTTCAATCAGGGAATACCCACCATGGTTTAATTAAAGAATTTTTGCATCTCACTTACAGAACATTGCTCCTTAAGTACTGCATGGCATTTATTTAAAATGTCCCGGAGGCAATTAAGCCCTTGATTAACAATAAAATTTTCTTCCTTAACTTCATTCTCAATTACCATGAAGCTCATTTCTCATTGCCTGGGACTTCCTGCATGTGGTACTCAATAAATGTAACTCGTATGTAATTGCATATAAGCCACCAAAAAAAAAGGTTAGAAAAAATTGACGCGCACAGTAGCTAGCCTCTTCTAAAAGTTGGAGGACTTCACTGTGGTGCAGTTTGCCTCCCTTATCACATTCAGCTTACAGCCTAGCACATCTCTGTTGGGATGACTCCACTCTGGGTCATGGGACAAACAAGGAACCTGGTGACCAGGACGCAATTCCTAACTCTTGACAGTTCTGTTTTTCTTGAGCTCAGGAGGGGAAAGCATAGTGATTAACAACACTCTTGCGCACATGACTCCTCTAGTCTATGCTTCAAGGAGAAACAACCAGTCATGAGTCCCCAGACTCGCCAGCTCCAAAAATCTTGCCACTTCCCTGGAAAGGAGGTGAGAGGTAAGGAAAGCCTAACAGTGAAGAGCATGGGCTTTGGAACCCAGCACACCTGGAGTTGGTGACACCCTAAGCATGTTACTTAACCTCTTTAAATCCCAGATTCATATTAGGAGTTGGATATAATAATAGGATTGTTGTGAGAAGTCAATGAAAAGATACATGTAAAACCCTTGACGAAGCACCTCGTGCACAGGAAGCCCAATTGATAACAGCGACTGTGGCTGAGAAGACACTTGCCCCTTCCCCTCTGACCTCCATGAGCTAGACACTTGGGCCTGGAACACCATGGCAGGCATTTTGCCACATCTAGGAAACACACTTACAGGGGGACCGGGGAGCTGCTGCTGGGCTAAGGAGCTGGCCCTGCAGAAAATAAAGATGGATTTGTATCAACTCTCTGATGCCCCCCATATTCTTCAGAACTTAACCCTCAGACAAGCTATATATAAATTTGGGCTTATCTGTGAATTTTTAATCAGCACTAAAATAATGTTATGATTATCTATGTATATTGTCTATATCTAAAAAAGAAAGAAAAATCTAAAGGGTTTTTTTTGGCTTTCATTTTATTTTAGTGTTAGACAATTTTTAGTCAGTATTTCATTGATTCAACAAATAGATACTGGGCACCTAAGCCAGGGTCTGGCAATATGAAAATGAGGACAAAATTCAGCCTTGGGGGAAGTTGAGGTCCAGCGAAGGCAACAGACAAAAAATGTGAACACTGGTAGAAACCAATGGCCTGAAGCCTGGTGGGGAGGGGCTCATTCAGCATAAGAGGGCAGTGGAGAGGGTTCTCAGAGGAGTGACAGTGAAATCTGGCCGTGGAGGGAGAAGGACAAACTCCAGAGTCAAAGATGCATTCTGGGAGCCACAGAGTGAGGAAAACAGGCAGGACCATAGATTTCATCTCCTCAAGTGGCACCACAGATTTTTTTTTTCCTTGAAAATGTCATGCATATTTCTAACTCTTACCTGCCGATTTCATGCAGGTAGAGGATTCCCAGGCATAAATATTAGCTCTTCAAAATACCAAGACAGTGTCCCTTTCCAATGCTGCAGTTTGTTACAGATGGTTAGCAAAACACTGACCTCCATTATCCTAAAATTTTCTGAACCAAAAAAAAAACCTCATCTTTTGCTCTCCAATGAGATTTACTTATACTTTAAAATTTTATCTTAGAAATATATAGGATGGCCGGGTGCGGTGGCTCATACTGTAATCCCCACACTTTGGGAGGCTGAGGCGGCCACATCACCCAGGAGTTTGAGACCACCCTGGCCAACATGGTGAAACCCCATCTCTACTAAAAATACAAAAATTAGCTGGGCGTGGTGGCGGGTGCCTGTAATCCCAACTGCTTAGGAGGCTGAGGCAGGAGAATCGCTTGAACTCGGGAGGCAGAGGTTGCAGTGAGCCAAGATTGCGCTACTGCACTCCAGCCTGGATGACAGAGCGAGATTCCAGCTCAAAAAAAAAAAAAAAAAAAAAAAAGAAAAGAAACGTATAGGATATAGTAATTCTGTTTCAAACAAACAATGGTCTTCCTTTAAGAAGACCCTTCCTTTAAAATCAGAATTGTGTTGAAAAGAGATATAGGACTATATTTTGTATTAACTGAAATCGATGAGAAGCATGATTTAGGTATCTACAGTGTATTAGGGATACTGTATCTGTCTAAGATACAGTATGCTAAGATAAAGGTACCAAGTCTTGTGCAAACAAACATATTCTCAATGGTAGATTTTTTTCTCTTTAACATTTATTAAATCCCTTATTTACATTATCTCACTTAATCCTTTGGACAGTCCTTTGAAGTAGGTACTATTATTGCTGCCTGTTTTATATATGGAAACACAGGTTTATTTTATTTTGCAATCTAAATTTTTTAAACAAGCTGCTATTGACAATATTATACCACATTTCACAACTGTACAATTAATATCAGTTTTCTCAGGGCACTGCACTGCACAAGCCAGAGCCTATTAACTCACATTCACATTAACCAGAGAAACTTCACTCTTAAAAAAAAAAAAATGCTGGGTGTGGTGGCTCACACCTATAATCCCAGCACTTTGGGAGGCTGAGGTGGGAGGATTACTTGAGTCCAGGAGTTCAAGACCAGCCTGGGTAATATAGCAAAGATCTCATCTCTACAAAAAAATTTAAAAATTAGCTGGGTGCAATGGTGCCCGCCTGTGGTCCTAACTGCTCAGGAGGCTGAGGCGGGAGGATGGCTTGAGCCCAGGAGTTTGAGTCTGCAGTGAGCTATGATCACACCACTGCACTTCAGTTTAGGTGACACAGCGAGACTCTGCCTCTAAAAACAAACAAGCAAACAAACAACAACAACAAAAAGCTAAAACAGAGATTCAGGCAAAGACAAAGAATGATAGTGAGAATATCTTTTTTTCCCTTCAAAATCATCTCTATTTGTGACAGCTTAGAGCAGCACTCAGCAAACTTCTGACTGAAAGGGCCAGATAGTAAATACTGCAGACTTTGCGGGCTGAGAGACAAATGGGAAGATGTTATATATGCGCTGGTATAGCAAGTGAGAACACAAATTTCCACAAATTTTTTTACTGGTGAAATTCAAAATAAAACTGGGTAGATTTTATAGTAATATAGTTCTACTATATTTTATAGTAGACTTCTATAGTAATATAGTTCTACTTGTGAGAAGAACGGAAATCTTTTGGGGGGAACAGCATTTTGCTTAACTGGGGTTCAAAGGTAATGTTCCCTATCATCGAATCATTCATCTGGAAGACTCATTCTTAGGTAGAAGGCTGTACAAAAATGGGCAGTACATGGGATTTGGTTCATGGCCCCTGCGTTAGAATATATGTCTATGGGTGTAGCCATGGACAAATAAATGTATAGGTCCTGATCTAAGTTACAGGGCAAAATGGTTAGGACTGAAGGCCTCGACTATCAAATCCCAGCCCCGTGTATGGGCCCTGGTTATTATTCAGAGATATCAGTAAGTAGAAAGATTTCAGGGCTCCCTAACTTGGGAGGTTTGAAGTCATTGCCACGCCTACTAGTTTGCACTAAAGGAAAGTCAGTTTGGTATGAATTACAATGGCCAACGTTACATTCTCCTCCGTTTTGTTTTTTTTTTTTAATCTCAATTTCTCTTACTTTTCTTATTCCCCCTATGCTGATGCCAATCAGTTTCTTTTGGGAAAGTTTTAACAGATCGGTTTTATGTTTTGAAGTACAGCAAGTATTTCATCCTCTCTTTAAAATACAAAACCCAGAAACCCAGGCTTTTGAGGGCTCTCTGCTCTTTGTGTGATCACAGGGGAGGGGAAGAGAGGGGAATGAGGTGAGGAGGGAGGTTATTGGCTCACAAAAGTCCAGACAGTATTTGACTAAAAAAATGCAGAGCAGGGGAGCAGGGCAGAAGAAATGAATCAGAAATCCCACTAACAGAGAAGGGTTATTTTTCTTCTAAAAGATTAAGGATCATAGGTTTTCGTGCTTACTCAGATGGAACAAGAAAAGATTTTAACCTCTGCCTCATTCAGTTTGGGTCTGAACAAAATAAAAGTCGAGCACATTCAAAACATCCATTAGAACTTTCTTCTTTCCTTAAGATGGTGAGACAACATCTGGTGAAAGATTTGGGGTTACGCTGCAGTCACTAACAGTCATGGGACAGAAAAGCTGAAAGCCCACCAAAAAACAGACAGGGAGATGGAAGCTGCACTGCTCCCCACCTTTCACATGGACAGATATTCTAGGTGAAGCGTCCTTGCCATTGTGAATTAAACTCCAGTTTAGCATCAAGCAGGACACATTAATTCCAGTTGTTCAGAAGGAACAGAGACGTGCGCATGGCTATTTTATAAGTGTCCAGAGGAGCATGGGCTGTTTCTTCTGAGGGAAGGAACCATATTTTCCAAATTAGTCCAAGGGGTAGTCGATGGGCGGAATGCCCATTTATCTACTTCGATAATGACCTGGTGTTCCTGATGACTAATAATGCCTTCAGGAAGTAGTTAAACACCACTATGTTGTATACTGGTGGTGCACAAGATAAAAAGCAAGGGAAATAGGCAAATGAGGAGAAAAAGGAAGTTCAGGCAATAATTTTGACAATAAAATGGAAAAAGTTTTAAGCATTCAAATTACGACGGGTTCATTCCAGCCTTACCAGCCCTCTCTGTCTACAGGGACAATTTTGGACAAGTCTGTTAATTTCCCTGGTAGAGTCAATTTCCTAGTAATTACAGTTTGTTTTTTTTTTTAAGTTCTGTTCTCTACTCATCTCTACTATATCTTACATTATTGGGATTATGAGATCTTAAAAGTTAATATAAATCTCTGATCACATTAACAAGACTGAACAGGGAGTAATCTTTGAGGAGGAAAAACAAAGACAAATAACTGATTTCAAGAGCCATGATTTTAGGAATTACTTTTTCTGCTGACTCCTGCACTATACTTGACACATAACAGATGCGAATTAAATATATACATGAATAAATAAATGCAAAAGCCAATTACCTTCAAATTAGCTTCATACAAATTCCCTTTCCTTAATCATACAGTATCATTAATAATTATTTGTAAAGCATTTTAAAAATTAGAAAAACAAGTAGAATTACCTATTTACTATTTACCTACAAACCAATGTGCTTCTGTTAATCATTCAAATGAAAAACACTGACACAGAAGTTTCAAAGAAAGCGGATGTATTTTTAAATATCTTTGGGTCAAGTGTAAAGTTATCCTGTCGAGACTGATGGGCAGGGAAAAGGTAATGAATGCCTCTTGTATTACAGCACAGTATTTTCATATTTTCATATCTTATTTTCATATCTTAACTCAATTTTTAAGCTGTCAAGATATTTGTAACACCTTGAGTTAATAGGTATGTTCCCTGAGATCAGAAACTGGCTACAGGTTTTAAAACTCATTTAAAATAGCAAAATTATAAAATAATGACCCATTATCACAATCCCCCTATCCACACAGCTTAAGATACACAGGAAACTGATTTCTCTCCGAAACCAAAGAAAGAAAAAACACCTTTAAAATAGGCCAGGCACAGTGGCTCACACCTGTAAGTGGCTAAGGAGGGAGGATTGCCTGAGCCTAGGAGTTTGAGACCAGCCTGGGCATCATGCTGAGACCCCATCTCTACGAAATATACAAAACTTAGCCGGGTGTGGTGGGATGTGCCTGTGGTCCCAGCTACTTGTTGGTGGGGGACGCTGAGGTGGAAGACTGATGGCTTGGGCCCGGGGAGGTTGAGGCTGCAGTGAATCGTGTTTGTGCCACTGCACTCCAGTATAGGTGACAAGGTGACAAGGTAAGACCCTGTCTCAAAAAAAAAAAAAAAAAAAAAACTGCCATATAATGCTGAAATTTCTAAAATAATTTGGTGTGGAAAATCACTAGTCTTTAAAGAACATAATGCATCCAGAAAAAAGAAACAGTAAGAAAGAAGGGAAAAAGAAAAAACAAACATAGCCCCAAGGAAAACAAAGCCCCAGCAGAATGTGCTGCAGCCATCCCAAGCCCCTGGTACCGTTCGTGCAGGGATGCCTGTATGCCCTGTGCTCCAAAGTATGTCACCACATCAGCCTCCAGGGGAGAAGCAATTAAAGGACAGTTCTCACTGCAGAACTGAAGCCCAGTTCCTGAGATACGAAAGCTAAGTGAAACCATTCTGGTGTGGAGTATGTTATTCAGTTTACTTCTTGGCTAGAAACAAAGAGGTTAAAATTGAGAACACAGGATTCTTCACATCAGGAGATGTCCGAGGCCCTTCCTTCCTCCCTCCCCATCCAGGGGTCCACTGTCCATGTGGCCCCAGCACGTCCGTGAGAGCCATCCTGCTAACACCTATCTACCCTCCGCCTCTGTCTACTCTGACTTTGAAACTAATGTATGGCCTTCTTTATCATCTAGCACAGCTTAAACAGTGGCCAATGTCTCTGTTCTGCTGGTGAAACCATCAGTAAGTTTTATTTCAATGCTTTGAGGCATTCTTTGGCCTTTTTTTTTTTTTTAATATAAGCAGCTGCAGTCTTTTATTTATTTTTGTAGAGACAGAGTCTTGCTATGTTACTTAGGCTGATCTCAAACTCCTGGCCTCAAGTAATCCTCCCACCATGGCCTCCCAAAGTGCTGGGATTACAGGTATGAGCCCCTGGGCTCAGCCGCTTTTTTTTTTTTTTCTTAAAGCAGGCTAAGATAGACATATATTCTGCAACTAGACTTTGTGCTTTAGTAAAGAAACAAAAGTAATTTCAACTTTTAAAGAAGGCTTTGCTACTTCAATTTTGACCATACAACTTTTCTGTCCATGTTTATTTTTCTTTATACAGTGCAATCTGCCGAAATCTGGTCTATATTAACAAAGTACAACAAAACCAGGACCCCTCCTCTCCTCTCCAAGCCCCCGCCTTTTTTTTTTTTTTTTTTTTTTTTGAAACAGAGTCTCACTCTGTCACCCAGGCTGGAGCGCAGTGGCACGATCTCGGCTCACAGCAACCTCAGCCCCCGGGGCTCAAGTGATTCTCCTGCCTCAGCCTCCTGAGTTGCTGGGACTACAGGCATCTGCCACCACGCCCAGCTAATTTTTGTATTTTTAGTAGAGAAGGGGTTTCACCATGTTGTCCAGGCTGGTCTCAAACTCCTGACCTCAGGTGATCCACCTGCCTCGGCCTCCCAAAGTGCTAGGATTACAGGCGTGAGCCACCGTGCCTGGCCCAAGCCCCTACTCTTTAGGGGAAAGAATGGGGAGGCCGTTCCGTGTGTTTAGCAGGATGGTCGGCACTGCCTCTGGGGCTCCCTCCCTGGTCCTGTGTCCATGCTCCTCCCGCCAAGACTCCAGGCGTGGTCCCCTCTGGCCTTCAGCTCCTGTCTATCATCTTGGGCGGCTCTGCTGCTCCCTGAGCCTCTGGAGTCCTCTGCTCAGAGGCTCCACTGTCCCCAGGCTCACCCCATCTCCATACCCGGAGGGAGCCACCTTGCCCTTCCTCTTCGCCTGGCATGGCCTGTCTTGAGGAAAGCTGGAAGGGAAAGTGCTGCCAGGAGCTGTTCTGTATTCTCACTAAGAGGCCAGTCAGCCAGGACGCCCAAAGCTTTCTGCTCTCCCCGTGACTCGCTCCAGCCACCTGGGCAGTGCTGGGCTGCCCCCATGAGCGTGCTGCACCTCCCCTGGGCCTGACAGGTCCTCAGTGCACTTGCAGGCTGTGGTGGTGATTGGTTCTGCCACACGTGTTAGTCAAAGTTTAAAAGGAAGATCCAGATACCAAAGGAGTACATGGATGCAGAAAAGTGAGGCCTCAGCTGCCTAACCAAGAGGCTGGTTTCCTGAGTGTCCTGGGTGCACCTTGAGATCTATGGCCACTGTGACAAGGCCTTGGAAAGATCAGCAGCTCCAACAGTGGCCAGCCATCCTCCAGCCAGCAACTGGGTCGCAGCACTGGCCACGCTGACGTGGGGCCAACGGTGGTGGAGGCACCGGCCACGCTGATGTGGGACCAACGGTGGTAGGGGGGCACCGGCAATGCTGATGAGGGACTGACGGTGGTGGGGGCATGGGCAATGCTGATGAGGGACCGACGGTGGCAGGTGCACCAGCAATGCTGACA
Source organism: Homo sapiens (assembly GCF_000001405.40). NCBI lineage: Eukaryota > Metazoa > Chordata > Mammalia > Primates > Hominidae > Homo > Homo sapiens. The sequence continues at coordinate 99,729,913 of NC_000013.11, read as the reverse complement.
CAGTACCAATGGTGGTGGAGGCACCAGCCACACTGAAGCGGTGCCGAGGCTGGCGGGGGGAAGGGCCCCACTGCCACAGGGCCGACGGTGGCAGGGGGTAGTGGCACCAGGGAGTCAGGAGAACACATAAGGAATACTCAAGTGCAGGCTGAAAGTGGTCCAGGATTCCATCTTCCTCTTTCTCCTTTATTCCTAAACTTTATCAGTAGAAGACCATCATTTGCTAATTGACAGAGAAAGGAAAAGAATTTTTCAGTGACTGCCAGTGCCTTGTCAACAGGCCGATGGCTGGCTGCGCTTTCCGCAGTCCCCTCTGGAGGGTGGAGAGCAGTGATGATGAGTCTCCGGCCTCACTTTCCCGCCTCCCATTTACACACACTTCTAAAGCCCACCAAACCCCTAAGATATTTAGCCCGAAGCAGATCCAAAGGCACACATCTTACTGACCAGATGAAACCATGCCTCAGAGATACATTTATCTCTGGCTGCCACCACCTCCAACCACCATTCCCTATGTCTTTTCCTTCAGCATAGCTGATACTCAAGCAGATGACTGACAAAGGAGCCCAATCTAAAGGGCTGCTGAAGGAAGGTTTGGAGGGCCTTTTGGCTAAGATCACATGTATGTTATCCCCATATAAATGGCCAAGTACATCTGTTGGTCACCGACAATGTGTCAGGCATAACACAGCACAAAGATACTCTCTCCCCTCTTTAGGCCTCACACTTTTAAAAGACAAGAGAAACAGTCCAGATCATTCTTTTCAGTACTATTTGTTTCCAGCTGAAGATGAGAGAGATCTTTTAACACAGCCCTTCATCCTGATCTCTGGGAAGGAGACAATTGGATGGCCCTGGCCATTCTGCTTTCTCTGGTTCCCATAGCAAGGCCCTGCAGAACTTCTAGAACACAATTATGAGGAAAGAAGCTCTCAGCATTCCAAAGCAGAAGGAACAACTGTCTTGAATATGTCGAAAATTGCTGTCTTTAAGGTATTAAGGAAGGACCCAGTTTATATTTACTGGGGTGGGGCTGGGCATGGTGGCTCATGCCTCTAATCCCAGAACTTTGGGAGGCTGAGGTGGGAGGCTTCTTTGAGCCCAGGAGTTTGAGACCAGCCTGGGCAACATAATGAGACTCCATCTCTACAAAAACAAAACAAAACAAAACAAAAAAGCACACAGTAGCCAGGCATGGTGGTGCACAACTGTGGTCCCAGCTACGTGCGAGGACTGCTTGAGCCCTGGAGGTTGAGGCTGCAGTGAGGCGTGATTGCACCACTGCACTTCAGCCTGGGTAACACAGTGAGACCCTGTCTCTATTAAAAAGAAAAAAAAAAAAAGAAGTTGGCTCATACCTGTAATCCCAGCACTCTGGGAGGCCGAGGGAGGCGGATCATGAGGTCAGGAGATCGAGAACATCCTGGCTAACACAGTGAAACCCCATCTCTACTAAAAATACAAAAAATTAGCCGGATGTGGTGGCACACACCCGTAGTCTCTGCTACTCGGGAGGCTGAGGCAGGATAATCGCTTGAACCCAGGAGACGGAGGTTGCAGTGAGCCGAAATCGTGCCACTGCACTCCAGCCTGGGCAAAAGAGTGAGACTCCATCTCAAAAAAAAAAAAAAAAGAAAAGAAAAGAAACATATGTATATTAAGTATTAATAAGTACCCAGTTTATATTTATTGGGGGAGGGGGCCAGTATGGTGGCTCACACCTGTAATCCCCCCCACCAAAACACAGAGCTTTGGGGAATACCCTCACAAAACTCATGAAAAGAAATATAATGGGATCTGTAATATTAATACTAATATTGTCTATATTTTTATTTTTTGAGACAGTTTTGCTCTGTTGCCCAGGCTGACATGCAGTGGCATGATCTCTGCTCACTGCAACCTCTGCCTCCCAGGTTCAAGCAATTCTCCTGCCTCAGTCTCTTGAGCAGCTGGGATTACAGAAGCCCACCGCCATGCCTGGCTAATTTTTGTATTTTTAGTAGAGACAGGATTTCACCATGTTGGCCAGGCTGGTCTGAAACTCCTGGCCTCAAGTGATCCGCCCACCTCGGCCTCTCAAAGTACTGGGACTACATGCATGAGCCACCGCACCCGGCAATACTGTCTTTAAGTAGAGACCAAAAGGTATCTATCATTCCCTGTCCTGAGATAGACAGGACAATGTTCTTCAGCTGGTGTTTACTGCATAGTGTTTACTCCCATACTGGCCACGGGAGAAATAACTAATTATATCTAGACAAACCCAGGTGTCTTGCTTGCCTGTCTCTCAAAGAAAATGGCTCATTTGCTAGATGGACTATTTTTGTTACTTCTTGGATACTAGATCTGACCTGAAGGAGGTTTGTTGGAGGCAGAGTGAAATGTGTTTGTGTTTATTCCTTTTTTTCTACTTGGTTGCAGCAGATGAAGCACCCAGAGGACCACAATCCTCGGATTTTATGAGAAGACCTTCTGCCCTGCCTGCCCTTTTGAGACCTTTATCTGAAAAGGAACCTGCAATCCTAGAAAAGAGGTGGAGGCAGGCTTGATTCAGTTAAGGAAGTTCTTTCTTCTCAGCAATTACCACGCCAATTCTGTGGAAAAGCAACATTTGGAAGACGAGAGAAATCCACTGTAGGAAGTATTAGAAATACCTGCAATTAGGCTTCAAACAAGCAAATGAGGCAGGTCTATTCCCCAGGCCTAACAAGTCTTTGAGGTATTGTGCACAGAAACAAAGTTTTTTTTTTTTTTTGAGATGAAGTCTTACTCTGTCACCCAGGCTGGAGTGCAGTGGCATTATCTCGGCTCACTGCAACCTCCGCCTCCCAGGTTCAAGTGATTCACCTGCCTCAGCCTCCCGAGTAGTTGGGATTTCAGGCGTGTGACACCATGCCTGTCTAATTTTTGAACTTTGAGTAGAGATGGGGTTTCACCAAGTTGTCCAGGCTGGTCTCGAACTCCTGACCTCAGGTGATCTGCCCGCCTCAGCCTCCCAAAGTGATGGGATTACAGGCGTGAGTCACTGTGCCCAGTCAAAACCAGGTTCTGATGTACATCCTTGCACGCCTTTTTTGTGGCACAGAGCAAGTGGTAACCAGGTAACTTCCCTGGCCCTCTGCATACATGAAGGAAATGAGAATGTAGGTGCCTGAGGCCCTACAGACACTACTGCCTTAGGGATAAGGGGCGGGGGAGGGGCGCTCATGGGGGGACGCACTGAGGGCCAGGCCTGTGCCAGCCGCTTTACATTATTCAGAGTTTAAGTCTCACACCGACCCCTGAGCTGCTGGCTCTTCCCTTTTCAGGGCAGGAAAAGTAAATGACGACAGCCTGTGTCCTCTCCATGACACCACTCTGCCTCCATGGAACCACTCTGCCCCCATGGATCTCTCCAGTTTTAAGTCTGGGGAAATCTATCAATCACACAATTTCAGTTAGCATTCCAAGAACTAGGGGAAGGCCCGAGTAATCTATTCAAAGACATGCTTCAGAAAGAACACACCGACCCCATGGAGAGTTAAACCTGATTACCAAGAAGCAGGATAGTTAGGTGTTTCCGCTATTTACATAATCATTGTAAATATAAGTTACAGACTAATTACAATGATAATTATGACAATGAGCCTGGCATGGAGGAAGAGTTTAATAAATAATATTTGATGAATGAATGAGTTCATCTTTGAGTTCTTAATCTCAAAACAGTACCAGAAAGAACAAATGAGAAGTCTAACACCTTATTAATTTGAAAATAATAATTTAAGAAAATTCTTATGATTGGCTATTAAACTTTTGGCAGAATAGCAGTAATTATCATAAAACATACTCTGAAATTAATTCTGAAATCTTGCCTTAATGTGTTTACATAAACATATTAGATGTATACATTCATGAAAATCAACCCATCTACACTCAACTGAAAAACAGATGCTTCAACTGGAGAAAAAGGGATTTTATCTCTCCATACCCAAAGCTATCTTAAATTAGGACTTTTAACCTGTTGCCTTCGTGCGCATGTGCAGTAGCTGGATTAACAGGAGAGAAAGCAACAGCCCAAGAACCGACCCTCCTGCATCAAATGAGTAAACCAAAAAGGAAAGGGGATTTACGCAAACACCACAATGCCTCCCCGGGAGCCGTTCCAGTCCATCAGAACCAAATCCACCCTTTCAGCGGCGTGGAAATGTACGGATACCGAACAGACCTTGCATTTACAATAAATAAACATTACGTACATTTTCCAAAATGAGCTTATAAAATACAACAGGTATGGGACTCAGTTTAACTAAGCATTTTAGATATATCCTAACATCAAAACAGTTAACATTTCCCACTGAGTTTCTACAGCATAGTACTAGAATGTCCCTTCATCTCTCTGCTGCCCTCTCCACAAACAAGAAAGCTGGTCAATAAAAGAAAACAAATGACAATAGAATCCAGTTTTCTACCTGATCCTGACCATCCTGGGGCCAATCTTCAACTTTCCCACAACAGCCCCAGTGAAAGCTCACATTGTTAGCCCTCACTTTTCCTTTTCTTTTGTTCCCCTTGAGAGCAGTTCCTGAAACTTACCCAAGCTGTGAGCTTCTGAGTAAGAAGCAGGTCCAGAACCTTAAAAAAACCGCACGGTATTACCACAGCAAGTCACCATCTTACTGTTCGGTCTTCTCTTCTTTTACATCAAGATTTGTTTTCTGCCAGCAACCTGAGAGCGGGCTCTTTCCTAAACCGATATCCCAGATCACGGTCATGTGTAGAGGCCAGCCCTGCTTGTCAAGGCTTAGAGAGCTGTCTGCAGTGCGTGCCTCTTCCCCATAGCCAAGTAGGCCCGAGAAATGCTAATACTCAGCAGGACGCATCAAGAACTTTCAGCCTCAGCAATGGCTAAGAAGAAAGTATCACAAATTGACTGAAATTATCTATAGCACAAAAGAAAAGAGAAGGAATTAATCAAAGTCTCTCTCTTAATGCAATGCTTGATTGAACTACCCCAATCCCTTTTTAAATAGGATACTGGTGGCAAGTGACCCCAACGACACGCCCTAGAGAGGTACACAAGGAACACTTGTTCCATTTTTTTCTTTTATGACCTCATTAAGGAGGATTTTGAAGATTGTTCCTGAATATAAGAACAAAGTGTCCTAAGACATCTCTAACTTTTTATGTCTTTAGCCTTTTGCTGCTGCAATGGCCTTTGCGTCTGTGTGTGTAACTCGGTGCGTTCTGCTCGTGCTCAACTCCCCACCAAAACAAGAACTGAGTGAGAAGTCTGCACGAAAACAATCACAGCTGTACCCTCTAAATGCAGAGAGGAGCTGGTTTCTTACACCAGAAAGTTTTGCCAAGACCAACTTGGGATCCATTCTTTTTTTTTTTTTCATCTTCTCCAAGTCGGAGCTGCCATTAATTGCTCTGGGGGCTGTTTCCAGGCTCTTATCAAGGGAGGGTGCCGGCTGCCAACCCTGCCTGGTGTGAAAATACTCCACCGCCAGGAACATTTTCCTCAAAGTGTTTGTTGATTCCACGCTTCGGTTTAATATGCAAGATTATATTTTACAATCAGAAACAAACAGATTCATAACGGAAGGCTTGAAAGGCAAATAGGGGAAAATCAAGCCAAAGACTGAGCCTAAATGTAGTATTTTTATTGACTTCTTAGAAACCAAATAACCTGGCATATTAGTGTGTGCATTCTGCAACAGACATTCAGCCCCATTGTACTACTTAGAAGAGAATAAAAAGAAACCCTACTGTTTGAAACCCAGCGGAACATCCCCACAACAGGGCACAACTGTTCCCTCATGCATGAATGGGAAAGAGATGAAAGAAAAGATGGACTTCTGAGGTACAGCAAAAAACAAAGACAACAAAAGTGCTGACCATGAGGGAATGACACAACTCATTGCAGCAAAAAGGATAAGAGAAAGGAGCTCAGACAATGGTGAGGACAGCCAAGTGACACGGAGGAGAATTGAAAAATCTACACAAGTGTCTTTTCTCTCCGCCCTTGATGAAAAACAATTAAATGTTGGTACATCTGTCACAAAAAAGATCACTGAAACCTGTAACCATCATGATGAATGGTAACTTACCTACCCAAACTGGAACTCTCCAGTTAAACCTTGTCACCTCTGTTTCTTACTTATCCTTACTAAAATGAAAAGTTTTCATTTCTGTGACAATTTACCACATCTGAATATGCTGTAACAAATTCTTATAGAGAGACTAAGGGGCACTGAAGATGCCCGTGTGCCCATGGATGGGAACATGGATACGAAGGTTTAAAACACTCCACGGAAAAGATGGGCCTCAAGAAATTTCCAGAGAGAAACTACGGATTTTCCTCTTGACTCACATTACGATTACAGCCCTATTTAATCTAAATTTCAGATTGGTTTTCATCCAGCAGCAGCTCCAACATTTTGGCTTTAAGAGTCGTTGCTCTCAAACCCTACTGCCAAGAAGATACTGTTTGTAAACATTTAATATAAAAGAAGAAAGCTCATAATTTAATGCTACTTTTAGGTAAATGCAGTCATTGGTATGTGATGGCAATAATTACCTTTTGATGTTTCTGTTTTTCTTAAACAGAGCACACCTGTCCACACTTCACTAACGTTGAGCCCTGTTAATGAAGTGTTCAGTGAGAAAATCCCATCTACCAAATATATGAAAAACCCACCATATGAAATCCCCACTAGATGTTTATTGCTCCGGAAGTCCACCAGCCTGGGAAAGTCACACGGTGTTTTAAAGCCAGCTCCTGGGCCTTATTCCTGGCTTGATAACGTGCAGCCCTGCACAAGAGCCAAAAAGCAGTTATTGACCCTGTCAGAATGCCTGATTAATGGATAAACGCTGTAATTGATTAGCAGAGAAGTGTGAATTAAAACAGGGCATGGCATCAATAACCAGCCTCTGACAACAGCAGTTGACGTACAATGTAAAACAAGAGCCTGCGGCTATATCTCATCAAAGGCACACTTTTCTTAAAACAGGGGAGAAAGGGGGAAGTAAACAGTCCTAGTGTCCTGTCCTCTTGGTAATGATGCTGTGTGAAGCCACCAGCAAGCGGCATGGGAACTCAGTCGTCAGTCCACCTTCATATATCAAGCAGTGCAAAGCAGTTAAACAGTCCTATTGTTCTGGGACTTAAAACAAAAGCATAGAAGAAGCCCTATTCTCTTTTCATTTTTTCACTGGGAACTCTCTACGTATAACCTCAAAGAAAAGTGAATTCTGCCTGATTCAGTGCTCCTGGAGAGGTAGGAGGCATGGCTCACTGGAATACTGCTTCTATCTGCTACTGGAAGTGAAAAATGCATTCATTCATTCACTCATTCATTCATCCAGCATCTGGTATGAACCAGTGACTGTTCTGGGTTGGAGAGTACAAAGATGAATAAGGTTTGTGGCAGGCTGAGTTGATGCGGACCCACTCCTGCTGAAATTACACACAGCTATTGGAAAATCTAAAGCAACTTAAAAAAAAAAAAGGTTTCATGCGTAGCTCAGCTTGATAGAAAGAGGAAAGAGAGATTCCCAAGTGCCAGAAACAAAGCAAATCTCCAGGGCTGGGAGGAAACCTCCAAGCTGATGTATCCACCGAGGGCTGTCAGCCCTTGAAACAATAAGTAGGGGTCAGAGTGTCAACACCCCTGGGGAAAGAAGACACCAGCCAGGACTGTGCAAGATGAGGGGGAAACTGGACCAAACCAGACCCCTTAAGAAGCTAGCCAGTCCATGAAAAGGGAACTGGAAGAACCATGCTCACCAAAGAAACAGGAAGGAGGCCTGAGGTCTGGCTTGAGCTCTGAAAAGTAACTAAAAGCTTTTGTATGAATCATCTGAATCAGGAGCCTGTGCTAAGAGCAAATGCAGGGATTAAGTTGATACCACCCAGATGGGTTGGAAATCACAAATAGAGAAATTAAAAATTAAAACTTGTTCAAGACCCTAAAATAACTGAGCCTTGGTTTGCAGAAGAAAAAGGTAAAGCAGTGCTCCAGAAACATCTCCACAATCCAGGGCCCCTGGACTCCCAGAGGCAAAAATAACCCCTGCTGAAGATGAGCTCACAATAAAAAATTCCAACCAGGCCAGGAACTAACCTACCACGCCAAGGGTCAGCAAGTACAACATGCGGGCCAATGGGTACCTGGGAACTGGAAACAAGTGACAACCTAAAAAAGAATCTGATATATGTGTTTAGAGCTATTAAAGTGACACAAGAACAGTAACCATTGAAAGAATAGGACACGATTGAAAATAAAAATTAGAGGGGGAGGGGGGAGGGACAGCATTAGGAGATATAACTAATGTAAATGACGAGTTAATGGGTGCAGCACACCAACATGGCATATGCATACATATGTTACAAACCTGCACGTTGTGCACATGTACCCTAGAACTTAAAGTGTAATAAAAATATATATATATATTTAAAAAAAGAAAATAAAAAAAGAAAAATTAATTTGAAAGAGAACCAAACAGCAGATTTAGAAGGAAAAAAACAGAGTCACTGAAATAGTAAGTAAATTAGATTACATATGGCCAATAAAAGAATTAGGGGCCGGGAGTCATGGCTCACACCTGTAATCCCAGCACTTTGGGAGGCTGAGGCGGGTGGATCACTTGCGGTCAAAGTTCGAGATCAGCCTAGCCAACATGGTGAAACCCCGTCTCTACTAAAAATACAGAAAATTAGCCAGGCGTGGTGGTGGGTGCCTGTAATCCCAGCTACTCAGGAGGCTTAAGCAGGAGAATCGCTTGAACCTGGGAGGTGGAGGTTGCAGTGGGCAGATATCACATCACTGCACTCCAGCCTGGGCGGCAAGAGTGAAACTCCATTTCAAAAAGAAAAAAAAAAAAAAAGAATTAGGGAACTACAGAATGGATGCGGGGAAATCATACAGGACATGGCACAGAGAAGTAGGAGATGGAAGATGTTAAGAAACGAGGGAACATGAGACCTTACAACAAATGCTAATGAGAGAATAGAAAGAATGAGGACTTATGACTGAGATGTTTTCAGAATGGAAAGAAGCATTTACATTCTCAGATTGAACAGCACAGTCAGGAGCCAGATAAACAATCACAAATCAACACCTAACACATAATAGTGAAACTATAGAACACATAGAGAGAAAAGACAGATTACCCATGAAAAAAGAACAATTTTTCTTCACAGCAGAATGTTACTAAGCAGCAAAATCAACCAAAAATTAATGGAATAGTATTTTCAAAGTATTGAGAGAATATAGCTTTTAGCCTTGAACGCAACTAAGCAATCATCCAAGAGGAAGGGCAAAATAAACACGTTCTCCATACAAAGGCTGAAGAAAGTTACTATTGTTAGACCTTTACTGAGAGAAGTGACCAATGGTATATTTCAGGATAAAAAGACTCAATCCAAAAGAAAAGAGTGGGATCCAAAGGAGCGATGGTGAGCAGAGAGTAAACATGTAAGTAAATCTAAATGAGCCAGCAATATCAATTATAATGTTGTCTCATTTAAAACAAAGTACTGAAAAAAAAATGAACCAAAAAGTTAAGTACTAGACTCTGATAACATGCTACACAGGGAATACGAAAGACTGGGAGTGAATATCAGAGCCAAAATATTCCGAGGCATTTTGATCAGAAGGAGAGCAGAGAAATATCCATTAACTTTAGACTCAAATAAAATATGCATATTAAATTTTAAATGTAATCACCAAAAGAAAAAATAGAATGTATAATTTCTAAATCAATAGGAAGAAATAAGCAAAGTAGAATAAATAAGAAAACTATAATAAAATAAATAAAACTTAAAAAAAATAAAGAGAACTAAGTACAATGAAAAGCAGGAAAAGGGGAAATACAGTAAGTAAACAGCATAGTATATAAAATTAGTAACATATGGTAGTAAAACCAAATTTGATTACATTAGCAATCACAACAAATGTGAACAGATTAAATATCCCTGCTAAAAGACCAAGATTACATTTAAAGAAAAAAAAAGTTTCAATTTAATACTGTTTATAAAAGATACACCTAAAACAGAAGGACACAGAATGGTTGAAAGTAAAAAATAAAAAGGTGATTAAAATAAAAAGATACTGTCAAGCCAGGTGCAGTGGCTCATGCCTGTAATCCCAGCACTTTGTGGGGCTGAGGTGGGTGGCTTGTCTGAGGTCAGGAGTTTGAGACCAGCCTGGCCAACGTAGTGAAACCCCATCTCTACTAAAAATACAAAAAATTAGCTGGGTGTGGTGGCGGGCACCTGTAATCCAAGCTACTAGGGAGGCTGAGGCAGGAGAATCGCTTGAACCCAGGAGGTGGAGGTTGCAGTGAGCTGAGATAGCACCACTGCACTCCAGCCTGGGCAACAAGAGCAAAACTCCGTCTCCAAAAAATATATATATATATTGTCAGGTGATGCCTGTTTTGTTTCTTGATGTGACTGGCATAGAACAGGTTCTTGGCTGGACATGGTGGCTCACGCCTAATCCCAGCACTTTGGGAGGCCAAGGCAGTAGAATCACTTGAGGTCAGGAGTTTGAGACCAGCCTGAGTAACACAGCAAGACTCCATCTCATAATTAATAAATAAATAAATAATTCAGCCAGGCTTGGTGGTGCCTGCCTGTAGTCTCAGCTACTCAGAAGGCTGAGGCAGGGAGATCATGTGAGCCCAGGAGGTGAAGGTTGCCGTGATCTCACCACTGTACTCCAGCCTGGGTAACAGAGAGAGACCCTGTCTTAAAAAAAAAAAAAAAATAGGCCTTGTGTGGTGGTTCATGCCTGTAATCCCAGCACTTTGGGAGGCCAAACAGGCAGCTTACCTGAGGTTGGGAGTTCAAGACCAGCCTGACCAACATGGAGAAACCCCATGTAGGAGAAATCTCTACTAAAAATACAAAATAAGCCAGGCGTGGTGGTGCATGCCTGTAATCCCAGCTACTGGGGAGGCTGAGGCAAGAGAATCGCTTGAACCTAGGAGGCGGAGGTTGCAGTGAGCTGAGATCATGCCACTGCACTCCAGCCTGGGCAACAAGAGCGAAACTCTGCTCAGAAAAAAAAAAAATTCTCAACAGGTATTGCTGAGTGAGTGACTGAATTAATTAATATCAAACAAGATAGAAACTAGGGCAAAAACATTCTCAGGATAAAGAAGATCATTATCTAATGATAAAAAGAACATTTTATCAGAAAAATATTTCTCAAATTGCAGACATCTGAAATAAACAATAAAATTATTAGAATTACAGAAGTAATTGATAAACTCACAACCAGAAGCAGAAATGGATAGATCTAATGGACATAAATTTAGTAAGACTTGAACAGCACCTGAAGAAGCACTGCCTCATAGACACGAGTCCAGGAAATACCAGCCCAAATATGCTGAATTGGTTTGCTGGTTACTTCAAGCTGAAGGCATTTGGGAAATAGCAAATGCAGAGGGGCTTTTCCTGAATCTCCCTTATCCAGTGAAATGCAGATTCTCCAGAAGGAAGCCAATTGTCATGAAAACCCTCTCTAGGTTTTTTTTTTTTTTTCTTTTTTTTAATCTATCAGGGGAGGTTAACAGGCAACAGGAGTCAAACCTAGAAGAGGCTGGAACTTGGCACCTGGTCCGGACAGGCTACTGCCTATTTTTGCAAAAGCCCATGCCCCTTTTCATAATCATTTACTCCCTAAGTGACCCCTACTTATCTCCCCATTCCCCTAGGAAGGGTGTAGAAAAGCTTCTGAGGCTGGGAGAGGTAGCTAATGCCTATAGTTTCAGTACTTTGGGAGGCCCAGGCAGGAGGATCACTTGAGCCCAGGAGTTATAGACCAGCCTGGGCAACTTAGGGAGACCCTGTCTCTACAAAACAAAAACAAAAACAAAAGCAAACAAACAAAAAACAGTAAGAGAATGCTAAAAACAACTTTATGGCAATAAACTTAAAAACAGAGAATGTGAACTATATTCCAGATAAATATAAGTAATCAAAAGTACTGTAATTCAATAAATGAAAGCTAGGAAATCTGAAGTGATCCTATGTTATTAAATATGCTGCATTAGTAGTCAAGACAGATACACACACACACACATACACACCCAAGTTGTACAGATAATTTCTAACAAGTTTTAACAAAAGCCTTTAAGAAACAGATTACTCAAGGCAGTGAATTCACAGTGGCTCACCCATGGAATCCCAGCATTTTGGGAGGCTGAGGTGGGAGGATCACTTGAGCCCAGGAGTCTGAGACCAGCCTGGGCAATATGGCAAAACCCCATCACTACAAAAAATACAAAAATTAGCCAGGCATGGTGGCGTGTACCTGTAGTCCCAGTTACACAGGAGGCTGAGGCAGGAGGATCCGGGGAGCCTGGGAGGCAGAGGATGCAGTGAACTGAGATCGTGCCACTGCACTCCAGCCTAGGCAACAGACCGAGACCCTGCCTCAAAAAAATAAAAAATAATTCTTTTTTTTTTTTTTTTTTTTTCTAATTTTTTTGAGATAGAGTCTCACTCTGTCGCCCAGGCTGGAGTGCAACGGCATGATCTCAGCTCACTGCAACTTCTGCCTCCTGGGTTCTAGCAATTCTCCTGCCTCAGCCTCCCGAGTAGCTGGAATTGCATGTGTGCACCACCACACCCAGCTAATTTTTGAATTTTTAGTAGAGACGGGGTTTCACCATGTTGTCCAGGCTGGTTTTGAACTCCTAACCTCAGGTGATCCACCTGCTTCAGCCTCCCAAAGTGCTGGGATTACAGGCGTAAGCCACCATGCCAGCCCAAGAAACAGATAATTCATATCTTATACAAGCGGTTCAAGAAATTAAAGAGGGGGGCTGGGCGTGGTGGCTCACGCCTGTAATCCCAGCTCTTTGCGAGGCCAAGGTGGGCGGATTACCTGAGGTCAGGAGTTTGAGACCAGCCTGACCAACATGGAGAAACCCCGTCTCTACTAAAAATACAAAATTAGCTGGACGTGGTGGCACATGCCTGTAATCCCAGCTACTTGGGAGGCTGAGGCAGGAGAATCGCTTGAACCTGGGAGGCAGAGGTTGCGGTGAGCCAAGATCGTGCCATTGCACTCCAGCCTGGGCAACAAGAGCTAAACTCCGTCTCAAAAAAAAAAAAAAAAAAAAAGAAAAGAAAAGAAATTAAAGTAAGAGGGAAAGTTTCCCACATAATTTTTTCCCAATTCATTTCTGAAAAAAGCATAAAAACTGAAGGAGGCAAAAACAAGTATAGGCTGGGCGTGGTGGCTCACGCCTGTAATCCCAGCACTTTGGGAGGCCGAGGTGGGTGGATCACCTGAGGTCAGGAGTTTGAGACCAGCCTGACCAACATGGTGAAACCCTGTCTCTATTAAAAATATAAAAATTACCCAGGCATGGTGGCAGATGCCTGTTATCCCAGCTACTTGGGAGGCTTAGGCAGGAGAATCATTTGGACCCGGGAGGCGGAGGTTGCAGTGAGCCGAGATTGCGCCATTGCACTCCAGTCTGGGCGACAGACTCTATTAAAAAAAAAAAAAAGAAAAGAAAAGAAAGAAAAATATAGGCCAGTCTCAATTTTACATTTCTATAAAATTCAGAATTTCAGCAAACTGAAAAATGACGTCTGCCGGGCATGGTGGCGCACACCAGTATTTCAGCTATTCGGGAGGCTGAGGCAGGAGAATCACTTGAGCCCAGCCTGAGCAACATAGCGAGACCTTGTCTCTAAAAAAAAAAAAAAAAAAAAAAAAAAAAAAAAAAAAAATTACACCAATAAAGCAAGGACAATTTAACATTACAAAACACTTTATTATTGTTCACTTCATTAACAGATGAGAAAAGAAAAGCCTTTTGAACATCTCAAGAGATGGAGAAAAAGCATTTGATAAAATTCAATACTCATTCATAATTTAAAAATGTTTAAAAAGTTTGCTAAATAACATGGCAGATTATTATTAGTATTTGTCTCCGCTTTCTTTCTAAAACCCACAATGAAGAGGGGAGGAGTATAAATCCACAGAAACAGATATAACAGAAGAATCAATCCCTTATAAGAGATGTTAACAAACCACTGGCAAATGGAGAGTGAATCAACAAGTGAAAACACTGACTACTAACTTCCTGCAGCCCCGGGACCTGAGAAACATGACAAGCCAAAAGCATCAAGCTTATTTCTACCACAGGACTCTGGAACAGCTTAGGAACTAGAGGTTCCTGGTATCTCTGAAGGCAGGGTAGTGGGTTGGAACAAAAGGATTGTTTGAAAATCCGTACAGGCCGGGTGTAGTGATTCATACCTGTAATCCCAGCACTTTGGGAGGCCAAGGCGGGTGGATTCCTTGAGCTCTATAAAAAATACAAAAAATTACCCAGGCATGGTGGCATGCACCTGTAGTCCCAGCTACTTGGGAGGCTAAGGCAGGAGGATCACCTGAGCCCTAGAGGTCCAGGCTGCAGTGAGTTGAGATCACACCACTGCACTCCAGTCCGAGTGAGACTGTCTCAAAAAAAAAAAAAAGAAAAGAAAAAGAAAAAAAGAAAATCTCTATAAAGAGCACTTAGACCTTAACCTGTCCCATTCCAAAAGGGCAAAGGAAGTAAATCCCTGGAGAAATGGAACCCCAAAAAGCTTTCACTTTGTGGAGGCAAAACACAGTGAAGGGGAGGAGTTAGTCAAAAGCTGAAACGGGCTGAGTGAAAGTCCAGGTATGGAATAATGAGAATTCCCCAGTTGCCTCCTAGCCTTGGCTTCTAGAATGCTGGAAGCCAGGTCTAATCCCCCGAAGCTGGAGAGCACAGGATACCTCTCTGAAAAACAGAAGAGCCCAGGAGAACAAGCCTACAGACACTGATATGTGGTGATCCTCTGGTGAAGCTGGTGGGCCCCCAGCTGATAACCTTACAGTGAGGCCCATCAGTTCCATACACAAATAACTCTCTATTGATGGTTACGTTCCTCCTTTTTATTTATTTATTTATTTATTTAGAGACAGAGTCTCGCTCTGTTGCCCAGGCTAGAGTATAGTGGTATGATCTCGGCTCACTGCAACCTCTGCCTCCTGGGCTCAAGTGATTCTTGTGCCTCAGCCTCCCAAGTAGCTGAGATTACAGGCACCCGCCACCATGCCTGGCTAATTTTTTGTGTTTTTAGTAGAGACGCGGTTTCACCATTTTGGCCAGGCTGGTCTCGAACTCCTGACCTCAAGTGATCCGCCCACCTCGGCCTCCCAAAGTGCTGGGATTAGAGGCAGGAGCCACTGCTCCTGGTCCTTAAGTTCCTCATTTTTATTTTTATTATTTATTTATTTATTTATTTTTGAGACGGAGTCTCACTCTGTCACCCAGGAGGAAGTGCAGTGGCGCAGTCTCCACTCACTGCAACCTCTACCTCCCCGGTTCAAGCAGTTCTCCTGCCTCAGCCTCCTGAGTAGCTGGGATTACAGGCGTGTGCCACCACACCAAGCTAATTTTTGTATTTTTAGTAGAGATGGGGTTTCACCATGTTGGCCAGGCTGGTCTCAAACAGCTGACCTCAGGTGATCCGCCCACCTCGGCCTCCCAAAGTGCTGGGATTACAGGCGTGAGCCACCACACCAGGCCAGTTCCTCATTTTTAAATATGGACTGACAGTCAAACACCACCAGACCTTCGACAAAAGTTATCAACTTGAAAGATAAAAACCGAAACAAACAACCAGGAAGAGCACTCAAGAGAAACGGACAATGCAAAGAGCAGAACAGAGCAAAAAACAGAACAAACAGAGAAATAAGATATTATAATACATGCAAAAACAGGAATAAAATATCATTTATAAAAGAAACATGGTAGGCTGAGGTAGAGGATTGCTTGAGCCCAGGAGGTCAAGGCTGCAATGAGCCGAGATTGTACCACTGCACTCCAGCCTGGGTGACAGAGCAAGACCCTGTCTCAAAAACAAACAAACAAACACGGCCAGGTGCCATGTACTCACACCTGTAATCCTAGCATTTTAGGAAGCTGAAAGCAAATTGCTTGAGCCCAGGAGTTTGAGACCAACCTGGGCACATAGCGAAACCCTGTCTCTACAAAAAAATATATTTAAAAATTAGCCAGGTATACTGTCTTGTGCCTGTAGTCCCAGCTACTTGGGAGGCTGAGGCAGGAGGATCATTTGAGCCCAGGAGGTTGAGGCTGCAATGAGCCATGATTGCACCACTGCACTCCAGCCTGGGCAACAGAGCAAGACCCTTTCTCAATCAATCAATCAATCAGAAACATTAGAGAACATGAAAAAGCTATCAAAAATAAAAATTTGAGGCCAGACATGGTGGCTCATGCCTGTAATCCCAGCACTTTGGAAGGCCAAGGAGGGCGGATCACCTGAGGCCAGGAGTTCAAGATCAGCCCAGCTAACATGGTGAAACCCCGTCTCTACTAGAAATACAAAAATTAGCCAGGCATGGTGGCAGATGCCTGTAATCCCAGCTACTCAGGAGGCTGAGGCAGGAGAATCACCTGGACCTGGGAGGCGGAGGTTGCAGTGAGCCAAGATCACACCACTGCACTCCAGCCTGGGCGACAGACCAAGACTCTGTCTTAAAAAAAAAAAAAAAAAAAAAAAGAAATAGAGAAATACAAAGAAAGCTCCTAGAACTAAAACACATAAATTTTCAGACTGAAAGGCCTATGGAACACCTACATAATTAACAAAAATGATCCCATCAAAGTACATCAATGCAAAGTTTGAGAGGACTAGGGAGAAAGAGATCTTCAAGAGAGATCTTCAAGAAAGAGATTTTCAAGAGAGAAAAAAATTTACAGAAAAAGGATCAAGAATCAAAATGGCACCATTTTAAAGCAATGGCAGCATTAGAAGCAAAAAAGGGAGCAATGCCTTTAACATTCTTAGGGAAAATGTTTTCCATGAAGTCTGAAGAACACCAAAGACCTCTTCAGACATATAGCCTCAAAAACATTTAACTTTCACGAACCCTCTTTTCACATAACTACTAGAAGACACACAGCCCTGAATGAGGAAATAAGCCAAGAAAGAAGACATGGTTTCCAGATACTGGAAATACAGAGTACAAACAGAGCAAACGCCAGGATTATGGTGTTTTATAAACAATGGAAGTTTTAGAAACACAGAAATGCAGCTGGCCTAGAAAGCGACAAGTTCAGGATAGAAGACTCCAGAAGGAATTCCTTTAAAAACAAAATCAAAAGTAGTAAGGGTATATTGCTTAATATTGACGACTTTGTCAAAGAGTTGGAAGAAAAAATTAGTTTTAGCAAAAGAGTCAATCACTGGCCAGGTGTGGTAGCTCACACTTGTAATCCCAGCACTTTTGGAGGCCAAGGCAGGGAGATTCTTGAGCTCCAGACTTGGAGACCAACCTGGGCAATGTGGCAAAACTCTGTCTCTACCAAAAAAAAAACTCAAAAAAACAAAAATTAGCTGGGTATGGTGGCACGCACCTGTATTCCCAGCTACTTGGGAGGCTGAGGCGGGAGGATCGCTTGAGCCCAGGAGGCAGAGGTCACAGTGAACCGAGATCACGCCACTGCATTCTAGCCTGCGCTATAGAGCGAGACCCTGTCTCAAAAAAAAAAAAAAAAAAAAAGTCAATTGCTAACTCCAAGGGGACAAAAAGTTATATGAGAAAGGAAAATTGTAGTGTACCGTATGGCTCAGCTGTGAACACTGCTTTCCTTGGCACAGTATAAACACTGAAGTGTGTATCAGGGGTATAATACGACAAAAGAGAACTGTCTTCAACTTCCATAGCAGAAAGTTAATGGTACTATAGACAGAATGTTTCTGTCCCCTGCAAAGTATGTTGAAGTCTTCATTCCCAGTGTGATCAAATGTGGAGGTGAGGCCTTTGGTTGGTGATTAGTCACGAGGACTGAGCTCTCATAAATGAAATCAGCACCTTTATAAAAGACAGACTCCCTCACGCCTGTAATCCCAGCACTTTGGGAGGCCAAGGCGGGTGGATCACGAGGTCAGGAGTTCTAGACCAGCCTGGCCAAGATGGTGAAATCCTGTCTCTACTAAAAATACAAAAAATTAGCCGGGCGTGATGGTGGGCGCCTGTAATCCCAGCTACTCTGGAGGCTGAGGCAGGAGAATCGCTTGAACCCAGGAGGTGAAGGTTGCCGTGAGCCAAGATGGCACCACTGGACTCCAGCCTGGTGACACAGCAAGACTCTGTCTCAAAAATATTAAAAAATAAAAAATAAAAAAAGCTGCGTGCGGTGGCTCACGCCTGTAATCCCAGCACTTTGGGAGGCTGAGGTGGGCAGATCACCTGAGGTCGGGAGTTCAAGACCAGCCTGACCAACATGGAGAAACGCCATCTCTACTAAAAATACAAAATTAGCCGGGCGTGGTGGTGCATGCCTGTAATCCCAGCTACTTGGGAGGCTGAGGCAGGAGAATCGCTTGAACCCGGGAAGTGGAGGTTGCGTGCCGAGATTGCGCCATTGCACTCTAGCCTGGGCAACGAGAGCGAAACTCCGTCTCAAAAAAAAAAAAAAAAAAAAAAAGACGGACTCCCTCACCCCTTCTGTCATATGAGGACGCAGTGAGAAGGTGTGCGTCTGTGGACCGGGAGGCGCAGGTGCTTCCTTAGCACCAGACACTGAACCTGCCACTGCCTGATCTTGGACCTCCAAGTCTCCAGAAGTGTGGGAAATAAATTTCTGTTGCTTATAAGACACCCAGTTTATGGTATTTTGTTATAGCAGCCTAAATGGACTAAGACAAATAGATAACTGTGAGCAGTGGCTCACACCTGTAATCCTGGCACTTTGGGAGGCCAAGGCAGTCAGATCACTTGAGGCCAGGAGCTCAAGACTAGCCTGGCAAAACCCCTCTCTACTAAAAGTACAAAAATCAGCTGGGTGTGGTGGCAGACGCCTGTAATCCCAGCTACTCAGGAGGCTGAGGCATGATAATCACTTGAACCTAGGAGACGGAGGTTGCAGTGAGCCGAGATCACGCCACTGCACTCCATCCTGGGCAACAACAGCAAAACTCTGTCTCAAAAAAAAAAAAAAAAAAAAAAAGGGGTTAGAAACTAAGAGAAGCCAGGAGACTTGTCGATAGCTTGAAGGAGATGTGCTTACAAAGCAAAGGTTATTTTCCACTTCATCTTTGGCAGAGATGTATGTGAAACATCACTGTAAGCTATGGGTAAGAATTCCACAAAGGGACAGAGTCAAAAACCAAGACAGGGGCTAAATGGTGTACCAAGATTCCCCGAGGACAGGGAAGAAACTAGGGGGCTGATACCGGAGAAGAAGGACACCTCTCATTTGGGAAAGGAAGATAAAGAAAAGGACTGGGGAAGTGCAGGGGTTTGGGAAAAAGCAATATCCCTGGAAATATAGCCCCTTTTACTTTTCTTCCCTACCTGCATAAAAACTCACAAGTTCCCTCTTGTCCTACATTGTCTTCATAAGTCTCAATGACAAGGACCACTGAAAAAAATGCTGTGCAGTATAAATAATAAGAGCTTTATTATTCCCCCAGCTCCACTGGGGCAGAGAAACACAGCAGACGGTCCCTGAGAAGAACAAATGCCATGTGCGGCCCCGTGACTGCCTCGTCCAGAATGCATCCTTGCGACATTGCTCTGGGCCTCTGGAGAGGATGGAGAAACACTGTCCAATTTCAAGTGTCTTTAAAAACAAACAAATAAAAACACAAGTCACCATTTAAAAATAGGTAAGGGTGGGCCGGGCACGGTGGCTCACGCTTGTAATCCCAGCACTTTGGGAGGCCGAGGCGGGCAGATCACGAGGTCAGCAGATCGAGACCACGGTGAAACCCCATCTCTACTGAAAATACAAAAAATTAGCCGGGCTTGGTGGCGGGCGCCTGTAGCCCCAGCTACTCGGAGAGGCTGAGGCAGGAGAATGGCGTGAACCTGGGAGGCGGAGCTTGCAGTGAGCCCAGATAGCGCCACTGCACTCCAGACTGGGCGACAGAGCGAGACTCCGTCTCAAAAAAAAAAAAAAAAAAGAAAGAAAGAAAAAAAAAAAAGGTAGGGGCGAAACCAGCTACTGAAATGCAGTGGCGAAGCTCTCTCCCCAACAGGCTCTTTCCTACTGCTTCACTCCACAAAGCTGCTTCTCTGCATCCCCTATTTATTGAAAGAATTCACACATAAGAGTCTACAAAATAAACGCTCCTCATCGAAAGTTTGGGAGGGAGGTGAGCAATCTCTAGGAGTTAATTTTGAAGGGGTTACACTCTTTCAAAGAAAGAAAAATCAAGCTTAGAAAGTGAGAAGAATGTGCTAAGAGAAAACAAATTCTAT
Source organism: Homo sapiens (assembly GCF_000001405.40). Classification (NCBI taxonomy): domain Eukaryota; kingdom Metazoa; phylum Chordata; class Mammalia; order Primates; family Hominidae; genus Homo; species Homo sapiens. The sequence goes on along the minus strand of NC_000013.11, from coordinate 99,709,625 downwards.
CTTTTCAACTGCAGCTTTTTAGGAAGAGACACAGGAATGAAACAGCCAGGGAACTTCTGGAGCACCTCTTCTTGCTAGGAACTTTTTTGTATGCTATTTTGTAAAAAAAGAAAGAAAAGGACAGGAATACAAGCTGAGAAGGAGAAAATGTATCTCCCATTGGCCAGGACATGGACAAAGGCAGGTTCTCGGGTCAATGAGAAACACAGTAGCGGAGGACGGTGCTGCCAGCTGTGTCTTCGGCCAGGGCTGCTGTGACAGAGAACCACAGACTGAGTGGCTTCACTGACAGACATTTATTGTCTCACAGCTGTGGAGGCTGGAAGTCTGAAACTGAGGTGTCAGCAGGGCTGGCTCCTTCTGAGGACTGGTAAGAAAGGATTTGTTCCAGGACCCTCTCCTTGGCTTGTGGATGGCCATTGTCCCTCTATGCATGTCTATCTCTGTGCCCAAATTTTCTCTTTTTTTAAGGACAGCAATCATATTGGATTAGTGCCCAACCTAATCACTCCTTTTTTTTCTTTCTTTTTTTTTAGACAGAGTCTCGCTCTGCCGCCCAGGCTGGAGTGCAGTGGCGTTATCTCGGTTCACTGGAACCTCCGCCCCCCTGGTTCAAGCAGTTCTCCTGCCTCAGCCTCCCGAGTAGCTGGGACTACAGGTGCCTGCCACCACGCCCGGCTAATTTTTGTATTTTTAGTAGAGACAGGGTTTCACCATATTGGCCAGGCTGATCTCGAACTCCTGCCCTCATCATCCGCCCACCTCAGGCTCCCAAAGTTGTTGGGATTACAGGTGTGAGCCACCATGCCCAGCCTAATCACTCTTCTTAAATAATTACATCTACAATGGCCATGTTTCCAAATACAATCACATTCTGAGTACCTGTGGTTAGGACTTCAACATATGAGTTTGTGGGGAGGCAACACAATTCAATCCATAACAACAGCTAGTATTTACTGGGCTCTTACTGTGTGCCAAGTACTATGAATGAATGTCTCATCTAACCCTCTTAACCTATTATCTCCATTTTATAAATGAAGAAATGAGGCACAGAGAAGCTAAGTAATTTGCCCAAGGTCAACCAGCTGGTAGAATTTCAGAGCTGGAATTTCAGAACCTGGCCCTCATGGGTCCAAGGGGCTAACCACTATCCGTCCATTCCACTATATCATCTCAGTGTTCCACTCATTCAGGTATCTTTTTAACAAAATCAATAAATATGCATAAATGGCCAAGTGAGTGAGTGAATAAATGAAGTATATGAATGGGAAATAAACAAATTAGGTGGATGACTGAGAATTTCTACACAGTAAGGTGGGACCACTGTACAAAACACCCAGCATCAGGCCGGGTGTGAGGGCTCACGCCTGTAATCCTAGCACTTTGGGAGGCCAAGGCGGGTGGATCACCTGAGGTCAGGAGTTCAAGACCAGCCTGGCCAACATGGTGAAACCCAGTCTTTACCAAAAATACAAAAAAATTAGCCGGGTGTGGTAGTGGGCACCTGTAATCCCTGCTACTTGGGAGGCTGAGGCAGGAGAATGAACCCAGGGGGTGGAAGTTGCAGTGAGCTGAGATTGCGCCACTTCAATCCAGCCTGGGTGACAGAGCAAGACTCTGTCTCAAAAAGCAAAACAAAACAAAACTAAATACCCAGCACTCTTGTAGAGTCCCTAAGTCCAGGGTGAATGCTAAATGGAACCTGGCTGAAAGCATATCAGTTGTGGGTCCAACAGAATCTGTTTGGTGGTAGAAGACACAGGCATTCATGATTTGTGCTTGCCTCAACCCTAATGAAACAATTCTGAAATGACTTTCAAATGTAAGGGAAATGAGATTTGCATAGCTAGCCTGGGAAAAGCATAATATGGGCAAGTGTACAAATCACCAGGCTTTATCAATACCCTCACACCAAGTCAACTGTCACTGCAGCAACAACATGACTAACTGTCATTACAGAGAGAACTGTTTCTAGTAACTAGTGTTTCAAACTTTTTAATGTGTTTTATTATAAAACATATCATTGTAAATGTTCATTCGAAATCATTAATCCAGGCTGGGTGCAATGGCTCAAGCCTGTAATCCCAGCACTTTGGGAGGCCGAGGGGGGCAGATCACGAGGTCAGGAGTTCGAGATCAGCCTGGCCAACACGGTGAAATCCCGTCTCTACTAAAGACACACAAAAAAATTAGCCGGGCGTGGTGGCGCATGACTGTAAACACAGCTACCTGGGAGGCTGAGGCAGGAGAATTGCTTGAACCCGGGAGGCGGAGGTTGCAGTGAGCCGAGATCGCACCACTACACTCCAGTCTGGGCAACAGAGTAAGACTCTGTCTCAAAAATAAAATAAAATAAAATAAAATGAAATTGCATAATACTAGCACTTAAAGTACTCAAATTCAACTACTGGTGTTTGGAAGAAAAAAGTCTAAAGAAGATAAATAATTTGAACAGTATGACCTGCTCAGCCTTCACGTTACTCATTGAGGGTAAGAAGAAAGATGAAATCACTCTGTGAAAGTCATTCCAGATAGTCAAGGTTCTGTAAGCTTCTATCTTGTCTTGGGGGCTTAGTGTGATGCCTAATATGTTTAAAATCAAATTTCAAGCCTGGACAACACAGCAGGATCCGTCTCTACAAAAAAATACAAAAATTCGCTGGGCTTGGTGGCACGGCACCTGTAGTCCTGGCTACTCAGGAGGCTGAGGCTTGAGGATGGCTTCAGCCCAGGAGGTCAAGGCTGCAGTGAGCTGCAACCACTACATTCCAGTCTGGATGACAACACAAGAACCTGTCTCTAAAAAATAAATAAAAATAAAATAAAATATCAAAATGCTCCTTTTCCTCCAGTCTGACTCTAAATGCAGCCATCTTCTCCTTCTGGAGCTCGGCTGAAGAAGCAGAGATGCACTCCAGTGCTGGAGGGAAAATAGGTAATCAAGTTAGGGACATGTAGATCTACTGTAACATCATGAGCAATTTGGACTTGACTATATGTGATTTTCCCTTTACTATTGAATTTAGACTGAATGCCCAAGAAAGGTGCACTTACTACATATCACCTTCCGTAATACTCTATTGATAAGTTTTGGTCTCAGAAAAACAGGGCACCGATAATCCAAAATTACGAGGAATCCAAAAGCCATTTCCACCATAGCACAGCCACCGTGCCTACCTGACTGTGACCTTGAAATAACTGGAACCCCAGGAGACTCTCAGGATGCAAACCAGGCAAGAGTGTCCTGGAGGGTGGAAGAATGAATTTACAAAGAAGCTTGGTGCAGTTTTTGTAGTTTTGCTCTTTTGGCTATACAGTGTTTGGCTCAGGGGCATTTTATATCCTTCCCAGTGGCTTTGTCTTTATTATGTTGCTTTTAAAAATTGGGGCAAAATACGTCAGGCACGGTAGCTCACGCCTGTAATGCCAGCACTTTGGGAGGCCAAAGTGGGTGGATCACGAGGTTAGGAGTTCAAAACCAGCCTGGCCAAGATGGTGAAACCCTGTCTCTACTAAAAATACAAAAATTGGCGGGGCATGACGGCACGAGCCTGTAATCCCAGCTACTTGGAAGGCTGAGGCAGGAGAATTGCTTGAGCCCAGGAGGCGGAGGTTGCAGTGAGCCGAGATCATGCCATTGCACTCCAGCCTGGGCAGCAAGAGGAAAACTCTGTCTTTAAAACAAAAAAAAACAAAAAAAAAAATTGGGGCAAAATATACATAACATACAATTTAGCATTTGAACCATTTTTAGGTATAGTTTTGTCCTTTCACAATATTGTGCATCCATTACCACTATGTATCTCTAGAACTTTTCCATCACCCCCTACTGAAACTGTAAGCCCACTAACACCAATTCCCCATTCCCTCCTTCCCCCCAGCCCCGGGTAACCACCATTCGCATTTCTGTGCTGTGAATTTGACTACTCTAGGTACCTCATATAAGTACAATCACATATTTGTCCTTTTGCATATGGCTTATTTCACTCAGCATATCTTCAAGGTTCATCTGTGTTATAGCAGGTATCAGAATTTCATGCTTTTTTTTTTTGAGATGGAATTTTGCTCTCCAGGATGGAGTACAAAGGCACAATCTTGGCTCACTGCAACCTCCACCTTCCAGGTCCAAGCGATTCTCCTGCCTCAGCCTCCCAAGTAGCTGGGATGACAGGCATGTGCCACCACACCTGGCTAATTTCATACTTTTAGTAGAGACAGGGTTTCACCATGTTGGTCAGGATGGTCTTAAACTCCTGACCTCAGGTGATCCGCCCACCGTAGCCTCCCAAAGTGCTGGGATTACAGATGTGAGCCACCGTGACTGGTAGAATTTCATTCTTTCTTAAGGTTGAATAATATTCTTGCGTGTGTGTGTGTGTGTGCATGTGTACACCACATTGTAGTTACCCATTCACCTGTCGATGGACACCTGGGTTGCTTCCATCTTTTGGCTATCAAGAATAATGCTGCTATAAACATGGGTGTACCCATGTACCCAGGAACACAGTATCTGAGTCCCTGCTTTGAACACTTTTCGGTATATGCTTGGAAGTAAAATTGCTGGATCATAGTTATTCTATGTTTAATGCTTTCATTGTGGTTTGCTTAAACATAATGTTGCAAACATAATGTTGTAAATAGATGCATAACTGCGGTGAGCTGGACACAGTGGAGGTAGCTGAGATTTCAAATTGCCCTAGATAACCAAGAGTTGCCTTGTTTTTTGTCTAAGTTTGGCTCATGTAGGATGCTAGGAAGGATTAAAGACTAGGCTTAGGATCCGTGCTCAAGATGACCTGTGCATATGAAAGAAGTCCGTCTGCTGACAACAAAGTATTTAATATTCTAGGACAATGAAGTGTACTACCATCACCTGCTACTTCCTTTTAAATTAATTATATCAACTTAAACAACACATTTATTGAATGCTGACTGTCAAACGGCCCCCAAACCTGGCGTGTGCACCTGGTTCTTCTAAGTTTGTACACAGTCGAGCACCTGGCTCATAGAAAGTACTCAACACAGGCCGGTTTCCCTGTTCACAGGTCATAGTGTAAATACTTAACCTAGCAAAGAAAGAAATGCATTGTTGTTAGACAAGTTATAAATTGATATAATCATTATATGAGTCCTAATTAGCATCCAAATTAGTTTGCAATCATGATTTAGGTTTACAGGAAATCAACCTATGGCAACTGGGCTATTTTATAATGCAGAACTAGACTTCAAATGTTCTGAGGACATCCGTATAACTGGGTCACTGGACTTCCAAAAAGAGAAAGTAACCATCAAAGTAATATATTCCAAGAAGATCTCTATATCTGGGTCACTGGACTTCCACAAAGAAAATGAAACCATCAAAGTAATATAAATAAATCTTTCCCTTACTCTTTCCTGAAATGTGTCAGATAAAGGAAAAAGATATCTGAAGGCTTGGAGGAAATGAATGACAACACTCATTCAGAGTGACAACCCTCATTCAGAAGAAAGATCTGAATGTCATTAACAATATAAAGAAGTCTCCTTCTCTTGTTAATGGCTTGAGTCTTTACATAAGCAACTTTTACATAAATAACTTCCACAGGTGCTTTTTTCCTTTACCACATTCTCTAGAAGTCACTGACAACTGCAAACACAGGAATATCTCCACATGCATAAGCTTAGGTTTTGTTTTATAACTGTGAAATTTATGAGACATAGCATTCTATAAATCTTTATGCATGCTATACATTATCTTATATGTATAAGCTTTTTTATGTCTGTTGACATAAAAGTAGGAGCTTCCAACCAGTGGATAAGAGAAGATTAAGGTCAAATTTTTCATTCTGCTCTAAACCCAGGAGATGAGCTTACAAATAAAACAAACAAACAAATGCATTGTTTAAAGGAAAAAATATAGATAATCTTTCTGAATACATCTCCTGTGTAAAGGACATGTATAAAAAATGAACTAATTTTGGCCAGGCACAGTGGCTCATATGTGTAATCCCAGTGCTATGGGAGGCCAAGGTGGGCGGATCACGAGGTCAGGAGATCGGACTACTCTGGCTAACACGGTGAAATACCGTCTCTACTAAAAATACAAAAAATTAGCTGGGCATGGTGGCATGTGCCTATAGTCCCAGCTACTTGGGAGGCTGAGGCAGGAGAATCGCTTGAACCTGGCAGGCAGAGGTTGCAGTGAGCCGAGATCGCGCCACTGCACTCCAGCCTGGCGACAGAGTGAGACTCCATCTCAAAAAAAAACCAAGCAAACAAAAAAACTAATTTCAAAGGCATCCACACACTAAAAAACAAAGACAAGGTGGGAAGAAAACAAAAACCTGATATCATACTAAGAAGCTATGGTCACTTAAATTTAAAAAGGGACAATGGAGATGGTGGCCCCAACTGATCGCCTGCTTTGGCCTCCCAAACTGCGGGGATTACAGGCTAGAGCCACCTCGTGCCCAGCCCCGGAAACACAAATTGGATGGCAAGCCACAACATAAAAGAATAAATACAGAGCTAGTCCTGTTTGCATAATAGTCTGGGTTCAGTGAAATTTGCACTTCAACTAGATTACCTGAAGTGCCTTTTAAAGTGCTTAATAGTCTAGGACAATGAATATAGCACCCTTTTCTTTTGAAAAGATACTGTATTCACGTGGTTCCGAAAGGTACCAAAGAGTTCATGGTGGAAAGTATTCCTCTCACCCACTCAGCCCCTTTGTCTCTCCTTCACCTCCAGGAAGGTAACTGATGTTGTCAGCTTCTTATGTAGCAGAGCAACGTGCTTAGATATAAATCCAGAAGAACTAAAGGCATGTGCAGGTGACCACAGTAAAGGAGATGGAGCCAAAAAGGGCTATTTTCCAAGGAGCATCTTAATCTTTTTCCTCCTCGCCCCTTAAGGCAAAAAGCCTCTAGGCGCTCAGAGCTCTGTTTTATTTTGAACTTGCAGAGCATTCTGCATGAGCCTTCATTTTTAAATAGGTTTTTTTTTTTTTTTTTTGAGACGGAATTTCACTCTTGTTGCCCAGGCTGGAGTGCCATGGTGTGATCTCAGCTCACTGCAACCTCCGCCTCCCAGGTTCAAGCGACTCTCCTGCCTCAGCCTCCTAAGTAGCTCGGATTACAGGCATGCGACACCACGCCCGGCTAATTTTTGTATTTTTTAGTAGAGACAGGGTTTCACCATGTTGATCAGGCTGGTCTTGAACTCCTGGCCTCACGTGATCCACCCGCCTTGGCCTCCCAAAGTGCTGGGATTACAGGCATGAGCCACCGCGCCCGGCTGTGAGCCAATTTTTTAAGACCCCCAAAATAAGTAAATTAGGTTAAAAAGCAGACTTAAAAATATGTGGGCTGAGCGGAGTGGCGCATACCTGTGATCCCAGCACCTTAGCATTTTGGGAGGCCAAAACAGGAGGATCACTTGAGGCCAGGAGCTCGAGGCTGCAGTGAGCAAACATCATGCCACTGCACTACACCTGGGCCACAAAGCAAAACTCTGTCCCTAAAAAACAAAACAAAAAATAAAAGGTGTGATGAAAACAATGCCTAACACATAGTAGACAATCAGTCAGTAGCTGCTGAATGTCAGTGTGGCTCTAAAATCTGACACACCTGGGTTTGAATGTTGGCTGCTACTTACAGGGGAGAGGGGGTATCACTTCACTCCTTTGTTAATAAAGTATGTAACCTCAGCACTTTGGGAGGCCAAGATGGGCAGATCACCTGAGGTCAGGAGTTTGAGACCAGCCTGGCCAACATGGTGAATCCCCATCTCTACTAATACAAAAATTAGCCGTGCAAGGTGGTGCACACCTGTACTCCCAGCTATTCGGGAAGCTGAGGCAGGAGAATCACTAGAACTTGGGAGGCAGAGGTTGCAGTGAGCTGAGATCACACCCCTGCTCTCCAGAGTGGGTGACAGAGTGAGACTTCGTCTCAAAAATAATAATAATAAAATAAATAAATAAATAAGAAGTGATACTCAAGCCTTTGTTAAATGGGAATAAAACCACATCCTCAGGCCGGGCGCGGTGGCTCACGCCTGTAATCCCAGCACTTTGGGAGGCCGAGGCAGGCAGATCACGAGGTCAGGAGATCGAGACCATCCTGGCTAACATGTGAAACCCCGTCTCTATTAAAAATACAAAAAAATTAGCCAGGCGTGGTGGCAGGCGCCTGTAGTCCCAGCTACTTTGGGAGGCTGAGGCAGGAGAACAGTGTGAACCCGGGAGGCGGAGCTTGCAGTGAGCCGAGATCCCGCCACTGCACTCCAGCCTGGGTGACAGAGCAAGACTCTGTCTCAAAACAAAAACAAAAACAAAAACCACATCCTCCCACAGCTGCTGCTATCTTACTGGATTTAAATGAGACAATATATATAAAGAGGTAACATTTCCTGATATGCATTAAGTTCTGGGAAATGGCAGCTATCTTTATTTTTGTTGTGGGATATTTACAACCTCCTATGTACTTTTGGTCACAGAGATTATTTAGAGACTTGGTTGCCCCTGAGGGCACCCAAGGCTGTCACTGCAACATCTCTAACTTTGCACCATGCTGGGATGAAGTGACAACCGGCCTGGGCTCCTGGCTGTCTTACAGCATCCTCTGTAACATCACTGAACCAACGTCAACTTCCTCTGAGTGGAGAGGAAAAATTCACACTGGAAAACTGACATCGACGAAGAAATCTTGACAATCAGAGAGGGAAAAAAATCCAACTTTTCCGTAATGAATACTAAATCATTTGTTTTCAAGTTCTTTCATGCTGTGTTCAGAGAGACAGCATATATTGCCAGTGTCCCATTATACCTTAACGCCAAAAAGAAAAGCATTCAAATGTTGATTCTTGAGGCATTATGTTTACTTATCACTCCCTGCAGCAAATACACATTTGAGTTCTCTGAAGACTGGCCCACTCCATCCACAAAACGCAAACAGCCAAGACCAGTGAGGTCCTTCAACGTGAAAGGGACATCAAGGCTTCGGGGCCCCTCAGCTGCTGGGAAGAGTTGTGTGTGTTAGCCTGGAAACTTGAGGGAGTCAAAGCCCCAGACTTCCCATCACAAACACCACCACAGGACGGAACTTGCCTCCTTGTCGTGGGTCCAGTGTCCAACCTGGGTTGTTTACAAGTAGCCATTTAGCGCCTTCCTTGGTGCTGTTGTTTTGTTTTGTTTTGTTTTGAGATGGAGTTTTTCTCTTGTTGCCCAGGCTGGAGTGCAATGGTGCGATCTCCGCTCACCGCAACCTCCGCCTCCAGGTTCAAGTGATTCTCCTGCCTCAGCCTCCTGAGTAGCTGGGATCATAGGCGCGCGCCACCATGCTCGCCTAATTTTAAGTAGAGATGGGGTTTCTCCATGTTGGTCAGGCTAGTCTCGAACTCCCGACCTCAGGTGATCCGCATGCCTCGGCCTCCCAAAGTGCTGAGATTACAGGTGTGAGCCACTGCACCCGGCCTTGGTGCTGTTTTTACACCGTGGGTGTGTTTGTTGTTGCCCTTCCAGTGAAGGAGAAGAGAAGAAATGGGAATGCTAATGCCTGTTTTCATTGCTGGCTGCAATTTGAAATGGGAAAGTGCAGTAACATTAGGTTTATTTATTTATTTATTATTTTCATTTTATTTTATTTTACTTTTTTAGATGGAGTCTCGCTCTGTCGCCCAGGCTGGAGTGCAGTGGTGCAATCTCGGCTCACTGCAAGCTCCGCCTCCGTGGTTCACGCCATTCTCCTGCCTCAGCCTCGAGTAGCTGGGACTACAGGCACCCGCCACCACGCCCAGCTAATTTTTTTGTATTTTTAGTAGAGACGGGGTTTCACCTTGTTAGCCAGGATGGTCTCGAACTCCTGACCTTGTGATCTGCCCACCTTGGCCTCCCAAAGTGCTGGGATTACAGGCGTGAGCCACTGCGCCTGGCCTATTTTTATTTTTTTTTTTGAGACGGAGTCTTGGTCTGTCACCCAGGCTGGAGTACGGTGGCGCGATCTCGGCTCACTGCAACCTCCGCCTCCCGGGTTCAAGCAATTTTCCTGCCTCAGCCTTCTGAGTAGCTGGGATTACAGGCGCGTGCCACCATGCCCACCTAATTTTTGGTATTTTTCGTAAAGATGGGGTTTCGCCATATTGGCCAGGTTGGTCTCGAACTCCTGACCTCGTGATCTGCCTGCCTCAGCCTCCCAAAGTGCTGAGATTACAGGCGTGAGCCACCACGCCCAGCCACGTTTTTATTTATTTATTTATTTAGAGACCGGAGTTTCGCTCTTATTGCCCAGGCTGGAGTGCAATGGCACGATCTCAGCTTACCACAACCTCCACCTCCCGGGTTCGAGGGAGTCTCCTGCCTCAGCCTCTCGAGTAGCTGGGATTACAGGTGCCCACCACCACACCCAGCTAATTTTGTATTTTTAATAGAGACGGGGTTTCTCCATGTTGGTCAGGCTGGTCTCGAACTCCCGACCTCAGGTGATCCGCTCACCTCGGCCTCCTAAGGTGCTGGGATTACAGGCATGAGCCACTGCGCCAGTCCCAGGTTCATTTTTTAAAATGTCAGTGTTTAACATTTCCTCCATGTTAATGATGAAGGGAAAAAAAAAATCTTACTCCGAAAAATGACTCTTTCATAGAACATCAGTGTTAGTTTCTGAGTGGCACGTTTTAAAAACATTTAATCAGTAATCTGAATATATGTCAACACCTTCTGGCGGTGTGCTATAAAATGTGAACCTTGTCAACAGCAACAGAAAAAGGTGACACACTTGGGACACAGAGCTTTTATGCTGACACACAGTAATAATATAATTTTAAAATTTATCATCTGTTTAGCTGCAAGCAACAACAATTAATCTTTTTGACAATTCATACAATGCTTTAAATAACACCTGGGCAGAAAAACCACACATTCTAATTTTTACTTTCATCATCTTCCAGGGCTTTATAGCTACAAATGCATATAAAGCCACACACAATAAATTTTGTGATTAGGATTAAAATGTTAGCAAAAAATATTTCCCTTGTCACCGCATGCCCCTCCTTGCCTCAGTTAATAAAATTACTTAACATGAGAACTGGAACTGAGAGCAAGTCCCAGTGGAAATGTGGGCCTCCAAGGGTTCATTTCTGTCACGTCAAATGACATTTTATTCCCAAATCATTTAACCTACGACTTTGCATAACTACTTATAGCTTGAACGTAATTCTGATGGGGACCCAGAAATGACACTGATCCCTCAACTAGAAACTCCATCAAGGCACGGTAATACTGAGCCCATCTAATTTAACAATTAAAAAAAAAAAACAGCAGCCAGGCACTACTCGGGAGGCTGAGGCAGAAGAATAGCTTGAACCTGGGAGGTGGAGGTTGCAGTGAGCCAAGATTGTGCCACTGAACTCTGCACTCCAGCCTGAGAGACAGAATAAGACGGCACCTCAAACAAAAACACAAACAAAACAAACAAACTCCAGCATGGCAAAACGTCTTCAAAATGTTCAGCAGCATGAAAACACATATGTGTTGTAAAGATTTGTTTCATGTGTCCTGTGAGGCTTCCTGAAATTTAGTATTAGGCCACACTAACAACCTTAATTAATCTCTTTCCTATTACACATGAAACCAAATGCACATTCCCAAATATACCTGTTGGCCCAGTGCCCTGCTGCCCTGGTGCTTTAAAAGCCTGTTGGGAGGCCCGGTGGGGTGGCTCACGCCTGAAATCCCAGCACTTTGGGAGACTGAGACAAATGAATCACTTGAGGTCAGGAGTTCGAGACCAGCCTGGCCAACATGGTGAAACCCCATCTCTACCAAAAAATATAAAAATTAGCTGGGTGTGGTGGCGGGTGCCTGTACTCCCAGCTGCTCGAGAGGCTGAGACATGAGATCTGCTTGAACCCAGGAGGCGGAGGTTGCAGTGAGCCAAGATCGAGCCACTGCACAACACAGTGAGACCCTGTCTCAAAAAAAAAAAAAAAGAAAGAAAGAAAGGCTGGGTGCAGGGGCTCATGCCTGTAATCCCAGCACTTTGGGAAGCCAAGGCGGGAGGATCACTCAGCCTGGCCAACATGGTGAAACCCCATCTCTACCAAAAAAATACAAAAATTAGCTGGGTGTGGTGGCACGTGCCTGTAATCCCAGCTACTGAGTGGGGAGAATCACTTGAACCTGGGAGGCAGAGGTTGCAGTGAGCCAAGATTGCACCACTGCACTCCAGCCTGGGTGACAGACAGCGACCTTGTCTCAAAAGTAATAATAATAATAAAAAGCCTGTGGGATAAAGCAGAGCCAACATCAGCACGAAAGAAGACGCAAGCGAGAGTGAGTAAATCAAAAGCTAGTGACATTTGCAGATAAAACTATGGGCGGATCCTTGCAAATAACAGTAACCCCACTGTCTGCACACCCCTTTACAATTACCCTTCCAAGACTTTGATTATACCCATTTTACAGATGAGGAAAGCAGAGTGCTACAATTCAGGGGCTCTCCCAATCCACATCTACATCCCATGTGTTTTGTAATGTCATACACCCCAAATATCAACTAAGACCCCACAATAATAAAGAAGCTAAGAGGGCTTGGCCAAATGCATAAGGGCATTACAGGACAATGGCTGTGGTTTGGAAAAGCAGTAGCAGCAGAAATACATAGAAAAAGATAAGCTCTGTTGAAACAGAGAAGACAGGGTCAAAAGATGCAGTATGTTACAATACATAACTGTACATTTGTAGAAAAAAATAGAGACTTAAACTGTCTACAGATATTTCCTTATCTTCTCATCTTTCTTTTCATCTTTTTCTTTTTAAATTTAATTTGTGTGGGTTTTTTTTGTGGTTGTTTTGTTTTGTTTTGTTTTGGTAGAGATGGGGTCTTGCTATGTTGCCCAGGCTGGTCTTGAACTCCTGGCCTCAAGCAATCCCCCTGCCTTAGCCTCCCAAAGTGCTGAGATTATAGGCACAAGCTACCATGCCCAGCCTCATACTTTTTTTTTTCCTTCTTTCCCAAGTCTAGGCCTCCTAGGATGTAATCAAATCAATTTTTACCATGTGCCATGTGTCTTATGTATCAGGACTTGAATCATAGATTTAAATTTCAATAACTTTTACTAACAATCTTTGTTACAGGACACGTGCAGTGGCTTATGTCTATAACCCTGCACTTTGGAAGGATTGCTGGAGCCCAGGAGTTTGAGACCAGCCTGGGCAACACAGGGAGACCCTGTCTCTATAAAAAAACTAAAAATTAGCTGGGTGTGGTGGCATATACCTATGGTCCCAGCTATTCAGGAGGCTGAGGTGGGAGGAACTCTTGGGCCTAGAAGGTTGAGGCTGCAGTGAGCCATGACCATGCCACTGCACTCCAGCCTAGGCAACAGAGTAAGACTCGGTTTAAAAAAAAAAAAAAAGTCTCTGACATGGTTTTGGTGTCAGACTTCTATACATCCCATAACTTTGTCCACACATTTATTAGCAAAAAATTATAGAGCCTTGTCTGGAAAAGACTTGCCAGAGGAGAGCTTGCTATTCTACATGGAAAGTCAAACTTTCTCTAGTGGCCTCTCTGACTCAAGGACCATCACTCTAAATTCCTATTTGAGAGTCTCAGCAAAAACTGCCTAAAGGCTTTCTTTGTTCTTTGTTACTGTTGGGGCTCAGAACACGATATCCCCAAATATGCACCTTGTCCTACTGAGTACTGTAAACTGAAAGAAATCGAGAAAACTGCAGAAGTAGGAAGGTCACCCTCTGACCTTCTCCCTCCTCCCCTGAAGACCCTCATGTGACAGGTGTCCTGCCCTGTACCCAGAGAAAAGAAATGTCACACTGGGGACGGTGGCTCATTCCTGTAATCCCAGCACTTTGGGAGGCCAAGGCAGGGGATCATCTAAGGTCAGGAGTTCGAGACCAGCCTGGCCAACATGGTGAAATCTCTCTCTACTAAAAATACAAAAATTAGCCAGGTGTGGTGGTGCGTACCTGCAATCCCAGCTACTTGGGAGGCTGAGGCAGGAGAATCTCTTGAACTCGGGAGGCGGAGGTTGCAGTGAGCCAAGATCACGCCACTGCACTCCAGCCTGGGCGACAGAGGGAGACTCCGTCTCAAAACAAAAAGGAAAAAAAAAATGTCACACAGGAACACCAAGAAGAATCTGAACGGGCTTGCTAAGTTTATTACGCTACATCAAACCCTTTTGTTCTCTCATCATATTTCTGCTTGACTGTCCATAAAAACGCGGTTTTCCCTGGGTCTTTGAGGCTTCATTTCAGAAGCCTCCTGTGTCACATAAAACTTGTATTAAATATATTTGTGTGCTTTGCTCTTGTTAACCTGTCTTTTGTTATAGGGGTGTCAGCCATGAACTTTGCAAGGGGTATGGAGAAATCTTTTCCTACTTATAAAAGGAACTGATCCCCCAGCAGAAAGGGACCCAGTGACAGGTTCCTCCATGCCCCAGCTCTGAAGAGCTTCTTGGGAAGCTTCTTTGAAACGGTAGCAGGAACTTTTAAATATGAATATTTTATTTTTAAAGTTAGAATTCTGGAATAATTGGAGCCCAGTGAGGGGATTCGCGGCTTACCCAAGCCGTATCGCTCTCGCGGTGGGATGGATGAGGAACCTGAGGCCAAGGACTTCGCGAACATGCTGAGGTCTGTTGAGGCCCCCATGATGATTAACCATTTTCCCATCCCTACAGGGCAGAAAAATCACTTCCCCACTGAGGAGTTCTTTCCCCCAACTTTCAAAAGGAAAAAAATTCCCCACACTTAATCAACTGATATGCAAGTTTCCTTGTAACTGTTATTATCATTTAGGTCTAAGGTCTGAAACAGAACTACCCAGCCAGTGGGGAAAGCACCGATGTCCAGGGCACATGCGCAAGACAGCAACTCTTAAAACGTGTTTAATTACAGGGAGCCCCTCACAGCATGGAGCCAGGACACACAGATCTCAGAAAGCAATTTTCCATTTAGACGTGCTCCTCGGTTAATTAATGAAGCAAGCGGGCCAGCAATCTGGACAAGGAGACAAGGAGCACCCCACATGATACAACACAGGTAAAGGTATGTGTGAGCCGGAATGGAGATGGAACCTGCTGGAACCAAATGTGAAAAACAGCCATTTATAGAGGTGGCCCTGATGGATGGGTAAGTGCCAGGCTGGTGAATGACATGCTGCCCTCTCACTTCGAGGCTGAAACGTGGAAACACTCTGGCCATCTGCTGTGTCTGCGGAAGTCCCCAACACAGACTTGGGGAAGGAAAACGCACGCTTTGGTTGCAGCTGTAACACATACATGTGCACAGCAAATGTGTGTGCACTCTTGGCTCTGCCGGGTTTGCAGTCTTGACCCTCAATGACTGATGTTTTTCTCCAATTGTTCTATCAGATTCCCCAGGTTTTTACAGGAATTGGTTTGTGTAGGGGGTGCAGGACACACAAGGGAGGGAAGACACAGAGCAGCCACTGATTTTCAAATGAGCCCAATTCTACTGTGACCACTGAAATGCCTCACAGATGAAGGAAAGAGGTTCCAGTGCCTTGATGGAGGTTTGCGCCAGCCATAAATCCTGCTTAGCTTCCTTCCATTTACAGTTTATTGCATTAACATTTCTTTTGTGCGAGCTGCTGCTGGGAACCTATTGTAAATTTGGGCAATTACGACTTTTGTTCCATCTGTCCCTCCCCTCCTCAGTACTGTAACATCAAAGGTGGCCAATTCAGTAGGGGCCAGCTCTCTCTTAAATCCAACCTGAAATACATGTTAGAAATCACAGGCTCCGAGTGAAAGGTAGCAGAAGAAATCAGAAAGATGCTGCTCCAGCCTTCTGAGATAGTCTTAAAATAATCTTTCTTAAACCTCCTGCACAATGCTCCCAAGTCAAAGCCTGGATAGGTATCTTAGTGCCTCCTTGTCCAAATCCCCCTTAAAGTAGATGTATGAGTCATTCCTGAACCATGTCAAACAGGGAGTGTGCCCCCAAATACTGGGGTTTCCACCAGCCTTGCCTCTGCTTGGGTTTCAGTGGTACTTAAAATAATCTCTCTTAACGTATCTGCATAAACCAGAGTGGGTCACATCACTGCCGTTGTGGGGATGAGGCAGCCTGAGGAAATCCCAGGATGCTGGTGAAGGTCCCACAGCAGATAAGGAGGGTGTGCACCCAGCTGGAAGGCTTGATGGATAATACCGAGCTGCCTCCATTCCTGATAAGCTGTCACTTGCTACAGGGAAGAGAGAAAGAGAAAGCCTGTGTTCCCAGGTATGCTGGTGATTTTAAGGGAAGGAGGATGTTGCATTGGTCAGTTTTATTCTGACCAGTTTCCTAAGAACCTACTTTGTGCCTTGGTGAGTGCTGGACTGTGGGGGATACAAAGATGAAGAAGGATAATCCCTGTCTCAAGAAACTTAAAACCTAATGGAGGAGACAGATCTAATGATAATGAATATAAGATGCTTCATAATTAGTTTCATAACACAGGCACAAAACGCTATACATCCCAGTTCCTCAAAATGTTAAACATAGTTACCATAAGACCCAGCAATTCCACTCCTAGCTATATACCCAACAAAAATGAAAACGTATGTCCAACCAAAAACTTGTACACAAATGTTCATAGTGAAATTATAATGGCCATAAAGTGGATATCCCCCAAAAAATATCCATCATTGGAATGGATAATGGGGTATATTCCTACAATTGAACATTACTGGGCCAGAAAAAGGAATGAAGTACTAATGCATGCTACAACATGGACAAACCTTGAAAACATTATGCAGAGTGAAGGAAGCCAGAGATAAAAGGGCATATTTATATAGTCCCATTTATAGGAAATGTCCCGAACAGACAAATCTATAGATTTAGAAAGTAGATTAGTGGTTGTCAGGAGAAAGGAAGAGGGGTGCATAGGGAGTGAACCCCAATGGGTATGGGGTTTCTTTTAGGGTAAGGAAAATGTTCTAGAATTAGATAGTGATGATCATTACACAACTTTGTGAAGAGACTGAAAACCACTGACGTGTGTCCTTTAAAAATGTGAACTTTATGGCTGGAGGCGGTAGCTCACACCTGTAATCCCAGCACTTTGGGAGGGTGAGGCGGGTGGATCATAAGGTCAGGAGATCAAGACCATCCTGGCTAACATGGTGAAACCCCGTCTCTACTAAAAGTTCAAAAAAATTAACCGGGCGTGATGGCGGGTGCCTGTAGTCTCAGCTACTAGGGAGGCTGAGGCCGGGGAATGGCGTGAACCCGGGAGGCGGAGCTTGCAGTGAGCCGAGATCATGCCACTGCACTCCAGCCTGGGTGACTGAGCAAGACTGTCTCAAAAAAACAAACAAAAAAAAAAAAACAAAAAAAACAAATGTGAACTTTATGAGAGCTGAACTATGTCTCAATAAAGCGACAATTTTTAAATGCAATGGGAGGTCAGTGTGGGGAGTAATTGTGACTAAGGGGCAGGGCTGGCATATGTAATGCGTCTGCTGGCATTAAGCACAACTTGTGGATTCTAAGCACTTTCTTAAAATGAAAGAATGAGTGAAGAAAACAAATCACTGGATTTACTGTTCACTTCCAGGCTATCATATCCATCCTGGCTATGAAGGATGTACACTGAGTTTCTACGTTCTGAAACTGTTATTACTTAGGCACAGTCCACAGAAAGATCAGTCTGAAAACTCAGGGACCGGGAGCTCCGTGCAACATGGCTTTCAAGATCCTAGAAACTCTCGCTCTGTGTTCCCACCACCCTGGGCTGTTTCTTCATCCCATGGGTCCTTCTGTATTTATTTGTCCTTTGCACTGTGATGATTTGGAGGCAGTGACTACGCCTTTTATCTCTGTATCCCTAGAACCAGCAGCACATAGAAGGGACTTGCCAGGTGACTGCGGAAGAAGGGAGGAAGTCGCTATTAGCTTATGAGGAGCTTATAGTCTAAGTTTCAAGCTTTCTCATTTCTCCATTTTCTTATCACGTACAGTGATTACACTAAAAATACTCTGGTACCCTAGTGCTGGTTTTTTGTTTTTTGTTTTTTGGTTTTTTTTTTAGGTCAAAATGGGTCACACAGTGGCAATTTCATATGACTCAATCTAACACAAAGTCACTAGAAAGAATGTCTTTCGGGTCCCATTTCATGATACAAAATGGTTTTTAAACGTCGTTCCCTGAAGATCCTTTGGGGAGCACCAACAGAGAGATAATGGGGAGTGATTCTGATCCCCAACTGTCCCCTTCCCCCCCAAATTTTTAGAGTTTCTATGTAAGAGTTGGTTTGAACAAAAGACTTGTGTCTAAAAATTAGTTTGTAACTAATTTATTTATAGTATTTATAACTCTAGATAACTTAGATATTGATTAAGAAAATATCCCCCAAAACATGTTCTTTAGATCAAGGAAATAAAAAGTAATGCTTAAGCTTTTTGTTTCAGTTCATTGGAAAGCTACAGTGCTTACACATTTTTATGCTGTCTACCATCAGTGCATCTAGGGAAGGGCATCTATGGATGAGGCTACCATGTGGGAAATTCTTGAGTGGGCAGTGAGAGAGGGTTAGCAACTCAAAGCAAGTAATCCAAGGGTTAATCAGGAGAGACACTCAATCCAGAAAGTGCTCATTAACCCAAGCCTTTCTGCATAGTGTCCCTACCACCCTGCTGCCTCTAACTAAACAAAACACGGTAGGTCTCAGTGTGAGAGAGCGCTTTTGTTCACATAGGAGGCTGACAGCTATTTGCGATGAGGGGTTTTTGTTTGTTTGTTTGTTATTCAAATAACTTTTTTCCCCCTGAGGAAACTGAAAGGGAAAATGTCAGAAGTATGTGATTAATGATTTTTTAAAATAGATGGGATCTCCCCGGTTGAATTGAAAAGTAGGTACTGAAAAAGAATCCATTTCTAAATGGTAGATTTTCATATGTAAGTTTGATATTAATTCTTTCAAAAGAGTTGTGCCTGTGAGTCAGATAAATGACAGGAAGGTCTGTCTAAATACCAGCATCCTCGGAAGGGCAGCTGTTCAGAAACATTCTCAAATCATGAAGATAAATAGAACCGGAACACTGATGATTCCATCAACTGATGGTGAGGGAAACATCCAATTCTATCTTAACCTCCAAGCTGTGCGGTATTACGGTGCTTCCTAAAATGCTTTTAAATAAATACACAAAAAAGCCCGTGTTTGCTGGGGATGGGGGAAGTTGGTGATTGGGTTTGGGGGGCACAGGGAAGAGAAGTAGAGAGGAAAAACATACACCAAAATCTATGTTCCTTTTTTAAGGTTCCTTTTAATCAGATCTTAAAGCAAAGACAGAAGCTGAAAACATTTCTAGTAAATAAAAAGCAAAGAACTCTGAATGCTTAGCCGACCAGAACCCCGGAAGGAGCCCGCCTGGTACTGCCAGGCATGACTGCCTTTAGTGGATTTAACAATAAAAAAGAAGATGGCGCCAAATGACCAAACTACATGCGACTTTCCCTTCCCGCAAGAAAAGTGAATAAAACTTTCCACTGGGGCTGGGGGAGGAGGCAAGGGACCAGTCCAGAGAGATAAAATGCTACTTAACAAAACAATGTGGATAGCATTTAGGCCACATGTAAATTTCATCCACAGAGCTTGCAAATGGCATGCAATTTACTGCTCAGAGGATGTAACCTATTTGAGTCTAGAGAGCTAATTAATAACACAGTCTAAAAAGAACGCAGAGTTAATCGCCATCCATCTCCTGGGCTATTTTAACTTGTTTTTTTGACAGTTGCTGTTAAACAAAATTCTAAATATTGTTATAGCAGTCAGTTATTAGTTACCTTAACAAGATGCAAGTTTGGTGTTGGTCAAAGTTAAATCCTTTTAAAAAAAATACTTGAAAAAGTTGAAGCTGCTCTCCTCTTTAGAGCTTGTTCTGTGATGGATAAAAATTGCATCTATAAAGGTTTCAAGTCAGGTCACATTTAGAAAGTAATAGTAAATAACAGTAACTGGTAAACACAGTCCTAAGTCTTACTTGCAATTGCTCAAGTTGAAACAATTGAATACAGTCTTCAAAAATCATACTCTCATTTACAGATATGACTGGGCACATGGGATTTCAATCATGCTCCTTCATTGCTGAGAATCATGGAATTAAAATGGTAATAATTTTTACCTCTCACTTTTCTCTTGCCTTTTTCTTCCTTTAAGCATACCTGCACTAAGTAATTTTTGCTTTTCACTGATAACAAGAGAAGTTAGAGCCAGATTATTTTCTCTGGGACAACCTGTCTGTGATTGCAAGAATATAGTTCAAAACATCCTACAACTGGTATATGTGTAGCCCACCCTAAATCCTGTCTCCCCTGAAGCTTGCTGAAGGAAAGCGTGATGCCTCTCCATTCTGACCTGGTATGTATGCTTCTGGAATCCTGAAGCTGAGAATGAACTATATCCACTTTGCAGTAATGAAGCTTAAAATGTCAAAGATTCTGTAAGAGATTTTTGAGTGGAGGAAGATACTTGATGAATTTATGTGAAGTCCCAAGGGCTAGATGCTGGGACCCTAGATTCCAGCCAGAGTGTACTTACTAAGGACAGGAGGGGTGATGCTTGGGGTGTGAGGCCGGTTTTATTGAGAGTCCTTCCAAAACTGAGTGGGCAGACCTGGAAAACGCAGGTTTCACCTTGGCCTCAGTCCCAAAGGTGCATCTGTACCACTAGCTTTTGTCAGGATGAATGACGGTGCTGAGTAATTTCAGGAAAGCAACTCATCTGCCCAAATATGACTGCCAAAATATTCAGAATAATGTAGCTTAGCACTTCAATGTAAATTTTACTTTCTGACTTCACAAATAAGGAAGAAGTTGCCTTTTGGACGCTCTATCTTTTGCACTGGCTTTAATACCCAGGAACGGCCACTGTCAGATCCTCCATTCCATGCAGGAGCTGGAAGAGATATAAGGAATGTATTTCTTCTCTCTCTCTTCATGTCACCACCCTCTCATTTCCAGTTCACTTGTTATTCTTAAAGAGTAATGCCAAGTTTGTACACTAAAAAAAAAAAAAGAATCGGACTAAAGAAAAGCCAAATAAGTAATATAATTAGTAAATATGCTAATTCAGATTAAAATATAAGTCTTTAAAAAGTTCAACTTGTTATATGTAAAATTATTTTAATGACATATTGGAGAAAAATCTGGCATTATGCTGCCAAGAAGGCAATACATTTAAGGCAATCTTACAAAGTATATGAAATCACAGACTGTAATATCCTGCAACTATTTTAATTTTAAAAGCTCAGTTTACAAATATATACTAATATTTTTCTCACTTTTAATCGCTCCCCCACTGTTTTAGCATAAGAGCTAAAATAACCTAAAACGGCCCCTAAAACACACACAGCGAGTCTGTTACACAGATCTGGAAACCAAAAAAAAATGTATGAAGGAAGGAATTTTCAATAATCTGAAACAGAGTAGCAAAAAATGTGTGTGGTTTCTAGGTTTTCACTACTAATAAAAATTTTTCCTGGGAAAAATTTTACTTTAAAGCAACTCTAAATGAAAATGCATATAATTAAGGGAAAGACCGTTGCTTCAAACAGATTGACTGTCTTTAACAAGTTTCTCTCTTTCTAGCTACTCAGATATGCTATATTTCCTAATTATCACCTTTTAAGGGCCATCTGGGCCCATTCCTCCCCATCAGGGGGCAATTCCATTTGCATTGTTCCTGGGCTTAGTCATGATCAAGTAGTCTGGTGGTAAAGTTCATTAGAAATTAGAACAGAAGCATTCAACCCAACACAGTAAACCAAGTATCTGATACTCAGGCACCCGCAGGAGAGATGATAAGCATGTCAGACATATTCTCACATAACTAACAAGTCTTCAATGTGCATTTTATCCAATTGCTTAAAGAAACATTCAGCCTGGTCCCTGACCAGGTATGTAATGAAGATTTGATTAAGTCTTCTCACACTGCAAAACATTTCTCAGTTAAGGCAATGTAAGTATAGTCCCTTATGTCTTTTGGTTCAAAAGTCTATTAAAAACCCTTTAATGGTTCCCTCATTTAGCCTACCATTCACAAGCAGTATACTACTTCCTTCCTGTAGAGAACACACAAGAATTATCCTAATTGTATTTTCTGTGAAACAAACGCACATTACAGGAAAAAGTGGATCCAGCCCTCAGTCCGATGCTGACTAGCTATGGGTCCCTTCTGTCCTCACCAAGAGATCATCCTATAGATTCACAAGCTCTTTACAAACCTGTGTGTGTGCCAAAGGCATGCCTGGCCCATGGGTATGCTAGATAGTCCAGGCAGCTGCTCTTCAACAGAGCTGATTGTAAAAGGTATGGCTAATTCAAGGCAGGCATATAAAAGGTTTCCCGCTTCATACCTCATAAGGCCTGATACATAAAACCCAGGAAATCGTTACCTGCCTCATCTTGCAATTTCTGAGCCTGGCTTGCAATGGCCATCTTAATCCGCAACACCAGCCTATTGAGATTGAGGAGGAGTGCTCCATGCTGAGACCTACAGCCTCTTGGAGCTACACCTTAGTCTTGCAAATGAAGACAGCTGCAGCGGGCCCTAATCTATGCAAGGCAGGTGTAGCCCCGGAGCTCTCTGCAAGTGACCCTTGGAGCTATTAGGGCTGGGAAGTTAAGAAGTTACAGTTATAAAAAGAACTATTTCATAGCCTCTCATTATCGAGGTTACTAAGCTTTCTAAAGGAACAATGGCTTATTTCCTCCCATTTGTGCCTTGATATCCTCCCCTGCCCTTCTGAAATTCCCTGTTTAGACAGTTCCTAATTCTGACCCCGGCTGAGACACTTTAAATTGGTGGCATAGCTCGTCCCCAACTGATGCTATTCGTTCAATGCTGTGTTGAAAATTTGAATCTGCGTCAAGTTTTCCATTTTAAAAACCTATCCTAAAATCCACTATCCAGACAGAAGTGGAGATTTCAGGAGAAAGTAATGCTTACAGAATCATCCCAAGATTCAATAATGTATATAAATGATACTTTAGTACTGCTTAGTAAATTAATCTAAAGCAAAACATTGCATTACTGAAACTGAGCCAACAACAATTCACTCAAAAAGCAGTCACTGAGTCTCTCTCTCTCTCTCTCTCTCTCTGTTGAAACAAATACTTTTATGTCTGAGGCCAGCTCCTGGCCTCGAGAGTGTCTCTCAAAGGACTGTGGAAACAGAACTCCAAAGATGTTTCTGCTATAGAAGGAAATGGCTGTGTCACTGTGTTATCAGCAAGGCCACCAGATGCTCAGAGGGGAGGTGGTGCTGGTGCTGGGCCGAGCCGGTGAGCTCAGCACTAGGAGCTGCCGGCTCCTGCGAGTCAGGCCCATGTCAGTCTAGGAGCATAGTCCAAATGGAGCAGCTATATATGCCCTGGAAAAACTCAGAGCATGTAGCCTGGATTGAAAGAAGGTCTCCTCCCAGGGCTCTCACCCTTTTCTTAGCTCAGAGTGTCCCTGAAACAGCTCCACACAAATTCCCGGGAACTGCCACACTGTCTTCTCCAGCATAGCACAAAAGAGAATAAAGGGGGAAATTTGGTCCTGGAGTCAAAGGTGGGCTCTGAATCTGTTTGACTGTATAGCAGGAATCACAGCACTCTTATCACAGGGACGCAGGAGAAAAATGTCTATGAGATTCTTTTTCTTTTTTTTGAAACAGGGTCTTGTTCTGTCGCCCAGGCTGGAGTGCAATGGCGCAATCTCCGCTCACTGCAACCTCCACCTCCCGGGTTCAAGCGATTCTCGTTCCTCAGCCACCCGAGTAGCTGAGATTACAGGCACACACCACCAAACCCAGCTAATTTTTGTATTTTTAGTAGAGGCGGGGTTTCACCATGTTGGCCAGGCTGGTCTCGAACTCCTGACCTCAAGTGATCCACCCACCTTGGCCTCCCAAAGTGCTGGGATTACAGGCTTGAGCCACCGTGCCCGGCCTCTAAGAGGTTCTTGAGAGAGAAGGACTCAGCAAACCTTAAGGCCATCCTCTTATCCACTGGGAACAAACCCCTCACACCACCAACCATCTAAAGGAGTGAAGTTTTGCTCCGATGATGCTTAAATTATATCGGTTTCAGTAGAGGAGGTTGCTGAAACCCAAAATCATTGTATGTGGTTATAGTGAAACTTTGTCAGTCAAGTTCATTTTTTTAAGTTCGATTTTAAGGCTTACTTTAAAAACCCAGGAGAGGATATATTAATTTTGAAATAAAGATTATAAATATGTTGAAACATTGGCTTTTCTTGAAGAATTATTTTAATTTTTTATTAGTTCTACTGTATTTTTTCTACCCTTCACTTCTGGAATACACATAATAGGCTTTTTCCCCCCTTCAATTTTTGTAGAACTATTGAGTTTTCATAAAGGTATAAAGTTTGAAACAAGTACAGAAAGCTTGTAAATGTACCAGAAATGCTGTGCTATACTTCCATACCCATTACTTCTAACAATTTCACAAGAAGGGGCACATTTTCGTGAGTTGTGTGATGTTTTAGCAACAAGACTCCTATGGACTTTAATGGAAGTCACACAGCTAAAACTCCATGCACCACTTTGAAAATTTAAGAGTAATTGCTAAGTCCCCCTTAGAGGGTCATAGAAATATTAAAAACCAAAGTATTTTGCTAAGAACTCCAATTACGCCTGAAGGCTTACATCAGATTTTATCAAACAATTGGTCACATATATAATGTACTCTAATGCTGTTTTATTGGCTGGTTGTTTTCTTTATAAAAGAAGGTTTTTGTGAAGTCCTGTGTGAACAGGAACATACAATACAGTAACCTTTGGTTCAAGTGTTCACTCCAACCCATGGTTCAGTCTTATGGGGTGGTAGCAGTGGGAAACAAATGGGCCTGGGAACATTTTATCTTGTTATTATTTCACAGGGGATCATTATGTTCACTGCATCATCGGACTGGTAGATTTTGCAGAAATACATGAAGCTGTTGAACATAACCAATCTGCCCTGGTGAACATTCATCCTCAGAATCCCTTGTGACTGGCTGGGTTAAGAAGGCTGATCCTTTATGGGTGAGGTAGTGGTAGTAGCCTAAGAACCCTGTCTTAGTAGAACCTGCCTTCCTTCCAGAATCATAAGAAGGTTCATTCATGTGGTCGGAATCCAGCTTTTCTATTTAAATTTTTTGTTTGTTTGTTTTTAGATACAGTCATGCGCCACATAACTTTCAGGTCAACAACAGACCAAATATACCACAGTGCTCCCATAAGATTATACTGGGCCGGGCCCGGTGGCTAAAAATACAAAAATAAACTGGGTGTGGTGGCACGCACCTGTAATCCCAGCTATTTGGGAGGCTGAGGCACGAGAATTGCTCAAACCTGAGAGACAGAGGTTGCAGATCGCGCCACTGCCCTCCAGCCTAGGCAACAGAAAGAGAATCTGTCTCAAAAAAAAAAAAAAAAAAAATCAAACATGCCAGGCCCGGTGGCTCACATCTGTAATCATAGCACTTTGGGAGGCCGAGGTGGGCAGATCATAAGGTCAGGAGTTCAAGACCAGCCTGGTCAACATGGTGAAACGTCGTCTCTATTAAAAATACAAAAAAAAAAAAAAAAAATTAGCCAGGCATGGTGGCATGCGCCTGTAATCCCAGCTACTCAGGAGGCTGAGGCAGGAGAATGGCATGAACCTGGGAGGTGGAGCTTGCAGTGAGCCGAGATTGTGCCACTGCTCTCCAGCCTGGGTGACAGAGTGAGACTCTGTCTCAAAAAAAAAAAAAATTTTATATATATATAGCAATACAACCATGCACAGTACATAATACTTGATAATAATAAATGTTACTGGTTTTATATTATGCTTTACATTTTATCTTCATTTTAGACTATACGCCTCCTTATTAAAAAAAAAAAAAGTTAACTGTAAAATAGACTCATGTGGGTCCTTGAGGAGGCATTCCAGAAGAAGGCATTGTTATCACAGGAGACAACAGCTCTGTGCGTGTTATTGCCCCTAAAGACCTTCCACTGGGACAAGCTGTAGAGGTGGAAGACAGTAATATTGATGATCCTGACCCTGTGTAGGCCTAGGCTAATGTATGTGTTTGTGTTTTTGCTTTTAACAAAAAGTTCAAAAAGTATAAAAAATAAAAATTAAAAATATAAAAAAGCATATAGAATAAGAGATAAAGGAAATATTTTTGTACAATGTGTGTTTTAAACTTACTGTTACTATAAAAGAGTCATAAAGTTAAAAATATAAACAAAGTTTACAGGCTAGGCGTGATGGCTCAAACCTGTAATCCTAGCACTTTGGGAGGCTGAGGTGAGCGGATCACAAGGTCAGGAGTTCGAGACCAGCCTGGCCAAAATGGTGAAACCATGTCTCTACTAAAAACACAAAAATTAGCCTGGTGTAGGGGGGGGCACCTGCAAGCCCAGCCACTTGGGAGGCTGAGGCAGGAGAATTGCTTGAACGTGGGAGGCAGAGGTTGCAGTGAGCTGAGATTGTGCCACTGCACTCCAGCCTGGGTGACAGAGCAAGACTCCATCTCAAAAACAAACAAAACAAAACAAAACATATATATATATATAAAGTTTATAAAGTAAAAAGTTGGGCCAGGTGTGGTGACTCACACCTGTAATCCCAGCACTTTGGGAGGGCGAGGTGGGTGAATCACCTGAGGTCAGGAGTTCGAGACCAGCCTGGCCAACATGGCGAAACCCCCGTCTCTACTGAAAATACAAAAATTAGCCGGGCGTGGTGACAGGTGCCTGTAGTGCCAGCTACTCAGGAGGCTGAGACAGAAGAATCACTTGAACTCGGGAGGCTGAGATTGCAGTGAGCCAAGATCACGCCACTGTACTCCAGCCTGGGTGACAGAATGAGACTCCGTTTCAAAAGAAAAAAAAAATGTTATAGTAAGCTAAGGTTAATTTACTACTGAAGAAAAGTTTTTTGTTTTTTTTAATAAATGTAGTATAGTCTAAGTATATAGTGTTTACAAAGTCTACAGTAGTGACAGTAATGTCCTAGGCCTTCATATTCACTCACTGCTCACTCACTGACTCACCCAGAACAACATGAGGTCCTGCAAGCTCCATTCATGGTAAGAGCCTTCTGTGAGTGTTCCATTTTAAATCTTTTATGCAGTATTTTTACTGTACCCTTTTTCTGTTCATATATGTTTAGATATAGAAATCCTTACCCCTGGCTGGGCGCGGTGGCTCACTCCTGTTATCCCAGCACTTTGGGAGGCCAAGGTGGGCAGACCACAAGGTCTGGAGTTCGAAACCAGCCTGGCCAATATGTTGGAACCCCATCTCTACTAAAAATACAAACATTAGTCAGGCATGGTGGCAGGCGCATGTAGTCCCAGCTACTCAGGAGGCTGAGGCAGGAGAATCACTTGAACCCAGGAGGTGGAGGACGCAGTGAGCCGAGACTGCGCCACTGCATTCCAGCCTGGGCGACAGAGCGAGACTCTGTCTCCAAAAAAAAAAAGAAAAGAAAAGAAATCCTTACCACTGTGTTACAATTGCCTACAGTATTCAGTAGCTACATGTTGTGTAGGTTTATGTCAGAGGGGCAATAAGCCATACCACACAGCCTAGGTGTGCGGTAGGTTGTAACATCTAGGTTTGTGGAAATACATTCTGTGATGGTAGCACAACGATGAAATTGCCTAAGGATGCATTTCTCAAGACGTATTCTCATTGTTAAGTGACACATGACTGTAATCTGAAACTAACAGAAAAGATGCAAGGAGGCAGGGAGTGGTGGCTCACACCTGTAATCCTGGCACTGTGGGGGGCCGAGACAGGTGGATCACTTGAGGTCAGGAATTTGAGACCAGCCTGGCCAACTGGTGAAACCCCGTCTCTGCTAAAAATACAAAAAGTAACCAGGCGTCGTGGCACATGCCTGTAACCCCAGCTACTCAGGAGGCTGAGGCAGGAGAATCGCTTGAACCCGGAAGGTGGAGGTTGCAATGAGCCGAGACCGTGCCACTGAACTCTAGCCTGGGTGACAGTGGGAGACTCTGTCTCAAAAAAAATAAAAATAAAAATGCAAGGATAGCTAAATAATTCCTGAATTCTCCTTACCCAGTCTTACCAACTGTTAGCACTAACATTCTGCCACATTTCTTTATCATTACTGCTCTCTCTGTCTCTCTTGGTCTCTCTCTCTCCATATGTATAAATACAGATATAGATAGGTAGATATGCATAATATATGCAGATATAAATTTATTTTTATATAGTATGCACCTGTATTTTTTCCGTGAACCATCTGTAAGTTATATTCATTGTGCCCCTATACTCTTAAATGGTTCCCCAAACCAAGGACACTCTCCTACACAACTTTATTGCAATTATCCAAATCAGAAAATGTAACATGGGTACGATACTAGTATCTATTCTACAGGCCTTATTTAAATATCACAAATTATCCCAATAACGTACTTTATCTCCATTTATTTTTCCGGCTTAAGATCCAATCCAGAATCACTCTTTACATTCAGCGATGATGCTTCTTTAGATGAAGTAAGTTACAGCACTACTTCCTTCTTAGGACTTTGTTCACAGACTAAAGACTCCACTCATAATCTTCTGAATGTTATGGCGCTGGTCCAAAATAATCACAAAGGAAAAATTTTAATTTATAGGACAACTCAAATTATCTTTTTCTTCCTTTCATGGAATAGGAAAGAGTGTGTGGATAGGCCACAGTAAAACATCATGAAAAATGCGGCGCTTATCAACTAGGTAGTTTGTTTATTGGGTCCATGTCTGATGCTAATGCTACTAAGGTTTTAGGCAGTGGGAGAAACCCAGTGGTCTGTCCTAAGGCCAAAGACTGGGCCCTTAGTTTCAGCAGCCATCCACGTCTCTGCTACTACACAGAAAGAGGGCTAAATATGGAGCATAGGTATTCCATAGGCACATGGCAACAGCATCAGGGAATACACTCAGAATCCTTCTACCCTGGTGGGCCATTCTGTGATGGAAGCACATTGGATAACTCAAGGTCTCACTTAGGTATAAAACAAACAAGCTTTTCGACTAGTGATGACAAACTCTGGGTTCTGGATTGAGGATGAGGGGTTTATTTTCTTCTCTGGCCAGTCCTAGTCCGTTATTTTTGGAGGCCTCTTGTAAAATTACCTTTTACAAGGTTGGTCAACTTAGATATCATTCTTTTATTTCATTGCAACAGGAAGATTAGTTAGGCAACTCTGCTATCCTAACCTTATGAATGCCATCTCATCAGGCTAAGTTATGTACCTTCTAACTTGATTCACAAAACAATGAAAGTAGAATCTAGGAAAATTGGAGTACGTTTTTATGGAAGGGTGGACTGCATCATCGAAGACTTGCAGGCAAAACCACAGAGAAGTACAAATGGTGCTCTAGAAATTAAAAATGGGTGTCAGATACTAACCTGTGAATGTGTGGAGGAAGACGATGTTTATAAAGAATGCTTTTCATTTGCTGTCATAGGCACTGCCATATTGAAATTCCCCCATTAATTAGTAGGCCAACTTTAAACTGACACTTCCCATGAAAACACGAGCCAGTTTTCAAAGTTGTGAATGCAAAAGTTTCCAGCACAAATACTGAAAAGTACAAACTGAGCATCCTAAATGTTTATATTAACTATTGCCCCAAGAAGGTAATATGGTCATTTAATATTATTTAATGCCTAAGTACATGCATTAGACAGTAACATACATAGCTCTTTAGGATGCTGTTTCTCACATCAGGATCTAGTTGGCCAAACATTTCCTTTGAATGACGTTTAATAACGTGCACCTGGAAATCTGAGGGCAGCTGTGGCATTTTCTATGTAATTAATGGCTAGAGGAATCCATAGAAATGCTTTTCTTCCCATTTCTACCAGACATTTCCCCCCCCACCCTCTCCTTCCCATTTTGGAAAGAGAAGAAATATGGCTTATATAAAGTGGATTGTGGTTACTCATTACATGACATTTGGACAGATGTGTCATTTGCAGATCTAAAAGGTCTGTGCTTCACCACCCTCTACATAATTACTCAGATCACCATCTGAGGAGCTGTAAGAGTGATTCACAAGGAAAAAGAAAGTCCCAGCACAGTGGAGATCTGAGTAACACTGGGAAACAAACACAGATTCCCCGGGTGAGGAAGATGGACGCTGAATACCCTAAAAGGTCACATTAAAGAGGAGTTCTGGGACATTAAGAGCATTTCTTGAGGCCCAAAATTTCGATTCTCCTTTTCTGACATGTATCCAGGGCAGAATTTAATTAGCTTATACAATTTTGGTACAATTAGCTTATACTATTTTTCTTTTTCTTTTCTTTTTTTTTTTTTTTGAGTCGGAGTCTCGCTCTGTCGCCCAGGCTGGAGTGCTGTGGCGCAATCTTGGCTTACTGCAACCTCCACCTCCCGGGTTCACGCCATTCTCCTGCCTCAGCCTCCCAAGTAGCTGGGACCACAGGCGCCCGCCACCACACCCGGCTAATTTTTTGTATTTTTAGTAGAGACAGGGTTTCACCGTGTTAGCCAGGATGATCTCAATCTCCTGACCTCGTGATCTGCCCGCCTCGGCCTCCCAAAATGCTGGGATTACAGACATGAGCCTCCACGCCTGGCGTATACAATTTTTCTAATGAGCAATATATTAGAAATACAAACAAGTTAAAATATTTTGAGTGAGAGAAACAATGGTTACCTAAGTGTCCAGCACATACTAGGTCCTCAATAAATATCTAGTCAGTGAATAAATGCTAATAGAATTATCCTGTACTTTCTGGAATTTTTTTTTTCTGTACTTTGTATTTTTAAAGAGTTAACCTAAATTAAAATGTCAGGAGACTGAAATATTTCACGCTCTTTCTGCCTACCTTTTAATTATATAAAAGATGATTGTAACAAACCCACAATGTAAGTCTCCTCAAACAAAAAAGATAATAATACTTTCCTGATTTCAGTTTGGTTGCAGAAAAAAGGCAAATTGGTGCATAATTAACAATTTGTTGGTGTAAATTCATCTGCATCTTTTAATTGGTGTTAATTAGATTAGGACTAAAATTTCTTTAATCCTCTATCTTGCCTTTTTTGATGCAAACTAATTTTCTCAGCTGGATGTCAAAGTTTCCCATTAATTACACTTTTCTAAAGGGAGCTTCTTCAACAATGTAGACTCAAACATATAGACCAAGAGCAGATTTCAGCAGAGCTTGGAATCAACCTTTTGGGAAAAATAAGGCATGGTGAGAAGTGACACTTAGGAGATAACTAGTGAATTTACCCAAATTCACTGGTGAATCAAGGCTTCCACAATTAGCAAATCAGAGACTGTCTGATACATGAGAGCCTCCAGCATTTGGCAGCTGTAAATAACACCCTGTAACACAACTCTGCCGCAGTGCAGATGTTAGAGCAGACCTTCTGAAACAACAATGACAAAATGTTCAGCCGTATGGTTAAGAAGACAACTTCCTTTTAAAACTCAACAATATCGGTAATGCCATTGCCTTTTACTCTGCATTACCCAGGGGCCATTCATAAGGCTGGCATGGCTATTTCCAGTGGAAAACACGCGCAAATGTAAACCATCTTAAGTGAATTAAGTTCCACATTTCATACGGTTTCCTCCAAATATTGCAACTCTTCTACAACGGTTAGCATGTCAGGAGGAAAAGCCACAAAATACATTCAATATCTTTTATGGCAAGGTGACCTGAAATAAAATTTTATGTAGTCAAGGATTTCTGATAGTTCTTTATCCATAGCTTTCCTCTCACTCTGTAGCAGTGATGATTGAAACCCGATGTGTACTGCAAAAAAGGGCTATAAATCTTTTTATGTACAAATAAAACAGTAGCCATTAAATTTTGCTATGATGTCTGAGTAGATATTCAGCATGAAAACATGATAAAACAACTGTAAACTGATTGTGATCAAATGTAATTACAATGACTTGTCTCCAATGAATGACATGAACTAAATACAGTCACAGATTTCTCCAAAATTACTTTGGGCAAAGAACCAAGAGAACACTATATCCTTTCTTCACTAAAGGCATTTTGCCAGATAAATCGCAAACACACAAGCTTTAATAACTACTGCCAAAAAAGCACTTGGGAACTCATTATGGAAACGTTTAAAACACACACAGACACAGACACACGTGCACTCATATTTAATAAAAACTCTTCCTCCATATTAATATAATTTTACTGAAAAAGCCACGTGTTTTGAGATTTTTAATTGATGCTCCCCAGAAGTAAATCTAAGGAGTGATCGGCAATTACAAGCTTTTTTTTTTTCCTCTCTCAAAGTCAATGTATTTGGCTGCCGTTTCTGGCATCTTTATCTTGGAGAGGTTATAAGAAAATCTACTTGGATATTTTTATGCAGCTAAAAGTAAACAATGATCTGGATTCTGAAATAATCTGATCTTTTCAATACGCCAATGCAGGTAGATTCTCTCCCTCATTCTCTGCCCTTTTTGAGGTGACTTATTGCATTACCTCCAGGAACAGAAAAAATAAAAATGACCGTATACACAGGAGTCACATTCAGCAGTAATTATGGCTGACACAGGTCTACGAACCTAAGGACCTGGGAAAAAAAGGGGACAATTTGTGCTCTCAGCTCTACTGTCCAACTTTGTCCTTTTTTTTTTTTTAACCTCTAGTCCTGAAATTGTGGCAGTATTTATCTATACACCATTTGGGAATATTATTAAGAATGATGGGCCGAGCGCAGTGGCTCATGCCTGTAATCCCAGCACTCTGGGAGGCTGAGGTGGGCAGATCACCTGAGGTCGAGAGTTCGAGACCAGCCTGACCAACATGGAGAAACCCCATCTCTACTAAAAATACAAAATTAGCTGGGCATTTTTCACCCAGTGGTGGGGCATGCCTGTAATGCCAGCTACTCGGGAGGCTGAGGCAGGAGAATCGCTTGAACCTGGGAGGTGCAGGTTGCAGTAAGTCGAGATTGTGCCATTGCACTCCAGCCTGGGCAACAAGAGCAAAACTCCACCTCAAAAAAAAAAAGAATGAAGAAGGCTGGGTGTGGTGGCTCATGCCTGTAATCCCAGCACTTTGGGAGGCTGAGGTGACTTGAGGTCAGGAGTTTGAGACCAGCCTGGCCAACATGGCGAAATCCTGTCTCTACTAAAAAAACAATTAGCCAGGCCTGGTGGCAGGTGCCTGTAATCCCAGCTACTCGAGTGGCTAAGACATGAGAACAAATGAGGTGGAGGCTGCAGTGAGCCGAGATTGCGCCATTGCACTCCAGCCTGGGTGACAAGAGTGAAACTCTGTCAGAAAGAGAGAAGAGGACAGGAGGGGAGGGGAGAGGAGGGAAGAAAGAGAGAGAGAAAGAGAAATAGAAAAAGAAAAAGAAAGGGAGGAAAGGAAGGAAGGAAGGAAGGAAGGAAGGAAGGAAGGAAGGAAGGAAGGAAGGACGGACGGAGGGAAGGAAGGAAGCCAGTCTGTGGCCAGGGGTGGTGGCTCACGCCTGTAATCCCAGCACCATGGGAGGCCGAGGCGGGCAGATCACCTGAGGGTAGGAGTTCGAGACCAGCATGGCCAACATAATGAAACTCTATCTCTACTAAAAATACAAAAAATTAGCCAGGCGTGGAGGCACAGTGCCTGTGATCCCAGCTACTTGGGGGGCTGAGGCACAAGAACAACTTGAACCCGGGAGGTGGAGGTTGCAGTGAGCTGAGATCATGCTACTGCATTCTAATTCCATTCCTAAGTATAACCCCAGAAGAAATATACCCATACAACAATGTGTACAGAAATGTTCATAGCAGCATTATTCATAATAGCTAAAAAGTAGAAACAACCTAAATTTCCAACAACTAATCAATGAATAAATAAAATGTGGTATATATTAGTACATACAGTGGAATATTATTTGGCCCTAAAAAGGAATGAAGTACTGCCACATGCTACAGCTTGGATGAAGCTTGAAAACATTATACTAAGTGAAAGAAGCCAGTCACAAAAGACCACGTATCGTATGATTCCATGTATATGAAGAGTCCAGAATCGGCAAATATAGAAAGACAGAAAGTAGACTAGTGGTTGCCTAGGACTGAGGGTTTTGGGGGAAAAGGAGGAGTGACTGCTAATGGGAACAGGGTTTCTTTTGGGGCTGAAGAAACAGTGATAGAAATAAAATTAATCATGGTGATGGTTGCATAACACTGAATAGACTAAAAACCATTAAATTCATTGAACTGTATACTTTAAATAGGTGAACTGTATGAGATGTAAATTATATCTCAATAAAGCTGATATAGACACATAAAGTATATACACATATAGGGCATACATATATAAGGTAGAAATAGTCACATCTGTAATGCAGTGGTCCTGGTCCCCTTTATGTATGTGACAGTAGAAGATGCAGCATCAATATTAAAGCCTGATGAGTGCTCCAAATACGGTTTCATTTAAATATTGTCTGCCCCTGAAGAGGAGGAATATTAGGAAAAATCCATTCCATGCTTCTACCAAATCTGCTCTTGTCAAGGTCACCCATGACCCCCACGTGGCTAAATCCAATAGCCCAATTTTTGTTTTTTTAAGAGACAGGGTCTGGTCTGGCTATGTTGCCCAGACTGGAATGCAGCAGCTATTCACAGGAGCGATCATTGTTCTCTGCAGCCTCGAACTCCTGGGCTCATGCCATCCTTGCATCTCAGTCTCCTGAGTGGCTGGAATTATAGACAAGCACCATTGCATCCAGCTTTCAATAGTCGATTCTTGGTTTCCTAATTATCTGACCCAGTGGCAGCAACATCTGGTGCAATCACCCCCTCCCAACTTGCTGTACTGTTTTCACTTGGTTCCCAGGACATATACTCCTTGGTAATCATCCTATCTTACTGCTCATGACTTCTCCATCTCCTTTGCTGGTTCCCCCTCCACTTCTTCTTACGCATCCCTTAATGTTGGAGTGTCCAACATTAAGACAGAAAATAGATTAGTGGTTGCCTTGGGCTGAGGTCTTCGTGGGGAAACGGGGTGTGACTGCTCAGTCAGCTCTGTGTCCATTCCTAAGTCACCCCACCCAGACTTTAAATACCATTTCTCTGCTAACAGCTCCCACACGTACATCTCCAGACCCAGCCTCTCTCCCCAAAACTGCCTACTTCATACCTCCACTTAGAATTCTAGTAGCTATCAGCTGGGCATGGTGGCTCACGCCTGTAATCCCAGCACTTTGGGAGGCCGAGAT
This sequence comes from Homo sapiens, assembly GCF_000001405.40. Classification (NCBI taxonomy): domain Eukaryota; kingdom Metazoa; phylum Chordata; class Mammalia; order Primates; family Hominidae; genus Homo; species Homo sapiens. The sequence continues at coordinate 99,674,396 of NC_000013.11, read as the reverse complement.
GGGCAGATCACGAGGTCAGGAGTTCGAGACCAGCCTGGCCAACATGGTGAACCCCTGTCTTTATTAAAAATACAAAAATTAGCCAGGCATGGTGGCACGTGCCTGTAATCCCAGCTACTCAGGAGACTAAGGCAGGAGAATCGCTTGAACCTGCGAGGCGGAGGTTGCGGTGAGCCAAGACCACACCATTGCACTCCAGCCTGGGTGACAGAGCAAGACTCCATCTCAAAAAAAAAAAAAAAAAAAAAAAAAAAGAATTCTAGTAGCTAAAAAAAAACGAATTCTAGTAGCTATCTTAAATTCAACATGTCCAAAGCTGAACTCTTGACCTCCACCCCTACCCCAACAAAAGCGTGCTCCATTTATTGCCAAACCCATTTTGAAAGCCACTCTTTCCCTCCAGTCACACAAACCAAAAACCTTGACAGTCATCCTTGACTCCTCTTTTATTTCCAACTGAGAAACACTCAACCCACCAGGAAATCTCATTGATTCTGCTTCGAAACATATCCCAGGTACATCTCACTCAGTTTGAGACACCAGCAGCTCTCACCTGTCTCACAGCAACTATCTCCTGACGGGTCTCCCCACTTCAACCCTCGTCTCCTACATGGTATTCTCAACATAACTTCTGGAGGGATCTGTTTAAAAACTCTGCAATGGCTCCTCATTCCACCTGGAGTAAAGCCAACATCCTTCCAGCGATCTGGCCTCTGGTTCCCCCTCTGGTCTCACCTCCATTGCTGTGGACCCCTCTCACTTCACACCAGCCCACAGCCCTCCCTGCTAACCACGGACACACAGGGCTGCTCTACCTAGACCATTCTTCCTCAAAAGTATTCAAGGCTAAGTCCTTCCTCTCCTTCAAACTTTTGCTCAGATATTACCTTCTCAATGGGGCTTATCCTTACCCCCTATTTAAAATAGCATCCTGCCTCCCCTCATTTCCTTTGCCCCTGTCGCACCATTTCTTTTTTTTTTTTTGAGACGGAGTCTCGCTCTGTCGCCCAGGCTAGAGTGCAGTGGTGCTATCTCACCTTACTGCAACCTCTGCCTCCCGGGTTCAAGTGATTCTCCTGCCTCAGCCTTCTGAGTAGCTGGGATTACAGGTGTGCGCCACCATGCCCGGCTAATTTTTGTATTTTTAATAGAAACAGGGTTTCACCATGTTGGCCAGGCTGGTCTTGAACTCCTGACCTCAGGTGATCTGCCTACCTCAGCCTCTCAAAGTGCTGGGATTACAGGCTAAGCTACCATGCCTGGCCCCTGTTGCACCTTTTCTGTTGCACCATGACACTGGACACTTTCTAAAATTCTCCATGACCAACTTATTTATCTCTGTTGTTACCATCAGCCTGCTGAATTGTAAGCTCTAGGGGGGCAGATTTTGGTTCTGTTCATGGATGGATCTCCCCAGTGCCCTGAACATGGTGGCTCCTCAATACCCATTGGGCGCATGGATGAAGGACTGCTGAAGATCCCATGCGCCCTTCCCCTGCCATCATCTGGCTAATGGCAACTTTAAGGGTTAAGGGCATAGAGTTTTGCCACACAGATTTTCAAACAAAATGAACAGTGGAGAAAAATGAGGTAAAATGTTATTGTTGCTGTTTAATATATATTTTTTGAGACAGGGTCTTGCTCTGTTGCCCAGGCTGGAGTGTGGTGGTACAATCACAGCTCACTACAGCCTCAACCTCCTGGGCTCAAGTGATCCTCACACCTCCCAAGAAGCTGGGACTATAGGCACACACCACCACGCCTGGCTAACTTTTTTTTTTTTTTGGTAGAGATGGGGTTTCACCATGTTGCCCAGGCTGGTCTCAAACTCTTGGGCTCAAGCGATCCACTTGCTGAAGCCTCCCAAAGTGCTGGAATTATCGGTGTGAGCCACCACACCCAGCCCTGTATAATATTTATTATAGACCTGAAATACACTAGGTGACAGAGAAAAGAGACTCTCAATTCCATGTCTTGTGGATGTTTAGATATTTATACTTACCCAGTAAAGAAAAACTGATAGGCAGCTAGGCACAGTAGTGCATGCCTGTTGTCTCAGCTACTCTGGAGGCTGAAGTGGGAGGATCACTTGAGCCCAGGAGTTTGTGGTCGCAGTGAGCTATGACTGCAACACTGCACTCTGGCACTCCAGCCTGGGTAACAGAGTGGGACTCTGTCTCAAAAAAAAAAAAAAGAAAAAAAAAAAGAAATTCCCGAAGAAAAGATTCCAGGAGTCACCTAGTCACCTACAGTGTATTTATTCTTCCTTGAGAAGGGCTCTAACAAGAGGGACGACAGCTAATAACAATACAGCTCTGTATAAAGGAACTGTATCATCAACAAAAAGATGTGAGACATACCCATCACTCAAGAATCACCCAGAAGGCCTGTAGTGCCTGCCTCAGAGGTGACACCCAAAAGGAGACGGTGAAGGGTGGAGTGAGGGCGAGGATGTGAGAAGGGGACTGTGTGCTTGGGAGGGAGGTGCACAAGTCAGGGACGTGAGTCCAGGCACAAGGGCAGTCTCTCACACATCCCTTCTCACCTACCAGTTTGAGTCCCTGTCACCTACTAGGAGGACTTTTGCAGTAGCTTTTATTATTTTTTTTTTTTTTTTGAGAAAGAGTCTTGCTGTGTCACCCAAGCTGGAGTACAGTGGCGTGATCTTGGCTCACTGCAACCTCTGCCTCTTAGGTTCAAGTGATTCTCCTGCCTCAGTCTCCCGAGTAGCTGGGATTACAGGCACGCACCATCACACCTGGCTAATTTTTGTATTTTTAGTAGAGGTGAGGTTTCACCATTTTGGCCAGGCCGGTCTCAAACTCCTGACCTCAAGTGATCTGCCCACCTCGGCCTCCCAAAGTGCTGGGGTTACAGGTGTGAGCCATCGTGCCCAGCCTACAGTAGTTTTCTATTCTTAGCTTTTCTGTTTCAGTCTCTCCCTTGCCTTCACCAAGCACTTAAATCTATTTTGTCCATGGCTATAGATCAATCTCCTTAAAGTGCAATCATACCCTCCCCTGATCAAACACTTTCAGTAGCAACTCCCTGCTCAGCTCAAACTCTTTGGCCTGCAGTAGGGAAGACAAACATTATACGAGAAAACAAAAAACAAAAATTGACAGACTGTGATAAATGCCATGAAGGAAAGAAACAGGATGCTGTGAGAGAGAATCATGGCAGGGGGTTGAGGATAAGAGTCCTAAAATAGGATGGTAGGGAAGGCTTTAGGGCCTCAAGAGGACAAGGAGCCAGCTACAGAAAGAATCTGGCAGCAGAACCAGCTAGTGCAACAACCCTGAGGCAGGAACTAGCTCGCTGTATACCGCAGGCACTGAAAGGAGACCGGTGTGTCATAAGGGCAGCGGACAAGGGAGAGAGTGGCATAAGATGTTGCTGGAGAGGTCAGCAGGAGCCAGCAATGCAGGGCTTTGGTGGCCACAGTAAGGAGGAGGGATTGTATTCTAAGTTCAATGGGATGTTTTGAAAGATATGCAGGGAAGTGACATGATCTGATTCTCTGGCTTGCTGTATGAAGAACAGAAGAGGAGCAAGCATAAAGTAAAGACCATGGAAAATATTGAGATGTTTCATGGCCCAGTATTCCCAATGAGCAGAGACCTCCCATGGGTGGAGGGTCAAGCTGAATGGTAGAAAAGGACCACGGAAGGTGTAGCTAAGATCAGGGGGTCAATTTTGCAGTTAAATCGTATTTTTGTTGTTGCTGTTGTTTTGGCCAAAAACAAATTGTAAAACTGAAAAAAGTCAGTAATTGAGGAAACTTTCACAAATATGAAATGTTAAAACATTCTTTTCATTTGGATAGTTGAAAGAAGGGCAGAGCAGAGATTTCTAAATCCTAAAACAGGCCAGTAGATGCCTGTTTTTAGAGCACGTGTCTAGAAACTGCAGGTAAGTTTTGTTTCAGGAAACATAAACAAGTTATGTTTCAGGAAACTGCCACGGGAAATTCCACGTAACATAACTTGGATGGTGAAGAACTTCTTAAATTTAATTTTTACTTTTTTAGAGACAGGGTCTCGCTACTTTGCTCAGGCTGGACCGCAGTGGCTATTCACAGACGCAATCATAGCTCACTATAGCCTCAAACTCCTGGGCTCAAGTGATCCTCCCACCTCAGTCTCCCAAGTAGCTGGGACTATAGGCATGCACCACTGCACCTAGCTCTTTTTTTTTTAAGATGGAGTTTTGCTCTGTCACCCAGGCTGGAGTGCAGTGGCACGATCTTAGCTCACTGCAACCTCCGCCTCCCAGGTTCAAGCAATTCTCATACCTCAGCCTCTTGAGTAGCTGGGACTACAGGTGCATGCCACCATGCCTGGCTAATTTTCATTTTTTTTTTTTTAATAGAGACGGGGTTTCACTATGTTGGCCAGGCTGGTCTCGAACACCTGACTTCAAATGATCTGCCTGCCTCGGCCTTCCAAAATGCTGGGATTACAGGCGTAAGCCATGGCGCCCAGCCTGCACCCAGCTCTTTAAAGTGTCATTTATACACATGGAAATTTCTAATAGGCCCCTTGCTAAAACAATAGAATGAAAAAATATGCCTATAAGGAAACTTAACAGATTGAGTAAGCCCAAACTTGTCTTGCAGTTCTAGGAACCCTGTCACTAATCATGAGATATATGCTGTGTGGGGTGCAGAACACTGTTTGTATCTCAGTTGTGAGTAACAGCTCTTAAAAGCTAAAAATAGGGATCTTCATGGGAAATGAAAAAGAAAATGTACAACATCCATGCAATTGAAGGTAGGCTCTCAGTAAACTAAGAAATCTTTTCAGAGGTAAAGAAAATGAAATAATGATTTGAAACTACCACCCAACTCTCCATTTCCTATTTGGGAAAAGCTAAGGTTCTTTGGAATATCTAACTTTTTCAAGGCTTATGACACCCTCCCCTCCCATCCACCTCTCCCCTCTCTCCAGTTCCTAGAAAAATGACTGCATAATGTGCTTGTGGAATTTTTGCAAATGGCTAGAGAAAGCTCTGGAAGGAAGAAAGGACAAGCTACATGTTCTTCACGTGTCTCCATGCCCCTAATGCCTCACTCCCCATTCAAAGCTAAGGACCTGGCCGGGCGCGGCAGCTCACACCTGTAATCCCAGCACTTTAGGAGGCTGAGGCGGGCAGATCATGAGGTTGAGAGCTCGAGAGCATCCTGGTCAACGTGGTAAAATCCCTTCTATACTAAAAATACAAAAAAATTAGCTGGGCATGGTGGCACATGCCTGTAGTTCCAGCTACTTGGGAAGCTGAGGCAGGAGAATCGCTTGAACCTGGGAGGCAGAGGTTGCAGTGAGCCGAGATCGCGCCACTGCACTCCAGCCTGGTGACAGAGCAAAACTCCATCTCAAAAAAAAAAAAAAGCTGAGGGCCTATAAAGTCACCCCTAGATCTGCCCACACTTCTTGGGCATCTGCCTCCTGCCTTCTCCCCGCTGAACCAGCTTGTCCTGCCCTGGAGCCCCTAGTGAATCTGGCTTCTGCACTCTTCACCTAGATTAACACCTTGATTCAATCATATCACGGCCTTGGAGTGTGATTTTATCCCTTCATCCTATTTTCTGGATTGGCTTCCAGCACCTTGGACCTGGCCAGGACACCCCCAGCTTGGCATCCCAGAAGCCCGGCAGGCTGGGGTTGCTGTGTCATTGTACCATCCTCATGCCCAGGGAGGGGATTTAGACATCAGCAGTGATGAGCGATAGTTCTCATTTTTCTTCTATCTACCAAAATACATTCATCTTGCTCAAATAGCCAATATTCTTTTTTTCTTTTTTTTTTTTTTGAGATGGAGTTTCGCTCTGTCTCCCAGGCTGGAGTGCAGTGGCATAATCTCAGCTCACTGCAACCTCCGCCTCCCAGGTTCAAGTGATTCTCCTGCCTCAGCCTCCCGAGTAGCTGGGATTCACAGGCAACTGCCATCTCACCCAGCTAATTTTCGTATTTTTAATAGAGATGGGGTTTCACCATGTTGGTCAGGCTGGTCTCGAACTCCTGGCCTCAGGTGATCCACCTGCCTTGGCCTCCCAGTGCTGGGATTACAGGCGTGAGCTACCATGCCCGGCCGCCAGTGTTCTATTAAAGATTTTTTTTTTTTAAGACAAGGGCTCACTCTGTCGCCCAGGCTGGAGTGCAGTGGCATGATCTTGGATCACTGCAACCTCTGCCTCCTGGGCTCAAACGATCCTCCCACCCCAGCCTCCCACGTAGCTGGGACTACAGGCATGTGCCACCATGTATGGCTATTTGTTGTATTTTATGTAGAGACAGGGTTTCACCATGTTGCCCAGGCTGTTCTCGAACTTCTGACCTCAATCAATCCTCCCACCTCGGCCTCCTAAAGTGCTGGAATTACAGGTGTGAGCCACCATGCCCAGCCTCTAATGTTCTATTGAAGATGAAGATTTATTTTTGCTCCTCATCTTTTCATACCTAATTACTTGGCAAGCATTAATAAAAAATGATGGGCAAACCTTCATTTCTCAGGTGACCAGAGAATTCTTCAAATGCATCTATCCTTTTGTTCCAAAACAGACCATTTGCCAATTGGAATAGTAGAAAGATTTTTGTTTTTAGAGGGAATCAGGTGAATGTGAAATGAGTTGACTAGTAAAATTTAAGAGCGAATGTTTATTTTGACTACTAGAAATATCTGAGTCAAAAAAGTAGGAGATTTGTTTTTTAGATAATATCAAATGTATTCCATAACTTCATCAAAATGATTTTCAATGCAGGCACCACAAGTTGCTTCCCTTAAAATGTTCAATTGTACTCTGTAAACACCCAAAACTACTAGGAAATTGAGGCCAGTTGACACATTCCCTCTCTGTCTTACTGATTACACAGAATCCTAAACCTGCCACAGAGTTAGATGCAAGTGGTCTCTCCACTCTTCTAGCAATTGTTTATTTTCTAAAAAAAAAAAAAAAAAAAAAAAGCAAGATTCTTTAAGTAGGACTATACTGCAATCCTTTCCATAATGTCCCTATGTGTATGTGGGTGGGGAGGGGGAAACCGTGGCTGTTGCAAGCTTACAGCAGATTTATGATGAAAATGACAAGTTACGAGCTTGATGTTCTTCCACTCTGTTTACAGCATACGTGGCTCCATCCTCAAGGGATGGTTACGTGTGGCATTTCTGTGGAGAATCTGTTGTTATAAGTTCCCACCACATTCTACTAGAGCAGTGACTTCTGACAGTCCCCCAGTCCCCAAGACCCCCAAAGCCCCACATCTTCCAAAAGAACCTCTCAACACAACTTGCATCTCTGCTCACTTTTGGGTCTATGTGAAAGTCATAGATCCTTAATTTAGGAGGAAAACCTCTCTAAAGCAGACCTCTAACGTGTCTTCAGTGTGTAGACACTCAGGTGGGCACAAGACATTTGGACCCGTCTTCTATGCAGGGTGAGAGGCATCCACTGCTTTCCACAAGACCCCCAAGTATAGGCAGCATCACGTGATCCCCAGAAAAACTAGCACAGAGCAGCCCAAATACCACCAGGAACATCTTTAAAGACAGCAGGGCATTTTTACTTTTGTTAACATAGGTGGGTTTGTCCATCTCTGGTGGCTTTTTGGGACAGTAGAAATTTTCACATTAATACTGTAAATTCTGTACCATATTTTGACACCTGCTACATCTGATTCAAATGCGGGAAAAAATACCATGTGTGCATAATGAAAAATCATTCATTTTTCCCTTTCTTACCCCAGCAGGAATAGAAAGCAATTCCAAGCCACTCTGCAAATGTATCCAAGGTTAGAGATTCGGGAGCTGGCCAACATCTTACACCCCAAATGACTGAAGCATTTCAGTAGGCTGACTGGCTCGAAATAACAATTTAAGAAAGGGGGGAAAAAACCTACAGGGAAAAAAACCCCATGAGATTTGTGAGAGTTGTGGTGCAGAACAGGTTCTTTCCAGAGCCATCCCAGAGGCTTATCACATTGGAGCCCATCTTGGGCTCTGCTCCTGGGGCACACCCACCGAGTCATCCCCATGCAGTGAAGGTCAGGCTGCCTAAAGCCACTCAGGTGTGGTCACAGTCAGCACTTGGCCCCTTACTGAGATCTAAGCTTCTTGGCAGGGGCTGTACTGTCTCAGCGATGTCAGTGTTCACCTCCACCTCCCTGCACCACGCCCTCCCCATCCATCCCCTCTTCCCTTAACCCCCGTCACTACCACTCTTCACGTGCACTTCTGGGCCTTGTTGCCTCAAAAATATTCCAAAGCCCAAGGACCACCAGCCCTTCTTCCCCAGGTTCCTTCTAGCAAGTAGTCCTGTGTCCAAGAGGCCTCATCATTCTTCTTACTCTCCCTGAGCTCCTCCAAGTGAAACCCTCAGTAAAGCCCTCCCCAGACATATCTTGGAAAAGATTAATCTCTCAGATTAACTGAATGAGCTCAAATATAAAAATATTTTTAAAAAACAGTAGGGTCGTTAAAGAGTGACAGATTTAAGCGCCATCTGGGCTCGCTGGTCAGGGTGGCGCGAATTCCATCAAACGGCTGAACGGTGCACGATCTGAGAATCCCATCTGTTTTATCTAACATGAATCAGTCCAACAGTTTGACCATTTTGACGTTAGAGTTGTTTAAAGAAAACCATGGACATATAATACCTCCTCTAAACTTCTAGAATGCAAAATGTATATTTGATTATCACAAAGACAGAAATTAAGCTCGATTCGATTCTCAGAGTGTCTCCAGTGAAATTCCAAATAGACTGCTTTTCATGAAATGATTATTTCCCCAGAGGAGTTTTGGGTTTTTTTTTTTAACCTTTGGGACCATATGTGGAGACTTTTCTTAGGGTTACTGTGTAAAAGTTTAATAATTTTTTTCACTAAAAACTATATTCATAAGATTTTGGATCTTGCAAAATAGGAAAATTTGTTTTCTTTATATTAATTCTTCCTCCTCTGCTGCTGCCTCAACCAAAGTATTTTTATGAAAATAATATGAAACTATTACAAAAAATATTCAAGAATATCACTTAGACAATTTTAATTATTAAGAAATTTTTTTTTTAAGCAAGTAAGGTCTTTTCCTAGTTTTTATAAATTGCTTTTAACCTTTAGCACTTTGGACTGCTTCCCTGTCTTGCTGTGCTATACTAATTCTTAGAAACACTAATCAGATTTTCCTGTGCCCAATAATACAGTTCTGTTTCTGAATGTCGGCAGTGAATTGCCCCAAAACAAATACTTATGCCACTTAATCTTTAACAAGTGGGAGAAAAAATTATTTTTAAATAAAAATATATATAACAAATATATTTTTAAATATATTTTGGCCATTTTGGGATTTTTAGAAGAAAAAAAATCATATTTTAACCAAACCACTTTTTAATTGAAAAACATTCTTCTGCTATAATATTGTGATTATAATTTGTCTTAAAAATTAAAAGGAAGATGTTATTTTCCTATTTTATTATTATGCTATAATTATGGGGCATATTATGGTATTTTATAAACATGAAAACTAAGCAATCATAAAAACAAGATTCACCTAATTGTGTACTAAAAAAGGACTTGCACATGATCAGATGATTTTATTTTCCCGGTTTTTTTGGTCATATTTTATAGAGATCATGTGGAATCAAAACAGCTTCTTCGTTCCAAATTTGTGTTGTGTTTTCTAGCCATTTTACATACCAAATCTATTTCTTAAAATGATTTTCTGGCAATACAAAGCTGGCACTACGTCGCACGTTATGAATGTGTGCATTTATTGTTTCTTCACCTACAAAACCAGGACAATAATATCTTCCTGCAGAACTCATTCAAAGATTATATGTAATAGTGTTTATAAAAGTACATGGAAATTATAAAGTACTACGCAAAGGTATCTTTAGTAATCATAATAGCAATTTAATATTTTTATAGAGCAAAAACTACTGAAAAAATAAAACATCCATTCTCCACATCTCCCCTTGTGATTAAATAGAGAAGCATGTTTATATGAATTATTTCTAAAGCAGCATTTTGCAACTGGCTTGAAAGTATTTGCTTCAGGGAATTACAAAGATTTGAAAACAAAATTATCTCTACATTTCACAAATTTGAAAATGTAAAAGCAAACAAATTGTCAGAACTTTTTTTGTAACCTTTATTTTCCTTAAAGTTGCTGTAGCCAGTTCAGAATACTAAGAACACAGGAAAACTTTTGTCCAAGGGGATTGGTCCCAGAGCCGAAGAGACATCAAGCTCCACATCTATGACCACTGATTTATCTTGGTAAATGTCAGCGGTCAAGAGTTATAATCCATTTAAGTCACAGACTAAAGCAAATGCTGGAACCACTGACTTTTTCTCTTTTTCCTTTAAGTTTATAAAATAATCACAAAAAGAGAGAAAGAACTCTTGAAAGATAAATGCTATTTACAAAGTTCTTAAGGAGAAACATTGTACTGATTGTTAAAGTTTCATTAAATTTGCAGTTTTATCTCTGTCTGCATCACGTGAAACAAAATAAATGGTTCTAGCATAAGGCTCCTGGTCTATTTTCCCCTCTTTCCCTTTGGTAGCCAGGCCCGTAATAAGCTCCAGGAGAGCAGGAGTAAAACGGGGTCCCTAGGGGCCCAGATTTAGTGAGGACGCAGCAGCTCAGGTTGTAGGTTGTCCCTGTGAGATGCCAGCTGGCTTCCGCACAAAGGTGACAAGCTCTCTTTGTTGCTAATCCCTTTGGTTTTCTTAGTGTCCCCAAGTCATGCAGACACATACTGGACACTTTCATCAGGTAGACACACAGTATCGATGCTTGGTCTCGACAGGCAGGCAGCATGGTCCCCACAAACCAAGGCATGTCCCGAACTCCACAGCCTGGAGTGCTCATTCAGCGGGCACACCAAAAAAGGGCTTGGTGACACTTTCTGATAAGATGGTTCTGCTGACCAGCAGTGGAATGTGAGGGCACACTAGACATGGGATGGGGATGGGCAGCAATGGGTGCTGTGGGTGAAAGGTACCAAGCAGTTACTGCTCAGGGAGAACTACTGCAGAGACATTCTTCTTCAGCCACGTAAAGTGGCCCTATTCAAGCAGCACAACTCAAGGATGCCAACTGGAAAACATTATTTATACCCACACATGGGGCTAGTATCAAACGGCGCCCTGTTTGCTCCAGTTTCAGACACTGTTCAATCAATGGATGCCTATCTTTAGGGTTTATTCAGTAGAAGAAAGTATTCCCCTCGGGGTTTACCTGAGCAGCTCACTACGAGCTAAGAGAAGTGCTGAGTTTACACTGCTCCGTTTTCATCACAGCATATTCCTTGGCAAATGATCATATTTCAAAGCCACAATTCATTAACTGCATCTCATTCCCCGTATTTGGCTACATTTGAGTAATTTTATTTAACCTTGGCTTGAAGAACATATTTAGTGTCCTGCATCTAGCCTGAGATGTTTGTTCTTTGGACCAGCAGTGACCATCTCGGACCTCAGCACTGTCTGAAGTCCTTGAACAGTGGCCGGTTGCAAAGTAAATATAAGCAACAAACCACATTACAAGGGAGAAGAATGCTGATAAGGGAACAAGGAAAGTGCTCAAGCAATCTAAAAAATACTTAATTCTTAACAATGTCTCAGTATCCCTTACCAAAACTGGTGTAATGCTCAGTGAGAATGGGTAACTATTTTACAAATATGCCACACTTTATAAATTATTAAATTGGACAGTAGCAAAGGAAAAGTGGTATCCATTTGTCAGGCTATCCCATAAATCTGTACTTTAAAATGTGACAATTTGTCAAATTTGTTACTAGTAATACTAATAAAAAAAAAGGGTTCCTCTAAAAATATTTGTTTCTGACTCACTATAATTACTGCCTGACCAAAAAAAAAAAAAAAAAAAGTTTTAAAGATTTGGAATACACAAATCTATTTTTTAAAGCATAAATTCAACGAAATAGAACCAATAGTCTAACATCAGTAACTAATCTGATTCTCTATGAAAGTAACTACAGGAAAGAGATACTAGAAGAGATTTAGAATCTATTTTGGCTCAAGAGAATCAATGAAATTCTACTCCTTTAAAAAATTATTAATAGCTTGTGTCAGATTTTTAAAAAATAATTCTGAGTGTTAACATCTACTCAAGTTACTCAAAATCACACGGCACAATTAAATCTGTGCTGAGAGGGATCTTAAATCCAAAACTTTTAAAACTTCTGGGGCTTTTACTAAAAGCATCACAAAGTAAACGACAACCAAAGTAAACCTCTTTAAAGGGACAAAATAGCAAGGAAAGGTCAGGGAGCCAAGGGGGTCAACAAAGTCCTTCTTCCAATTTGGGGTCATTCTTCCCTCCAGCACTGATTGGTCTCCCAATAAATTCCACATTAGCTCCTCCCTTCAGCTGCGGCAGAAACACTTGAACTGCCTTCTCTCTTCACAAAAGTTTAGTTTGCTGATTGGGCCTGAAACAAAGGGATGACAGCAGGGGCACAATTTATAAGGGGGCAGGGGAGGCTGACAGGCTATTGTGCTCTGGAGGCATCCACAAGCTGTTAATTCTATTTTAACATCGTTAATAAGACTGTTAACACATCAGACTTTGTTTAGAGACCTTGAAAACATCAACAAACTATCAAATGACCCACCTGAAATAAAATAGCAACCACTTTGGAAGCATCAAAATCATACTTTAAAAAAAATCCTTAAAACAGTAAGACTAAAGAAAGGAAAAAGGAAATCTATTTCCGTAACAAAGACCCCAAATTCTTATGTTTAATATACTTGGAGCATCCTTATTATTACTCTGATTATATCATCTTCAACCTATGGGTTTTCAAAATAAAAAAGTTATATTAAAATGGAATCACTTCCATGTGCATATGCAAAAAGGGATAAAAAAATAAATATACAGGTTTAAAAAGACATTTAGAGTGAATAACTCGTCTGACAGAATAACAACAGTTAATTTTGCAACAGAATAGAAAAATGTTTTGATCTCAGTTTTTCAAGAAGTAGGAAAACAATCTGTTACAAAAAAGAAGCTGTTTGATTGTACCCTCATGTCTAACTAAAAAAACTAGAGTAACTACAGTAAGAGTAAAAAGTTCTAATTCATGGTTTAAGGGAATTACAATTTTCTGGAAATTCTTCTACTTTTTTTTCTCTTTTACTTTGCTTTGCTTTAGGGATTAAGACTATTCAAAGTAAAGAGTATTATGCTTAAAATTAAGGAGACCAAATAACTTGGTAATCAACATTTAACAATCAATATTGTTAAAGAAGAAATTATTTTGTTTGAATTTTTCGGTGTAAATGTGTTTTGTCAAAAATTTTTTTCAATTAAAATAGCATATTTTTAATGGGATGGTCTACTAAAATCACTAAAATTGACACTTAACTATTTTTTCATTTAAAGTGAAAAACCCAAAATATATTGCAAGAAATTTGTAGCAACATTTTTTAAAAACAATTTTTTTGGACACTGCATCTGAAATCTAATGATGGAAAAAATCGGAAGCATTCTAGATGTGACTTCAAGTACTGATTTTTCAACACACTGCAACACACATTTCCACATGTTAATTTTAAATATCCTTGCCTGTGATTGAAAGAAACAATTATTCAATACTCTTACAAGTACTGGTAAGGAAAATTTTAAAACCATGAGAAATTACAATAGAATCAAATTATGTAGACGGGATACATAGCTTTTAGAACAGAGCAAAGAATTCTAGGGAATATTTAAATATGTTGAGTCCTTTGAGTGTGGCTGTTTGTTGGTGGCCATTGGTGGGTTAGAATTGGGGGAGTTAGTGAATCAAAGACTAGAGAGACTATTCGCAAACACAGACGTTAATATGAGAACACAGGAGTATAAACTTAATGGGTAGATGCAGGGGCAACTCTAAATGCATCCCTGCATTGAACACAATACAGAGATTGTGTTCTCAACAGGTCAAAGGACCAATGAGCAAACGCTGGTACAAGGCTTGGGGACTTGGGGCAACAGAGTCCATGAAAGCATCAATCACCACACGTTTTTAAAAGTGGAAACCGAGGCAGTTACCCTGAAGGATGACCGACAGAGGAATAATATTTGGCTACCACTGTTCAATTGCCTTTCCCAAACACAATGCTTTGCTTGTTTCTCCGGCTTCCTGCAATCTTTCATGTTTTAGATACACACATTTCAATCCAAGTATTTCAGTTGCCATAACAACTTCATAAATTTGTTCTCAGATGTCCTTTTTAATCACATCATTTAAAACAAGCTGGATGTGTCGCTGGAGTGCCTCAATTTATTCCATTCGCACCTAGCTCCTAAGGAGTCTGGTATTTGTTTCTTTTTCTCTAAGAAGCTCAAACACCTGAAAATAACATCGCTATCTCCTCTCTGTCTCCACAGGCAAGGGAAGTTTTTTTAAAAATGCGTGTGTGGCCTTATTATTAAGTTTTTTAAATCCAGGTGATATTATGCCCAGAAATCGCCCCCTGGTTCACAGAAGAGAGACTGCTAACGCCACCCAGGTCTGTACAGGAGGCCCCTGCCCAGAGAATGCTGCTTTATTTCCACATATCAATTATTTATGCCGCCAAACAGGTTTTTGATAGAATCCTAGTGGTTTTAATTGGCTTCTGGTGACTATTACTATATAATACCTTTAAAATATCATCTACCTTATGATGGGAAAATAAAACTATGCCAATATGTAAGTTTCAACGGCATGCATTAATTTTTAAACTACTCCCGGATGTTTTAGGATTTCCTGCCAATAAAGAATAGGGCATAGTATTCCTGGCATCATTAAATAAATGACTTTTGCCAACATCAACAAGCAAACAATAGAAAACAGGACTCCACCAACAAATGAAAAGGGGGTGTCAAAAAATTCAAGCCTGGCTTTTTGCATATGTAGTGAAACTGAAGGCACTTCCCCAGCAAGTATTGAAATGCACAGATAAGAACACAAAAGGCCTTGAAGTGGTTTGAAGGGTCGCAATTTGCTATTAAACACAGCAGATGGAAACCTGTGAAAGCCCACTTAACGGAACTTTTGAATGCTCCTGTGTGAAATCAAGAGTCATGCACAAGTTAGGGCAATCACTGATTCTACAGTTTTTTAAATTGCACTCTCAGTTTGTTAGAGGAGAAATACACACACACACGCATATATATACATATATATATATACACACACACACACATAGCTTAGAGGATGATTTAGAAGAGGAATACTAATCCCCTCTCTGTCAGAAATTAAAATGCAAGGGTGAATAGCATGCAACTAAGTACCAGCAAAGAGTAAATATTGGTTATGTTTAGGAAAGAGCATAAAAACAGATGTGATATAAAGTTAGACCTTTCACTTCAAAAAATACTAAGCAACTAGTTCTTTGCCCCTGGGGGAAAAATCTCTTTTAATTATGTAAAAAGTGAAGAGACGGTAGTAGGATTCTTTACCTTTGAATACTAAATTAGGAAACAGCAGCATCAAAGGCAGGCTTGATCTGTTTTGCCTGAAAAATTAATAGGCTTTACAAGTCCTTTGCAATGGAGTCTAGGATTGCATAAAAAAAGAGGCTCTGGTGACACCAACAGTCCCAGGAACAAAATGCAGCTGTGGAGGCGGGTTGGGGGTTGGGAGAGGGTTTTTGTTGTTTGGTTTTGGGGGATTTTTTTTACTTTTCTTTAATCAAAATGGATAAACCCGGCTGCCGAAACTCCGCAGAGAACCTGCTCTGCCCGAGGCTTCCTCCCCACCCCACCTCCTTGTTCCTGTCCACACCCCGCCCCGCTGCCTGTGGCCGAGGCCTGTCGCCGGGCTGGAGGGCCTAGCTACCCCAACTCCGCGGTTTCAAAGCGCAGAGAGTTGAAAGGAGGGGAGGCCGGCGTGGGGGAGAGGGACACAGGAGGAAAGGCCTCAGTCAGAGTCCCCGGCAGCCTCGGGGTTTCGCGATGGTTCCCTCCTGGTCCCTCCTGGAAGTGGGAGGCGGACCCTGCGCTTTGCAGCAGAAACTTTCTGGGAGCCTGGAAGACTTGTCACCCAGTCCGCGGTCTCTCCAGCAGTGGGAGGAGCGCTGAAGGTGGTGATTACTATCGACAAACCTAAAATTCTTTCTCTTGAGAGCTCCCACACTATTCACCCCGAGTGGGCCTGCGGATGAAGCTGCTGGTGCCAAAAAGGGTAGGAGGGGGCGCCATGGCAGTCCCCTGCCGGCGGCCCCTTATGAAACCGGGCCGGTTGCTCTGCAGAGCGCACGCAGGCGGCCTTCTGCTCGCACATCGAACTGGCATCCTCGTCTTTTGTCCATGACGTCCCTGTGCCCCACTGCTGCAGCCGAGAGGGACCGCGGCACCAGCGGGCAGGGAGGGCTGGCGCGCCCCGCCAGGTCAATAGCAGGAAACTCCGAAGGCAGGGCGAGGAAGGCACGGGCTTGGGTTCTGCCCCGGACTGCGAGGAAACATGGAGACTCAGGGCGAGCAGCTCCTAAGGAAGCCGACTTGGCTTCTGTTCCTGGGAAAAGCGGATCAAGAAACTCGCTGAAGACCACTATTTACAGATGAGCCACAGCAGAGCTGCTTAATTCACTCAATAACAAACCTTAATTGCTCAAAACAAAGCAGCTAAGTCTCTTTAGAGTGCTTCAAAGGCCCTTCACATTGTAACTTGCAGTATAAAATGTATGCAATATTTCCAAAAAAGAAAAAAAATTCAGAATCAAGGATAAAGTTAGAACTTTACCTTAATCTTCTTTTAAAGAGTTTTTTTCCCCATCTCCCCCTCTAATTAGGTCAAAATTTAGATGTTATTATGATCTAACTACAATCTGTTTATTTTACTGCCTTTTTAAAAGAAAAGAGACATTTGTGCCTTAATCCTAAAAAGCCCCAAATCTGAATTTAAAAGAATAACATTATTGGACAATTATATGGAAAGTCAAGAAAGATTTTTGAAAGAACTATCAAAAGACAATATTTATATAGAATTCAAGCATTAGCGGTGAGCCTGACACAGCAAAACCATTGTATTTTCCACTAGTTTTGTTTTGCTCTATACAGCTGTGTTTTCACAGATGCAAAGCCATGTGTCTCCACCAAAAGGTTTAGCCCTCCCTTCAGATGTGAATGCGGATCAAAGGTTCAAACGCAGAAATACAAGATCCTTTTCCCTTTGGAACATGTTTTTATTTTTCTGCAGTGGCTGCAAACCAGAATTTCCATCTGTTGTCCTTCTGCAGTATACAGGTTAACCTTAACAGTGGGGCTCGGAGCACTGTTATCTCAGCTAAGAAGTGCACAGATGAAGCACGTCTGCATGTACCATCAGAGCAGCTCCCCAAGATGTCCACGCAGCTAAGACAGAATTGAACCAGGCAGGAGCAGAATCCATTTTAGTTGACATATAGAAATTAATTTTCATTTCTGTGCAACATCAGAACGGATGATGAATTTAAGATGGGGTTTTGCTTTCACACCACATGCACCTTGGTAAAGATAACATCAACCATGATTTCCTGTCTGTCCCTCCTCCTTCCTAGAGCCAGCAGTATGCAATAAGACATTTTGCATTTGAATCTCAGCTTGCTGAAAATTCTCTAACAACAGAAAATGATTTGATAAAACAACTCATTAATTTTAAGTATCTTACAATTTACCAACCCATAATTTTGAATGGAAATTTTAAAAAAATTTGTTACCTATTAATCCTTTTAATAACTCATCCTCTCAATTTCCATTTCTTTATCAAACATACCCTCAGAGTGACTGAGAGAGAAACAGGTTTCTCTATTACCTACTCTAAACATGGATTTACTGCCATGTAAACATTGGCTTAGGAGAACAGTAAAAATGCGGCAATGCAGCTAACAAGGTGGGAGGCTTTGAAGGTATTTCTGCCAGGTTTTTAAGGTCACTAAATGTTAAGAGAAAAATGAACTAGAGAGGAACATATATATATACCTATCTGTAGACGATCAAGAGAGGTTAGAGGGACAAATGGCGGGATGACAGATACAAAGCTTTGGCTAGTTCATGGGGAGATTTTACAGAAGCCCAAAGTGGAAAGTGCCGTGGACCCGACTGAACACCAATGTGTGAGTGCCATCTAGTGGTCTGCCTAGAACTGCACCCTGGTCTACTCCCTGACAAACACGCCACCCTAAGGTCTGGGGGTTCTCCACCCCATTTCTCCACCGCATCCTGGCTCATTCTATCACTCCCAACCCTTCTATCCGATTACTGTACCTTTTCTGCTCTAATTACAAATAAACTAAAAAGCCAAAAAGCCTCAGAAAACAAAGCAGGAAGAGTGATAATCTCAAAGGTGGGGGTGGGTCTGGAAAAAAGGAAAGTGGCCTCACAGGTCTCCCCGCGAGACTGTCACAGAGCTGTGCAGGAAGGCTTAAAAGGGCTGGCTCCAAGACAATAAGGAATCGTCTTGACCGCACCTGCGAACCAGACTAAATGAAAAGTGCGCCCTGCCGCCTACACATGCCCTCTCTGTCCTCAGTATGTTAACCTTTCTGGGGGGAAATAATTAACTCGATGACTGGGCAATGGTTCACTCATCAATATCTCTTCCTAGGTGCTCTGTAAAGAGTCAAGTCCAATGTGACGTAGGTGGAGCTAGTGTTCATGATGTCAGGCCATCCCTGCCATCTGACTCACGGGCACCCAGACAGGGCCACGTCATCAGCTGACACCAGGTCCCACAAGCAAGGCCCACACAGCTTCCCAGGCTTCAAATACTTGCTCTGATTGTCAGCTTCATGGCAGATCAAGCCACCAATGTGTTATTTAGTGGGATGAAAGAGGACGCCACCCCAGGCTCTGCCAAGCACACCCCCTAGTAGCGCCCCTCCAGCCACCAAGGTGGCAACACAGCCTGGGAGAAAGGCCAGAGCCCACTGACTTGCATTTCTGTCCCAGCAACTAGAGGTTGCTGAGCTGTCTTCATTCCATGAGTCACACCTTTGCATGTGGGCACGTGAAAGAGCATACATCATCTTGCCAGTAACGAAATGCAACACCAGGCCAGGCGCAGTGGCTCACGCCTATAATCCCAGCACTTTGGGAGGCCGAGGCAGACAGATCATCTGAGGTCAGGAGTTCAAGACCAGCCTGGCCAACATGGTAAAACCCCGTCTCTACTAAAAATACAAAAATTAGCCGGGCATGATGGCAGGTGCCTGTAATCCCAGCTACTTGGGAGGTTGAGGCAGGAGAATCACTTGAACCTAGGAAGCAGAGATTGCAGTGAGCCGAGATCACGCCACTGCACTCCACCCTGGATGACACAGCAAGACTCCGTCTAAAAAAAAAAAAAAGAAAGAAATGCAACACCATAGTGCTGGGCCATCACTCCCATGGGTTCTTAGGCCTGGTGGGGAAGGGGGTTCTTCTTCTGATAGATCAGCCACTGCACAGAAAGAATGGACTTCGGAGCGCGATCTCGGCTCACTGCAACCTCTGCCTCCCGGGTTCAAGCAATTCTCCTGCCTCAGCCTCCCTAGTAGCTGGGACTACAGGCGCCCGCCACCATGCCCAGCTAATTTTTTGTATTTTTAGTAGAGACAGGGTTTCACCGTGTTAGCCAGGATGGTCTAGATCTCCTGACCTCGTGATCAGCCCGCCTCAGCCTCCCAGAGTGTTGGGATTACAGGCGTGAGCCACGGCATCCGGCCTGACATTTTAGTTTTGTTAAAATGCTACTGAATCTAAAGACTGTGACTTACCTTTCATCTGGCACATTACTGGCTTTGAGGTTGGAGGCTATGTGCTCTGCCCACCTTCATTTTCACCCAATACCCTGTACACAACAATCAAGTAATATGTAGATGATGGGATTGCTTTGGAGACCTTGATAGTGAGTGAAACTATGGTGAAATGGAAGCAGCATAATATGCTGGGAAAGAGAAGACTTGGGAGAAGAAGATTTGGGTTGGAGCAGCCCACCCTACCGCACTGGGGCTTGGGATGAGGGTACGGAGGAGGACACGAGCCCCAGCCAGCCCCTCCTCTTTGCCCCATATGTGTGGGACATGCCAGCCTGCACATCCAAGCTCCTGGCCTCACTCCCCACTGCCAGCCCAGCCTCAGCTACCCCTCAGGTCTGGGGTGCAAATGCTGCTACTCCACTCTCTAGGATGGACCCAGGGAGAGGTCCATGGATGCCCAGCTAAGGAAAACATTTCCCAGCCTCTCCTGCATCTGAGTGTATTCATGGGTCAAAGTTCTGATTGATGGGATGTGGTCAGGGTGAGCAGAAATATAGTGTCCCCATAAAGGAAGGCATGTGTCCCCCTACCCCACGTGGTGGGAGCAAACCAAGCAGCCGCCTTGGGGAAGATGTGTGCCATGTGCTGAGGTTGGCAGAACCATAGCTAAAGGAGCCTGAGACCTCACTGAGCCATCGTTATCAGCCCTGCACCACCTAACCATGTTTCAAGTGAGGGGGGAAGAAATTATCCTTGATAAAGTCATTGTATTTGAAGATCTTTTGGCCATAACACCCAAATCTGTATCCTCACTTATATCCTAGTTATGGATGAGTTGAATGAAAATGGGCATGTCCAGCCCATCATACCCAGCATATCACCCTTGAATCAATTGAAATTTGAGCAGGAGAAGGAACAAGTGAACCAAAACCACACTGTCAGCGTCCTGGGAGATCTGGACAATTATGAGACTCAAAAGTGGAGGAGAAGGTTAATAACTGGCCAGGATGAAAAAAAAAGAAAAAGCTAGAGAACAAATGAGAAGCCAAGAAAAGGAGAAAAAAGTCCCAGTAGCTTCTCATGTGGTGTGTCTGAATTTCCAAACAGATGCACGTAATTAAGTAGGTTTATTTAAACATGAAAGATCACTATTTCTTTGGATCATCATAAGGCTGGTGAACAAGCACCATGATCTTTGGATGAGTAGAGGGAGGCAGAGACCCCTGCCAGGAGTTACAGGTGAGTTGCTAGGAATGGAGGTCTGGAACCTAAGTGTGCTGGGTGCTCCCCCTTATATACAGGACTTTTTTTTTTTTGGCCGGTCCTCCTTGTCCCCAGGCTAACAGCCTCATGACACAGATTCCTTAGCAGTGGCCTGCTGCTTATTCCTGCTCTTTAAAAAATAGTACATCCATCATGATACTCCCATTCTGAAACATCCACAGGTGCTCCTAGTGCTTAGAAAACAACATCTGAAGTCTTTGCCTAGAATTCAAGGCTGTCTACAACTGGACCCAAACACCCTTCCAACCTCACTCTCCACCACTCCCCTCTACAAACCCTTGCCCTTCAGATTGGCTTGTCTTTTCCCAACAAACAGTATACATTCCTGCCTCCTGTGATTTTCCTCAGGTAGCCCCACCTCCCCCAGGGCCATGCCCTGCTACCACACACGTGCAAAGCCCACTTGTCGTCATGGGAGTGTTATTTACCGCCACCAGCTCATCTGCTTTTAGGGTGTGTCTCCCCAGCTCATGACTGCAACTCTTCCCAACTTTGTGTCAGTCATACAAGGTGGCCAGCACAGCCCTTCCACTTGGGAGAAGGGCATCCATTGTTTTGATTTGATTGATTCTTAAGAAGCAATAAGCTTCAGTAGCATCCTCACCTCCGACACCCAGGCGAGAGCCTGCCTGTTATGTGGAGGCCTCTGAGTGGCTTCTCCCTGAGTATGGAGGTGAAAGAGGCCACGACACCACTTGCCATTTGGGTAGCATTGCTGGAACATTCGGGACCCTTTCGCACCTCATCCATCCATGGCTACTCTGGATCCTGCACCCACAGGTCCTACTTTTGGCAAATCAATGCTGGCTAGCAGGGGCTATAGTGTTATCCCTTCCCAGGATATCTGCTTTTTATTTTTTTAATTGAGATAGGGTCTCACTATATTGCCCAGGCTGGTCTCAAACTCCTGAGTGCAAGTGATCCACCCGCTTCAGCCTCCCAAAGTGCTGGGATTACAGGTGTGAGCCATGTCTGGCCAATATCTGTATTTTAATGGACAACTTCCCTGCTTGCTCAGAACACTTGGCAAATCACACCAGACAGGCCAGTTGGGGCACTGGAGCACTGGAAATGGAAGGTTTAGTCCTGTGGTGAACAGTCACTGGCTGTTGACTATCCCAAAACACACTTCACCCCCTGAGGAACTTGCCTCATCCTACCCACAGCTGACAGTGTGCTGGGATTATCATCAAGGAGCCCAGCTCTCCCAGAGCCAAAGGGTGGGCCCTATTAGCCCAGTTGGACACTCCCTCCCTGGAGCCTGCATCCTGAGCAGAGTTACAGACTGAGCACCCTGGCAGCACACTGTTCTCGTGGCTGAGCAGGGACACAATGGAGAAGGATTCATGTCGGCATGCCTACAGTTGCTTTCCACCGACGGTGTGAATGTGTCCATATCCTTCCAGGAAAACCCCCTCTTGCCAAAGCCAGATGTGGTGTCTGTTGCTTACAACCAAGAATCTTTTTTTCCCCCCAAGATGGAGTCTTGCTTTGTCGCCCAGGCTGGAGTGCAATGGCATGATCTCGGCTCACTGCAACCTCTGCCTCCCGAGTTCAAGCAATTCTCCTGCCTCAGCCTCCCAAGTAGCTGGGATTACAGGCACGTGCCACCAGGCCTGGCTAATTTTTTTGTATTTTTAGTAGAGACGGGGTTTCACCATGTTGGCCAGGCTGGTCTCAAACTCCTGACCTCATGATCCACCCACCTCTCCCTCCCAAAGTGTTGGGATTACAGGCGTGAGCCACTGCACCTGGCCACAACCAAGAATCTTAACTGATGGAAAGCCACAACCCAGAATTCCATTTCACTCAAAAAATATTTATTCAATTCTTTTTTGAGACGGGGTCTCGCTGTGTCACCCAGGCTGGAGTGCAGTGGTGTGATCTTGGCTCACTACAACCTCCGTCTCCTGGGTTCAAGCGATTCTCCCACCTCAGCCTCCCAAGTAGCTGGGATTACAGGCATGCGCCACTACGCCCAGCTAATTTTTGTATTTTTAGCAGAGATGGGGTTTAGCCATGTTGGCCAGTCTAGTCTAGAACTCCTGACGTCAGGCCACTCGCCTTGGCTTCCCCAAGTGCTGGGATTACAGGCGTGAGCCACCTCACCTGGCCTATTTATTCAGTTCTTGTCATGTGCTTGGCACCAAGACAGATGCTGGGCCTGCAATCAGGTACCAGCAGTAGCGCTATGACCTAGGTGGTTGGATCTAACATGGGAGACAGCACAGGGTACAAAGAGCAGAGATCACATTGGGCAAAGCTACTGGAAGGCAGAGGAAGGGTGTCTGCTGGCCCACGGCAGTGTGGGTGACTGCTAAGTCATCAGAAGAGAAGATATTTGGTCAGCAAGATCTCAAGGAAGATGAGAGGAGGGCTCTGTAGGGAGAAGCAGCAGCATGAGCCATGGCAGAGACAGAAAGGAGCTGGAGTATCTCACCACCCTGAGAATTTTAATGTGATTGGAAGGTCAGAGACATGGGGTAGGAAGATGATTCTGGGAAGGTAATCTTGGGTTAGGGTGTAAAGAACACTGTAAGGTCTTCATTCCTCAGTGTTGAGAGTGACTGCTGCTTGTGGAGAGGAGCGCAATGACGTCTGTGTTCAGAAAGCTACTTCTGGAAGATGGACAGGAGAGAGGAGAGTCCCAGAAAAAAAGAGCCACAATGGCTGGGAGCCATGTGGAGATGCACAGAATCCAAGGGTCTAGTGGAGGCAAGAATGACTCCAAGGATTTCAGCTACAGGACGAGGAAAGGTGGTGCTAGAGTCCATGGAGGCAGCCTCCAGCACCCTCCAGCAGCCTCTGTGCTGACCTTACTCTCTAGAAGAGCACATGTACCTGAGCCAAATCAAAACTCAAGTTGCTGCCAGTGAGAATTTGGCAACAGTTTCTGTCACCCTGGGCAAGGAGAGGAAAGTAGATGGGCAACTGAGGTTTCTAACACTCTTCTTATTTCTTCCCCTCTTGAAAACTTCTTTTTTTGAGACAGGGTCTCATTCTGTCACCCAGGCTGGAGTACGGTGGGACAACCATAGTTCACCGTAGCCTTAAACTCCTGGGCTCAAGCAATCCTCCTGCCTTAGCCTTCCCAGTAGCTGGGACTACAGGTGTGCGCCACCATACCACTCTGATTTTTTTTTTGAGACGGAGTCTGGCTCTGTCGCCCAGGCTGGAGTGCAGTGGCGCAATCTCTGCTCACTGCAAGCTCCACCTCCTGGGTTCACGCCATTCTCCTGCCTCAGCCTCCCGAGTAGCTGGGACTATAGGCGCCCGCCACCACGCCCAGCTAATTTTTTGTATTTTTAGTAGAGATGGGGTTTCACCGTGTTAGCCATGATGGTCTCTATCTCCTGACCTCGTGATCCGCCCGCCTCGGCCTCCCAAAGTGCTGGGATTACAGGTGTGAGCCACTGCGCTTGGCCTACCAGTCTGATTTTTAAAAAATTTTTTGTAGGGATGAGGTCTTGCTATATTGCTCAGGCTGAAAACTTTCTTTTTTTTTCATGAAGCATCATATAACTTTTTTTTTTTTCTTTTGAGACAAAGTGTTGCTCTGTTGCCCAGGCTGGAGTGCAGTGGCACATGATCACTGTTTACTGCAGACTCCAACTTCTGGGCTCAAGTGATCCTCCCATCTCAGCCTCCTGAGTAGCTGGGACTACAGGTGCCCACCACTACATGTGGCTAATTTTTGTATCATTTGTAGAGATGGGGTTTCGCTCTGTTGCCCAGGTTGGTCTCATGCTCCCGGCTCAAGCAGTCTGCGTGATTTGGCCTCCCAAAGTGCTGGGATTACAGGCGTGAGCCACAGCGCCTGGTGGACTCATAGAACATTTAACACATAAGTCCTCCATCAATATTCCAAATTTTCCCCACCCTTCAACTTATCGGCAAATAAGTAAGATTTTTCAAAGAAACAATGACATTGCAAAGGTACACCTACTTAACTGTGTAACTGTTTAGCTTTTCTATCTTCATGACATAATTTTTAGAGGTGCTTCTATTCCTCACAGAACTGCACCTGCACCAGTATATGAAAAATGGGTGCCAATTAGTAGTATTTTAGTTAAAACCGTTTCCCCACATCATTGTCTTATGCTAGAAGCGAGCTGGCATGAATAACAAAGGGTTGCTATTAATAGTACAACACAGAATGCAAGCGGAAAACTTGAGTGAAATTATGTTTTTTAAAACCCACTGTTTAGTGCCCAGAAAAGGGACAGACTGTGCAGCATCTGTGCTGGGGGGAGATGGAACTAATAAATCATTGCCATTTTTACTATGCACAGGCAGAATCTGATGTACATCCAAAGCCAAACACATTGGCTGTCCGAGAAAAATGATTTACGTTCCAGGGCTTTTTTTCACTCAATTGAAAGTTTATGCATTTAGCATCCTAGATGATTTTATTAATTTACATCTCCTGTAATTATTAAGTTTTTTAAGAAAATTTTGGGGATGGGTTAAATGTATGAATGAAATATAAAAATATATATATCCTTATGTTCAAACATAAAATATTCATTTCAAAGTCCAACTTGCAGATGTAAAGCCATGTAAAACATAAGACTGAGCTAGAAAAAAATGATACCTTGATGTGTAGATAAAAAAAATACTAGTGACACTAGGTAGCTAACATTCTATTATCAGTTCAAGAAAGGAGTAAGAAAAGTACATTTTCTTATTGAATTAATTTGACCAGAATCAAAGCAAGTGTAGAAAAGACCCTAAACACTGATAACAGTGCAATATCCATCTTCAATAAATAACAAGCTTATGATGATTTCTTATGCTGTTAGCACATCTGGCTGCCCTATCTACTCTGGAACACAGAAATGTAAGAAAAAGGGGCCTTTAAATAGTAACGCAGGCAGCTCCACTAATCAGATTATCATCATAAGGTATTGACAGCAAGAAAAGTCACAAAAAACCAGGGCTAGCAGGAATGCTGTTTCAGAATTCAACGAACAATGGACTATTTATTTCGGCATTCCATAATCATTTTGCTTACACACTCTTGTTAGAAAACTGGTAAAATTCAGAAAAGCAGACCTGGAAGGACTGATGAACATTCGGAGCCTTCTGAATAGTCCATGGCGTTGAGATTTTTGTCCGAGGACTTGAAAAGTTAAAGGCATAGTCCTGCCAATTGTGAGATGCCCTCTCCAACACAGACCACCCACAACTACGGATTTTCCATCTGGTGAACAAAACAGACAGCTCCCTAATTATTTTTAAAAAGGATTTTTCCCCCCCGAACATACTTTCTTTATTTGTCTGTGACCTGGAACTTAATGGAAAACCTGGTGCATGCCAACTTCATTTCTCATAATGAAATATCCTATTTTATTGTTTTAACTGGTTTTAAAGACTTTAAGATAGAAATTATTACCCCCAGAGCCAACACACCAAGCCACCAAGACAATTCCAATGAACTGTTTCCTCTGAACAGAGAATATCTTGTTTAAATATTAGCCACTGAAGTTTTCTCTCACAACCAACAAGATGAAAATAGGAGGGAAATTATTTGCAATCGTTCTCAACTGGGCACCCATACTGCTAGTGTCAAAATCTATGGCTTTTCCAACAAGATGGCCACCTCTGCCAAAAGCATGCTCAGAAATGCCAACTGTAATTAAAATCTGGCACCTGTCTTGGGCACCAAATTTGCTTCTAATATCTCCAGTTGAAATGTGTCTCAGCTTCGAGAGGACTTAAGATGCTTCTTGCCCTCTGCCCTTTGGAAAAACACTCGAGTGGAAAAATTGACGGCTGTTATCCCCAAAATTACATTTTTTACATTTTAACTGTCCTAAATCTTCTCTGCTTTCTTTCTCTGAATCTGTTTGTTTAATTAGTCCCAAGAGAATCAGCATACATTCCCTTCACACATTTTGTTTTTATAAACCTCAAGAAAAATAGGCACTGAAATAAGTTCTTCCCACTATGGAGTTGTGATGGGGGGCGGGGCCGGGGGGGCGTGTGACAGATGTAGATTTTGCAAGGCCTTAGATACTATGGAATTGGGAAGCTCTAGGTGGGGCGGGAGCCTTCCCTAAGAAGGTTTTTCAGAGCCACACGTCTTGATTTGAGGCACATTGCTTTGGACCTCTCTGCTGCCTATGAACAAGCTTGTGTCCTACCTATTGTTTTCTTGAGCTGGGGCTATCAAAATTCTAAGTAGTTTTTTGTTTGTTTTGTTTTTAAAGACTGTAGCATTTCTCAAGAAGAAACTTCTTGTGATCTTTCTTATAAGCCTTTCAAACACTGGCCACCCAGCCCCCCTTAGGTGTGGGCAGAGTGGTCCTCAGGCCCATGAGCACCATGGATGGTGATGCACTGCACAGCTTGGCAGTGACAAGCATTCCCAAAGCATGGGAGGCCAGAGCGTGCGGAGGGCCCAGCAGCAGCCTCTCCAGAGGGGAAGGGGCCCTGCCCACCTCTCTCCCTGCTGTATCCCTGGGCCTAGAAGAGTGTCTGGCACAGAAGGTACTGAGAAGTAGCTA
The DNA here is from genome assembly GCF_000001405.40 of Homo sapiens. NCBI lineage: Eukaryota > Metazoa > Chordata > Mammalia > Primates > Hominidae > Homo > Homo sapiens. The sequence goes on along the minus strand of NC_000013.11, from coordinate 99,646,897 downwards.
TCGCAGGGCTAGCAGGCAGATCTAGGGTATGCTTGCCTTTGTAACGAGCTCCTTATATTAAGATTTCTGTAACCAGCCAGGCGTGGTGGCTCACGCCTGTAGTCCCAGCACTTTGGGAGGCCAAGGTGGGTGGATCACGAGGTCAGGAGTTTAATACCAACCTGGCCAAGATGGTGAAACCCTGTCTCTACTAAAAATACAAAAAAAAAAAAAAAAAATTAGCCAGGTGTGGTAGCGGGCACCTGCAATCCCAGCTATTCAGGAGGCTGAGGCAGAGAATTGCTTGAACCCAAGAGGCAGAGGTTGCAGTGAGCCGAGATCACGCCACTGCACTCCAGCCGGGGTGCCAGAGTGAGACTCCATCTCAAAAAAAAAAAAAAAAAAAAAGATTTCTGTAACCAATTGGCTCCTATAGTCAGAGGAACCTGACCCAGGTGAATTATAAATCATTGTAAATGCAAGATGCCCTTCTCCCTGGTGAGGAGCACAGACATTCACCCTTTGGACACACATCCTCATTAACCCTCCCTTTCAGGAGCTCCATCCTTCAGCAACCCTTCTTCCCCCAGGCCACCCCAAACTCCTATAACACACCACTCCTCATTAGAAATTAAAAGGGGCTAAAGGAGTGCGATGACTGCTTAAGGTACAAGTAGATTTACTACTGAATACAGAAAAAATATAAAAGCAGTGCCTGATTATGACAGGATCCTGCTCAAAATAATTCACCAATAAGTTGCTTCTTTGGAACTGAAAATGAATTTTTCCCCATGGAAAAAATGTCACAAATGATGGTTAGGACCTCAGGATAGCTCACAAAAGCCCACTGAACCCCACAGTGTCCCAGGGTGCCACTATTTTAATAGCATGTTCATGGCAAACAGAATCCTAAGTTTAAATTAGGGAATTTCTCAGCCACAGGAAAGAAGATACCCTGACATTGCTGGTGGCTTATTCATGCCCCACACCCCTTAAAGAAAGCCCTCTCCCTGGATCAGAAATTGCCCTAAGGCCCCAAAAGCACAGGCGACCGAAGCAAAAATAGACAAATGGAATCATGTCAAGTTAAAAAGCTTCTGCACAGCAAAGGAAAACAATCAACAAAGTGAAGAGACAGCCCACAGAATGGGGAAAAATATTTGCAAACCATCCATCTGAGAAAGGATTAATAACCAGGATATATAAGAAGCTCAAACAACTCAATAGGAAAAAAAAAATTTAATAATCTAATTTAAAAACTGGGCAAAAGATCTGAACAGATATTTCTCAGAAGAAGACATACAAATGGCAAACAGGCATATGAAAAGGTGCTCAACATCACTGATCACCACAGAAATGCAAATCAAAACTACGGTAAGATATCACACCCCATTAAAATGACTTTTTTTTTTTTTTTTTTTGAGACAGAGTCTTGCTCTGTCGCCCAGGCTGGAGTGCAGTGGTGCAATCTCAGCTCACTGCAAGCTCTGCCTCCTGTGTTCACACCATTCTCCTGCCTCAGCCTCCCAAGTAGCTGGGACTACAGGCACCCGCCACCACGCCCAGCTAAGTTTTTGTATTTTTTTAGTAGAGACGGGGTTTCACCATGTTGGCCAGGATGGTCTCGATCTCCTGACCTCGTGATCCACCCGCATCAGCCTCCCAAAGTGCTGGGATTACAGGCGTGAGCCACTGCACCCGGCCTAAAATGACTTTTATCTAAAAGATAGGCAATAACAAATGCTAGCGAGGATATGGAAAAAAGGAAACCATCGTACACTGTTAATGGGAATGTAATTTAGTACAACCGCTATGGAGAACAGCATAGAGGTTCCTCAAAAAACTAAAACTAGAACTACCATATGACCCAGCAATCCCAATGCTAGGTATATACCCAAAAGAAAGGAAGGCAGTGTATTGAAGAGATATCTGCACTCCCATGTTTATTGCAGCAGTATTCACAATAGCAAAGATTTGGGAGCAACCTAAGGGGCCATCGGTAGCTAAATGGATCAAGAAATTGTGGTACATATACACAATGAAGTACTATTCAGTCATAAAAGAGAATGAGATCCTGCCATTTGCAACAATATGGATGGAACTGGAGGACATTATGTTAAGTGAAATAAGTCAGGCACAGAAAGACAAACTTCAACTGTTCTCACTCACTTGTGGGAGCTGAAAGTTAAAACAATTGAAATCATGGGGACAGAGACTAGAATATTGGTTATCAGGGGCTGGGAAGGGTAGTGGGGTAGAGGAAGGAAACTGGGGATGGTTAATGAGTACAAAAATCCAGTGAGATAGAAAGAAGTAAGTTCTAGTATTTGATAGTACAACAGGATAACTACAGTCAACAATAATTTATTATATATTTAAAAATAACTACAAGAGTATAACTGGAATGTTTGAAACACAAAGAAATGACAAATGCTTGAGGTCAGAGATACCCTATTTACCTTGATGTGATTATTACACATTGTATACCTATATCAAAACATTTCATGTACCCCATAAATATATACACTATGTACCTATTAAAATTTTTAAAATAAATAGTCTTAAGGTAACAGTTTTCAAATTTTTTTTTACTGCAACCCACAGGAAGAAGTGTATTTATAGTGAGAGCTTGCACATGCATACATACACCATATATACATACATACACCACATATACATACATACACCACATATACATACACCACATATACACATACACCACATATACATACATACACATGTACATACATACACCACATATACATACATACACCACATATACATACATACACCACATATACATACATACACCACATATAAAAAACCAAAAGTTTCATAAGACAAAATGTGTGATGGGCTCAGAATTGAATATTTCCTATTATGTTACAGTTCTTTTTTTTTTTTTTTTTTTTTTGAGACAGAGTCTTGTTCTGTCGCCCAGGCTGGAGTGCAATGGCGCAGTCTGGATTCACTGCAACCTCCGCCTCCTGGGTTCAAGCGATTCTCCTGCCTCAGCCTCCCGAAAAGTTGGGATTACAGGCGCCGCCACCACTCCCAGTTAATTTTTGTATTTTTAGTGGAGACGGGGTTTCACCATGTTGGTCAGGCTGGTCTGCAACTCCTGACCTCATGCTCCACCTGCCTCAGCCTCCCAAAGTGCTGGGATTACAGGCGTGAGCCACTGCGCCGGGCCTATGGTTCATTTTTTAAAACGCTCATTGTGACCTAATAAATTAACTTCCCAGATGACTCATGGGTTTGGACCCACAACATAAAACACCACTGCCCCAAACAATCTGAACCGAGGCGCACAGAATAGTAAGTGGTAGCTACTGACATTGAGTCTCACAACTTCCTCCACTGGACATTGAAATTATAATTATAAACAGAAATATAAAATTGAGACAATTTCTTGAAAATGTTTCAGAAATGCATATGCCCCTTGGTTTCAGGCTTCTACCTGTTTTAGCTCTTCTTTTTCTAACTGGTTGAAAATGCAGGTATTGGCAGAAAACCTGAGGATAATTACAGACCCTAGATGACAAAGACAGAGATGGCAAATCATGCTGATGAAAAGCCTGAAGATCTGTAAATCAGAAAAACAAAATTCCTGGTTATTCAGAATATACAGACATCATTCCAATCAAAACTTGGCCTTTGGCACCGGAGCAGTGAGGCAAACTGGCTGGTCATGAGAACAGGCATTACTTCTGGCCACTCCAGAGGCAGGTGGAAGCAGAGCGTCCAAGCCTTCAAGCCCCTTGGTCTTGGTACAGACCTACTGCCTTTCTCTCCAGAGGACAGTCAAAAGATTCTGGGTTAGGGATGCCTCTGGAGACTCTAAGGACACTAAGCAGCTTAAAAGGGCTTCTATGAGCCCATGAGTAAAGTCCTCATGCAGGCCTCACCCAGCAAGCAGTTGAGCTCAGTGTATTAGAAATGAGAGCAGCCTGCGCAACATAGTAAGACCTTGGCTCTACAAAAAATAAAAAATTAGCCAGGCGTGGTGGTGTATGCCTGTAGCTGTAGCTAGTTGGGAGGCTGAGGTGGGAGGATGGTTTGAGCCTGGGAGGTTAAGGCTGCAGTGAGCCAAGATTGCACTACTGCACTCCAGCCTGAGCAACAGGAAAAAAAAGGAAAGAAAATAAAAGAGCAACGGAGGAAGGGAGGGAGGGAGGGAAGCAGGCAGGCAGGAAGGAGAGGCTGGGCATGGTGGCTCATGCCTGTAACCCCAGCACTTGGGAAGAATGAGGCAGAAGGATCACCTGAACCCAGGAGTTTGAGACCAGCCTGGACAACATGGGGAGACCTCATCTCTACAAAAATAAATTAAAAAATGAGCCAGGCCAGGTGGCACACACCTGAAGTCTTAGCTACTCGGGAAGCTGAGGTGGGAGGATTGCTTGAGCCTGGGAGCTGTGACCTGCAGTGAGCTGTGATCGTGCCACTGCACTCCAGCCTGGGCAACAGGGCAAGATCCTGTCTCAATAATAATAATAATAATAACAATAATCATAAAAAATAGAAATGAGCCAATACTCTGATTTTCACCCCAAGATGGATTCAAGCAACATTCCCAAGACCACCGCCAGCCCTCCTACAACCAGCTTTGGCTGATGGTGACTGAATATGCTCGGTGCCCAGGGTCACCCTCACTAGAGGCACGCCTCAGCCAGAGCACAGCACTGAAGAGTCAGCATGCACAGGGCTGAGGCCACCGCCCCCTGCAATGAGAATGGGCTCCCCAGCCAAATCTACCCACAGCTGGGGTCATAAGATGAGAATCCTTCCCAGCAATCCCTCAGATTCCTCTTTCCTTGTGTCTGAGAGCCTGGTACCCTCACAAGTGTTCTTCCCCAGGGTGTCTGTCCTCCTTGAGACATGTCCTATGGGTTTTCATCCCCATATGTGTTTTCTGCATTGTCATATTTTAAATCCCATTCAAGAGACTGCAGAACATTATTTCCAAATTTAATTTCATATGGTTTGAATGACATTTCCAAAAGGAAAATGCACCAATCTCAGAAATGTTTTACTCCACTGATTCATTCTTAACTTTCCATTTCTGTACCTTCTTTCCTTCTTGTGTTGGACTATTTTTTTTTTAAAGATGGAGTCTCGCTCTGTCACCCAGGCTGGAGTGCAGTGGTGCGATCTCAGCTCACTGCAAGCTCCACCTCCCGGGTTCACGCCATTCTCCTGCCTCAGCCTCCCAAGTAGCTGGGACTACAGGTGCACGCTGCCATGCCTGGCTAATTTTTTTTTTTTTTGTATTTTTAGTAGAGATGGGGTTTCACCGTGCTAGCCAGGATGGTCTTGATCTCCTGACCTCATGATCCGCCCACCTTGGCTTCCCAAAAGTGCTGAGATTACAGGTGCCTGCCACCGTGCCCGGCTAATTTTCTGTACTTCTAGTAGAGACGGGGTTTCACTGTGTTAGCCAGGATGGTCTTGATCTCCTGACCTCGTGATCCACCCACCTCGGCCTCCCAAAGTGCTGGGATTACAGGCGTGAGCCACTGCACCTGGCCGTGTTGTACTATTTTTAAGAAATAAAGTGATTTTTTTGGTATAATAAATAATGGGAAGATGCACAATGTCAATACCAAACTTAAATAGCTTTGATTCATTTGGGTTCCCACCTTCATCCACTTATAATTCATTTTAACCTATAGGTTATAAATGATTAATTACTCATATTTTAAAATCATCAAAAAACTTATATCATTGAGGTTGTATCAACTACAAACAATGTATGACTGTAGGCTTGCACTGGTGATCTGAGAAAAGGCTCCCAGCAGGACTGAAGGCAAGAATATTCAGAGAACGCTCAATAGAAAACTGTTACATACTTTTCAAATTTTCATTTGGTGATATGATTCATAAAACCAACTAATGAGAATTCTATATTAGAAAAACAATATATGTAAACCAAAGTAAAACTAGCTACTAATTTTTTTGTTAAGTCCTCCCATAAAGGGAATGTTTTCCAGAAATGTGTTAGCAGGAGTAGCTTGGATCTGCACTGTCCACCATATATTCGTATATATCCACGTGTGCATTTAGGTGCCTAGGTCTATATCTGGGTACATGCATACAAATTTCCTGAGCAGTCAAAATCCTATTGGTCGTAAGACAAAAGAGCAGGGGCACTGCCCATGAAGTTATCAGATCCAGGCCTTCAGTTTCTAATTGAACACTTCAGGGCTACTTTTATCATGTGTCAACTTGAAACCCACACTCAATTTTTCCTTTTAAACCATGTTGCGTCTGTAATACAGCAATGTTTTGGATATACTGTGGCAAGCTCTGCTAGGAATACTCCTTTAGAAGCAGAGCTTAACCAACGCTGAAAAGGAGGGAAGCCTGCTAAATGTTTTCACAGCTGTCAACTACTCAAAAGAACACTACAGGGAAAAACCACATTCTCACACTTTAACTATTTTCCACTAGCCTTAGCAATAAGGCAAACTATTTAAAACTAGTAAATATAGATTTAAATAAAACACAAAAGGATATCTGATACAACAATAAACACCCTCAGCCTAACATTAGTGAACCTAGTGAAACATTAAAGATAATATTTTACGACAATGAACATAAAAAACCATAGTGAAATGTACTTAGCTCCAAGATAAATGATTTTTTAAAACCCATAATATGATGAGCAAATATATTAAATCTTAAGTATGCAATTGTCCAATCTATTCAATTGGCTTTGTGTGAAAAAAGAAACAATTATTTTGAGTTAGACAGGTACTTTGGGCATTAGTTTTCATGATTAAAAAACAAAAAATGAACAAATTCAAGTTACTTTTATAGTATCAAGAGAGATTAAAGTCAGATTATTCTGTTTAATTAAAGTCTAAACTACATAGAGAATAGAAATGTTCAACTATGTATATGACAATCACATGCCTGGAATTTTCCTGCATAATTTCACTTTTGAATATTTTATCCCATTATCTATTTCCTAAATATATTCAAATCATGTACTCAGGCTATGCATACAATTTTTCTTTAAGATAATGTCTTGCTATGTTGCCCAGGCTAGAGTGCACTGGTACAATCATGGCTCACTGCAGCCTTGAACTCCTGGGCTCAAGTGGTTGTCCTGCCTCAGCCTCCTCAGTAGCTGGGACTACAGACACATGCCACCATGCCCAGCTAAGTTTTTAACTTTTCTTTTGTATAGATATGGTCTCGCTGCGTTGGCCAGGCTGGTTTCAAACTCCTGGCCTCAAGCAATCCTCCTACCTCGGTCTCCCAAAGTGCTGGTATTACAGGTAAGAGTCACCACATCCAGCCCAAATTTGTAGTTCTAAAAATAGAGTTGCCTCTGTAGGCAAAAGGGATGAGTTTTATGTTTATCTTAATTATTGTTTTTGTCTTCTGTTACATATAAATGCATTTACATGACTGCTAAACCATCGGAGCACTCCTTTAAAAATGACTCTAAATGCTTATGTCCTTGGATTGGAATTGGCCAAGGATTTATTGTTATGGTTACCAACAATGCATAATTAAAGCATAGTAGAGTTATTTTAGCTTGCTTAGAGGTTTATATTCCAAAGAGTAATGGAATCTACAAATAACAATACACACATTGTGTGGGCATTAATGACCATGCTGCGTGTCCACAGAGTGACCACAAGCCCCGGCTTGCCTGGACGTCCTGGCTGGCTCCTGATGCCCCAGCATCTATAACAGTACTCCTTTCACTCTCAAAAATATCCAGATTAGGATGATAAATTCTAACCTGGATATTTCATCTATATGAAGATTCACAGATTGCCGGTTTTCCAATGGCCTTTATTGTTACATCATCAGGGTCTTCAAGCAGATGATTTTTTTCAAAATGCAGTTGACTCAGACCTAAAATTCAGCCTCAAGTGAAAAAGCATACATAAGAGACAAGGCGGGCATGGCCTTGTCGAAAGAGCCCCAGCTTTGGAACAGAACCTGTGGTTGCGATCCCAGCTCAGCCCCTTAGTTTGGTACTGGGGAAGTTCTATCCCCCTTCTGCTCCTTGGCTCTCTGACCCAGTGATGGGAAGGTTAACTGATGGATTGGCAACCTGTGTGCCAGCTCATGGGGACCTAAGAGTCATACTACCCAGGTTCAAATCCTAATTCTATCAATGCTAAGTTACCTCAGGCAAGTAACTTAACCTTTCTGTGTTTCGGTTTCCTCCTTGGAAAAATGGTAACAATAAATAAAACTTATCTCACACAGTTGTTGAGAGTGCTACATGAAATAATGTTGAAAATGTTAGCACAGTGCCCAGAGCATAGTAAGCTCTCAAAAAATGTACACAGGTATGTGGCTACAGATTTTATTCTTGCTTAATATTTCTTTGTGGGACTGTTGGGCAGATACTGTTCTGATCACTGCGAAATCCCGCATGTCTAGCACAGAGTCTGAAACACAATAGGTAGTTAATAAATATTTGTTCAGATGATGTTGTAAAATGCATAAGGCACACATATATTGTGTGTGTGTATGTCTATGTAATATTTTACACAAATAAATAACTTTCAATAATTTGGAGTAAGAAAAGAGAAGCCCATCTGAATTAGTAAAAAGAAATGCAAAGAGAATTACTTGTCAACCACAGAAAGCAAGTAGAAGGTTAACAGGTGTAGTTTAATAGCATCATTAAGCTGGGCACAGTGGCTCATTCCTGTAATCCCAGCACTTCAGAAGGCTGAGGCAGGGGGACCATTTGAGCCCAGGCATTTGAGACCAGCCAGGGCAACATGGGGAGACATCTCTACAAAAAATTAAAAAATAAAAATTAGCCAGGTGTAGCTGGTGGTCTTAGCTACTCAGGAGGCTAAGGTAGGAGACTCACTGGAGTCTGGGTGGTCGAGAATGCAGTGAACCGCGATTGTGCCATTGCACTCCAGCCTAGGCGACAGAGCAAGACCTTGTCTCAAAAAAAAAAAAAAAAAAAGGCACTGTTGACTTGGATAACTAGATAAGAATGATCCGTAACTGGCTTCTTTGTATGCAAATTAATGCATCTGCTATGTTTAAAAATTCTCCTTGAAAGCTTTTCAGAAATATGAATGGATGTATGTATACGGATACACACAGACATCATTCATAAATATATATTCACACTTTGTAGGAATTTTATGGTTTTATTATTATTATTTGAGATGAAGTCACACTCTGTAGCCCAGGCTGGAATGCAGTGGCGCGATCTCAGCTCACCGCAACCTCCACCTCCTGGGTTCAAGCAATTCTCCTCCCTCAGCCTCCCAAGTAGCTGGGATTACAGGTGCGTGCCACAGCACCTGGCCTTTTTTATTTTTAGTAAAGACAGGGTTTCACCATGTTGCCCAGGCTGCTCTTGAACTCCTGACCTCAGGTGATCCACCCGCCTCGGCCTCCCAAAGTGTTAGGATTACAGGCGTGAGCCACCGTGCCCGGCTATGGTTTTAAAAATTACATTCTGTGGCAACTTTTTTCTTCTTTACCACATTTCACTGGCAAGACAGGGAATATGCAATATGCTGGAAAGACTGGATTTGACAGAAATGGCTTAGGGCAGTGATAACACTGATTGATACACCTCCAGAGATGGGTTTTCATGGAGAATTTTCAACACAGGGAGAGGAGGGGCTTAATAATTGGGAATTCTTCCACTCAACCTTAGCACTTTCATCTTTGGGTGAGCACAATGGCAAACTGGGTAGCCTCTATTACCCTGGCACTTACAAAGATAAAGTTTAAATTAGGTTGGACACAGTGGCTCATGCCTGTAACCCCAGCACTTTGGGAGGCGGGCAGATCACTTGAGACCAGGGGTTCAAGACCAGCCTGGCCAACATGGCGAAATCCCGTCTCTACTAAAAATAAAAAAATTAGCCAGGCATGGTTGCACATGACTGTAGTCCCAGCTACTCAGGAAGCTGAGAAATGAGAATTGCTTGAGCCTGGCTGGGGGATGCAGTGATGCAGTGAGCCAAGACTGCACCACTGCACTCCGACCTGGGCGAGAGAGTAAGTCTAAAAAAAAAAGTTTAAATTAGACCGCAACCACACTCAGGACCTGTCTTGCTAATACTCCATCTTGCCACTGTGACTATAATGGAGTGAAGGCATGGAGAGAATCCAGAACCACTAATTTTTCCTACTTACCCCTCGTAGAACCATCATTTTATCTGTACCCTACCCAAGAAAAGAAGATCCAAGGCATACTGTGCACAACAAAGTTAATAATATCTGCTACTACACATGAAATGTCTTACTTTAAACCTTGCCTCTTAAAATCAGAGATCTCTCTCTAAAAGGAGGGGGCCAGGAATGTAGTGGCTGATACTCAAACAGCCCTGGCAAGAGGAATGGCTCAACAGTGGGGAGCAGGTGTCCCAGCTGCCAGGGAGCAGATCCCACTGTCCAAGCAGAGTTGGCCACGTGAACCTGTGCAGAAGGCACTGGAGGCCCTGCCCAGCCCAGATGTGCTGGCACTGCATCAGCTGAAGACAGGCTCACCAGGTCCCACCTCTGTTTTCAAGCATCAGGAGCTAACAGGTGACCTTTCTATATTGACCACTCAATATTTTCTTACCAGGACTTTAAGACCTTGGTAAACATTAATAATTCTATTTATGCATACATTTAATGATCTGCAGCAAGGGTGAGCAATGAAGGTTCACATAACTGCGGTAAAGTGTTTGTAAAGGTGCAGGTGGCATTTTGCTTGGGGAGATAAAATTGTTATTTCGAAAACATAATTTTAAGAGTCTCTGCTGAAAATATATATAAAGCTTTGAATTTCACATTACGTGAAATTCCACAATTAAAGTTAATATAATCACTCTTTTAACTTAGCAAATGTACTCTGTTAAAATTCAAACTCATTAAAAGTTGAATTCTACAAACATTAAGCACTGCTGGTCTCAAAGAATGTATAGTCTAATGGGAGAGAAAAACATTTAATCAAGTAAATGTTTAATCAACACAATGTTTAAAAAAGTGTTGTAAGAATAAAGCTATAATAGGAACCACACCAAGCACTTTATATATATTATCTTTAGTCCATCTGTCTCAGCAAAGTAAGCAGTAGTATTGTCACCATAAAGATGAGGAAACTGAGACTGGGGAGATTAAACAACTTGCCTGAGCTCATACAGCCAGTAAATGGAAAGACCAGAATTGAGACCAAATCTGTCCAACTCCAAACCCTGTCCTCTTCCCCCAGTCTTCATGGTCTCTCCAAGAGTAGGACAGAGCATTAACAAGAGTTATGGGAGGCCGGGACAGGACCACTCAGTTCAGCATGCTAGGGAATAGGTAAGGCTTCTAGGACATAGGACACAGCATCTCTGGAGGTGAGAATGATTTGCTATGTGAAGACAAGGAAGGAACACAGGAAAAAGCAATAAGCTGCGCAAAGCCAGGAGGGCTGAACATGTGGAAGGGGAGGCTGAATGGCCAGACCTGACCTCACTGGGAGATGAGGGTGGACCCTCACATGTGGAAAACAAGGTTGGACCTGGGTAGGGGCCAGGCTAGGAAGGCCTGGGCTAAAGACAGGACCTCACTCTGCAAACACTGGAGAAGTCTCAATTTGATCCTGGAAAAGGTTGGGGGTGTGGGGGGCGTGGTGCAGATTATAAAAATCATGACAGAGAAAGGCGGCAGATTTGAGAAGGATTTGGGTCAATTGACCTTGTTAATGACCCCCAGGTACATTTCATTACGAAGACCTAATGAAACGTACCTGGGGTCATTAACAAGGTGAGTTAAAAGGCGGACTCTCAGGCTGCTGGCTTGGGTGACAGAGCACACGATGGTGTCCTGATCACCCGAGATGGGAACCCAGGAGCAGAACCAGCCCTGGCACCCTCTGCAGCTGCCTGCCTTGGAGTAAGATTAAGCCAGACAGTGTGTGGGAACAGGAGTGTTCAGGAGGCCATTTTAGAGCAAGATGTGCCTTCCTGGAGCTGCCGCTCCGGGAATGAGCAGGGACGTCTGGGGATGGGGAAGAAGACCTAGCAATGGAAAGAAGGTGCCCAAGGCCAGAGAGCGCGATCTGATACCTCCTTCACAGCCTTTGTCACGTGACACAGTGTCCTGCTAACAGAGTAGGAAAGAAACCCAATCCTGACTCCCAGTCTACAATGTCTCGATTTCTGTCATATTCCTTACAAGGGAGAAACAGAACATTATTTTCTCATCTTGTATCAAGTATCTCTATTTTTCCTAGCTATTTCATGACATTTAAAAATTTATTTAAAAAAATAAGTAATACATCCACATTAAAAAATATTCAAATGATCAAAAGAAGCACAAAATAATAATTTAGTCTCCTTTTTCATACTCCAAGCTCTCAATCTCTTCCCCTTTTCCACGGGGAAGGTTATCACTGTTAAAGTTTTCTTGCGTGTCCTTCCTGAAATAATTGCTATATAAATATTTATTATTATTACTATTACATGTTTACATCAACACAGATGGATCTATCTGATTATTTTCTTCATCATTTCTGGTTCATTTCTTTTTATAGATCCAAGTTATCATCTGGGGTTATTTCCCTTAAGCCTAAAGAAATTCCTTTAGCATTTCTCATAGTCAGATTCTTTGCAACAAATTCTCTCAGTTTTTGTTTAATTATAAAGGTCTTTATTTGGGCTTCAATTTTGAAGGATAGTTTTGCTGGACGTAGAACCCTGGGTTGATATTTTGTCTTTCAATACGTTTACCTTCTACTCTCCACTGTTTCTGATAAGCAGTCGGCTGTTAGTTATATTATTGTTCCTTCTGTGCACCTTCTTTTTTTCTCAGGCAGCTTTCAGGACTTTCTTATTTTTGGATTTCAGCAATGTGGCTCTCATGTGCATGTGTGTGTTTTAATTTATCTTGCTGAGTGTTTGTTAAGGGATCAGTGAGTTAATGGATTTCACCGAATTTGGAACATTTCTGGTCATTATCCCCTCAAATATTTTTTCTGCCCTAATCTCTTTTTTGCTTCTGGAACTCCAACTATACATGTTAGACTGCTTGGTACTGTCCCACAGGTCTCTGAGGCTCTATTTGCTTTTCTTCAATCTTTTTCTTTTCCTCAAACTGAGTACATACGATTGATCTATTTTTCAGTTAACTTTGTCTGCTATTGAGCTTACTGGTAAAAATTTCTATTTAGTTCATGTATTTTCACCTCTCTTTTCATAAAATTCACAATTTTCACCATTTTAAAGTTTAAAATTCACAGTGCTGTACAAGCCTCACCACTAGCTCAAGAACACTTTCATCAACACAAAAGGAAACCCCATATGCATTAAACAATCACTTCCCATTCCCTCCTCCCCTCAACCTCTGGCAACCACTAACCTTTCAGCTCTTTTTCATAGCTATTTTTTTTTTTTTTTTTGAGACAGAGTCCTGCACTGTCACCCAGGCTGGAGTACAGTGGTGCCATCTTGGCTCACTGCAACCTCCACCTCCCAGGCTCAAGCGATTTTTGTGCCTCAGCCTCCCAAGTAGCTGGGATTACAGATGCGTGCCACCATGCCCAGTTTTGTATTTTTAGTAGAGACGGGGTTTTGCCATGTTGCCCAGGCTGGTATCAAACTCCTGACCTCAAGTGATCCGCCCACTTCTGCCTCTCAAAGTGCTGGGATTACAGGCATTAGCTACCACACCTGGCCTTATTTCTTTTCTTCTCTTCTCTTTTTTTTTTTTTTTTTTTTTTTTTGAGACAGGATCTTGCTCTGTTGCCCAGGCTGGAGTGCACTGGTATGATCTCGGCTCACTGCAACCTCTGCCTCCCACGTTCAAGAGATTCTCCTGTCTCAGTCTCCCACACCTGGCTAATTTTTGTATTTTTAGTTAGAGACAGGGTTTTGCCATGTTGGCCAGTCTGGTCATGAATTCCTGGCCTCAAGTGATCCACCCACCTGGGCCCCCAAAGTGTTGGGATTACAGGTGTGAGACACTGCACCTGGCCCATAGCTACTATTTCTAAGCTGATACTCCCTATCTGTTCATTCATTGTGTATACATTTTTATTAAGTCTTTGAATGTATTTATGGTAGATGCTTTAAAGTCCTTGTCTATTAATTGTAACATCTCTATCATCTTGAGTTTGGCTTCTATTATCTACTTTTTTCCCATTTCTACCTCTATCTAGTGGGGTTTTTTTGTTTTTGTTTTGTTTTTTTTGAGACGGAGTCTCACTCTGTCACCAGGCTGGAGTGCAGTGGCACAATCTCGGCTCACTGCAACCTCCGCCTCCCAGGTTCAAGGGATTCTCTTGCCTCAGCCTCTTGAATAGCTGGGACTACAGGTGCCCACCAGCACACCTGGCTAATTTTTTTTGTATATTTAGTAGAGATGGGGTTTCACTATGTTGGCCAGGCTGGTCTCAAACTTCTGACCTCAGGCAATCCGTCTGCCTTGGTCTCCCAAAGTGCTGGGATTACAGGCATGAGCCACAATGCCCGGCCTCTAGTGGTTTCTGATAGGACACTGGACATGATGATCGATATGTTATAGAGATTCCAGATTCTGCACATTTCTCTGAAGACTAATTTTTGTTCTAGCAGACAGCTAACTTGGCTGAACACAAATACCAAGTTCTGTCTTCCCTATGGTAGGCAGTGGCCAAGATCTTTGCTTAGTTTTTTTCAGGCTTAAAGCTGCTACTTTTTCACCAGGTTTGCAGACACATAGTTTAGTAGCCAACCAAGGATTTGTGCAATTTCATATGCAGATTTGGGTGTTTGTGCCCTCTGTAGCTCCCTCCTCTCTGGGGTTTCCCTCTTAATTTTCTGACTGCTCTGCCAGCTCTGCCAGTTTCTACCTCTGCCCTCTAACATCGCAATACAGTAAGGCTGCGGCTTTTGGCCACTTAATTAGCTTTGGGAGTACCTTCAGGTTAAAGCTACAAACCTGCAAACCTTATCCACCGCAGTTTGTCTTTTGAGGTAGATTCTCCTCCAGTTTCTGCCTGATTTTGCTTGCTTTCTGGTGACTTACAATAGTTTTTAAAAATACTTTGTGTGTGGCCAGGTGCGGTGGCTCACGCCTGTAATCCCAGCACTTTGGGAGGCTGAGGCGGGTGGATCACGAGGTCAAGAGATCGAGATCATCCTGGCTGGTCAACATGGTGAAACCCCGTCTCTACTAAAAATACAAAAATTAGCTGGGCGTGGTGGTGCGTGCCTGTAGTCTCAGCTACTCAGGAGGCTGAGGCAGAAGAATCGCTTGAACCCGGGAGGTGGAGGTTGCAGTGAGCCGAGATCACGCCACTGCACTCCAGCCTGGGCGACTGAGCGAGACTCCAACTCAAAAAAAAAAAATTTGGTGTGAATCTTACAAATCTACATAAAATACAGGGGGATTAGTACAATCAAGCTATTCTACCATTTATGGGAACTACCTTATTCTTTTTAACAGCTACGTCATTACTATGGTATGACTATCCCTGTATTTAATGAATCTTCAATTTATGGGCATTTGATTATATATACACACACATATATGTATGTAATATATGTATATATTATATATTTGCATATAAATTATATATGTGTATACATACACACACACACACACACACACACACACACACATAAATATTTGGAGACAGGGTCTGGCTCTGCCACCCAGGCTGGAGTGCAGTGGCACTATCTCAGGTCACTGCAACTTCTGCCTCCCAGGCTCAAGCAATCCTCCCACCTCAACCTCTGGAGTAGCTGGCACTACAGGCATGCGCCACCATGCGTGGCTAATTTTTCTATTTTTTGTGGAGACGGGATTTCACCATGTTGCCCAGGCTGGTCTCGAACTCCTGAGCTCAAGTAACCCACCTGCCTCTGCCTCCCAAAGTGCTGGGATTACAGGCATGAGCCACCACACCTGGACTTATTTTTATTAATATCTTTTTGGTAACGGTAAAAGAATCCTCCTTTCCAAAGGTATCCACAGTAGGTGGCTAAAGTGTAGTGGTTCAGCAAACATGCTTCAGAAACAGGGGTCTGGCTCCTGCTCCATCCCTTAGTAGGCATGTAAATTTGGATAAATTACTTAACTTCCCTGAATCTCACTTGCTTCATCTGTAAAATAGGCAAAAGAATATTTCCTCATGATAATATGAATGTATAAAAGTACAGTGCTTGGCATATAGAAAGAGCTCGGGAGACTGTAGTCTTCTCCAAGAATAAGAACAGGATTTAAGAGAGGGCAGAGCTGGGGTTAAGATCAACAATACAGGGCAAATGGGAACAAGAGGGCTCAGCTGGAATGGGAGGTCACAGGGGAAAGGTGAAAGAACAAAAAGAAGAAAGAAAAAAGAGAGGCCAAAAATAATATGTCTTTATACTAGGTAAGATTTCATCAAACGCTTTTCTTATTCAGAACTACTTTAGTCAAAACTTGTGAAATAGGCAAAGTTCATCCTTGCCAGCACTCCCCTGCCCCCAACTTCTCCACTTTTAGCACGTCTCTGAACCCTCTGGTGCCTGTGTTATAAATAGTCATGTTTTTCAGGGACTGTACTGACCAGCAGCCCTACTAAAGAGCCTTCTCCAACTCCAGGAACACCACTTCTCACAAAGATATTATTTGCATGATGAGTGACTCCAGAATAAACAGAAAAGAGGATTTTTTTTAAAAGGAATGGATTTGAAAGAGGCATTTGACAATTTATCAGGATGATACCTCTCTGAAAAAAGCATTGCTTAAGGGGCTTACATGACAGTTAAACAAGAAATGCTCCAAGCTGCTTCTGAAACAGAAGATGGGGCTTTGTATCCAGTATCGAATGTGCTTCTGCTAGATGAGAAAAATCCACTTCCAGCTTAGGCCCCCATCCTCCCAGGGGTGCAAGGCTACCTAGGCAGAGAAGCCACATCCAACTAACTTCGGGCACTTCTCAGATATGGTGGGGCAGGGGTGAGCAGAGCCTCTTCGACAACACAACTGAAGGCCCTGTACCTGGTGACTGAACAGGTCCATTAGCAGAGGTCACCCTCAAACCAGTAAATACCATCTCCAAGGAGAGGCGCTAGAACACTGTGAGATCCTCACAAGAGGGTAAGCACAACATCTCCTCTGTAAAGAAAGAAGACTCGACAAGTGGGCTTTAAAAAGGAACCCTGAGCAATAGGAGCCCAGGGACCAGAGCGTGCAGTGGTTTCACCCAGACAACATGATCTCCTGGGCTGGGGCCACCTCTCTCCAGCCCAATCCCATCTGTGTCCACTTTAAAGAAACAGTCTTTGAGATGAAGGACAGAAATATTAAAGGCCTACCCTTCCCTCTGTGGGAAGCCTCTCAAGCTGCCCATGAGAATCAGAATAAATGCTTCCTAGTGGCCAAAGAGACAAGCAGTGAAGTCCACAGTACAGAGAAGGAGCTGCAGATGGAATCAGCATCTCTCGATACCATATGACCCAGGAGCAGGAGGACCACCCAACCCCACAGCAGGGAGAGCGCTGCCCAGATAGGGGAGGGGATGAGGGCCAACCAGGGGCAATCAGGTAACCTGTCTAAAACCTGGAGGAGGGGGAAGGCGGATAGATGGGGACTTGGAGCACTGAGATTTCAACAGACGCATTTGTACTTGTCAGGAGGCAATGTCTACAGAATGGGTTCTTGAATTCTTCTCTAATCATCTGGTTTTCTTCATGGTTTCAGATAAAGAACCACTCTTAGGATGGTGAACAGAAACACTGAAGCTGGGATAGCCCCCTGTCAGGGCCATTTGTCATTTCCACAGGCCAAGAACCTGGACGCTGTCCCCACATTGGGGAACCCTCCAATGCATAAGCCAAATGGGAACTGGAAACACTTCCTTGTTCCCCCAACCCCAGGGCTCTCTCTGCCTGTCACACACGCCTGCCCCAGCAGTGGAATTCAGAGTCCGCGAACGAAGCAGCAGGAACTGGGCGGCAGTCGCTGTTTCAAGGTGAAAACACCCTACATTAGCTGCGACACTTACCATAGTCAATTTTTTTTCAACTAACACAAACATTTACAATTTTATTCTTACACTTGTAGCAAGGGCCCCTCCCTTTCTCTCCCCACTCCCATCCACAAAGGCAGAAACAGAAAATAACAATATCACAATAACCAGGAGGAAATAACTGGCCATTGTACCTGCCTTTTATAGACAGATGTTTCTTGGGATTTGCCCACAACACTTAAAGGCCCATTTGTGATTCTGATAACCTAAGACTTTAAACTCTATTACACACTGATTGCTGCCCAGAGCCTCAGGCTCCAGTTTACAAGCCTGTTCTGCCTTCCTGCAGGCTCTCTATGCTTATAAATGACACCTTCCAGTGTCTTAAAGTATGAAAGGCAGCTAGTCCTGAATTCCCAGGCTGCTAATGGTTTCACATAAAATGAGCTCCTACAATTTTATTACCACCCTGGTGCAACTTCACAGGTGAGGAGCCACCAGGGAAAGGATGAGGCCATGTCTCTCACTCCTGGCCTTCTGACTTTTCCAAGCACAAGGAACTTTTCCACTCAATATTGCAAATGACTGCTCCAACTCCCAAGGCTGCTGATTAATCCAAACAAGGTCTACTATATCACTTAAAGAAACCGAGAGTAAGTCATCAAGTCGTCTCTCTGGAGAGAGGGATGTTGTGAATTCACTTCCTAAATTCACAGCTGTAAAGCTGATTAGGCCACTGATCCTCTCTATTTTTACTTAAATATATATATTTAATGGGTATCAGTTCACTTTGCATGTTGGGAAATAACTAGTGGAAAATATTAAATTTCACATTCCAATCAGATATGCCAGACACGAGTTTTGTCTACAGGCTCACAACACAAAGATTATTGTACTTGGAGAAGTGATCGTGCTAACTACACAAGTAAAAATGTTCCGATGGGTTTTGTAAACTTCACGTTTTAGTACCTCTGCATTTATATGAAGTTTTAATAACACACAACATGCCAAATACAGCACCAGTGGGCTGCTTCTGAAAGAAAACAACTCCCAAAAGCCTTTAAAACAGAGTTGATTACCAGAAAATACATGAAATTCACATGTGCAGGTATATCTAACTTTCAGCATTTTCTTCATTTTGACAGTGACTTATGGCAGGCTAAATACGTGAATGCAGGTCTGAGATTATGTAGCAACATTATTTCTCCTGGGAGAAAAACAATCTAAAACCATACAAACTAATTTTTCAATTTTCAAAAGTGGTTGACTAATAAATGCTTAGTAGGGGAAACCTTAGTTTTTTAGTCTCTTTTAAAAACAGAAAAAGCAAATTAACTTTTAAATGCCAAGTGTGAAAAACAGTTCAATGTGGCAGACTCTAGCTTTAAAACTTAAAAAAAATTTCAAATTCAAATAAAACAAAATGCCACATAAGTGGCTTACATAAAAAAGACTTCAAAACCCAACAAAACTGAACTTAAAACTCGCACACAGAAAATTTTCCTTTTTAAGACCAAAGATCTTCCAAGACCATTTGTCATAGGCTTAGAAGTGGTGAAAACTAAACCAGCTGCCAAAAATTATTTACTTTGTAGCACCAACAACTAAGGATATAACACCCACTAACTGACCTGCCGAGAAAATGCAAGGTTAATTTATTCTGCATGCTTTTGATTTTACTTTCTGTTAAAACAATACTCATCATCACATTCAACGCTTTCTTTAAGTATTTTATCTTCATCAAAAATAAAGACGAGAAAGGAACACAGAAAAAAAGGAGGGGGTGGCAAGAAACAAATCCAGATGTCTGAGTCAGAAATTAAAGATTATCCCATTAATTAAATCTATGATAAAGTACTGATGAATACTCTTTTCCTCTCAAAAGTGTCGGATTAAAAAATGAAATGATCACAATATTTACTACATTTCTGGCATATTTTTATGCACTTTTTTTCAGATTCAAAAGCACCAGCCCAAACACAAAACCAGTGTGAACTCCGTGGACAGAAAGTTCTGAGCAGCGCCGGTACTAGATGAGTCATAACTGCAGACAATCCTGCAAGTGTAGCCACCACTGGAGCCAGTTTATTAGTCCCGAAATATATAAATTCTTTGTAACTGAAGCTCTGGAATGTCATGTCTTAAATTACATCCACCTGGGACTACATTCTGATGACCAATCGGGTAGATTACTGGAACTTGAAAACCTTACTTTTTTGGTAATTGACATTTAAACTGTTTGAAGTTTCTCATTAAGGTCTCTTAACAAATTAACTGCAGATGTAGGAAGCGAAGTACATAATACACAGAGAAGTGAAGTCACCTGAAAGCTCCAAATAACTGGCAGTATTTAAATGTACATTATAAGCACATTAAGGTGAGCATGAACTGGCCCCATAAGCTGCAGAGTTCCACCACGTTTTGTCTATTCCAATTAGGTTTCACAGCGCACTGTGAATGTAATTTAAGTAAAAGAGAAAGGCAAGGGGTTCAAATGACATGGGACTAACACTTAGGCCAGGTTACAGACTGAAAGGCTAACTTGATGGAGGCCGAAAGAGATTAAACATCTCCACTGGCTCCTTGTTGCCAATAGGATGTAAATCTGAAGTCAGTCCTGGGCTGGCCTGGGAATCCCTTCACAGTCTGGCCTCAACCTCCCCCGCTCTCAACGTCATGCCCAGCCCCTGGGAATCCCATACTCCACAATTACCTGCTCATAACTCCCCTACCGGGCCTGTGCCCTCTGCCAAGAACACTCTTCCCTCTGCCATACTTTAAACTCTGCCCAGAGGGCAGCTTCCCTGGGAATGATCCAGGTGCCCTCCAAAAGCCACCCCTGCCTCTGTATTCTCACAGCATTGTTGCACTGATCCCTGCTTCACCACCGGCCATGGCATCTTCGTTTCAGTCAACATTTACTCAGGATCTACCACAGGCCAAGGTACTGCACTGGCCACTTGAAGACTAAGACACAATACTGGTGGAATTACTCCTCCCAGGCCTCTTCCACGCAGCCAGCCACCTCACACCGCACCCTTCTTAGAAAGCAGGCAAAAGGAGCCCGTATCTCACGTGAGATGCGCCAAAGCACCTTCTGGAACCTGGCACAGCAAAGATCCTCAGGAAATGTTCTTCCCTTCTCTCTTCTTAGGAGCTGCCTCAGTAATGCTCGGAGCCTGGGACTCAGAGCCTGGGAGGCATGACTCCCGTTCTTGTCAGAAGAATGTATAAAGGAGGGACTGAATAATACAAAGATGTGCCATAGGTGCCTCTTACTTCATACTACTGGTATGTTTTAGAATTTTCTGTTACAAAAAATTGTTCTAGGAAATATTTTTCCATTTACCTATGTAATACAATCAATAAGTTCTGCAAGAAATGGCTTGTCCTTCCTAAAACCCAGATTTAAAAGTATTTTTTTAAAAAAGGGAAAATCGCATCAAGTAGTAAACCATATGGTTGTGAAGTTTCTTATCCTTCATTAACAATAATCCCTCAAATTATTAACATTTTTACTAATTCCCCAAACCAGTAATTAATAAGATGCACCTGTGTCAACAGTCCCGTTTCCACCTTTGTAAATCACTTCCTTGGCCGAACCCTGGGCTCCTCAATTAGCACATTAAATGTCTGCGGAGCCTAAACGCTGCTAATCCCTGCTGATCACTGGCGAGTTGCTAATGCTTAGTGGTTCCCACAGAAAAAAAATGTGTGGGGCCATGCAAGGTCTGAGAGCCACGCCAGTTAGCAGTTTCCCCCAGGTTCCCAGAAGGGACAGGGGTGAGTAAACATGGTGCCTGGTCCTCAAGGAGCTTACAGCCCGATGGACAGCAAACGAACAGCACAACTCCCAAGTCGGGGACTCCGCCCAAGACAGGCCAAGGTGATGAACCAGCTCCGATGGAGAAGGCATGAGAGCAGAGGAGCTCTTCCACACGCTGGCCATAAGGAGGGAACAGAACTGAGCCTATGAGTCCACACTTTCTATCATGCTTAATTTCAGTAATAACCTGGAGTGTCTGAGGTGAAGGTGGGGGAAGGATGAGAGTTGGGGAAAAACCAAAAACAGAAAGAATTTCAAGATAAAAGCGAATGTTATTTTGGATCCCGCTAAGATGCCTCCACTGAGCTGGAAGACCATGATTTTCTTAAAATACAGCTTCCCGATGCTGAGCTGGTCCTGTGTTGAGGAAGGGCTGTGTGTTCAACAGGTGAGAAGTTCTGAAATAAACAGAATGTAGGTGGGACAGGGAACTGGCTAGGGAGGATCTTTAGGCCACATGGACTCAGACTGGCCAAGCTCTCCCGGGGATATCTCAGCGCTGGGGTAAAGCCACATTCAGACATTGAGGTTTCCCCTCTGCCCACAACTCAACTGCATAAACCAACAATGTAAACCAGTTGTACGGAAGATGCGCCGTTTATACTTTTGAAAACTTTCACAAAAGAGAGAATACTGAGGAATCTAAAAACAACCTTGGCCTATGTTCAAAAATTCAAGCCAAGGAAACTTCAGATTTGATATCTTAAAATTAGCAGGAATGTTTAGACAAATCTATAATCTAGGAAAACATACATACACCCACACTCATGCATAAAAACTTTGCCTTTCCACCCGCTCATGTCAAATAGATAATTAGTGATGGATTCTGTTTACTGTGACCATATGATGATGCAGTCATTCAAGAATCATTTAATCAGTGCCTACTGTGTCAGGCACTGTGCTGGGCACAGGCATAAAGGGTGAACGTGGAGTTTCCAGCCCAGTGCAGGAGACCAAACATAACAGGGAGATGCACACATTCGTGGCTGGTGACAAATCATAAGTGCAATGAAGAACGGGGTGCTCTGAGGGAGGAAAAAGGCAGGGAAGGGAGGACATGCTTCAGGTGGTTACCCCTGTTCCAAAGACATGGCCTTTAGGTATCTATCTGATGTTGCTTTTTACATCCACTGTTTATTGGTGTTCTTATGAACTACATACACGCCATACCTAGCATTCAATGCATCATCTCATCTTTTTTTTTTTTTTTTTTTGAGATGGAGTCTCACTCTGTTGCCCAGGCTGGAGTGCAGTGGCACGATCTCGGCTCACTGCAACCTTCACCTCCCAGGTTAAAGCGATTCTCCTGCCTCAGCCTCCCGAGTAGCTGGGATTACAGGTATGCACCACCATGCCCGGCTAATTTTTTGAATTTTTAGTAGAGATGGGGTTTCACTGTATTAGCCAGGATAGTCTCGATCTCCTGACCTCATGATCTGCCCACCTCGGCCTCCCAAAGTGCTAATTACAGGCGTGAGCCACAGTGCCCAACTCATCTCATCATTTACTTCTAAATGGACCTTGGATCTGAATCCCCTGAGCCTCAAAGCCCATGGTCTCTGGACCTAAGGAGGGAAGTGTTAAAAAATAAATAAAGAAATAATAAATAAAAGCCCATGGGTGTTTGCCTTCCCTGCTTGAGGGAACAGGAGAAGGCCAATGATGCTCGGTAAGTGGACTGAGTGAGGAGCATGGAAGGCAGTGAGAGAAAGAGGTAGGAGGGAGAAGATCATATACTCCTTGGAGTCCAAGATGGGGGCCAGGGTTTATTATAAATGCAATAGGAAGGATGTGAAGCAGAGAAGTGAAATTAGACAATTTGTACATTTAAAAATGATTTGGAAGAAACCGCGAGAATACAACTTCACATCTACTAGGATGGCTGCAATAAAAACAATGGAAAATAGCAAGTGTTGGCGAGGATGTGGAGAAATCAGAACGCTTGTACATTGCTGGTGGAATGTAAAATGGTGCAGCCACTGTGGAAAACAGTTTGGTGGTTCCTCAAAAAGTTAAACATAGAATTACTATATGGCACAGCAGTTCCTAGGTATAAACCTAAAGGAACTGAAAACAAATACCTGTATATGAATGTTCATAGCAGCACTAGTCACAATCACCAAAAAGTGGAAACAGCCCAAATGTCCATCAACTGACAAATAAATTTAAAAAATGAGCCAGGTGTGGTGGTGGGTGCCTGCAGTCCTAGCTACTTGGAAGGTTGAGGCAGGGGGAATCACTCAAGCCCAGGAGTCCAAGGCTACAGTGAGCTATGATCATGCCACTACACTCCAGCCTGGGTGACGGTGCCACTATACTCCAACCTGGATGACAGAGCTACATCCTGTCTCTAAAAAATTAAATTTAATTTAAAAAATAAACAAAATGTAGTGCTATATCCATACAAAGGAATGGTAAATGCACAGAGACAGAAGACAGACTGGTGGTTGCCAGGGGTTGAGGAGAGGAGGGAATGGGGAATGGCCGCTCAATGGATAGAGTTCTCCTTTAGGGCGATGAAAATGTTTTGGAACTAGATGGAGGTGATGGTTGCACAATATGGTGAATGTACTAAAACAGCCTCGAAGAGTACACTTGAATATTGCCTGGAGGGGCACCCATACATGTAAACAATCCTTTTTCACAGGATTGTTTGCCACTAGGGTAGGGGCAATGGAGACAAAAAGAAAAGGACAGATCCAAGAGATGTTTTTGGAACCAACAGGTCTAGATGATAGAATGTACATCTTAATATCTATGCTGGCAGCACATAACATGAGAGGCAATGAGGGAACTCAGCCCATTAGATGGTCATTCCAAGAGTTCAAACCTGAATCTATAACAGTGGATGGGTATGCAGAATAATGGCCCCCAAAGATGTCCACGTCCTTATACCCAGTATTTATTGATATGTCAGGTTACATGGCAAAGTGGAATGAAGGTTGCTAATCAGCTGACCCTGAGTTGGGGCGACTGGCCCTGGTTATCCAGGTGGGGCCAACGTAATCACAAGGGTGCTTCTAAGTGGAAAAGGGTGGCAGAAGCAACAGAACCCGAGAGATGGCAGCAATGGGGAGAAGAATTCAGCCCACTGGGTCTGGCTTTGAAGATGGATAAGGAGCCATGAGCCAAAGAATGTGGGCAGCCTCTAGAAGCTGAAACAGGCAAGCAAACAGATCACCCCTAGAACTGCCAGAAAGAACACTCTCCATCCCTGTAAACACCTTGGTTTCAGCCCACAAAACCTAGGTCAGACTTCCAAACTGCAGAAGCATAAGTTAACAAATCTGTGTTAACTTAACCAAGGGTGTCCAGTTTTTTTGGCTTCCCTGGCCCCACACTGGAAGAAGAATTGTCTTGGACCACACATAAAATCCACTAACAACAGCTGATAAGCTAAAGGGAAAAAAAAAAAAATCGCCAAAAAATCTCATGTTTTAAGAAAGCTCACAAATTTGTGTTGGGTCGTATTCAAAGTCATCCCAGGTCACATGTGGCCCACAGGCTGCAGGGACAAGCTTAATTTAAACCACCATGTTTGCGATAATCTGTTACAACAGCAATAGGAAACTAATACAATGAAAGAAGAGTTGGCACCTGAAGGGGAAAATCAACAGGCCTGGCAACAGATGGGGTGTGGGTGGGAGAGGAGAGGAGGCATCAAAGACCACTGGGAGTTCTGCATCTCGATCACCTTAACACAGGGAAGGGTGACAAAAGTCAGCGGAGAGGTTAGGGCTCTCAGGGACGAGACAGATGGCTGGCTGAGGTGTCCAGGGAAAGAAGGCTTCCAGGAGGAAGTGGCACTGATGACTCGAGAGTGTGGGGCATGGTGAGTGGTGCATGTGGGCCACAGGTAAGCGGCCTGGGGGGAAATGGAAAGATGGAGGATAGGTGAGGAGGTGCGTACATGCCACACTAAGGGGCCTGGACTTTAGCGGCAGGTAATTGGAGGTCACTGGGAAATTTATGCTGTCCAAGGGGGTGGGCACCATGATCAGAGTACAGCGTTAGGAAGCTTAAAAAGTGTATTTATGTGTTCAGGGGTGGGGAGAAGAGGTTTAACGGTAAGGATTCTCCCAGTCCTCTGGTGCAGGCATGTCACCAGATTACCTGGTAAATTCCTGATGTTCTGCAGGACAAGTAGACACTGATGATTCAAACGCACAGCTTGGGACTTTGTCCAGAGAACATGAGGGGTGGCAGAGAGACTCCAAGCTTCTCCTATACCCATATTCTCTTCCTGGTAGAGGAGAAATTCTCTTGACTGGCTGACTCCTTTGTAGTTGAGGTGTCTGAAGAAGACATTTTCTTTCTTTTTTCTTTCTTTCTTTTTCTTTCTTTCTTTCTCTCTCTCTCTCTCTTTCTCTCTCTCTCTTTTTCTTTCTTTCTTTTTTTGAGACAGAGTCTCACTGTCACCCAGGCTGGAGTGCAATGGCAGGATCTCAGCTCACTGCAACCTCCACCTTCCGGGTTTAAGCGATTCTCCTGCCTCAGCCTCCTGAGTAGCTGAGATTAGAGGTGTGTGACCACCACGTTCAGCTAATTTTTGTATTTTTAGTAGAGACAGGGTTTTATCATGTTGTGCCAGGTTGGTCTCCAACTCCTGACCTCGTGATCCGCCCATCTTGGCCTCCCAAAGTGCTGGGATTACAGGCATGAGCCACCATGCCCAGTGAAGGCATTTCTTAAAATGTATAGCACTTGAGAAGGGCTACACATCTGACATCAGCACTGCTTGTTTTCTTGGGCTCACTGGTCATCCCTGCTGGACTGCTGGCTGATGGGCCCTAGAACAGGCAGACCCTATGAGAGCACTGTGGCTCTGGGCATTTGCAAGCCAGCTTGAGGGTTCCAAGTGAGCAGGGAACCCAAATGGAGCAGAAAAAAACTGAAAGAGGTGAAATGTAGGCCAAAATCAGGTATCCACTTCTGAGTCAAAATCAGACTAAAATTTAGGATATCTACCTTCTCTTTCTCCTGAGTTCTTTTAGGTTCTGCGTCTCCATACACCTGAATTATTTTAGAATCCTAACCCCTAGGCGCTGTGCTGTGTCCATCATAAGTCACTGGAACAAAGTGCCTGGTAGCACTCCCTGCTGCAGGCAGAGACACCATGAGGGTGCCGCCCCTTCTGAGGACCTAAAGGGTCAACACCACACAACCAAAAACATCTCCCTTAATGTCAGGAGAAGGCGGTAAAACCAATTGAGTGCAGGCTGTACCAATAAGTTTGGGGGAGGCAGAGCTTTTATCTTCAATCTCTGGTCAAATTGAGCTCAAATGGACCAAAATAACTTAGAGCTCAAAAAGCTATATACTTTTTATTTCTGAATTCCCCAAGGTCGTCTTACTTGAGGGCAATAATTCCTTTCTAGACTCTGGAATGTCAACTGGCAGGAAGAAACTTGTCCATCCTCCTTTTGATGGGTGAGAAAAATAAGGCACAATCTAGATAAGGGCCTTGAACAAGGTCAAGGGCCAACTGCGGGTCAGCATTGGACTTGAACCCCAGAGTATCTATCCAGGAGCTTCCTGCCTATAGCAGAGTTAGTAACTTGATTTTAAACTTGTTTTTGACAATTGTAAGAAAAAATTAAAGAGCACCTGAGGATATTAAAACAATTCTGATTTTTAGGAGCTAGAATAAGTTTCTATCTTAATATGAACTAAAAATATTTTCCTAAAAGTAGAAACCACCTGTCTTAGTCTGTTTATGCTGCTATTTTAAAAAGTATTACACACTGGGCTAATTTATAAACAACAGAAACTTACTTCCCACAGTTCTGGAGGCTGGGGAATCTAAGATCAAGGTGCCAGCCTTGGTGTCTACAGAGGGCTGCTCTCTGCTTCCAATATGGCGCCTTATTGCTGTGTCCTCACATGGCGCAGGGTGGAAGGGCAAGACTGGAAAACTCTCTCTGAAGCCTCTTTCCAATGATACTAACCCATTCATGAGGCACAGCCCTCATGACTTAACCACTTCCTACAAGGCCCCACTTCTTAATACCACCACAATGGGAATTAAGTTTCAACATGAATTTTGGAGGGGATACCACATTCAAACCATAGTACTACCCAGGAGTGATCTGTGACTGGCTAGTATAATTCAAAGAAATCCACTTTAGGCTTAAACTTAAACATCACATTTCTGTGCTCCACATAGAACATGCACTAACAATAGCCAAAAGGTGGCAGTGATACTCAAATGTCCATCAACAGATGGATGGATAAATAAAATATGGAATAGGCACACAATAGATTATTCAGCCTTAAAAATGAATGAAAATCAGATACCTGCTGTAACATGGATGCACCTTGGAAGATATTATGCTGAGTGAAATAAGCCAAACACAAAAGGACAAATATGTGAGTCTATGTATGTGAAGTACCTAGAGTAGTCAAATTCACAGTGAAAATAATGAGAATGGTGGTTACCAGGGGCTGGGTGGGGGGAAGGGAACAGGGAGTTAGTGTTTAATGGGCACAGGGTTTCAGTGTGGGAAGATAAAAAAGTTCTGAAGATGGATGGTGGTGACAGTTGTACAACAATGTGAATGTACTTAATGCCACTAAACTGTACACTTAAAGATGGTTAAAATGGGCCGGCCATGGTGGCTCACGCCTGTAATCCCAGCACTTTGGGAGGCCGAGGCGGGTAGATCACCTGAGGTCAGGAGTTCGAGACCAGCCTGGCCAACATGGTGAAACCCCGTCTCTACTAAAAATACAAAAAATTAGCCAGGCGTGGTGGCGGGCACCTGTAATCCCAGCTACTCGGAGGCAGAGGCAGGAGAGTTGCTTGAACCCAGGAGGCAGAGGTTGCAGTGAGTGAGATCGCACCACTGCACTCCAGCCTGGGGGCAGAGCTAGACTCCACCTCAAAAAAAAAAAAGTTAAAATGATAATTTTGTTATGTATAATTTACCAAAATAAAGAAAAAAAATCCACTAAATCTTTAGAAACACTCAAAATATTTCATTCCTAAATCTGTTCTTTTTTCCTTCTGCAAATTTATATCAGGCACTGCCAAGGATTGTTTTAGGTTCTGGATATATAGTAGCAATGGAATAAACCAAGTCCCTGCTCTCATGAATATCTGGGGGCTGGGGTAGGATACAGGCGGACAATAAACAAATAAGCATGTGATATGTCTGGTGGAAATGGGGCAATAGGAAAAAATGAAAACAGCAGTAAGGGGACAGGGTAGTGCAGAGGCTGCTTAGCGGGGTGGAGGCTATGTTGTACAGGGTGGTCAAGGAAGACCTCTCTGATTTGTGACATTTGAGCTGAGGCACAAAGGGACAGAGGGCTTCAGGCTGACGACACAGCCCAGAAGAGGAGGCCGGTGAGGCTGCAACAGGCTAGGGAGAGAGGAGGTCATAAGGAGGGCTGGAGCACAGAGCTACTTCTTCAGTTTCTCATAAACTTTTAAAGGGACCGTTTATAGGTCAGTATAGAAATATTTCCTCTACCATCCATGTGTCTTTCATTTGCCTTAAAATGAACAGAAAAAACTCTTACATCTTCTGAAAGGCGTTCGTGAGGGCAGCCTGCAGACTGCAGAGACTGCGTGCATCTCCCATTGCTAGAGCGGAGCGCCCTCCAGTGCCTCACTACGAAAACAGCACTTGGCATGGGGTTTTCTGTTTGCTGTTTTCATTTCCTAAACTTTTGTTTTTGGCCACAGAATAATGTGGGCATATCAACCTTCTCACAAAGAATACTGTGAGACTAAGTAAGAAGACAAGTCAAGTGTATGCTTTCAAACAAGCCTGCACTACTTCCAAAGTGGTACAAAGTATATGTGTGCAATGATGTTTTTAATGACCATATAAACTTTAAAAAGGTCCATAGAGAGGCCCTTATTAGGAAAAAAAAAAGTGCCAATTTTTAGCGTGAACTGTGAGTTAAACAGTAAACACAGTCTTCCGCTAAACTAAGACCCTCATTTTACTGGGGCTAGCAACGGGACAATGAAGTAGCAAGTACTGCCTTTTACACTTTTCAATATTTGGGGTTCTGAATATTAATACTGAAAAGTGTCCTGCAAATACAGACACCAGGGTCATTCTTCCTTCTCATTTAGACACAGTGAGGAGAAACAGTTAAGACAGACTTGCTCACTCAAGTATTCTATTAAAATAGAAACCTTACTTTCTAAGGAAACTTTCATTCCTTTATTATATTATTATTATTACTATTATTATTATTATTGAGACGGAGTCGCGCTCTGTCACCCAGGCTGGAGTGCAGTGGCATGATCTTGGCTCACTGCAACCTCCACCTCCTGGGTTCAAGCAATTCTCCTGCCTCAGTCTCCTGAGTAGCTGGGACTACAGGCATGCGCAACCACACCAGGCTAATTTTTGTATTTTTAGTAGAGACGGGGTTTCACCATGCTGGCCAGGCTGGTCTTGAACTTCTGACCTCAAGTGATCGGTCCACTTCAGCCTCTCAAAGTGCTGGAATTACAGGTGTGAGCCACCAATGCCCAGCCCATTCCTTTATTATTAAATAGAGCACCTCTGCCAATCTCAAAGACCTAACTAAGAGAAGGATGTTAACATGTGGTGTAGTTCAGAAGAGGTTCATGGCCACTTACAGAAACACCCATGGGCGGGCCCAGTGTGACAGCCAAGGCTGTCGCGGTAGCCAACAGGCCTTTTTAGGTCTGGAAACAGACTAAATGAACCTGGAACAGACTAAATGAAAACCTGGAAACAGACTAAATGAACAACTGTGGTTATACACATACAAATATATATGTGCTAGAGTCATGTGGAACAACAGTGAACATCATCACTGCTCCTAGATTAACATCGTTAAATGTAAACAAAACATAAAATCAGCTGGGTGTGGTAGCACATGCCTGCAGTCCCAGCTACTAGAGACTGAGGAAGAAGCGCTACTGGTGCCCAGGATGTCAAGGCTGCAGTAAGCTATGATAACACCTGCGAATAGCCACTGCAGTCCAGTCTGGGCAACATAGCTTCACCAGTCTTAAAAAAAAAAAAAAAAAAAAAAAAGCCAGGCGTGGTGGCTCACACCTATAATCCCAGCACTTCAGGAGACCAAGGCAGGCAGATCACGAGGCCAGGAGTTCAAGACCAGCCTGACCAACATGGTGAAACCCCATCTCTACTAAAAATAAAAAATAAAAATAAAAAAATTAGCTGTGCGTGGTGGTGTGCACCTGTAATTCCAGCTACTCAGGAGGCTGAGGCAGGAGGATCGCTTGAACCCAGGAGGCAGAGGTTGCAGTGAGCTGAGATTGTGCCACTGCACTCCAGCCTGAGCGACAGAGTGAGACTCCGTTTCAAAATAAACAACAACAAAAAATCAAAGCAGCTAAATTAACAGCTATTCTAAACCTGGTTTATGGTAGGGAGGATGGGGTGAGAAAGGAAGGAAGGAAAGAAGGAGGGAATGAATCTCAAGTCTGCATCATTCAAGTGAGTTATTTAATTGATACGCTATAACACATTCAAGTAGCAACATGAAATAAACTAAACCTGTTTGAATTACAGTGGATTTAAATTCATACCCAAGTGACCGATATGAAACCACAAATATTATTTCCTTGATTTCTTATTTATTGCCTAATAAAATTCTAAACTTCACAGGATCGTAAGCAATGTGTGGAATTAATGAGGAATTGTGTAACGGCAGAACACAGCTCCAGCTGCACTCAGGGTAGAAAAAAATGTTGTTTTTATAATTAACAACTTTTTATATGTTAAAAAATTTAATTAAACGTACTAATAGCTCCTCCCCAAGGAGCCCAGCTTGCTTTTCCGAGCCTTCTTAGAAACCTGCATTCCTAAATTTCAGCTACCAGCACTATGGGCTTCCTCACAGGGAGTCCCGCATAAAATGGCAACTTCTAGTGGCCACCACCACATTTAGTTAGGAAACTGTGTGACCAAAGGCTGTTTTCAGAAAGTATATCAGTCAGACCGTGGCTGTTCCGAAGCTATCACTGGAGACTGCTGAGGCTGAGCAGTGTCAGCTGCCCTGAGAGCACTCCCCATGGATATGGGTCATGTCTTGGCACAGGCTCACCCACAGCCATGTCTATGTCCTCACCTTTGAGGCTTCAGGTGTGCCTCCTGAGAACACACTACCTGCAGATATCCTGTTATTAGCAACTGACTACCATGAAATATTTCTAGACGAATGAAGTACTCGTGCCACTCAAACATTCTGCAGAATATGGGCACTAAGGAGAGTTATTTGCAAGGACAGAGTCTTCTCAGTGGCCACAGTTACTCAGTTGAGTCGGGTCAAGCATGTGGCATGAAACTGTCCTCAACTTCCCTCTGGATCCATGGGACAGAGAGAGGGAGGGAGGGATCTCTGCAGTAAAGAGTTGATCTTCAGGTCCCGGCCTCCCCCCCTGACTCCTTGGCCTCTCCCACAGAAAGTATGTGGGTAACTCAATGTCCTCTAGATGGCTCTGGTCCACGGTAAAACTCTACCACAGGATAACGGTATGTAGGAGCACGAGCCCCACACAGCTGCAACAGAGCCAGAGGCCAAGGTGAGGCCGTTCAGCAGGCACGGCACAGCTGAGTTGTTGGCAGAGACCTCCCTCGCAGCTACACCTGCCCGGGCAGGTGTAGCTCCCAATTCGGGCCCAGCCACCACAGCCAGTTCTTGCTCACCAGTTTGGCTGCTGCCCACTGGTTTTTGCTCAGGGAAATCTGATTTCCCACAAATTCCACTGTCCAGCCCAGGCATGTCCCCTACCCCTAGGCTACTCCTGGTCTGCATGATGTGCATACAACTGCCTTCCTGGTATTGCCGCTTCCGCAGGGTCTCCTTCTTTCTTTTCTCTTCAGCCCCACTCTAAGCAGTGGCCCTTCTTACTCCATTAAAGCATTCTGAATACTCTCTCTCGGTTCTAGAATGGAGGCCATTCCAGAAGACTCTTGCTCCAGTTCTTGAACCTGTGGTCTACCATCTTGGACCACTGGTCTTTTTATTCTTTCTCCCAGCTTCTGTCAATTCCTTTCCTTCTGGGCTCTGTATCCTGCCCTGCACTCATCCCCTCCAACTCCATCCTCCTCCCTGTTCCTAATAAGTACCCGTCTTCATCCACAGCCCTTTACTTCTCCACCTCTATGGTGAATGGCCATCCTGGTTTGCTGGGACCTAAGGGGTTTCTGGGAACATAAGGCATTCCATGCTAAACCCAGGACAGTCCCAGGCGACTGAGAGGATTGGGCCCTCTGCCTCCCAGGGCCATTTAAAATGACTTTCTGCCTCACAATCCAAAATATCATTTTTGTTTACACATCCCCTTTCTCACCATGCATTTGGGCAACTGAAGTCAACTTCTAATGATACCAATAAACATTTTAAAATATCTAACACTTCACATTGGCCTTTTAATACCAGTTCAAGTAGCAAAGAACACACATTCATCCTTACTCTGAGTGAGTTCTTTTTAATGTGATCATTTTTCCATCTCAGTCATGTTTACCCTGCCTCCTTTTCAGTGAGGTTTCTCCCCTTTCTCGCTCACTGCTTCCATTGTTCTCTGCCTTTCTCTCCCCATCGCTCCCTCTTCTCCCACCTCTGTCCTCCCTTTGGGTCCCTTCCCTCCCTTTTTCCCTTAGTGGCCTCACAGCAGTACAGAGGGACAGTAGTGGTTGTCACGGTAACCTCAGGAGGCTTCAAAGATGAAGCCAACCCTACAAAAGGCCTATTGGGACCCTGACAGGTAACCCCATCCAGGCCCCTCAGCCACCTTCCATGGCCCTGCTGCTTCCTCACACACTGTCCCCTTCCTGTTGACCCAGAATCTCAGGTACTTAGCTTGTAGTTGTCGCCTCTCTAAACTGTCTTCATCTGGTTTTTTCTTTACCAGATTCCTCTCCACCACGGCACTGCAAAATGTGAAGTACCTTCCTGGCACATTCCTTGGCTGCTACCACTGAACACATACAGCCAGGGAGCCCTTTTTCTTTTGGAGTCTTACTATGAATACTTTAGAAAACAGAAACAGAGTATCAACATAAGAAATGAAAAGAGATTACAGGTATCAGAAATCTTGCAAAATTTGCTAGAGGGAATTAAAACAATCCTTAGAGGGAATTTTGTTATTATTATTATTATTATTATTATTATTATTATTATTATCATCACTATTTTTAATAGAGCTTTGCTCTGTCACCCAGGCTGGAGTGCAGTGGTATCATCACAGCTCACTGAAACCCCAAATCCCCAGGCTCAAGGAATCCTCCCACCTCAGCATCCCAAGTGGCTAGGATCACAGGCATGAGCCACCACATCCAGCTAACTTTTAAAATTTTTTTTGTAGTGACAGCATCTCACTATGTTACCCAATCTGGACTTGAACTCCTGGCCACAAGTGATCCTCCCACCTCAGCCTTTCAAAGTGCTGGGATTATAGACATGAGCCACCAAGCATGGCTGTAAAGTAATTACTGAGTGCTTATATTTAGAAAGTAGACCCCGGATGGGTGTGGCGGCTCACATCCATAATCCCAGCACTTTCGGAGGCCAAGGTGGGTAGACTGCTTGAATCCAGGAGTTTGAGACAAGCCTGGGCAACATGGCGAAACCCCGTCTCTCCAAAAAATACAAAAATTAGCCAGACATGGTGGCTAATGCCTGTAGTCTCAGCTACTTGGGAGGCTGAGGCAGGAGGACTGTTTGAGCTTAGAATGTGGAGGTTGCAGTGAGCCAAGATTGCATCAGTGCACTCCAGCCTGGGTGACAGAGCAAGACCTTGTCTCAAAAAAAAAAAAAAAAAAAGTAGAAAGGTCTAAAATTAATTATCTAAATTTCCACCTTAAAAAGGTAAAGGGTAAATTAAACCCAAAGTAAGGTGAAGGTAGGAAATAATAAAGATGAGACAGAAATCAATGAAATAGAAAACAAAAAAAAGAGAAAAATCGATAAAACAAAAAGATGGTTCTTTAAAAAGAGCAAAATAACTCAAGCCAGGTGATAAAATAAAAAACAGAGAAAAAAGAATTACAAATATCAAGGATGAAGAAGGACACATCACTATGGATGACACAAACAGTAAGGAGATGACAGACTAGAGGCAGGGGTAAGGATTAACTGCAAATGGGCTCAAGAGAATTTGCGGGATGATAGAAATTTGGAGGGGGGCCTAACATTGGACTGTAGTGATGGGCCTATAAACTTACTAGAAATTATTTAATCACACACTTACAAAGGGTGAATTGTGTGGTATATACCTTTGTAGAGCTGTAAGAAAAAGGATAAGGAGTCAGCATGAACAACTCCAGGCACGTGAATGTGACAACTTAGATGAAATGGACATAGTCCTTCAAAGATACAAACTACCAAAGCTTACTCAAGAAGAACTAGATAATCTGAATGGCAATATGTCTATTAAAGAAACTAAATTTGTAGTTTAACACTTTTTCCACAAAGAAAACTGCAGGTGCAAACATTTACAGGCAAAATCTTACCAAATTTACACAAATTGTTTCATGAAATAGAAGCGGGAACTCTCCAACACATCCTATGTGACCATCACCATCCTAATACCAAACCCAGACCAAGGCAATATCAGAAAACTATAGGCGATTATTCCTTATGAACACAGATACAAATAATTTTAACAAAATTTTAGCACATGCAATCCAAACAATACATCACAATCAGTGGGGTTTATTCCAGGAATGCAATGGTCAGCTTAACTTTTAAAAAGTCAATCACTGTAATTTACCGTATTAACACACTGAAGAAGAAAAGCCTTATGATCAACACAACAGATGCAAAAAAAAATTTATAAATTCAAATCCACTCGATCAAAACTCTATGCAGGCTGACTTCAGCAAAAACTACAGAAAAAGGACCTTTGAAAATCCTATCCTCCATAAAATCAACAAGAATATTGGCAAAAATTGTCAGAATAAACTTTTTCAGAATTCTAGAAATTAAAGACTTGCAGCAATATAGGGATCATTTATTCAAGAAAAATGTATGAATCTCAGTAAGAACAGCAATTGTCGTGGGGGTTTAGTTTACCCTATCCCTCTTCCCCAGCTCTGTGGTAGACTTGAAAATCAATAGCCCCCATCACAGTGAAAACCAGCAGCATGGCAGCCACTAGAGGGGGAAAGCCCCATTTCTGGAAAATGTCACTATTTGACCTGTCTTGTGGTTCCTTGGAAGACCCTACTTGTAAAACTGTCTTTAATTGACCTGACTCAGAGCTTGCACAGTGGGAACAGTATTTTCCCGGAGGGCATTTGTCCAAACAATCAGAAGTACTTATTTACCATCACAGCTACTTGAGATGGAAGATAACAGGGTAAACAACAGGCTAACCAAAACACTTAAAAGGCAAAAATGGAGAACAAGATACCCATAGAGAGCTCTGAAAAGTTGTGACATGTTCCTGAGACTCTAGGAGGCCACGCACATGTGCAGGGCTGTATACCGGCTAAGGAAAGACCTTAAGTGCTCATGTCTAGCTAACCTTCAGTCTCTGTGGAAGCAGGACAAACTGTGGCTGAATGTTGAAGACATGTCCTGACACACACAGAGTCCCTCAGCAAAGACTAGGAGACTTACTGGTTCCAGGAATTTAAGGAAACCTTTGTCTAATTGTTAGACTACTAAGCTAACCAAGCAGAGACCTCGCTGGTTGCACATGACAAAGAATACAATGCAGAATTAGTTTATTAAAGTCACTAAGCAAACAACAACAACAATAAACCCTGGCAAAAGGGAGAAATCTGATTTCCAGAGTTGCCCCATTATATTACTTAAAATGTCCAGTTTTCAAAAAAATATACAAGACATGCAACGAAAAGAAAGTATGACCTATACACACAGGAAAAAAGTAGTCAGTACAAACTGTCCCTGAGGAAGTCCAGATGTTGGACTTACTAATTAAATCATCTATTTAAAGTATGTTCAAAAAACGAAAGGAAACTATGCATAAAGAACTGAAGGAGTCCAGGTGCAGTCGTTCATGCCTAGAATTCCACTGCTTTGGAGGCCAAGGCAAGAAAATCATTTGAACCCAGCAGTTCAAGACCACCCTTGGCAACACTGCAAGACTCTGTCTCTTCAAAAAATTTAAAAATTAGCTGGGCATAGTGGTGTGTGCCTGTAGTCCCAGCTACTGGGGAGGCTGAGGCAGGAGGATCACTTGAGCCCAGGAGCTGCAGGCTGCAGTGAGCTACGATCTCACCACTGCACTCCAGCCTGGAGACTCCGTCTCTAAGAGAAAGAAAGAAAAAAAGAACTAAAGGAAAGTATGAGAACGATGTTTCAGTACATAGAGAATATCAATGAAGAGATAGAAAGTATAGAAAAGGGCCGGGCATGATGGCTCATGCCTGTAATCCCAATACTATGAGCGACAGAGGCAGGCAGATTGCTTGAGCCAAGTTCGAGACCAGCCTGAGCAACATGGCGAAACCTGATTTCTACAAAAGAATAGAAACAATTAGCCAGGTGCAGTGGTGCACACCTGTAGTCCCAGCTATTTGGGAGGCTGAGGTGGGAGGACAGCTTGAGCCCAGGAGGCAGAGGTTGTAGTGAGCCCAGATTGCACCACTGCACTCCAGCCTGGGTGACAGAGTGAGACTCATTCTCCAAAAAGAAAGAAGTTCTGGATTAAAATGAAAATGATTTGAGTTGGAAGACGGAGCAATCAGCAAACCTAAAAACAGGTCGGCTGGGCACGGTGGCTCACACCTGTAATCCCAGCACTTTGGGAGGCCAAGGCAGGTGGATCACGAGGTCAGAAGATCGAGACCATCCTGGCCAACATGGTGAAACCCCGTCTCTACTAAAAATACAAAAATTAGCTGGACGTGGTGGCGCGTGCCTGTAATCCCAACTACTCGGGAAGCTGGAGCAGGAGAATCGCTTGAACCCGGGAGTCAGAGGTTGCAGTGGGCAGAAATTGCGCCACTGAACTCCAGCCTGGTGACAGAGCAAGACTCTGTCTCAAAAAAAAAAAAAAAAAAAAAAAAAACAAAGACAGGTCAATTGACATTGTCCAGCCTGAGGAACAGAAAGAAAATGGAACAGTCTCAAAGACCTGTGGGGTTCCATCAACTACACCAACATATACGCAATGGGAGCCTCCGAAAGAGAAGAGAGAGATAAGAGAGTAGACTTTTTTGAGAGAACAATAGCCAAAAACTTCCCAAATTTGATGTATACACATCCAAGAAACTCAATAAACTTCCAAGAGGATAAACTCAAACAGATCTACACACATCATAATAAAACCACCGAAAGACCAAGACAAAGAGAAAATCAAGCAAAAAAAAAAAAAAAAAAAAAAAAAAAAAGACTCATCACTTACATAGAACCCTAATAACATTAACGTCTGAATTCTCATTAGAATAATGGAGGCAAAAAGACAGTGCGATAATACGCTTTAAAATGCTCAAAGGAAAAAAAATGCCAATCAAGAATCCTATATTCAGCGGGTAGACATGTCGAGAACAGACCAGTGTGCTAAGGCGGGTGAGGAGCACTGAGTTAACCCCCAGCGTACTGGCGTGGGGACTGTGTGCGCTCACTGGACCCGCTACTGAACAGGTCACAGACGCTGGCCCCCTCAAAAGGCGCCAGAAAAGGACCCTTCTGGACCAGCCTGGATACACTGCCTGAGCTGCTCCTCTAGGGCGAGGGGTGACTCCCCTGTGCCAGGGGCAGCGGAGGAAATGGGAAAGTGGGATGCATAAGACTAGGTGGGTCCTCCCATAGGACATGGGTGACTGAAGAGTCACAGTGCAAGAAGACGTAAGAAGTTCAGACCCAGGCCGGGCACGGTGGCTCACGCCTTTAATCCCAACACTTTGGGAGGCCGAGGCAGGTGGATCACCCGAGGTCAGGAGCTCCAGACCAGCCTGGCCAACATGGTGAAACCTCGTCTCTATTAAAAATACAAAAATTAGCCGGGCATGGTGGCGGACGCCCTGTAATCCCAACTACTCCGGAGGCTGCGGCAGGAGAATCACTTGAATCCGGGAGGCGGAGGTTGCAGTCAGCTGAGATGGCGCCATTGCACTCCAGCCTGGGCGACAAAAGCGAAACTCCATCTCGGAAAAAAAAAAAAAAAAAAAAAAAAAGAAGTTCCAGACCACCAGGCCGGCCATGGTGGCTCACGCCTGTAATCCCAGCACTTTGGGAGGCTGATCCGGGTGGACCCCCTTGAGGTCAGGAGTTCGAGAACAGCCTGGCCAACATGGCGAAACTCTGTCTCTACTAAAAATACAAAAATTAGCCAGGGGTGGTGGTGCACACCTGTAATGCCAGCCACTCAGGAGGCTGAGGCATGAGAATCGCTTGAACCCAGGAGGTGGAGGTTGCAGTAAGCCGAGATTACACCACTGTACTACAGCCTAGGTGACAGACCGAGACTCTGTCTCAAAAAATAAAAATAAATAAATAAAGAAGTTCCAGACCAGGAGCCATACACTTAGTGTTTGAACCAAACTCTCTCATTACTGGTCATAGGGCTTTGAGAATCCTTAACCTTTCTGACCCTGTTTTTTCATCTTTATAAACATGACACCCAACTTCTTCACATGGTGGTCAAGGGAACCAAATGAGACCATGTATGTGCACGTACCTAGGCGATGGGCAAGTGCTAGACCAGCGGTTCTCAAAGTGTGGTCCAAAGACACCTGAGGGGGTCCCTGAGACCCGTTGAGAGGGTCTGCTTGGTCCTCCCTTTCCCAACTAATATCTGCATCTGCATGAGCCCAGAATTTCTTTCAAATATTTCCTTCAAAACAGCTGATATGAGACTCCAGCTGTCCTTTATTAAACCAAAGAAATTTTCAAAAATATAAAAACCATGAGCCAATCTTCTCACTTTTTTTTTGAGAAGTTATGCATTAAAGTGTTATTTGTATTAAAAGTTAATGGGTTTGTTATTAAGTGAATATTTTTTAAATTTCTGGTTTAATTCCTCATGCACAAAAATCAATAGATATAAGCAAAAGCTTTGGGGGGTCCTCAAATTATTTTTAGACGTGTAAACGGGTCCTGAGACCAAACCGTTTGGGAACCGCTGTGTTAAACGAAC
The DNA here is from genome assembly GCF_000001405.40 of Homo sapiens. Taxonomy (NCBI): domain Eukaryota; kingdom Metazoa; phylum Chordata; class Mammalia; order Primates; family Hominidae; genus Homo; species Homo sapiens. The sequence goes on along the minus strand of NC_000013.11, from coordinate 99,607,099 downwards.
CGCAGGTGTTCTTCACCAGGCAAGCCGCCTCTCAAAGACTGGCGCGTTCACGTTTGCCATTTGGGGGAGGCAGGCAGTTTTGTTTCCTGGGGCTGAGTCCAGGTAATTCGACCTAAGGTGTGTACCCATTTTCCGGGTGCAACGAGGGCCCTCCCAAAGGGAGGCGCGGGCGGCAGCGACCTTGGACGAGGTCGAGCCAGCGCGTGGGAGGCGCATGGTGCTTCCGTCCGGCTGGGTTCCCGTGAGGGCTTGGGGAGGCCGCGCCCGGCCCGCGGGGCTGCAACAGGAGCCGACCCGCGGCGAGCCGGGCCGGGAAGGCGGGGAACGGGGACCTGCACTCACAGCCTCAGCAGCGCCGCCGCCGCAGCTCCGCGCGCCGCCCTCCGCAGCAGACGTAGCGCCATCTTCCCGACGCGCGCGCCCCGCCCTTTGCCTTTAGCCACGCCCACCCCACATTCCACGCCCCCACGGCGACACCGACCCCCCCCCCGTCCCAGGCCCCGCCTCGCTCTGTCTTCGCCCCGCCCCGTCCCGCCAGCCACACCCCGCCAGCCACGCCCTCCTTCCTCCCAGCACCCGCTCCGCCCCGCGGCGAGTCCCGAGGTCAACTGCCCTCCCGGCCAGGGCTTAGGACCTTCGTCCCCGCTGTCATGGGGGACAGAGCAGAGGATCTGAATGGTTGGGGCCTCTTTGAGGGGCCTCTCTGGTGACCGAATCCAACTCTCTGAGCTTCTGAGTTTTTGAGGCAACTGTTGACAGACTGCGTTTTCCCAGCCAGAAGAGCCAACATTTCTAGGGATTTCTTCGCAGCTTTTGTTGTTAAAATACCGCCTAATACTTTGTGAGCCCCATCATGTGCATATCTTGGTTAGCAATTAATCTAGAGTGGTCAAAGTGCAGGAAGGCTGCATCCTGGAACACACATGCCTGCAATAGGTCAGAGCAGCTGTTGGCACTCTCTGGGCAGGGAAACTGACAGCAGCTCTTTACTCTGCCCCCTGCAGCCGTTCTGCAGCGGTGAGAACGCCGAGGCGTTAAAACAGGCTGGGCCCTGCCCCTGCCTCTTCTTTCACCTTCCCTGATCCAGCCGGCCTCCACCTGCCGACCTTCACCTACCCGGGCCCATGTTACCCCTTAACCATGTCTTTTCCTTGGCACTCGGCATGTTTCTTTTTCAGCTGTGACTCCGTTCCATTCATGCTCTAGACTTAAACCTGAAACCGTTTCTCAGAACCTTCCAGTGGAAGCTGACTTGTGCTCTTGGATGCAAAAAGTGGCCGTTTAAACAAACAAAAGCCTTTTCAGCCAGAGGGGGTTCCAAGATTTGGAAAAGTCCAGGTGACTGGGAACATGGATGCTAAACTTCTGCTGAGCCTAAGAATTATTGTTATATTCGATACCAACAGGGGAGACTGCTCAACCCCTTGGTGCCCTCCCCCAGCTCCCACGCCTGCTCCACCTCAGGCCTCGCCTGTCTACTCCAATTTGGTCACTTTCTTGTCACCACCTTAGTCCCAGCCAGTGCCCGGTCCAGCCATACTGAAGCCTGAGGCAAAGGCAATTTCAGTAACACCAATCCTGTCTTTAATTAAAATTTTGATATTTTGTTCATAATGGGATTTTTCCATTATCTTGGTTTTTAGTTTAGAATATTACTTTTTTTTTTTTTTTGAGACAGTCTTGCTCTGTCGCCCAGGCTGTAGTGCAGTGGCACGATCTCAGCTCACACACTGTAACCTCCACCTCCTAGGCTTGAGTGATTCTCACCCCTCAGCCTCCTGAGTAGCTGGGACTACAGGCAAGTGCCACCACTTCCAACTAATTGTTTTGTATTTTTAGTAGAGATAGGGTTTCACCATGTTGGCTAGGCTGGTCTCGAACTCGTGGCCTCAAGTGATCCATCCGCGTCAGCCTCCCAAAGTGCTGGGCTTACAGGCATGAGCCACCATGCCAGGCCAATATTACTTATCTTTTTTTTTTTTTTTTTTTCTGAGATGGAGTCTCGCTCTGTCGCCCAGGCTGGAGTGCAGTAATTACTGAGACTTCTCCTTAAATTTTGCATCCCAGGCTGGGGCTGCACTCACCTCACTCAAGTCTGATTCTGGACATCATCATCCTTTACCTGGATTATTTCAAAGCCTCCTTGCTCCCATTCTTCCCTCCTACAATCACCCGTTTGCCATAAAACCTGGCTGACCTTTTAAAAGCATGACGCAGCTCCTAGTTCCAGAGTTGACTTGCTGTGTGACTTTGGTCAAGTTTCTTAAGCTCTCTGTTTCCTCATCTATAAAATGGGGGTATAAATACCTCATCACCTCATAGGCTTGTTATAATGATAGACTGAGTTTACATATACATAGAGAGAGACTGCACACTTAAAATCTAAGCAAGTTCTCAGTAGTGTTAACTATTCCTCATTATTATTGTCATTGCATCGCTTCCCTTCTTAAAACCCTTTAGTGGCTTTAGAATAAAATCCGAGTTCTTCCCCATGACCCTTAAAGCCTCACACGGTCTGGCCCCTGCCAGCCTCTCCAATTTATCTCCAGCCCCACTCATCTTCTGTCTGTGTTTTCTAAGTCCACGAGGCTCTCTCCCACCGTGGGGCCTTCACACATGCCGTTCCTCATCCCCAGAATGCTCATGGCTACACCTGCTCATCCTCCAGGACCTTCAGCCTACGTGCCACCTCCTCACAGGGGCCTGTGCTAATAACCTAAAGATCCCCAACGGCGCCCCCACATCTATTTCACTGTCACAGTGCCTGGTCATCTCCACCACAATGTCGATATATGAGTTTGTGAATTTATTAGGTTCATGCCAAAGTAATTGCGGTTTTTGCCATTCAAAGTAATGGCAAGAACAATTTCATCTTATATGTATTGAATACCTGCCAGGTAGGATTCACTGAGCCAGGTGCTGGGAGCACAGCAGTGACAAGACATACAAGGTCCCTGCTCTCAAAAAACTTACAGAATTGAAAATAATGGCAAAACCCACAATTACTTTTGCACCGACCTAATACTTCTTTATTGTGCCTTTCCCCAGCAGTTCTCAGAGGGTGGGGTGGGATGGGATGACTAACCATCTATCAGGTGGGCTTTGGGATGCAGTATTGTTGTTTAGGGGGCAGGGCTAGTGATGTGCTGGGTAGCCACCTTGGGAGAAAGGCTCTTGGTGTCTTGACTTAGAAACACCTTCTGTAGGATGAGAGCATAACTTCTTTGAGAGCAGGGACCTTATATGTCTTGTCGCTGCTGTGCCCCCAGCACCTGGCTCAGTGATTTATACCCGGCAGGTATTCAATACATATAAGATGGTGGCTCACGCCTATAATCCCAGCACATTTGGAGGCCGAGGCGGGCGGATCACCTGAGGTCAGGAGTTCGAGACCAGCCTGGCCAACATGGTAAAGCCCTGTCTCTATTAAAAATACAAAAATTAGCCGGGTATGGTGGTGTGCGCCTGTAGTCCCAGCTACTCGGGAGGCTGAGACAGGAGAATTGCTTGAACCTGGGAGGTGGAGGTTGCAGTGAGCTGAGATCATGCCACTGCACTCCAGCCTGGGTGACAGAGCAAGACTCCATCTCAAACAAAACAAAACAAAACAAAATGTATATATGATGAAAATGTTCTACCAGCCTCATTACAGTTGAAAACTGCTGTATAACTAGTTATCCTTATTTAAAATGCCTTGGATCTAAAGTAGGTCCTACTATGTCTTATTTGCTAATTGGTTCAATTTCAGATTCTCCTAGAAGAAATTGTAGCTGTGCCCATTCTCACCAGCAATGGTAGGGGGTTGTTGAGTTTCTTCACAAGATTACTGACTCATGCATTTTGCTAATCAGTAGGTAGGTTAACAACTAACTGTTTCCTAATGCTAGTACATGTTAAAATAAAGTTTTATTAACTTTATCTACATAGTATGTGGGTGTCTGGAGGACACGTGTATTAGTCCGTTTTCACATTGCTATAAAGAACTGACCGAAGCTGGGTAATTTATAAAGGAAAGAGCTTTAATTGACTCACAGTTCAGCATAGCTGGGGAAGCCACAGGAAACTTATAATCATGACGGAACGTGAAGGGGAAACAAGGCACCTTCTTCTCAAGATGGCAGGAAGGAGAATGAACACAGAAGGAACTACCAAACTCACGAGTGAGTTCTCCAATCTCCGATCTCGAGAACAGCATGGGGGAAACTGCCCCCGTGACTCAGTGACCTCCACCTGGTCTCTCCCTTGACACGTGGGGATTTGGAGGATTTCAATTCAAGATGAGATTTTGGATGGGGACACAGCCAAACCATATCAACATATTTCCAAATATAATAGAGAAAGGGATTCAGAGTTCCTCCTTTAGGACAGTCAAGTCTATCTTTACTCACAGCTTCCAAAACTGAAAAGAAAAGTATCAATTTTCCAAGTGCATCAAGAGAGCATATGAAATTTAGTAGGGTGAATAATTCCGAGATTCACTATCCTGTTGAGTTGAGCAGTCTGGAAGAATAGGCACTTGGCAGAGACATGGGAAAGAAGGATGGGGCGGGAGCATACTAGGGATAGGGAGCAGCCCCTTATGCTCTAGAGGTTTGATGTTTCTAGCCTACCCATTCTAGGTTTATGGGCGAGGCCCCTGAAATAAAATACAAACTAACAAAAGAAAAACATACGAATGTATTTAATGTGAATTTTACATGACATGGAAGCCTTCATATGAAAAGGAAGACCCAAAGAAAAAGTGAAACGTATATTTTTTCATGCTTAGGTTTAATGAAGAGTGGACAGTTGTGGAGAAATATGATTGGAGGGCAAAAGAATCTGATCTAATGGTGATAACCTGGAAGGAACTTAGCAAGGCCTGTTTGCTCAGGCTCTTCTCTGTGTCTTCACAGACAAGGGTGTTCCTTTCCTTCACCTAAAGGCGGGGAAGGCACTTATCCAATGAGAATCTTATAACCGCCAGGCGCTGTGGCTCACGCCTGTAATCCCAGCACTTTGGGAGGCCGAGGCAAGTGGATCACCTGAGATCAGGAGTTCAAGACCAGCCTGGCCAACATGGCAAAACCCCCTCTCTACTAAAAATACAAAAAAATTAGCTGGGCATGGTAGTGCACCCCTGTAATTCCAGCTACTCAGGAGGCTGAGCCAGGAGAATCGCTTGAACCCAGGAGGCAGAGGTTGCAGTGAGCTGAGATCGTGCCACTGCACTCCAGCTTGGGTAACGGAGCAAGACTCCGTCTTTAAAAAAAAAAAAAAAAAAAAAGTCTTATAATCTGCTTCAAGGAAGAAGGGGAGGAGAAAAGTCAGACAGACCTTCCTGCTTCTGCTGTTTTTCAAATGCCAAGGTGCCATATTTTGAGGAAGTGTGTCTTGAACCCTGTCAACCACAATAAAAGAAAGTTTTTAAAAAAGTTTTGTAGAGATGGAGTTTCACTCTGTCACTGAGGCTGGAGTACAGTGGCATGATCATAGCTCACTGCAGCCTTGAGGTTCTAGCGATCCTCCTGCCTTGAGCCTCCTGAAGAGTTGGAATTACAGGCACGAGCCACTGAGCCTGGCCAAACAACTTTTCAAAGAAGTCATCTGTGTAGTGAGAGAAGTAGACGGATAAATGGGGAAAGGATGGGTTCTGTGGTCCATGGGTGTATGGGGGAACGGGTACAGAACTGCTGCAATTCCTTCTGCGTGAGGGGGCAGGGAACTGGGGGGCTTTGCAGAGCAGGGAATGGAGACCTGAAATGTGGTGGAGACTGAATCAGTGAAAGTCTTCAGAGGAAGAGTAGAGCAGGCAGAGAGAACACAGCAGGGATCCGAGGGATTGTCTGGGGCCAGACTGTAAATGACCTGAATGCTCAAATCTTAGCCAATGTGGCTCTCAACAAATACCGGTCCCCTGAAGAAATGAGTTACATTTTCACCACGTGGTTTTGTAACTGTGATGATCTTGTAATTGTAATTGTGATGGTGAGTGAGTAAATAACTCTCACTTAGAAATATTTGGATTTTGTATTGGCTCATTTTTTGGCAAATAGGCACACCAAGGAGATACTGGACGAAAATATCTAATCAACCTATGGTTTATCATAACATGTAAATAACTTTCACGTTTCAAGGAGCAGGAACGATTAGGAAAATGAAGCTGAATTCTTCTTTCGTGATCAACACCAAAGGCTCTTTATCAGAAGCCGGTTTTTCCTTCCTTTTGGTGTCTGGCCGATACAGGTTATTTTCACCAAAGTTGAGTCTCAAAGGCTGAGTGGGACCGGTGTCACTGATTTAAGACATCAGAATACTGCACTTAGAAAGAGGCATATTAGAAGTTCTGTGGAATGATTTTTAAACAGTGGCACAGATAGAACTCCACTCTGAGATCATCCATCCCTCCTGCTGCTATGATACAAAACCCTCCCAGCCTCACCTCCTGGCAGAGTCGCCTTTGATAACACTGATGACTCTGTCTGGCCTCCTTGGGGAGAGAGGAGGGGACTGTCTCTCAAATTTAGGCCAAATACAGAATAACTAACGACCACCTTGTGGCCTTCCGGGCCGTAGCTTCCTCTCTCTAAACTAAGGGAGTTCATATACATGACCTCTAAATCCTTTTCTGATCTCAGCCCCCAAAGCTGTGCTGTAGCTCCCCCTAATGTCAGCAGGCGGATGGTTACCCCCACACGCTTCAGGCCTCTCCGGAGCCCCCTTCCCTGATCCCCATTCCCTGATCCCCCCTTCATTTTTTCATAGCACATCTGCTTCTAATTACTGAAGAATGTACTTAATATATGATGTCTCTGTTGAACATAAGACTTTTGGGGGAAGGGGTTTGGCCTGTTTTGTTCACCAATATATCCCGAGCACCTGAAACTGTGCCTGGTGCCTGGCACCTGGGTGGAGACCTAAAACATATCTGTTGAATTCAAAGTGTTGAATCTTGAGGCATCTTCTGCCAAATTTATTTTTTTCATAACTTCCCCTGTTGCTTTTCACTTACTTTGTAGGTTGGTCATTATCTTGTTCCCCAGTGCTGATTATTAATCCCTGTTGTTTTGTAGGTTGGTTGTTCTCTTGTCCCACACTGCTGATTCTTAATTCCCTGGTGTGGTCGACTGAGTGATGGCCCCATAAAAATGTCCACATCCTAATCCCCGGCACCTGTGACTATGTTACTCTGCGTCATGAAGTTAAGGATGTTATGAAGTTAAGGATCTTGAGATGGGGACATTATCCTGGATTATCTGGGTAGGCCCAATGTAATCGTAGGTTCTTCATATTGATAAAGAGATAGAAATTATAGAAAAGGGCTGGGTGCAGTGGCTCACACCTATAATCCCAGCATTTTGGGATGCCGAGGTGGGCAGATTGCTTGAGCCCAGGAGTTCAAGACCAGCCTGGGCAACATGGCAGAACCCTGTCTCTATTTTAAATTATAAAAATTTAAAAAAAATTCAAAGACTGCTTTTAAGGCCATTTGTAAGTCCAAAGTGACACTCTATGATTTAAATGACCACAAATCCCTCTGTTGATGTCTGGTAGAACCAACAGGCTTTTGCTTTGACCAGAGCTTTCTTGAGTACAAGAGTTTCTAAAGACAGTAGCTTCAGTAATTTTTCAAGATGGACTTGGAATCCCTTATCTGTATGCTGTTTTAAAAGGGTTCTCCATTAAAGACTTAAATGTAAAACCCCAAACCATAAAAACCCTGGAAGACAACCTACGCAATACCATTCTGGACATAGGAACAGGCAAAGATTTCATGGGGAAGACACCAAAAGCATTTGCAACAAAAGCAAAAATTGACAAATGGGATTTAATTAAACTAAAGAGCTTCTGCATAGCAAGGGAAACTATTAACGGAGTGAAAGGACAACCTATAGATGGGAGAAAAATTTTGCAAACTATGCATTGACAAAGGCCTAATATCCAGTATCTATAAGAAAATTAAACAAATCTACAAGAAACAAACTAACAACCCCATTAAAAAGTGGGCTTAGGACATGAACAGACACTTTTCAAAAGACATTCATGCAGCCAACAACCATATGAAAAAAAGCTCAGCATCACTGATTATTAGAGAAATGCAAAACAAAACCACAATGAGATATCATCTCATACTAGTCAGAATGGCTATTATTGGCTGGGCGCGGTGGCTCATGCCTGTAATCCTAGCACTTTGGAAGGCCGAGATGGGTGGATCACTTGAAGTCAGGAGTTCCAGACCAGCCTGGCCAACGTGGTGAAACCCCGTCTCTACTAAAAATACAAAAATTAGCTGGGTGTGGTGGTGAGCACCTGTAATCCCACCTACTAGGGAGGCTGAGGCAGGAGAATCACTTGAACCTGGGAGGCAGAGGTTTCAGTGAGCTGAGATAGTGCCACTGCATTCCAGACTGGGTGACAGAGCAAGACCCTATCCCCACCAAAAAAAAAAAAAAAAGGCTATCATTAAAAAGTCAAAAACAGCAGATGCTGGTGAGGTTGAGGAGAAAATGGAATGCTTATATGCTATTGGTGGGAATGTAAATTAGTTCAGCCATTGTAGATGACAGTGTGGTGATTCCTCAAAGACCTAAAAACAGAAATACCATTCAACCCAGCAATCCCATTACTGGGTATATACCCAAAGGAATATAAATCATTCTATCATAAAGACACATGCATGTGTATGTTCATTGCAGCACTATTCACAATACCAAAGATATGGAATCAGCCTAAATGCCCATCAATGGTAGACTGGATAGCAAAAATGTGGTACATATACACCATGGAATATTATGTAGCCATAGAAGATAATGAGATTGGCTGGGCATGGTGGCTCATGCCTGTAATCCCAGCACTTTGGGAGGCCGAGGCAGGTGGATCACCTGAGGTCAGGAGTTCAAGACCAGCATGGCTAACATGGTGAAACCCCATCTCTACTAAAAATACAAAACATTAGCTGGGTGTGGTGGCGGGTGCCTGTAATCTCAGCTACTTAGGAGGCTGAGGCAGGAGAGTCACTTGAACCCAGGAGGCAGAGGTTGCAGTGAGCCGAGATCACGCCATTGCACTCCAGTTTGGGCAACAAGAGCGAAACTCCGTCTAAAAAAAAAAAAATGACTGAGATCATGTCCTTTGCAGGAAGATGGATGGAGCTGAAGGCCATTATCCTTAACAAACTAACACAGAAACAGAAAACCAAACACCGCATTTTCTCACTTATAAGTGGGCACTAAATGATGAGAACTCATGGGCACACAGAGGGGAACAGCAGATGCTGGGGCCTACTTGAGGGTGGAGGGTGGCAGGAGGGAGAGGATCAGGAAAAATAACGTGTACTAGGCCTAATACCTGGGTGAGGAAATAACCTGTTCAGAAAACTCCCATGACACAAGTTTACCTATATAACAAACCTGCACATGTACCCCTAAACCTAAAATAAATGTTAAATAATTTTTTAAAAAACTTTATAAAAATAAAAGGGCTCTCTGCTCTGAATTGTTTAAGTAGGGATGCAGAGCATTATCACTGCCTGAAATTATACTATTAATACATATTTATGTTTATTGCTTGCCATTACTGTCATTTCATTTGCTTATGATCTGTTACTTCCATGAGGGTGGGAACTGACTTTACTTTGTTTGCTACTGTATTTCAGTGCCTGAATAGATGCCTGAGACTCAGTAGGTACTAAATAAGTATATGTTGAATGAATGACTGAGAAGTTGACTAGTGATAAAAATGCAAGAAATTATGCAGCAACACTTTGGGCTACCTCTCAGAAGAAATAAATGATTGCAATCCATATGCAGTTTTAAATGACGAGAGTAGAAAAGCAAAAGCAAGCCATCTTGGTTTGTTAGTTGTGAGTGTCAAGAGGCAATTGATGAAAAGGATACCTGTTGACATGTGAAGGATGAACTGAAAAAATAAATAAAAGAAAAATAAATTAAAAGGAGACATGTAAGCATGGGGGGTGGGCAGAGGAGTTCTATCCAGCTTTAGAAATTGGCCCTTGGCTGTCTCTTTGCAATTCAAGTATTGGGGAAATAAAAGAGGACGTGGGGCCATTATAAAAATCTATTAAGAATCTTGGGTTTTGGTCAGGCATAGTGGCTCATGCCTGTAATCCCAGCACTTTGGGAGGCTGAGGTGGGAGGATCATGAGGTCAGGAGATCGAGACCATCCTGGCTAACAGAGTGAAACCCCGTCTCTACTAAAAATACAAAAAAATTAGCCAGACGTGGTGGCGGGCGCCTGTAGTCCCAGCTACTCGGGAGGCTGAGGCAGGAGAATAACGTGAACCTGGTAGGCAGAGCTTGCAGTGAGCCAAGATTGCACCACTGCACTCCAGCCTGGGCGACAGAGTGAGACTCCATCTAAAACAAAAACAAAAACAAAAAAAACCAGAATCTTGGTTTTTGCCTTACGAGTCAGTGGGAGAGGCCCCTGTCTTGGCCACTGTGTTAGTCCGTTTTCACACTGCTACAAAGATGCTACCTGAGACTGGGTAGTTTATAAACAAAAGAGGTTTAATTGACTGACAGTTCTACATGGCTGGGAAGGCCTCAGGAAACTTACAACCATGGCAGAAGGTGAAGGGGAAGCAGGCATCTTCTTCACAAGGTGGCAGGAGAGAGAGAGAACACAAGGGAAAGTGCCACTTTTAAAACCATTAGATCTCGTGAGAACTCCCTCACTATCACGAGAATAACATGGGGGAAACCACGAGGTTTCCCACCAGGTTCCTCCCTTGACACGTGGGGATTACAGTTTGGGATGAGATTTGGGTAGGGACAAAGGGCCAAACCACATCAGCCACTACTAGGTAGCCCTTTGAAAAAGAAATAATCATAACATAGGAAAGAATTTATGTACAAGGTGATTCACGGCATCATTTTTTATAGCAAAATATTGAAAAAATAAAAATGTCCATCAATAGGGGATCAATGTTTACAAATACGGTACACAACACAACAGAAAAGTATTCAACTATAAAAAGAATAAAAAGGGTTCACTGCACATAGTAATACAGAAAGATCGCCAAGATATATCATTAGGTAAAAAAGACAAGGCACGGAACAATCATATTATGTTCCATCTTCTGTGTGAAGGAAGGAGGATACAATAAAAATGTATTTCATGGTTTTTTGTTTTGTTTTGTTTTGTTTTTTTGAGATGGAGTTACGCTCTTGTTGCCCAGGCTAGAGTGCAATGGCATGATCTTGGCTCACTGCAACCTCCGCCTCCTGGGTTCAAACAATTATCCTGCCTCAGTCTCCCGAGTAGCTGGGATTACAGGCGGCCACCACCACGCCCAGCTAATTTTTTTGTAATTTTAGTAGTGACGGGGTTTCACCAAATTGGCCAGGCTGGTCTTGAACTCCTGAGCTCAGGTGATCCACCCACCTCAGCCTCCCAAAGTGCTGGGATTACAGGCGTGAGCCACCGCTCCCAGCCTGTTTTATTTTTTTATAACGGTAAACATACATAACAAAATTGACCATTGTAAGCATTTTAGATGTATAGTTCTATGACATTAAGTACATTCACATTGTTGGGCCACCGACATCATCATCATCCATCTCAAGAACTTTTTCATCATCTCAGACTGAAACTCTGTCCCCATTAAACATGAACTCCCCATCCCACTCCCCGCAGGCCCTGGAAACCCCCATTCCACTTTCTGTCTCTGTGAATTTGACTGCTCTAGGAACCTAATGTAACTGGGCTATATTTGTTCTTTTGTAACTGGTTTACTTTACTTAGCATAATGTCTTCAAGGCTCACTCATATTTGCCTGTATTTATCTTTTTTTTTTTTTAAACTCTGAAAGGATACAATAGTGCTGATGACAGGGATTACCTGTCAGGGAAGTAGGAATAAAGCAAGAGAAGAAAGGGATGGGAAGAAGATTTTTTAAATATCCTTTTTTGTCATTTAAAACTTTTTTAGCCACTTCATATATTACTTATTCAAAATGCCAGATTTTGAACACCATGAACAATAAAGTGAAAGGAAGAAAAAGAAAACTTCAGTCTTTGCTCAGTGAAGGTGTGGGTCATTAGCTGGACCTGACCCAGAGCCCCTGGGGCATCTTTGTGGCCACTGAGTTTTTATGTTGGTTCCATATCCCACACTGGATTAAAAACTCCCCAAGTCCAGCCTGTGTTTTGCACAGGGTGGGGGGCCCAGTGACTTGCACAGTTGACAGAGAGCTGGCAGCCTCTGCAGAGGTGATGCTTGGTAAGACGCGTAATGTTGAACCATATAAAGAAGGCTGTTTGGCTAAGACCCTCTGGGTTATGTGGAATTATCTTTAATGCACCAGACAAGAAGATTGTTAACCAGCCTTATTACCAACAATTTCTTATGACCATGGTAGGGCAGGCAGATGATTTGAGGATTATCGGGACGCTGACAAATCCCCTGGGCCCTGACAATCTCATTTAGAAAAGAATCAAATCTGTTTATTGCTGATAATAGATGGCATGCCCCCAGGTTTGCTTGTAAGTAATATGTGCATTGCTTTTTATTTTTTTCTTTTAGCAACAGGAGCCAAACTTGGATTCACCCTGATAAAGCAGACATTTGGGACTTCATGTGATCTAATTGCTCTGAGCTGTTCCTTAATCCCCAATCGCTAAACCTTTGCATCGTTGCCCACAATGGCATAAACTACCTTGATCCAGGATTGCAAAATGGTCCACCCAACAAAGAAGCCTCATAATTGTTGATGTGGCTGAGATTCTCTAATGCACCCTCCCTTGTTTTTATTTGTTGTTCTAAGAATTATTTAAGTAAAAGAACAAAGCAAATCTTAAACTTGTCTCTGTGATAAGGTGAACCTCGGAAGGCGAAGTCCATTTCTTCATTCATCTCTGCATTCACAGCAACAGGTACAGTGGCTCATATATAATAAGTTCTTGAAAATGTTTGTGGGATTGCCTCATTCATAAACTATCATAATTGCTCCAGTGAAATGTTCTCAGATATATGAATTTTGGTAGACAACATTTGGAAAACCAAATAGAGATTAATTTTAATTAGATCTTTAATTCTCTTGGATTTATACGAAATAAAATGCCAGCCAGGCATGGTGGCATGCATCTGTATTCCCAGCTACTTGGGAGGCTGAGGTGGGAGAATCACTTGAGCCCAGGAACTCAAGTCCAGCCTGGGCAACATAGCGAGACCTCATCTCTTAAAAACGAAAGAAAGAAAGCAAGAAAAAAGCTATATGACAAAATCTAAACCTATGCATATTGCTAGTATTTCTTACTTTTTTTTGAGACAGCGTCTCATTGTTGCCCAGACTAGAGTGCAGTGGTGAGACCATAGCTCACTGCAGCTTTGAACTCCTTGGCTCAAGCAATCCTCCCATCTTAGCCTCTTGCGTATCTGGGACTACAGACACATGCCACTGCACCTGGCTAAATTTTGTTAGTTTGGAGAGATCAGGGTCTCACTATGTTGCCCAGGCTGGTCTTCAACTCCTGGCCTCAAATGATCCTCCCACCTTGGCCTCCCAAAATGCTGGGATTTATAATATTGCTGGTATTTAATCTTATCCAAAATATCGCAATGAATTTTTCAAAGTATCTGCACAAGAAAAAACTTCTAAGCATATAAGTTAACATCTCCTTTAGCAGGATTTGCCTGAAGCTTGAAGGTCTTTTGACTGCTTCCATAGGTAAGTTGCAGATGAAATCTGTTACACAAACTCCAGACTCAGATACCTCTAGATGTCTATACTGTCCTTCTACTCTGGGGATCCATTCGTGCCAGCTTCAGGAAGAAGGCGTTTACTGGCATCTAAACTCATGCTTTCTCATCTTTCTTCATTCTAATTTTCTGTCTAGTGAAACAATATTGCTAGCCATATGATTTCCAGCATTCAAACAAGGCCCCACATGGGGATTTTGTTACTAGTTTCCTTAGAGAAGTTTTACAGTTTCTCAGGAAAAAAGACCAAACCGTTAAACATCTATTTCTTCTGTTAAAAAAAAAATCCCATTTAGTATTATAAGTAATAATATGTTTATTATAGACAAATTGAACTTGCAAAAATAAGTAGGTATATAGGGAGAAAGCTAACACCTGCTATGGTTTGGATGCACCCTTCAAAACTCATAGTGAAATTTCATTGCCATTGTGATGGTATTAAGAGGTGGGACCATTAGGAGATGATTAGGTCATGAGGTCTCTGCCTTCAGGCACAGATTAATGCTATTATCACAGGAGTGGGTTTGTTATTGCAGGAGTAGACCCCTGATGAAAGGATGAAGTTCAGCTAGGCATGGTGGCTCACGCCTGTAATCCTAGCACTTTGGGAGGCCAAAGCGGGAGGATCATTTGAGCTCAGGAATTCGAGACCAGCCTGGGCAACATAGTGAGACCTTGTCTCTACAGAAATTTTTTAAAAAATTAGCCAGGCAGGATGGTACACGCTTAATAGTCCCAGCTAATCCGGGGGCTGAGGTGGGAGGATCACCTGAGCCTGGGAGGTCAAGGGGCAGTGAACCACTGACTCTGGACTGGGTGACAGAGTAAGTAAGACACCATCTCAAAAAAAAGATGAAGTTCAGCCCCCATTTCCTCTCAGTCTCACACACTCACTTGCCCTTCTGCCATGTTAGAATGCAGCACAAAGTCCCTCACCAGATGCCAGCACCATGTTCTTGGACTTCTCAGCCTCCAGAACTGTGAGGAATGCATTTATTTTCTTTATAAATTAATGTTTGTTTGTGCTATTCTGGTATAGCACTAGAAAATGGACTAAAACAACATCTGGGGCTGGGCGCAGTGGCTCACACCTGTAATCCCAGCATGTTGGGAGGCAGAGGCGTGTGGATCACCTAAGGTCAGGAGTTCAAGACCAGCCTGGCCAACATGTTGAAACCCTGTCTCTACTAAAAATACAAAAATTAGCCGGGTGGAGTGGCAGATGCCTGTAATCCCAGCTACTCAGGAGGCTGAGGCAGGAGAATTGCTTGAACCTGGGAGGCGGAGGCTGCAGTGAGTGATCATACCACTGCACTCCAGCCTAGGCGACAGAGCAAGACTCCATCTCAAACAAACAAACAAACAAACAAAACCAACACCTGAAGGTAACTTCATATTCTGCCTTCCTTATAGTCATGTCTTGTGTTCTTTTTTTTTTTTTTGAGACGGAGTCTCGCTCTGTCACCCAGGCTGCAGTGCAGTGGCATGATCTTGGCTCACTGCAAGCTCCGCCTCCTGGATTCACGCGATTCTCCTGCCTCAGCCTCCTGAGTAGCTGGGACTACAGGTGCCCGCCACCACGCCCGGCTAATTTTTTTTTTTTTTTTTTTAGTAGAGACAGGGTTTCACCGTGTTAGCCAGGATGGTCTCGATCTCCTGACCTCGTGATCTGCCCGCCTCGGCCTCCAAAGTGCTGGGATTACAGACTGCGCCCAGCCGTCTTGGGCATTTTTATTCTAGTGCATTTATATATCTCTAGGAAGATAGGTGATGGGTAGATAGATAAACACGCATATATAGTTCTTAGCAAAAGTAACATCACATATACATACTGTTTTGAAACTTGCTTTTCTCCCCTCAATAAATCACTGAAACATATATTTAGGTAATACTGTAAAACCCATACACATGAGAATATTCAGATGTTTGTGGGAAAGAAAAGAAACAAAATATATATGGAAAAATACTAAAAACCAATCTACAGAAAGTGCCTATGTAAGCTGGGAAAATAAGTTCAGAGGTTTATGAAGTTAGTTTCCTTTAATTCAAACTTTTTTGCTCTGGTAAACTTTGAAAAATATTTTCACAGCATATATTCTTTATAAGAATACAGCTGGGAAATTCTTCCACTGTCATGCAGTCTTAAGCTTAAAGTTTGCAAAATATAGTTTTTGCTTCTTCTTTTTCTTCTTCTTCTTTATAAAAAGGCTTTTAATTCAACTTATTGACCCCAGTATTTTTGCTACATCCATTGCTAGGATCAAATCATTATACTTTTCAAAAGCGTTCCTTTAACCTGAGGTCAAACGAATGTGAAATAGGAGGAAGTTATAAAAAGACTGAAATCTAGAACACCCATAACCCTGATGTACTTTATCCAAATTTTTATGACTTTGAAGTGCACTGAATACAGAAAGAATGCAGAGCTTTTATTTTCCAACCAGAGAAACCACACACAAAAAAAGAATAAAAAAGTATTTCTTTCTCATTTCTGTAGCCAACCTCTCAATCCAAAAAAAGGAAGTGGGGGAGGATCCAAGTCAAGCCAACAAAAATAAACTGTTGCCATTGTTTATAGAGAAAATAATTCCTAGAGATATTTTTCCCCAAAAAGCCAAAAAAAAAAAAAATCACAAAGAGACTCCCTGGCTCAGTTTATTTGCTAGAGGAGAAATTGTTTAACATTTGCTTATTTTGTAAAAACTACCAATAACAAGTGGGCCCAGAAAATCCCTCCCTCTTCCTCGTGTGGTGGGAAAGCAGAGACCAGGCGAAACTGGGCCTACTGTTGGAACATTGCTCACTGTCTGGAACTGCCCAATCCTGCCCGGCTTCTGTAAGATTCCCAAGATCCATGACAACCTGAAGTCCCCAAGGGAGGGGTTTGAGTTGGATGGATGTGGCGAGGCCAGACAATGGTCAGCCTTGACTTTCCCTGTGGTGGATTGGATTGAACGCTCCAATTCTTGCCTCTTGTCTGCCTCCACATCCTTGTCACGATCTCATTGTGGGAAGAATATACCTTTTTTGTCCCTTAACTTTGAGCTCTGCCAGTGACTGTGTGCCATCTCCAGCTGCAGCCTTGCCCTCTTGCCCTGCAGCCATCGCTGTGAGAAGAGCACATCCTAGCAGAACCCGTGATGGAGAGGAGGTTGCCCTGCAGTGAAACAGAGCTGCCCCAGCTGCCCAGCCTGCTGTGGAGCCTGCAGCCCAGCCCAGCCCAGGTCAGCGAAACTACAGCAGACTCACGAAGGCATCAGCAGTAGTAAATACCTATTGTGTTAAGCCCCTGAGTTCTGGAATGCTCCACATTGCTGCATTGTTTGGTAATACAAATGAATACATACTTTCAAGTAAATATAATAATATATTATTATTATTATTCTGAGATGGAGTCTCACTCTGTCACCCAGGCTGGAGTGCAGTGGCACCATCTCAGCTCACTGCAACCTCCACCTCCCAGGTTCAAGCGATCCTCCAGCCTCTGCCTCCCAAGTTGCTGGGATTACAAGCACATGCCACCGTAACTAGCTAATATGGGTATTTTTAGTAGAGACAGGGTTTCGCCATGTTGGCCAGGCTGGTCTCGAATTCCTGACCTCAAGTGATCCACCCGCTTTGGCCACCCAAAGTGCTGGGATTGCAGCAGTGAGCCACTGCACCTGGCCAGTTCTTTTAACACTTGTACTGTAGGGAGTTTAATATGTGGCTATGTATAGGATAGACTGAAGTAGGGAACAGATAGGATCATGATCCAGATGTCAGGTAATGAACCCACAAACAAGTGTGGAGATTGTGGATTTGGGAAAGAACGGGAAGAGGAAAGAGATAGACAAAAGGTTGGCTGCAAGAAAGAAGGAAAAGGCTAAATTTTCACACTTGGGAGAAGAAGGAAATGGTGATAACTTTTGGAGAATTTGAACTTTGGAGATGATTTTAGGAAAAATAATAAGTTTAGTTTGTGCCATCCCGGGTTTGAAGTGACAACAATTTAATCTAATGGTAGTGTGGTGTAGTGGAAAGGGCTGTAGTTTTCAAATAGACCTGGCTGCTGATTCTGGCTTGACATCTTACAGGGTGAGGGGCTTTTCTGAGTAACTTAAACTCTCTAAGCCTCAGTGTCTACCCCTGTATCAGCCCTCAGGATTGTGAGGACTGTGTAGGTGGGTAGTGAGGTAGGCATCGGTGGGCATTTGGTCTTCTTAGCATCTTTCCTGTTGAGAATGCCACTCTGCTGGTTGGTGGGTCTGTAATTTACATGACCAACTTCTGTGCCACCATGACGGATCCAGGCATGGGCACATGACCCAACCAGCCAATCAGAGTCCATTTTGGGGAGATGGATATGAATGTTTGGTGAGAAAGGGGTCTTTTCTTCTGCTATCAAGAGTAGTAAGATCACGGTAAGCCTGATAGTATTATCTTCTAGGCTGCTCTGGGGAGAGAGATTGCCTGAGAATGAAGCTCACACAGAGAAAATCAAAGATGAGAAATGGAGAAAGAGAGGAGAGGGAGACCCTTATTGATATTGTTTGAACTCTTTGATCAAATAGTGTCATTCATTGAACTTCCCAGCTGCCTGAACTAATATGTGTGTATTTTTTTAATTAAGGGCATTTTAATTTGGTTTTTGGCTCTTGAAACCAAGAGTCCTGACTCAGCAGGTATTCAAGTAATAGTACGGGAGGCCGAGGTAGGCGGATCACTTGAGCTCAGGAGTGTGAGACCAGCCTGGGAAATATGGCAAAACCCTGTCTCTATGGAAAAATACAAAAATTAGTTGGGCATGGTGGTGAATGCCTGGCGGCCCATCTGCTTGGGAGGCTGAGGTAGGAGGATCACCTAAGCCTAGGAAGGTTGAGGCTGCAGCGAGCCATGATCATGCCACTGCACTCCAACCTGGGCAGCAGAGTGAGACCCTGAAAAGAAAGAAAGAAAGAAGGAAGGAAGGAAGGAAGGAAAGAAAGAAAGAAAGGAAGGAAGGAAGGAAGGAAGGAAGGAAGGAAAGAAGGAAGGAAGAAAGAAAGAAAGAAAAGCTAAACAACATTCAGTGGGGAATGGCCCACTTACAACTTGCCTGAATTCATATTCCCTTCTTCCTGCAAATGACTTACAGCCAAATATCAGCCAAAAAGGTATGAAGAAGTCTGCATCATTGAAATAGATGTGGACTCATGGGCCTTTTAAAGGAGACATGAAGAGGTTCACACTGTGAGATATGAAGACACACTACAAAGCCATAATAATGATAATAAAATGTGCTGTTGGCAGAGAAACCAGTAAGTAAACCAGTGGAGCAGGGTAAAAAGCTCAAAAGCAAATCTGTTGACTTATGAGAGGCAACAGCACAAACCCGTGTGGGAAGGACAGGTTATTCACTAGATGGTGCTGGGAAAACTGGTTCACTCTATGGAGAAAAAGAAACACCGTATGCAAAGGTCAGCTTTGGATAATCCAAAATCTAATTGTGAAGGTAAAATATAAAACCAATAGGAAAAAAGATGCCCAATAATTTTGTCATCTTGAGGTTGAGAAGGACTTCTGACATCAACTCAGAAGGCACAAGCTATGAGGCAAAAAATTGAGGAATTTGAGTCCATCAAAATTACATTGTTCTGCTCAACAAAGGACACCATAGACAGAGTGGGGGAAGATAACCGTAATGTCAGAATCCAGCAAGAACTTCTAGTGAGACAGATTTGTCGAGAACAGCGAACCATGGCCTACCGGCCAAGGCTGGCCCCTCCACCTATTTTTATAAGCAAAACAAAAGTTTGGTTGGACAGAGCCATGCTCATTCATCATATACTGTCTCTGCTCTTGAGCTGAAATAGCAGAGCTGAGTTGGTGCAGCAGAGAACTTCTGGTCTGCAAAGCCTAAAAAAATATCTACTACCTGGACCCCTTACAGATAATTTTATCAATACCTCATCTAGAATATACAAGGAAATCATCTAGAAAACAAAGAAATTGTCTGGACCCCAGTAGAAAAATGGGGCAAAAATATGAAGAAATGCTCAACCTCACTATTAGAGAAATGCAAATTATAGAAAACAATGAGCTGCCACTTTACACCCACGACACAGGAAAAATTAGAAAGTCAGATGATAGCAATTGTTGACAAGGAGGTAGGAAAATGGATATTATTATGCACTACAGATGGGAGTGCAGACTGTGTAGTCTTCTGGGGAACAGCCTAGCAGATCTCAGTGAAATTCATCTGTGTACGCCCCATGACCCAGCCGTCCCGGGGTGTAACGCTGAGAAACGAATAGCCAGGTCTGCAGCAGAATGTGTACAGGGATGTGCATCCTGGCCGTTTGTGGTAGCTGGGCCCTTAGAGTCAGCCTCGTAAGGTGAAGTGGAGGAGAGGAGAAATAAACTGTCACTGGTGCTTCCTTGGGGAGGGCTAAGGCAATGAACAAGAGGCACATACAGCCACATGGCTAGATATTAAAAACATACTGCGGATGAGAAAAGACAGACACAGAATGAGACCCAGAGCCCAACACTGTGTATATGTAAATGTGTGTATGCTACATACACAAAACAATGCTAGGTCTTTTTCGGAATTCTGTACATGTCCAAGTGCATACACCGAACACATTACAGGAGATGGGGTAGTAGAGTAGAAGTGGGAGGGGGTTTTGGAAACTAAGAAACAATTAAAATAAGAGAAGGGCCTTCCACATACAGACGATAAGAGTGGAACGAACTTAATTCTGTGAATCCGAGGTCCAAACATTTGGCTGTGAACTAGAGGATCTTCAGAAAAAGCAGCAGCTTCCAGTCTGTAATAAGACTTGGGTGGGCCGGGCGCAGTGGCTCACGCCTGTAATCCCAGCACTTTGGGAGGCCAAGGTGGGCGGATCACCTGAGGTCAGGAGTTCAAGACCAGCCTGACCAACATGGAGAAATCCTGTCTCTACTAAAAATACAAAAAAAAAAAAAAGAAAAAAAAGAAATTTAGCCAGGCATGGTGGTCAGGAGTTCGAGACCAGCCTGACCAACTTGGAGAAACCCCGTCTCTGCTAAAAATAAAATAAAAAATAAAATAAAAAAATTAGCCAGGCATGGTGGTCAGGAGTTTGAGACCAGCCTGACCAACATGGAGAAACCCCGTCTCTACTAAAAATACAAAAAAAAAAATTAGCCAGGCATGGTGGCGCATGTCTGTAATCCCAGCTACTCGGGAGGCTGAGGCGGGAGAATTGCTTGAACCTGGGAGGCGGAGGTTGCGGTGAGCCGAGATCACACCATTGCACTCCAGCCTGGGCAACAAGAGCAAAACTCCGTCTCAAAAAAAAAAAAAAAAAAGGCTTGGGTGAACAGACAGGGCTAGAGATGAAGAGTTGAGAGTTCTCCGTAGAGTGTTGTCAGTGGAACTCTGCCATGCGTGCGCTTTTTCTTTTTTTTTTTTAATCTGCAAATCTTCTAGTTTATAAAAGAACAAATGACAGTTAGTGTGACAGCAGCTGACTGGGAATTAAGAAAACCTGACTTGAAATCAAGTATAATTGTCCCAGGGAATGGAGGAGCTAAGACTAAACCCGCATTCCTGAGGAGGTTGTTGGGCCAGACTAAATTTTTATCCTGGCTTGCCTAACTTCCTCCCCTGACCAAAGCCAGTCTGAATTTGGCATTGACTTTGGAAGTAGCAAATTTAGAAGTTTCAGTAGATCAGGGCAGGAAAGTGACCTAATTTATGTACAAATAAAAATAGGAATAATGAAGCAAAAATATAGGCTGTGTGGGGAGGTTGTCATATATCTGAAAATTAAAACATGTGATTCAAAATGTGGGAGATTTCTCAAAGAACTGAAAACACAACTACCATTCGATGCAGCAATCCCGTTACTGGGTATGTACCCAAAGGAAAACAAATCATTCTACCAAAAAAACATGCACTCATATGTACATCGCAGCACCAGTCACAACAGCAAGGACGTGAAACCAACCTAGGTGCCCATCAAGGCAGGTGGATTGCCTGAGCTCGGGAGACCAACCTGGGCAACACGGTGAAACCCCGTCTATATTAAAATACAAAAGAAATTAGCTGGGTGTGGTGACATGTGCCTGTAATGCCAGCTACTTGGGAGGATGAGGCAGGAGAATTGCTTGAACCCGGGAGGCAGAGGTTGCAGTGCGCCGAGATAGCATCACTGCACTCGAGCCTGGGTGACAGAGCAAGACTCCGTCTCAAAAAAAAAATATATATATATATGTGTATATATATATATGTATGTATATATACACACATACATATATATATATGAAATCATGTCCTTTCCAGCAACATGGAGGCTTTGGGCTACAAATGATCCCATTACCCAGGTAAAGAGCATAGTAACAAACAGGTAGTTTTTCAGCCCTTGGTCTCCTCCCTCTCTCCCCACTCTAGTAGTTCCCGGGGTCTGTTGTTTCTATCTTTGTGTCCATGTGTATCCAATGTTTAGCTCCCACTTATGGGTGAGAGCATGTGGTGTTTGGTTTTCTGTTCCTGCATTAATTGGCTTAAGATAATGGCCTCCATGCATGCACTTTCACAGGTCATGTATCTAGTTGGACTGGCTCTTCCACTGTGGAGTGTCCCATTTGAACCAGTTACTGATGTATGGCCTCCAAGCTCCAGATCAACCCTTCCTGGCCCTGCTGGTGACATCAGAGATGGACTCTGTAAATGTTCCTCCCTTGCCACCTGCCACGATGTTACGTTTTGTCAGTAGCCAGCCACTGAGGGACATTGCAAGTGGCAGAGGCTTTCTTCCTGGTCCCAGTGTTTTTCCTCTTGCTCCTGCAATACTGCAGCTGGTGGGGCCAGTGGGAGACCCAGAGATGTGAACCCTCCTGGAAGGTTCACTGTCACCCCAACAGGAGGCTTCCTGGAAAGTTTCCCCAGCACCCAGCAGGTGGTTTTCTGCTTGCCAGCCATGGTCTGCAGCACCTCAGCAAACTCTTATCCCATCCAGTGGCCACATCTTTCATCAACGATGTGCATCTCAGCCTTGGAGGGGAGGCTTCGTCCAAGCTTGTCTTCCTTGAATATTTTGCCTCGGCCCTAGAGGTAGTGTTTTTTCTCTACATCTGCTATTCCTATAATCTGTCTTGTTTTGTTTTCTAATTGAAGTCCCTTACTGGTCCTGCTTCTACGAGTGGCGGTGACCAGGTGAAAAGGGAGAGGAATCAGCCGGCCCAGGGAGGGTCACCTCTACCACATTCCACTCACACACAGAATGGAACACACAAGCACAGAGTCAACAGTTATTGTGATTAGAAGTTGGTAGCATGGGGTGGCCAGGTGCAGTGGCTCATGCCTGTAATCCCAGTACTTTAGGAGGCTGAGGTGGGTGGATCACCTGAGGCCGAGATAAGCCTGACCAACATGGAGAAACCCCGTCTCTACTAAAAATACGAAATTAGTGGGGCATGGTGGCGAATGCCTGTAATCTCAGCTACTCGGGAGGCTGAGGCGGGAGAATCACTTGAACCGGGAGGCAGAGGTTGCAGTGAGCCAAGATCACGCCATTGCACTCCAGCCCGGGCAACAAGAGCAAAACTTTGTCTCAAAAAAAAAAAAAAAAAATGGGTGTTGTTAAAAAAAAATGTAGGCTAGGCTGGGTGCAGTGACTCATGCTTGTAATCCCAGAACTTTGGGAGGCTGAGGCGAGTGGATCATTTGAGGTCAGGAGCTCAAGGCCAGCCTGGTCAACATGGTGGAACCCCATCTCTACCAAAAATACAAAAAAATTAGTCGGGCAGTTGTGGTGGATGCCTGTAATCCCAGCTACTAGGGAGGCTGAGGCAGGACAATCACTTGAGCCTGGGAGGCGGAGGTTGTGGTGAGCCGAGATCATGCCGCTGCACTCCAGTCTGGGCGACAGAGTGAGACCCTGTCTCAAAAAACAAACAAACAAACAAACAAAAAACAAAATACAGGCTCCTCCCAAACTAGGGTGCGTGAGGGGAACTTTGTCTGTTTCAATCCAAGAGGAATTAGAAGGTCAAAAGTGGCCTGGGAAAGCCAGAACCATCAGGGATGGAGGGAGGAGGAAGGCCTGGGGGTGAGGGCTGCTTGGTAACTGGGGTGAGGGGATTATCTTCCCCTTGCTGGGATCCCCCAAACCCCTCTGGTCTTGGAGGAAGGGGACAGACAACTCTCTGCAGATAGGTCAGGAGCTGCCAGATGTTCCAGGCAGGGGGCTGGAGGGGGTTCACAAAGGCATGCCCTCCAGGAGATGATGGCGCTGCCTCCAAGCTTCTCTGCCAGGATGCTATGGCCCTTGACCTCCTTGTGATTCATGCTTGATCTCCATCAGCTTCCCCTTGATGACATCCTTGGAGCTGGCATAGGTCACTTAGCTCTTAGAGGGTACAGACTCAGGGTCCCAGAAGATAAACTCCAGATCTTCCTTCTTGCTGTTCTTGGTCTCAGGCTGTGTCATAGAGGGTGGAGGAGCAGTCCTTGTCTGGCAGCATCTTGACTAAGGTGGCATAGGGCCATCAACAGTCTGGCCTGCACCACCTACGAGGATCTCCTTGCCCCTTCCAGGGTGACATTCTTCTTGGCCTCATTATGTCAGAAGAGCACTACCTTCTTGCACTGTTTCACCTCCTCTGATGTCACCAACTCGTGTGCCTTCATGTCATTAGACATCTTGATGTTGCCATCAGAGATAGCCACACTGGCCATGTTTCTGGAAGTGAAAGGAAGATGTCAAAGAGGGCCAGAGAAGATAAGAGCTGTTGCAGCTGCTGCTGGAATCCTCTATTTTGGGGTGTGTGTGTGTGTGTGTGTGTTTAAGACAAGGTCTTGCTCTGTCACCCAGGCTGGAGTGCAGTAGCACAATCACAGCTCACTGCAGCTTTAAGTTCCCAGGCTCAAGCGATGCTCCCACCTTACCCTCCTGAGTAGCTGGGACTACGGGCGTGCACCACCATGACTGCCTAAATTTTTAATTTTTTGTAGAGACAGTGTCTCCCTATGTTTCCCAGATTGGTCTCAAACTCCTGGGCTCAAGCGATCTGTCCACCCCGGCCTCCCAAATTGGTGGGATTACAGGCATGAGCCACCATGCCTGATCTATTGCTGTATTTGTTAGGGTTCTCTTTACTCCTTTTACACACACACACCGAAACAGGATTCCAGCAGCAGGTGCAACAGCTCTTATCTTCTCTGGCCCTCTTCAACATCTCCCTTTCACTTCCAGAAACATGGCCTTCAGTGTGGCTATCTCTGATGGCGACATCAAGGTGTCCAATGACATGAAGGCACACTAGTTGGTGATGGTTAATTTTATGTGTCAACTTAACCGAGCCACAGGATGTCCAGATATTTTATCACATATTTTTCCGGTGTGTCTGTGGGGGCGTTTCTGGAGGAGATGCACCTTTGAATTGGTGGACTGAGCAAAGCAGACCACACTTCCCAATGTGGATGGGCCTCACCCAATCCATTGGAGCCCCGGATAGAACAAAAAGGTTGACCCTGGCCCAAGTAAGTGGGAATTCTTCCTGCCTTTGGACTCAGACTGAAACATTGGCTCTTCCTGGTTCTTGAGACTGCCAGCCTTTGGACTGGCACTACACCATCACCCTTCCTGGGCCACCAGATTGGGACTTGCCAGTCTCCATACTCTCGTGAGCCAATTCCTTATAATAAATCTCTTTCTGTATCTACATATAACACTAGTATTGTAATATGTGTCTATATGTTATATATCTATATATACAGATACCGCTTAATAGATACATAGATGATATATATAATGGATAGATATATCCTATTGGTTCTGTTTCTCTGGATAACCCGAATATGGTAGTTAATTCCCTTTTTACTAATTTAAGAACTCTTTACATTAAATGCTCCCTGTTCGCATTACTGGTGTGCTTTCTGTCTCCTGACTGGGCCCTGGCTGCTACACCATCCTTACAGTAAAACAACAAACAACAACACAAAACAAACCTTTCCTGTCTTTCTTACCCTTCACAGCTGACATTCACTCTCCTTTGCCTCATCTTCTCAATTCATCACAATCTGACTCTCCCAATTGAAATAGACATTTCATTGATAAATTCCTAATTGCCCAAAGAGGCACCTGACAGGACTTTCCTCTCTTAATCACCTCCTTCTGAAAACATTCTTCTCCCTGATTTCCTCATTGTGTTTCAGACCATTTCTTTTGAGGCCAATATGGTTCATATACAGTAGGAAGAGTAAAAAGCTATTAGAGATTAGACAAAGCTATTGAAGTTGGACAAAGCTATTGAAATCCCAGCTCTGCCCTTTACAAGTGATATGACCTTGATCTCTGTGAGCTTGGTCGGCCTTCTCATTTGCAAATTTGGGATAACAACAATAGGTAGCTTGCAGTGTTGTTTGAAGAACAAATAGGCTGGGTGTGGTAGCTCATGCCTGTGATCCCAGCACTTTGGGAGGCCAAGCCGGAAGGATTGCTTGATACCAGGGGTTTGAGACCAGCCTGGACAACATAGCAAGACCCCATCTCTACAAAAAATAGAAAACCTTAGCTGGGTGTGGTGGTACAGCCTGTAGTTCCAGCTACTCGGGAACTGAGGTGGGAGGATCACTCGAGCCCAGGAGGTCGAGGCTGCAGTGAGCATTCATTGCACCACTGCACTCCAGCTTGGGTGAGAGTGAGACCCTGTCTCAAACATAAATAAATAAATAAATAAATAAATAAATAAATAAATAATTAATTTATGTAAAGCACCAAGACATACAGCCTGGCACATCGTAGGTGCTCAATAAAGGTTAGTTGCTCTATTCTCCTAATGACCTTCATCTACCCCGTGGGTTAAGCTGGTGATACTAGGGGCTCCACTTTTCCACTGTCTCAACTCACTTTCTCTGAGCAATGTTACCACACTTGAGGCATTATGTACCACCACTTATTCAAAGTTGTAACTTCTTTCCAGACCTCTCTTCTCACCCAGATTGGGGGCCGATGTTGCCTGAGCCCCTATCACACCCAGAAACCCCTGTGAACCACACAACTGTCAGGAGCCTCTTGCCTGTGTCTTCAAGGGTCTTGGCCACAGCTGATTGGACCAGGGGCTGGTGCTGATCTTAGACTGGTCACGGTGCAAAGTCCCCACCCAAACGCGAGAGCTCTGTACGGACACAGGATGTAGAAAGACCCAATTAGAGCCTCTCTGTGTGCTCTTTGAATGTGAGATGGAGAGGAGGAACTTGGTATTGGCAGCCAGAACTGAAAGAAAAAAAGAAAATCCAGGACATAGCTTCCTCGTGGCAACCAAACCTAGGGGTAAGCAGCAACATTGAGGAGAAGCAGAAATAGTCACATTAGAAGCTGAGACACGCATGTGCAGGGGTTCCTAGAGCCAGTGGCAAAGGATGCCTGATACTGTGCCGGAGCTGCTGGGAGTCACTGCTCGTCATGGAGGGCACCCTGAGGCCCCATGGAGCCAAGGCGTTGGGACAATTTCCTGTCTCTTACTTTTCATTGCTTCGTTTCCCTCTTTCACAGAAATACATATATATTCACTCCCCCACCCCCAATTGTAATTAAAAGATGCTCATAGCCGTCATTTCGCTACAATACATGCTGTCATCTGAAAAAGCTTTCTTTGCTCCTTGGAGCTTAACCAACACAACTTCAGAGCTGCAGACCCACCTAGACATCCACCATAGTGACTATAAGATATCCTTTTCTAGAGTCTGCTGAATGAATACATGGATGAATGAATGAATGAATGCATGTATACACACATACAAACAGGGGGATAAAGGAGGAATGAGCCAGACGGGACATAATGAAAAAGCAGGGAAGAATTAAGACAGTGCAGAGCCGCGGGCAGCAGTGATTGAAGCTTTGATGCTCAAGCATCCGTGGGCTCCTCGTTTCTGTAGTGCAGAGTAAACACAGAAGTAAAACAGGGTGTGAGTGGGCATCAGAATCACCCCATGGCTTCTCAAAACCCAGATTGTTGTCCCCACCTACAGAGCGAATTCAGGTCTGGGGAGGGCCTGAGACTTTGAGTTTCTAACCAGTTCTCAGGTGATGCCTGGGGACCCACAGAGTCAGCAGAATTCCGAGAAGTGAACGTCTACAAAAGCCAAAGAGCTCAGAGGTGCGGCAGAGGTTCCCTCAGAGGTTGAGGGAACTTCTGTGTTGTTGGTCCAGATAGTGATTTGCAGAGGACAGCAGATTTTGCAGCTTCCTGCCCCCTGAAAAAATACAAAATAAGGATTCCTGTCTCATTGTTAAATTTTGCAGGCAGGGAGGGCGAGTTGTCTTCATTCAAGCTCTTGTCACACTGTCCCCAGAACCTGGCCCCGACTAGGAGAACGGCCTGCCTTGGTTAAGGGGTCATTCAGCATTCAGTGTTGTCTCACTCAGAATCCTGCACTTCCAGCTAAAATCCAGCTCAGGTCAAAGGCACTCAGTGCAGTAAAGGCATCTGTGCTCAGAATCCAAATATCAATAGAACAGAAACTAAAAATAATCAAAACCACTGAAAGGAGGTTAAGAGTCCTGTCCTGAAAACAGCTATTATTTGCCCATCCTCTAGGTTACGGTCAAATTAGGACTCAGGAAGCGAAGGCTCTAGAGCTCCCTCAGATGGTTATTTTTATTTCAATTCCATCCCCATGTCAGAGTGTATTTCATTACTTACTAGACTTGGGACATTATTGGTTGCCTGCTGTATGAGTTTCCGAGGGCTGCTGTACAAAATACTGGCACCGTATGGCTTAACAACAGATTGATTCACTCACAGTTCTGGGGTCAAGGTCCTGAGATCAAGGGCCATGCTCCCTGTGAAATCAGCAGGGAAAGATCCTTCTCTCTTCTTCCAGCCTCTCTTGGTTTGCTGGCAATCCTTGGCCTGCTTCGGCTTGCAGCTGCATGGCTCTGATCTCTGTCTTAGCTGTTATATGGCATTCTCCTATTTTTATAGGGACACCAGTCATCTTGAATTAGGAATCTGTTCCACTCCAGTATGACCTCATCTTAGCTAATTACAGCTACAAAGACCCTATTTCCAAATGATGTCATGTTCAGAGGTACTGGGAGGTTAGGACTTCAACATATCTTTTTTTGGAGGGGACACAATTAACATCGACCCTAGACCTTTACCTTTTTCTCTAGTAAATCCCAGATTTTTCCAAAAGCATACTAACTGATAGGCCTACAGATAAAAATACCCAAGCAGAGACCGGGACGACCCTGCCAATGTGGTAATGGCTCGTCCCAACAAGTTATTCCTTGTGCATAATAGTTCTTGGGCTCAGCCACAGAATGTGCTCTTTCTATGTATTTACAAGATTACAAGATCTTGCTCTGTCACCCAGGCTGGAGTGCAGTGATGCAATCATAGCTCACTGCAGCCTCTAACTCCTGGGCTCAAGCAATCTTCTTACCCCAGGTTTCAGAGCAGCTGGGACTACAGGTGCGCACCACCATGTCCAGCTAATTATTTTATTTTTTGTAGAGACAGGGTCTTGCTATATTGCCCAGACTGGTCTCAAACTCTCAGCCTCAAGTGATCCTCCCACCTTAGCCTCTCAAAGTGCTGGGATTACAGGCATGAGTGACTGTGCCCAGCCTCTATTATTTCTTATAACTGCATATAAACCTAAAATTGTCTGTTAAAAAAAGAAAAAAGAAAAAAAGAAAAAGAAATGACTTGCTGGGGTTGGGTTGGTAGGGAGGAGAGCTGGGTCCTGGTCTCCTTTAGAGTAATGTGCTTTGATTATGTAACAATTGTGGAGTTCTGGGTCCTTCTGCACCTGGATCTTTCTCTGGGGAATGGGAAGGCGAGAAAGATAAGGCAGGGAGAAAGTGGGGATGTTGCATTTACTCCCCAGACCACCCTATGTTTCTATGTGTACAGGACAACGAGCTGGGCCATCCTTCCCTAGGAGAATAACTGGTCACCTGAGCCCAGCAGCAACACCTCAGAACCTTCCAGAAAGCCCAAGAAATTACAAAGTCATGCTGCCAGTGGGCCCACAGGTCAGCACCGTGTTGCCAGCAGGATGTCCTCTCCTCAGCCACACAGAGACTTGGATCTGCTGCTTCTGAACACAGGCTCCCACCCAGGGGAGATGTCTGTAGGTCTTCCTTCAGCCATGTTCCCCCAGGGAGGCTTGGCCTGGCTCAGACTCTCCTTGCGCTCCAGCCCCCGAGGAGTTTCTAAAACCTGCCTTTGCCAAGGGGCCCATCAAATTCTGTTTAGAGGCAGGAGGGTTTGTGTGCCAGCAGGACGGTTGCTATATTGCCCAGGCTGGTCTCAAACCGCCCACAGAGAGTTCTGGAATGTCCCCCATGGCATCCCATCCACTGGGAACCTTTGCCCTTAGGGGCTTCTGGGGCATTCACAGACAATAGTACTGTTGGCTTCCTGTTCCACCCAGTGCAGACCAGAAAACAAGTCATAGGAACTGAGGGCCTTGCCTTGAGCTCTGCCCGCTTCAATCAAGAGGCCACTTGGCTTTTTCAGCTGGGCGCGGTGGCTCACGCCTGTAATTTTAGCACTTTGGGAGGCCGAGGCAGGCGGATCACCTGAGGTCAGGAGATCAAGACCAGCCTGGCCAAGATGATGAAACCCCGTCTCTACTAAAAATACAAAAAAAATTAGCCGGGTGTGGTGATGGGTGCCTGTAATCCCAGCTAACTCAGGCAGCTGAGGCAGGAGAATCGCTTGAACCCGGGAGGCAGAGGTTGCAGTGAGCGGAGATCAGGCCACTCCACTCCAGCCTGGGCAACAGAGCGAGAGTCCGAAGAAAAAAAAAGAGGCCACTTGGCTTTTTCAGAGAGCAAGAGGCACGATGGCAGGGAGTCAGGCAGATGACTTCATAAAGGAGACCAGTTCACTGCCCTCCGTTGGCCTCCCCACACTTTGTCTTAGGTCACCCTTCAACTGCTGCGTCCTCTCCTGTGTTTGATTGGTGTTTTCAAACGCTCAGCAGCAAACCAGTGGAGGTGGGCTTCTCAACCAGCAGCTCCCAGTCTATGAGGTCAACCTCCAAACTGATTTCCACAGTAAAACCATCCTTTCCTCTGATTGGAAGGGATTTAGGCTCCCCCTCCCCCAATCAGCAACTTGCACCCTCAAAATGAACTACTCCTGCTGAGCTGCCTGGGAGCAAGATTAGGGGGAGACACTCTCCTCTCTGCCAGTGAGTCACGCCCTCTAACAATTTCTGTCCTGCCCATATGGTCCCATTATGATTGGGGAAAATAAAGAAAAATATGTTACTCTTTATAATGTATAGAAAATCTAAATATTATAGCAAATCTGGTAAAATCAACATAAATATTGCCAATGCCAAACCACTGTGTCTGTGTGACTAGAAAATGATGAAGGTCACAGGTAGTCCAGGCTTATTGTAAGTGGCATCTCTACCCAATTCCCTTTCCACCGCTTGTTCCTTGCCCACAGAACTTCACATATATTTATTCACATGTCACTATAGCAACCTAAAGATGAAATATCTGAATGTAAATGTAAGAAGGGATAAAAGCAGATTTCACAGATTCTTCAGCGCTTTGAAAATAGGCTGCATCTCCTTCCGTTTCTATGTGACCGTAATAACCTGGACCAGGATTGCCCAGGAAAACAGGGCGAGGCAACCCCTGGGCGCTGGGGTGCCAGGTTGGGCCCCTCCCCAGAGCAGCCTCCACCAATGCCGCCCTTGAGCCAGCATGAGGAGGCGCCTTTGCCTCCCGGGGCCATCCTGGGGACACAGGAGGATGTTGTAGGGGCATTGCTGGAACCTGGAGCCTGCATGGGATGCACCTGAGG
Organism: Homo sapiens; assembly: GCF_000001405.40. NCBI lineage: Eukaryota > Metazoa > Chordata > Mammalia > Primates > Hominidae > Homo > Homo sapiens. The sequence goes on along the minus strand of NC_000013.11, from coordinate 99,575,607 downwards.
CGCGGATGCGCTCGGCCCCGCCCTACCTGAGCACAGGTTGGGGAGATTCCTAACCCTATCCCTAACCCCAACCCAACAAAAGGGCGTTGACTTCAAACCAGCCCAGGCTGGCTGCGCCAGAGCCAGCCAATGAGACATCGCCCTGCTTCCCGGTGAGTGGAGGACACAGCCCCCTCCAGGGAGCTACATTGAGTGTGCTGAGAAGGACCTGTCCTCCCCACCTGTCCACACTCATTTTCTGATTTTTTGTTTTTAATATAAAAAGAAGCTTCTCGTTCCACTGTTACTCACATGGTTTAAAAAACTGCCCTGATTGATAGAGTTTGAAAAGAAAAAAAAAATTCACACTGGGGTGGAAATAAACCACAGGGTGACTGACTTCTCCCGAAACGATGTTTTTCAGATGAGACTGGGGGCTGGGGGAGGAAGCTCCAGGACAGCGTCCCTCTCGGGAGCAGAACCGGAAGGCCCGCGTGCATACAGACGGGCACCTGTACGTCACAGCCAGACACGTGTTTTGTTTTGTTTTTTTAGACGGAGTTTCGCTCTTCTTGCCCAGGCTGGAGTGCAATGGCACGATCTCGGCTCACTGCAACCTCTGCCTCCCGGGTTCAAGCAATTCTCCTGCCTCAGTCTCCTGAGTAGCTGGGATTACAGGCATGTACCACCACGCCTGTCTAATTGTGTATTTTTAGTAGAGACAGGGTTTCTCCATGTTGGTCAGGCTGGTCTCAAACTCCCGACCTCAGGTGATCCGCCCGCCTCGGCCTCCCAAACTGCTGGGACTACAGGCGTGAGCCACTGCGCCTGGCCTCCCGGGTTGTTTTTACATTGCTTTTCAGAGATCATTAATAAGGGGCCCACATTTCTGGGTAGCAATGGGCGAAATTAGATGATGCTTTGATTAGTTGGGCTCTGACAACGCATTTATTAGAGACATTGTCATTATGTACTGACTGGGTGGTTGAGATACGGAGCAATGGTTTCCTCTTCACATTTCTGTATACACTCATTTCTTTCCCCCAGCAGGTCCTAAGAGGTGGCTTATGCTGCTGTACATGTTTAATAAGTATCACAGAGGCGTCATGCAGTAACACTGTCTGCAATGCTTTGTATTAATGTGCTGAACATCCTTTACATGATAAGAACACAATATCCACTGCTGCCTCTAAAAAACCCACACACCAGGCTGGGCACGGTGGCTCACACCTGTAATCCCCAGCACTTTGGGAGGCCGAGGCAGGAGGATCACTTGAGGCCAGGATTTCAAAACCAGCCTGGGCAACATAGTGAGACTCAGTCTCTATTAAAAAAAAAAAAAAAATAGCCAGGTGTGGTGGTACAGGCCTGTAGTCCCAGCTACTCGGGAGGCTGAGGTGGGCAGATTGCTTGAGTCCAGGAGTTCAAGACTAGCCTGGACAACATAGGGAGATCCCATCTCTACAGAAAATTTTAAAAATTAGCCAGGTGTGGTGGTGCAAGCCCGTAGTCCCAGCTACTCAGGAGGCTCAGGCAGGAGGATCACTTGTTCCTGGGAGGTTGAAGCTGCAGTGAGCTGTGATGGCACCACTGCACTCCAGCCTGGGTGACAGAGTGAGACCGTGTCTCAAAAAACAACAACAAAAAACAAGCCCCCACACCGGTTTTGAAACTAAATATCATTAATACTGTCATTAAATAGGAATCCAAATAAGAGAGTTTCAAGGACCTAAGTTAAAAATGAAGGTTCAGCTGGGCACAGTGGCTCATGCCTGTAATCTCAGCACTTTGGGAGGCCGAGATGGGCGGATCACCTGAGGTCGGGAGTTTGAGACCAGCCTGACCAACAGGGAGACACCCCATCTCTACTAAAAATACAAAATTAGCTGGGCGTGTTGGTGCATGCCTGTAATGCCAGCTACTCGGGAGGCTGAGGCAGGAGAATCGCTTGAACCCGGGAGGTGGAGGTCGCGGTGAGCTGAGATCACGCCATTGCACTCCAGCCTGGGCAACAAGAGTGAAACTCCATCTCAAAAAAAAAAAAAAAAAAAAAAAATGAAGGTTCAACTTCTGGAAAGATACCTAGGGGATGGTTAACAGTGGCTGTCTCCAGGAGAGAGGCCTCGGTGCTTGGGACATGACTAGAGTCTTAGTTTTTTCTTTATTCTTTTGTGCATTTTGAATTTTACCTATTCCAAAGGAAAAATTGAATTAAAATAAATATAAATAAAATATTCAGAATCTAAGTTGAAGCCTTAGGCACTGAATATCCCCATTAAAATGCCTTTCCTTAAACCTTCAAAAGAAAGGAAACCAAGCTTTGCTTTTTGAAAGAACCCCCCGACCCCACATTTCAATAGCTATGTATAATTCCTTTAAGGAGCCCAGTCAGCGTGTGTGGGAGTTGAAAATGCTTTTAATCATTTCCCCTCAAGTTTGACAGAAGTGTGGCAAGGAGGGCCATCTGTTTTGCTTGAATGAGAAGCGACCCAGCATTCTGATTTCAATTAGCCTCTTTGTAGCTTTCTGTTTGGGCTGGTTCCATGGGTAACGGTTCAGCTAAGTGTGGAGAGGAGCGGGCCAAGTTCTGCCGGTGCTGATTTGTTTTAACAACTGTCAATGAACGTAGAACAAGCGTACGAGGCGATGTTGTGGACGCACAGTGAAAAACATAATTTTACGGAATCAAGATGGCACGTCCTAGAGCCTGAGAGCTAAACAAAATATTGAAATGGTGTCTTTAAATCATCCTATTAAACGATGATTGAGAGATTTAAAATCAGTATCACTTCTCATCTAAATTCCTAGTTTCAGTCAATAAATACGCGCCTCCTATGTGTAAATACGCGCCTCCTATGTGCAAAGTACTGTTATGCCCTGGGTGTGAGCCAGAGACAAATAGAAGGGGCCCTTTCTGCTTTTGAGAAGTTTGTGATGTATTTTGGAGGACAGGTCAGCAGAGGTAGACAATAATATGAATGATATTTGAGATAGGAGAGCTGGCAAACGTCAGTGTTCTGAAGTATTAGGAGTGCAGAGTGCAGAGGATGGGGACACATTACTCTGGCCCGGGGCTCTATACTGAGATGCTCAGGGGTCCTAGAGCTGGAGTGAAACACACCCTCAGCTGACACTACAGCCTGTGTCCCTTCATGCCACCTCCTCTTGCACTTTACACACACATACTCCCTCTCTCACACACACACGAGTGCCCATTCACGTACACGCACCACAGATATATTGGGCAGGAGGTTGACGAAGGGGGTGGATGGCTCTGGGATGACGAAAGCTAACCCAGACACGCATTGCTGCATCAAGTCGTCACTGTCTGCCAGCACGTTTGCCAGAGTAGGAAGGGATTTTTGCTGGGGATACTTTGTGCAATTCCAGCAACAACCAACTCACATTTCTCCAGCATGAAGTGAATCCATTACACCCAGGTGTTCCCAGTCCTTCCCATCTGGGTTACTGATGTCCAGAAGAAGATTCTGCCACTTCAATTCTGTGGCATCATCAGTGTGTCAGCATGTCTCCTCTCCTCAAGGGGCTGGCAAAGTTCTTCCAAGTCACATCATCCAGGGCAGAGTAGTGGCAAGTCTGGAAGGTGGCTCTGGGTCCTGGCGGTGGTGGCCACCTGCGAGGGGACCTGTAGTGTGGCTGTGGCCCCGTGGCTGTGTCTTGGGATGAGTTCTAAGTCCCCAGCTCCTTTCCCTTGGCACTGCTGAAGCAGGAAGCCAGCAGGAGTGCCCTGCAGTGTGGCTCATGCCAGTGTGGCTCGTATCAGCTTAGAGCGGGCTATGAGCCGTTCCCAGTCAACAGAGTCACTGCCTCGGTTCACCACTGTCTATGAAATGGTCCTAGTCAACTGTGGCACAATTTGTCTGGCTTTAGCATGAGCCAGAGGAGCCTTGTTCTCTCTGACCTGGACAGCCTATGATTTTCTTTGATAATAATGCTAACCCTAAAACATTTAGCGTATTTTTAAAACCTGATTTAAATTTGAATGTATACAATGTCATTAATTGTAAGCTATCAGTAAAAACCTTTTAAAAAGTGGACTCTAATCCTTAAATATATCATTTCCAACTTATATCTCATATTTAACTCTTTTCAGAGAAATTAATGACCTGTGACCTATTATAGTGCTATTTATTTATCATGGTCAACACCACTCACGTGGCCTAGACCACTTTTGGCTAAAAATATCCGAAGGAATTAACAGGACTTTTTAGAGCCATGCTTTCTTCTTCACTAAATAAAGGAATTAATTATATTATTTATTTATTTATTTTTTGAGATGGAGTTTCGCTCTGTCATCCAGGCTGGAGTGCAGTGGCGCGATCCTGGCTCATTGCAACCTCTGCCTCCTGGGTTCAAGAGATTCTCTTTCCTCAGCCTTCCAAGTAGCCGGGATTACAGGAACCCACCAACATGCCCGGCTAGTTTTTGTATTTTTAATAGAGACAGGGTTTCACCATGTGGGCCAGGCTGGTCTCAAATTCCTGACCTCAGGTGATCCACTCGCCTCAACCTCCCAAAGTGCTGGAATTACGGGTGTAAGCCACCGTGCCCAGCCAAAGAATTCATTATTAATGAGAATGTCAAATAATCATTAGGTCAAAAAATAAAAGGGAAAAAAGAATCAAATTTGAGCATGTGTATATGAAGTTCAAGAGAGTGAGGTGAAGAAATCCAGTGGAGGCCGGGTGCGGTGGCTCACGCCTGTAATCCCAGCACTTTGGGAGGCTGAGGTGGGTGGATCACGAGGTCAGGAGATCAGGACCATCCTGGCTAACATGGTGAAACCTCATCTCTACTAAAAATACAAAAATTATTTAGGCATGGTGGCGCTCGCCTGTAGTCCCAGCTACTTGGGAGGCTGAGGCAGGAGAATGGCGTGAACCCAGGAGGCGGAGCTCGCAGTGAGCCGAGATCGCACCACTGCACTCCAGCCCAGGCGACAGATCGAGACTCCATCTCAAAAAAAAAAAAAAAAAAATTCCAGTGGAATTCCAAAAGCAAGAGAATGTGAAGAAACAGTGATTTTTAGTGTTTAGACTTCAAATTACATAGTAAAGGAGAGAACAAATCAGTCATAGGAAACAGGTTTGGTTCCATCAAAATATCTGAGAAAGAAAAGCATGATTTTCTACATATAGAACCTTGTAGGCAGAGAAATTATGGTCACCATCTACTTGGGCTATAGAACACAAAATACAAATATGAAAAAACTTTTTTTTTTTTGAGACGGAGTCTTGGAGTCTCGTATCGTTACTCAGGCTGGAGTGCAGTGGCGCGATCTCAGCTCACTGCAACCTCTGCCTCCTGGGTTCAAGCGATTCTCCTGTCTCAGCCTCCTGAGTAGCTGGGACTACAGGCATGCACCACCATACCCAGCTAATTTTTGTACTTTTTAATAGAGATGGGGTTTCACCGTACTGGCCAGGCTGGTCTTGAACTCCTGACCTCGTGATCCACCCAGCTCAGCCTCCCAAAGTGCTAGGATTACAGGCATGAGCCACTGTGCCCAGCCAGAAAAAACATTTTCTTAATGACATATATTTACATATTAATGAAGCCCCAGAATGTCCTGCTATTCATAGGGAGAGACCTTTCTTTCTGAGGGTTTTAAAAGGTTTAAAAAACCTTTCCCAACAGCTGAGCTTTTTTTTTTTTTTTTTTGGAGGCAGGGTCTCACTCTGTTGCCCAGGTTGGAGTACAGTGGTACAATCATGGCTCACTGCAGCCTTAACTTCCTGGGTTCAAGTGATCCTCCTGTCTCAGACTCCTGTGTAGCTGGGACCACAGGCACGTGCAACCATGCCAATTTTTTTTTTTTTTTTTTGTAGAGATGGGGGTCTCATTTTGTTGCCCAGGATGGTCTCGAACTCTTGGACTCAAGCAATCAATCCTCCTACCTCAGCCTCCCAAAGTGCTAGGATTACAGGCATGAGCCATTGCATCCACCCCACCAACCCTGCTTTTTTTTTTTTTTTTTTTCCTGAGCAGTTTTGGTTATATCAAAAGCAAGACTTCTCAAATAAAACAATGATCTGATTACAGAACACAAACCAAGCCCAGGAAAAAACCCTTTATCCTCTATGGGGTATAATTCTCCATTTGCTTGCAGAGGCCTTGTCATGGCGCCAATACCCTTGTAGCCTTGTTAATCTCCAGGCTTTGTCTGTCAGGTGTGGGAGCCCTGGCCAGAGGAGTGCCACCCCAGACCCTAGACACTGAGTTCTGTAGGAAGACCCCCTGAAACTATTGCTATGGAATAAAAGATGAAATGCTCCTGATTATTGTAAATACAAAGTTGCACGCAGGATTGTGTAAAGACAATGCCAGGTTGGACTGCCAGAATGAGCCAACAGCATGTGATGTGCTTCCCCCTGCAGAGAGCCTATGAACGGACGTGCAGTCAGGGAGGTTTCACATCACCAAGATTCCTATCCCAGAAAAGCAGATGTTCATAGCTCTGGGAATGGAACGTGACCCTTGTGGAGAGCCTATAAACGGACGCATGGGGGGTGCCTGTTCATATGGATAAGACAGGGCTATAAACGCCCTCATCTTGCCTTCTAGGCCTCTTTAGGGTTAAGGCATACTCCCTTCTGAGAATTTCTGGTCTAACTGGCTGTCTAGCTTCATGGCCTGTTTCTATGGATTGTTTGTAACCAGCTTTTGCTGCAACTGTTACTGCTGATTAATATCTTGCTAATCATAGGTTATGGAAAGACTGTGTTTTCTGTTTTAAGGCTCTGTTAAAAATTACTGACACACACACTATATTGTAAATTCTTATCTCTGTATACTGTACTTCTGCATACAGATGTTATGTTAAAGAATTACTTCATCCCCATGTGACCATCTCACTTCATAATCAAATGACTCTAAATCCCTCACTAACCTACTCCCACCCTCACTAAACTTAACAATAAATGCTGGTAAATCCAGTGCATTGGCGGCATCGCAGGACCAGAAGGCAGTGACCCCCCAGGACCCAGCTTTCACTATCTTGTGTGTGTGTCTATTATTTCTCGACTTGCCGATCCGCCTAGGAACAAGGAAAGAGCCCCGTTGCATTGCAGGATGCTGGCCAGATCCCGCAATAGAGTTCCTTCTGGCGGGGGTCACTGACATAACAGTGATCCAAGAGTGAATTCCCTGTGGTGCTTGGTTCAGTGGATGGTTTTGACTTTACTGCCGAAAGGATTCTAGTAAAAAAAAGAATCCTGTTGTTCTCACTTGATACAGCATCTTTAGAGGAAGTGCATTATTATGGGCCAAATTGTTTCCTCCTAAAATTCATATTTGAAGCCCTAACTCCCAGTACTTCTGAAGGTGACTGTGTTTGAAGATAGGGCCTTTAAAGAGGTCACTCAGATTAAATGAGGTTATATGTATTACAGGTGGGCTCTATCAGTCTGACTGGTGTCCTCATAGGAGGAAATTTGGACACACAAAGAGACACCAGGGATGTGCATGCATGGAGAAAAGACCATTTGAAGACACAAGGACAGGGAGAAGGTGGCTGTCTGCAAGCCCAGGAGCGAGGCCTCAGGAAAAACCAGACATGTGGACACCTTGTGCTTGGACTTCTAGCATCCAGAACATAAGAAAATACATTTCTGTTGTCTAAGGCACCCATTCTGTGGTGCTTTATTATGGCAGCCCTTGCAAACTAATACATATATTAAAATAAAACGAGCCAGAAGTGGTGGCCTGCACCTGCAGTCCCATCTACTTGAAAGGCTGAGGCAGGAGGACTGCTTTGAGCCCAGGAGGTCGAGGTTACAGTGAGCTGTGATTGCACCACTGCACTCCAGCCTGGGCAAGAGTGAGACCCTGTTTCTAAACACAGACACACACACCCCTAAAACAGATCTATATTAAAATGCTTTGTCTTGATGTTTTTATCAGGTCTAAAACAAGGCTTTTGGCAACATGAGACTCATACTTGGTCCAGAACTTTGAAGCAGCTGCATTTGAAAGACTTTTAGGTTTTCTTCGCTTGTCACCAAAATCTGTTACAAATTCCAATGTGCAATAGAATTTGTGTATTAAAACAAATTTATATGACCAATGTCTGAAATAGTTTGCTTAAGGAAGCCCTTAATCACTTCTATGTGTCTTAAGAAGTTTTAAGGTTACGATTTTTATGCTTTCGTCACACCTATAGGAGGGCTTTTTCTTTTTGTTTTTTTGAGATGGAGTTTTGCTCTTGTCACCCAGGCTGGAGTGCAATGGTCTGATCTTGGCTCACTGCAACCTCTGCTTTCTGGGTTCAAGTGATTCTCCTGCCTCAGCCTCCCGAGTAGCCGGGATTACAGGCACCTGCCACCAAGGCCAACTAGTTTTCGTATTTTTAGTAGAGACAGGGTTTCACCATGTTGGCCAGGCTGGTCTCGAACTCTCGACCTCAGGTGATCCACCCGCTTCGGCCTCCCAAAGTGGTGGGACTACAGGCGTGAGCCACCGTGCCCGGCCAAGAGGGCTTTTTCTAATTTCCTGGATAGATCATATGAGCAGGTGGTTTGGCATGGATGGCTTGGGTCACGGAGGGAGATGGACAGCGCAGGGGTGTGGTTTGTGGCAGCTCTAGCAGGTTCCCCTGCGGAGGAACATGCCTGGAGCAGGGAACCAGCCAGCGTCGCTGCAGCGGTGCAGGAGGACGTCACCGCAGGCGCCATGGGTGGAGGGGGTGGGCAGGAAGCCATGGATCTGAAGACTTGGAGGATACTCGGTGACCGACTGAAAGGGGCACCCAGGGGACCTGTGAAGCTCCGCTCAGGGGATGAAGCAGCTGACGGCCCCACCGGAGACGGGGCCTCTGGGGGAGCGGCAGCTGGGGACGGAGGGCAGGTGCGCTCACTTTTGTACACCATGAGCTTAGTGTTCCCGAGGACCACGCAGGCTGTGCAGCAAGCAGGTGCTGTGAGTGGAGATGGAGGCGCTGACTCTAAACACGAGAGTGAAACTGGACAGAGAACACCAAGTGAGAAGTAGGTCAAAGAGGGAAAGATGGAATAGGGCAGCAACTCCCGCTGGGGGCAGAAGTGGAGCCCCCAGAGGAGACTGACAGAGGCGGAATTGAGGGGAAGAGAAGTGGGTAAGCAGCGTCTCCTGTTTTAACGCACTTCTCCAGAACACGTGCAGGGCAAGCACATGTTTGTGACAATCTTCTTGCGATTCTATGAGGAAGGTTCAGACCCAGACTATGAGGAACACGGCTTTCAGGACAAGGTTTCCAAGAGAGACTGAGTGTCGTGTCAGTAAAGAGCTGGTAAAATTAGGGCTGGACCAGGTGGTGGGGGCGCTGAGGAGCTCGGCAACAAGGTTACCAGCAGAATCCTCGGAAAACAAGAAGCCGATGGCAAAGCCAGGTGGGAGAGGCAAGGAGAAGAGGGAGAAATCGGTCAGACGGGTTGTTTTCACTAAAAATGAAAAAAAAAAAAAAAAACAACAACTAGCAGAAAGTTGGACGTGTTTTAAAATGGAAAGCATGGAGAGGGAGGGTTTAAACACAGAAGGGAAAATAAAGAGGAAAGACTCTCGAACAGACAGGAAGAAGGCGGGGTGAGGCTGTAACTAGGTTCGAGGTGAAGGTACAGTTGGAGAAACTGTGGGAGACACCAAGGGGCTACGGCGCTGCCCGAAAGCTTGGGCGGCCTTCTTGATGTGCGGGGCAAGGAGGCAAATGCAGACAGAATGCCGCCCTTAGCCGGCGAGCAGGACGACCCTGCGGCACGGCTGGGTCTCTAGAAATGACCTGGGCAGATAGAAGGCATGGGAATGGCAAAAGGCCATTTCTCCAGCAGGAAAACACTGCAGTTACCTAGCTTCCCGGTCTTGGCTACACGTCCCCCTCCTTCGCAGCTGCCTGCGGCTATCATGACTCATGGAGGAGACTTCTCCCCGGGGTTCCTGGTCACTGGGGTCTCACAACATGCGCAACGCAACTGTTTCTGTCCCGGGCCACACTCAAGCTAAGGAGACGGACCCCTGCTTCTAACCGCCTGCCATGCTGAGGGACGCTTTCCTGGAGAACTTTCTGGGAAAGCCGCAGCAGCGCACCCCTCAGGACGGCGGGATCCAAGCCCTGGAGAGGGGTCTTTTCTCCACCGCCCTCCTCACTTGGCAGGCCTTCCTTGTCACTGTCTCCTTCCTCGGCTTTCCACCCTCCCTCCCTCCTAAGTCTTTTCCTTTATCACTCCAATTTCATTTTCCCAACTGCCTCTCCACTGTTTACGTGTGAAATACGGTTACTTAAATATATGAAGAAAAAGGCCGGACGCGGTGGCTCACGCCTGTAATCCCAGCACTTTGGGAGGCCGAGGTTGCGGCGGGGTGGGGGGGTGGATCACTTGAGGTCAGGAGTTCGAGACCAGCCTGGCCAACATGGTGAAACCCCGTATCTACTAAAAATACAAAAAATTAGCTGGGCGCAGTGGCGGGTGTCTATAATCCCAGCTGCTCCAGAGGCTGAGGCCGGAGAATCGCTCGAACCCACGAGGCGGAGGTTGCAGTGAACTGAGATAGTGCCATTGCACTCCAGCCTGGGCAACAAGAGTGAAACTCTGTCTCACAAACAAAACAAAACAAAACGAAGAAAAAGTTACACCAACTCTATCAGCTGACTTTTAAATCACTAAGCTAACTGTTCACTAAAGGAAAAATAAAATTGAAGAAACTTAACTTTGGCCAATAAAAACTAATCTGGTGTCTCAATCAGGATTTTTAAAAACTAAAACCTTCTCTTTGTTGAGTCAACCAGCCTATCTCAACAGCTCCCTAAGAGAATTACAGTTGGCCTTCCTTATCTGGGGGTTCTGCATATGCAGATTTAAGCAACAACAGATCAAAAATGCTCGAAAATAAATTTTAAAAAACCAATACAATAAAAATACAAATGGAAAATAGAGTATAACAAGTATTTACAGAGCACTTACATTGTATGAGGTATTGTGAGTAAACTAGAGATGATTTAAAGCACATGGGAGGATGTACATAGATTATTTGCAAATACTTGCCATTTTTATATCAAGGACTTGAGCATCCATGGATTTTTGGTAACCACAAGGGTTCTGGAACCAATCTCCCATAAATACTAAGGGACAACTCTACCCATAAAAAATAAATACAAGAGATACATAAAACTGAAAGAAACTCTTCTATCTTAAATATTCCATGTTAAAAATGAACAGAGCTCCTCCTTTACTCTTCAAAACCAACAGGTCCGTTTTTTTAAAAAAGGACAGTGACATAAAATTATTCAGTAAGGCTGGGCGCAGTGGCTCACACCTGTAATCCCAGCACTTTGGGAGGCCGAGGCGGGCAGATCACCTGAGGTCAGGAGTTTGAAACCAGTGTGACCAACATGGAGAAATGCCGTCTCTACTAAAAATACAAAATTAGCCGGGCGTGGTGGCACATGCCTGTAATCCCAGCTACTCAGGAGGCTGAGGCAGGAGAATTGCTTGAACCTGGGAGGCGGAGGTTGTGGTGAGCCGAGATCTCGCCATTGCACTCCAGCCTGGGCAACAAGAAGGAAACTCTGTCTCAAAAAAAAAAAAAAATTATTCAGTAAGAACCCAGCAATATCATATAAGTGACAGCTAGTAATTTTAGTTGTAAGTTTAATGACAGTATCTGATTTGCTCTCCTAAGCAGCAAGCAGAGAGACCCTAAAATACAAATGAATATGCTCACAGATACAAGCAGACCGATACTTCAGAATCACCCCCCATTCCTATATTCTACATAAATGGATTTCAATTAGTCAGATGAATGTGAAAGACAGTGCATTTCTTAACTCTTAGAAGTAAAACTGTTTGTGAAATCTAAATTAAAACAATGAAATCATAAAGATGAAGACTTGCTAGTGATTGCTAATGTCCAGGTAATAAAACCTGACTTAAAACACTGTATTTTGAAAAACAAGTCAAAAATAGAAACTCCTTAATGACAATGTAGTAAGGCTCCACCTTAAGTACTTGCAGATAATTCATCTGTCTAGATATGCATGACTTCAACCTCCTCTACTGCCTCACAGTGAACATTTTAGACAATGCCTTACACAGTGAAATTCCATTCAGATCAAAACTCAGAAAGTGTTACATTAACAAAATCCAGTAAAATCTGATAAAATAGTATAAATCATTTCAAAACACCTTGGTAAATAGATCTGTATTTACAGAACCTCCTTGAATATATAATAGGTAATGATGCAATGAAGACATTTTTATAATATTTATTAAGATAACAAATTTATAAATTGAAAGACTCAGAGGCACATAGTTTAAAAGGCCAATACCATGGGAATAATGAAGTCAACACAGAAAAGTAAGAAGATATGAACAGTTACAACCAATAGAAGATTTTCTTTAAAAGCCACATTCCCCTGGTGAACACATCATAGGAATCATCCTTCAAAATTACCATGATAAAAAGTTATTTCCTTCAAAGAAAAATAATTCTTTCTGCCTACCGAGCCTAGAAAATCCTATTTACAATGCAGTGTCCTGCCTTTCATCAGTATTATTTAATATGGCCTCCTCTATTCTGCCATTAGAAGTATGGAAAATTTTATAGCTACTGTATTTACAAATGCACATAATATTTAAATTTGCTCTTCATTGAGAACAACCAAATATATACTTAATCAAATCACAATACAAATGCTTTATAGTGTTGAAGACACATCTTATGGGGGAAAGGTGTATGGGAAGAGGTTTATTTAGAATTACGGTGTTTCTGAAGGATTACTAGGCCAATAATTCTGATAAAACTCAAGGCAGTCACAAAAACAGGTCTTTGTTGATGAAGAGTTTAATTTATTTCTGTTTTAACTGGACACACTGGACTTCTTCAGTCAACCTTCACCACACTGTATATTTTGGTAACAAACCAAAAGCATGCAAAGAAGCCAATTGTTCCTATAAGAGAAAAAATAAAAATAAACCCCTTTTCAAAGGAAGTTTCATACTTTACACAAAAATACAGACTTACAATGACTGGTTCCTTAAAAAAGTCGCAAAACTATAAACTATTACCCACCGGGAATATACTACAGATCTATGAGCACGTCTGAAAAATATACGACCACCTCAAATCAAGTTTCTTACAAAAATTGGTAGAACTTTTTTCTACTATAAGATTACCTAAGCTTTCTACAATACACATTATTTTCCTTACTACATAGAAAAGACTGAAGGATGTCAACTGTCCTTTCCTATTTAAGAATATTTTACAACAAAATGGAAAACGCTACTAGAATTTTTTAAGGTATGAGATGAATACATTAAAACAGGTTCAAATAATGATTAAATGGGGATATTTTCTAAGTACAGTTATTGGAAGTTATCAGTCTTCAAAGAATTATAATAAAATAACTCAGTAAGTTTTTACAAAATGTTAAAAGTGACATGATTAGATAGTAACAAAAATGCATCCTAGCTGAAAATGAGGGACAGCATGGTAGCAGAGAACAGAGCAGCTCTGTCACAAACTGTGTGTGTCATCCTTGGGCAAGTCCACTGACATCTCCAAGCCCATTTATCATATTAACTAGGGAGAAATTTATCTGTCCTCATTGCCTCCATAGACTATTATGTAGAGTAAATGAGATAATTCATGAAAACAATGTATGGCTTGATTTTCAGGTATCAGTCTAGATTCCAAAGAATTTGAATGCTAGATGGGGACACTCTTTCAATGAGACAAAAATGAGGTTCAAAGGGGTTAAGTGACTGTCTCATGGTCACATGGATGGTACTTGTGGCCAGAAATCAAATGCGTTTTTTCTGACTTCAAGCATAGTACTCCTTGCACATGCACACATAAGGGACTATAAATAATCCTTGTATAAATTTTACATTTAAAGTCCCAATAGTTTTCACCATTGTTTTAAATGCAGTACTCTGAGAAAATATTAAAGGAGATTTTCTAAATCAAGAGACTATACATGGGACATTACCGTGGGAAATTACAAACATCATTATATCCATCCTTACATTGTACATGTATTGAGGCCCTACTATATGCAAAGCACAATGTGTGTTTTGGAGGACATACAAATATACCTTTTGCATAGTCAAAAGGATAATTATTCAGGCTAGGGCTGGGGTTAATTTCAGAAAAGCAATAATGAAAACTCAGTATATTTATATAACTTTGTACTTACTTGCATAAATTTCAAGATGACAAACAATATTTTAAGATGAGAAGAACATTTAATCACTATCCAGGCAACTCTAAGAAACTTAAGTTTAGTTACTTAATTTTGTTCTTAATATGGAATATATGTACGTACTAAAAGTGGCGTCTTTCCTTTTGTGACAGAATAATTACTTCTGTTTTGTAAAATGGATTGACTTAAATACAATAAAATGGCATTGCTCTGGAGTACTGAAGCAAATACAGACCATACCCTATTTTAGAGAAAGGTAAGGCATTTAAAGGGCTCACTACTCCCTTATCCAGAATGCTTCCACCTGTTCACTAAAGGAAAAATACAATTGAAGAAAGTGAAATACACTATAAGTTACTGGTTTAACTGGTTGGTTCCATTTGATATGACTCCATAATTCAGATTACAAAATTCAACTCTGAATGAATGAAAATATAACACTTTAAAAAACAAAATCAGCTGGGCGCAGTGGCTCACGCCCAATCCGAGCACTTCGGGAGGCCAAGGCGGGCAGATCGTCTGAGGTCAGGGGTTCGAGACCATCCTGGCTAACATGGTGAAACCCCATCTCTACTAAAAATAAAAAAAATTAGCCGGGCGCAGTGGCGGGCGCCTGTAGTCCCAGCTACTCGGGAGGCTGAGGCAGGAGAATGGCGTGAACCTGGGAGGCAGAGTTTGCAGTGAGCTGAGATCGCGCCACTGCACTCCAGCCTGGGCAAAAGAGTGAGACTCCGTCTCAAAAAAATAAAAATAAAATAAATAAAAATAAATAAAATTTAGGTGATGGTTAAGCTATCATTTTCTGTATCATATGTCTGGAAAAACAACAGATATTCACAATGATCGTTATTTTTTGTGTGTAGGCTAGGAATAAATTATTCTGTATATGCATTTATGGACACACAGGGCACAAAAACAGTCATTCCTTGTTTCACTGGCTACTGCTGTTTTATAGATGATTTATTAAAATTTACAGCTCTGGACCTAAATTTATCACGTAGCACCAAGACACGCACCCCACCATGTCTGATCAATGACCTGGAATACAGAATCGATGGAAGTGCCTTAAGCCTGAGACAGCAGCAGAGGCCCTTCAAAACCCGACTCCAGGCTCTGAAATGCTAACAGATGAGTGAAAAGTAGAACAGTTTTAATTGGAGGAAAAAAACTTGTTCTTTTTTCTTTTTGGCTCCTGCATTTTCTTCCATGACATGCGTGAGGAGCTAACATTTTAGATGCACGCTTCGGGCAGCGTTACTTGTGACAAAGGAAGGTGCTATAATTCCTAAGTTCAGTCACTCACGCGACAAATGTTTACCAAGCACCCGGGGCTGTGAGATACCGAAAACTTTCATCTAGTTGGATAGAGAAGATATATACATATATAAAATAAATACCAATAAAATACACACTATATCCTGTTCAATGCTTGAATTTTAAAGTGGAGATAAAAGCTTCTAGATTAAGGAATGTCCCATTATCTTTCCTTGATATCCCCTACCTACTCTCAGCCTCATCTTGACTTCACCTCCTCAATTTCTACTTACTCCTAAACTTAAGTCACTATAGCTTCTACCCTATTTCTGAAGTGGCAAAAAAAAAAAAAAGGACTGTGTGTACCTTTAAGAGGTTAACAGACGAAAACCATGAGCTGTACTGGCCCATGCGTCCCTGAACCTTTACCACAATTATGACCCTGTTTAGCCTTCTTCCCCAGCTTCTGTTTCATCATCTTTATGCAACTCACAGGTGGGCAGACCCAACTATGCCTAGTTGTGCTGAGGACTAAATATGGGAGCACTAACAGAATAAGCCTTCATGGGTTTTAAAAAAGACAAACATTTATAAGTTATTTGTCTAAAAACTTACAAAATAAAAATAATCACTTAAATTATAATTTTACCTGTAAAAAGAAAGAAGATCAAAACCATTATCATGGTATAACCAAAGTACAGAATTGTGCTTGCTGTTCCCGTGATCTGCAGTTTTGAAAAGAAGTAGTGTACTGCATAGATTAAGAAATAAACTGCAGTAAAGCCACTCGTAAGGAATGAACGCCATTGCCAATGATAATCCTAGGTAGTAAAGAAAAAAGAACAAGAATTACATTCCAATTAATAGATAAGATGTAGCTTACTAAGGTTCAAAGCAAGCATAATAAATGAGACAGCCCCCAATCTAATTTCTGCTATCAGTTCCAGGCTCTTTCTCCTATTGAACTTCACCCATTCCACTCTCCTCACTAAAGGTGCTAAGAAGCACCCACTGTCTTTGGTGGGGCTGCTTAAAAACTGGCTAAAAATGTGTGGAAGCAGCTTAAACTGTTTATGAATAATAAAACATTAGGCTGTATTTCAAAATTTATTCTTCCCAAAGAAAAGCGATGTGCAAATAGCTTACAACTTACTCACAGGGCTCGACATTAATACTACTTGTATTAAAGTCTGGTCAACTCTGTATTAGGAAGAAGATTATTCTACTAAGGCCTGGTTGGAATCCAATTTCAGCTATTACTAACATAATTTAAACAAGGCAGATGATTAAAATAGCTCTTCTTGCTTTTAAGTGGCTTATAGCTTAACAGAAGATCTTTTAAAAGAGAACACTTCACTATCTCTCTTGCCCTTTGGAATATGTGAAAAACAAATATATTCGAAAAGCAAACTGAGACTAGAAAATCCTAAATACACACACATACACACACACACACACACAAAATGCAACAGCTAATCAACAAATGCAGCAAAATTGCAGGGTATAAGATCAACATACAAAAGTCGGTTTTGTTTTTACACACCAGCAATGAGCAATCTGAGAAGAAAATTTAAAAACCCAATTCCATTTAAAATAGCACCCAAAAGAATAAAATACCTAGGAATAAATTCAACCAAGGAAGTGGAAGACTTGCACAATGAAAACTCTAAAATTCTGCTGAAAGAAATGACAGAAGACCTAGGCAAATGGAAAGACATCCCATGTTTACGTACTATTAGACTTAACACTGTTAAGACAGCAATACTCTTCAAAATGATCTACAGATCTAATGTAATCCCTATCATAATTCCAATAATCCAATGATTCAATTTTTGCAGATTGGAAAAGTTAATCCTCAAATTCAAATGGAATTGCAAGGGGCTCCAAATAGTCAAAACAATCATAAAAAAGAGCAAAGCTGGAGGACTCAGCCTTTTTGATTTCAAAACTTACTACGAAGCCACAGTAATCAAAATAGTGTGGTACAGGCCTAAGGGCAGCATATAGACCACTGGAATAGTATTGAGAGTCCAGAAATAAACCCATACATCTATGGTCAATTGATTTTTGACAAGATTGCCAAGACCATTAAATGAGGAAAGAACAGCCTCTTCAACAAATGGTGCTGGATAACTGGATATCCACACGTCAAATAATGTAGCTGGACACTACATCACACAAAATACAAAAGCTAACTCAAAATAGATCAATGACTTAAATACATGAGGTAAAGCTATAACACTTAGAAGAAAACATGGGGGTAAATCTTCATAACCTTGAATTTGGCAATAATTCTTTTTTTTGGTCGGGGGTGGGGTAGGAGACAGGGTCTCACTCTGTTGCCCAGGTTCTGGAGTGCAGTGGTGTAATCATGGCTTACTGAAGCCCTCCTGGGCTCAAGTGATCCTTCCACC
Source organism: Homo sapiens (assembly GCF_000001405.40). Lineage (NCBI taxonomy): Eukaryota > Metazoa > Chordata > Mammalia > Primates > Hominidae > Homo > Homo sapiens. The sequence continues at coordinate 99,557,769 of NC_000013.11, read as the reverse complement.
TCAGCTTCCCAAGTAAGCCATCACACCCAGCTAATTTTGTTATTTTTTATAAAGACAAGATCTCACTATGTTGCCCAGGCTGGTCTCAAAATCCTGGGCTCAAGCGATCCTCCCGCCTCAGCCTTCCAAAGTGTTGGGATTAGAGATAGGCGTGAACCACCACACTCAGCCCTAATTTGATAATAATTCTTAGATATGACACCAAAAGCATAAGCAACGGAAGAAAAAAAAACAGATACATTTGACCTCATCAAAATTTAAAACTTTTGTGCAAAGGACATTATCAAGAAAGTGAAAAGGATAACCTATAGAACCAGAACTGCAAATAACAATCTGATAAAGATCTACTATTCAGAATAAATAAATAAACTCTTACAACTCAACAAAAAGACAAACAAATTTAAAAATAGGCAAAGGACTTGAATAGCTATTTCTCCAAAGAAGATATACAAATGGCTAACAAACACAAGTACAAATGCTCATCATTAGTCACTGTGGAAATGCAAATCAAAACCAGAATGAGACACCGCTTCACACCCACGAAGACAGCTACAATTTTTTCAAAAATGGAAGGTAAGTGTTGGCAAAGATACGGAGAATTGGAACCTTTGTACACCACTGCTGGTGGGAATGTAAAACGGCACAACCACTGTGGAAAAGTTTGGTAGTTCCTCAAAAAATTGAACAGAACTACCATATGACCCAGTGATTCCACTCCTAGATATATACCTCAAAACCAAAAACAGGTATTCAAACGAACACTTGTACATGAATGTTCACAGCAGCACTATTCACAACAGCCAAAAAGTAGAAACAATACAAATGCCCACCAATGGATAAATGGATAAACAAATTTATCATTCTGCCATAAAAAGGAATGAAGTGGCCAGGCGCGGTGGCTCACGTCTGTAATCCCAGCACGTTGGGAGGCCGAGGCAGGCGGATCACGAGGTCAGGAGATCGAGACCATCCTGGCTAACATGGTGAAACCCCGTCTCTACCAAAAATACAAGAAGCAATTAGCCAGGCATGGTGGCAGGCGCCTGTAGTCCCAGCTACTCAGGAGGCTGAGGCAGGAGAATGGCATGAACCCGGGAGGTGGTGCTTGCAGTGAGCTGAGATTGCACCACTGCACTCCAGCCTGGGCAGCAGAGCGAGACTCCGTCTCAAGAAAAAAAGGAAAAAAAAAAAAAAAGGAATGAAGTACTACTATACATGCCATGATATGATGAACCCTGAAAACATGCTAAGTCAAAGAAGCCACACACAAAAGGTCACATATTATATGATTCAATTTGTAAGAAATGTCTGAACAGGCGAAACAGACAGAAAGCAGACCGTTGGCTGCTAAGGCCTGGGGGAAGTGAGGAATGAGGAGCAACTGCTCAGCAAGTATAGGGCTTTAATTAGGGGTGATAAAAATATTTTGGAACTAAACAGAGGTGGTGGTGGCGCAACACTGTAAATGCAGTAAGTGCCATTAAACTGTCCACTTCAAAATGGTTCATTTTCTGTTATGTAAATTTAACCTCCATTTTTTGAATAACACACTAAGTTTAATAAAGTTAGCTTTTTCTCCAATATAGACAATATTAAATAGTAGATTTAACACAACCTAAATCTTTAAAATTCAATTCTACCTATTACATAAGGATACTATCATTTTGGTGCTGCCATGAATAGAACTCATTACAATGTGATTATAGAAACTTTTTAATGAATTTTCTTACTAGTTTACTTTTATTAAATTTTCAGTCTAAAATTTTTTTTGTATTTTTTAATAGATTATTTTATATTCTTTTATCTCAGGCATGATATAAATATTTGTATCACAAAAGTATTAATTTTTAAGTCAGTTAAAAAACAACAGTAAAAAGTTAGCACAACATACTATTCTCAGAAAATTAACAAGTTAAAGTCTCTAATAGTAATTTCCAACTAAATATACTGAACTGGGATATCTTAATCCTAAAGAAGGTTACATTTGATTTAGGAATACAGGTCAATGTCTATCATAATAAACATACATCTACAGAAATTATTTTAATTAATAATATACAAATTGCAATATGCCAAAGTTACTGTCTACAAATTAACATAAGTGAATACTGCTAATACATACCTCTGCACATAGGTGGAAATAGCAAAGAAGTATAGTTGCTTCAGAACAGGTAATAACCAAAATGATAAACACCAGAAATAGGAAGCCAAACATGTAATACATCTGGTGTGACCTATAATCAAACACGTCAAGAAGGAACTATAAATATTTTCAATTTGACACAATACATAACACAATCTTTTCATTCTTCTTGAACTGAAAAGGTTTGCTTTTTCTCTCAACTAACCAAACAAGACGAATTATCACAGGTTGGGATGGTGATGGGGTGGGGAAGGGGAGGAGTAGGAAGGATATGTCAGTATCACTGGACTTTACCTTCCTGCTCAGGGAGGCCTGAAACTTCTACTTATTTACATATGGCTAGACTACTCGTCTCCTGGTGAGCCAGAGATATTTGATAAAAAGTGACTGAAAAGGCAGAGCCAACTAAGAATAGGTAACCGTTTCTTATCACATATAATAAAACCAGTTGAATTTGGAAAATTAGTATAACGATTAAGAAGCAAAGATATGTTCTAATCATTAAAAAGCTCAAATTTAGTTCTAACTTTCTGTAACCTCCAACCTTGGTACTTCCTGTAACATACGTCAATGTGATCCAATAACAATCATGATATAACACTATATATAGATATACACACACACAGAATGGCTCAAAATGACTATTATGAGTTTTTACATGTGAACAAGCAATCGGAGAATGAAGGCATCTGAGAATTGCAAAGGACTCTGCAGGTCACCTAGACCAATCCCTTCACCAATCCCCTCCGACAAGTGCTCAGAGGATCTTCTCTGAACAGTGCAGATTAGTTAGGAACATAGGTTTGGAGAAACTTCGGTGAATTTTCTGTCACAGGGTTGCTGTGTAACACAAGCAAATTACTCAACTTACAAAGCCTCATTTACAGCTCTGTAAAATGGGGATAACACTCACCTCACAGAGAATGAAGTAGTAAGAATTAAGGAAGAGTAAGAATTAACAAGCCTTGAATTCATATTATACTAGCTGTTATCACTATTGTTCTTCTTCCAACATGGAAAAGATAAAAATAAGCTTTTGGCTTTTAAGATTTCTGGTTACTGAAGAACTGCTTACATTTACAGGATACAAATAGTAACCCATATAAACAAACAAAAAGGAAATATTACATATAATGGTAATGAGAATGAGAGGACTTTATCCTTAGCTTACCAAATACTATTCAGAATGAAGAAAAGTTGTATAAAGATGCAGCCAAAGGGCAAAATCCCTCCCATGATAATACCAGGCAAGGGCTTCGTGTAGAACGACTGTTCAGGAATCTGACGTGGAATCTGATTGGTTCGAACTGGGTGTTCAATGGCCTTCAGTAAAAAAAGGAAGGAAGAATTCATAATTACGTATCTGTCTCAAATATTCTTCTCTACACGAGATTATTTGCCTGCTTTTTTTCAGCTTCTATGTTGTCACTAATGGCAATAAAGTCTACTTAAGACATCAAACTGAAATTTGTCTTTGGAAGCCATCATCCAGGTACCATCAGGTACAATACTCAGTCTGTCTACTGGAACAAGTTAATACTGTCTCCAGCAGTGATCTACTGACTAATGGCTTTAGACACAGGAAAAAGTACACAGGAGATAAGAGAATACTTGGAAAATAATAGTTAATAAAAAGGTAGAGTTAGGCTTTTCATTTTCATTACACATGTACTGTAAGAAATCAGCTGGTTCTGGAATTTTGGTCCATGTATTTTTATTTGGAGGTGCGCAATGTCATCTTTACTAAAATTGCTCAATTTTACTAAGACTTAAGAACATGAAAACAACAATGAATGGCTGTATGAAGCTTTACGACCATAAGGAGTTGGTGATGTTCTCGACTATTCTCCCTTTCATGACACACTACATGGCGGTATAAAAATCACTGGAACCTAAAGGACACAAGCAGCCACATGAGGGGGGAAGACAGTACAGATGTAGAAAGTCATTTCCTTGTAAGAAAGTTCAAAAATATCCTTCTATAGTTTTTGTGATGATAAACCAAAATTTAAAACTTGATATTTTCATTAAGACCATACTTCCACAGACTAGATTATTATTTTACATGTAGATGCATGAGTATACAGGCAGAGAATCATGTATATCAACTTTTATTTATTTCCAAGGCTGATATTAAATAGAAATACTATAAACTTCAAACCAGCAAAGTTTTGGAATTTCAAGTAATTGTTTAATCAATGTAATTAAAAAATTCAAACCCTGTCAGTTCACTACTTCTGAGGTATAAAGTCATAAATTAAACAAAATGCCGAAGAAGTTTAAAAAAATCCTTCAGCAGCCAGGCATGAAAGTGCAGTGGAGGCTGTGGAACAGTGCCAGCTTCTGCCAGGGCCTTCCGGGTCCTGCTCACAAAGTGTACTAACCACACAGTCTTTCTTTTACCCTGTGGACTTGATATTTTCAGAGGACAGGGATACTGAAGTGCGGTTAGAGAAGGATACTGATGAGACAGAAGAATAAGATCTCGTTTTTGTTTTTCTTTTAGCCTGAGGGCAGGAGTGGGCAGCAAAGTGAGAGAAGGCCGACTGGAGGGTGAGAGGGAAACTGGAGGAAGGACTGAAACCTGATTATAATCTTCCTTAAAATCCAATATTAGCAGGGAAGCAGATACAATTTATTTCCAGCAGATACAATTTATTTCAAAGCTACATATCAACCACAAACATTTGCTACTCTTACTCTGCAGCTACTTTTCTTACAGTGACTTCTTCTCTGCTTACTTAGCTAAGCTTTGTGCACTTTGGGAGGCCCAGGCAGGTGGATCACCTGAGGTCAGGAGTTCAAGACCAGCCTGACCAACGTGATGAAACCTTGTCTCCACTAAAAATACAAAAATTAGCTGGGTGTGGTGGCACATGCCTGTAATCCCAGCTACTCGGGAGGCTGAGGCAGGAAAATCGCTTTAACCCTGAAGGTGGAGGTTGCAGTGAGCCGAGATGGCGCCACTGCACTCCAGCCTGGGTGACAGAATGAGACTCCATCTCTAAATGAATGAATGAATGAATGAATGAATGTTTTCATTAGTTTATATCAGCATTTCTTTCCCAATTAATCTATATTAGCTTCTATTCACTTAAAAAACTTTGAAACCTAAGTTTAGATCTGTAACCTCTCTACCACGCTCCTAAATAATACTACTATTTTAAAAATATTCTATGAAATCCAGATCCTAAAGGACAAGTTTACATCTTTACACACTTTTATGGTATCTTTTGAGATGGCATATGCTAATTTCTGCAGCTAAAATTCACCTGAATAAGTTAACACCTATAAACTTACATTCTTCTTAAAACCAAAGTATGCACCAATAAACGTCAGAGGCACAGATATGCAGAACCAAAGGGCCAATATGGCAACCAGTGTCCCAAAAGGAATAGCTGCTGAAGATCCTTCTCCCCAGAGGATCAGATTCATTATAAAGAAGTCAGCAAATACAATCCTGAAAGACACAACAGGCTTTTGGGTAAAACCAGAGATAACAAAATGCAACAGTAGTATGTAATTAATATGACAACTTCTATGTTTCTAATATATATATACAAAGAAAGTGGAATTGCTGCATCACAGGATGTCTGAATGTAAAACTTGACTAGAAACTACCCAATTGCTCTTCAGATTGGGTTTGCCTGAGTTAAACTCCTCCCAGCAGCCTATGAAAGTCAGTTCCTTACATGTTTTCATTACACTTGGGATTGTCAATTCTGTTGTTTTAATTTGTATTTTCTATTGAAAACTGCAGCAGGCGTCTGGTGTTTGCTGGCTTTTTTGGTTTTACCTTCTGTGACGGGCTACTGACATCCACTGCTTGGTTTTCATTTGACCTGCATGTCTTGCCAAGTCATGTATGTGAGTTATTTACATATTCTACTTACTAATTCCTTGTTAAATATCTTGTCACAGTCTGTGGCTTTTTTTGAACCCAAACATCTAAATGTGTGTAGTTAATTTCCATTCAGTCTTTCTTCTGAATACATTTTTAAAAATATGGTTGTAATCATACAATAATCACTGTACTTCCCCCACACAGTTTTTAAGCGCAACCACTTTCCCTTTTATCCTTTGTGCACTCTGCTTAAGAGAAGAAAGCCTTCCCTAACCTGGGACCATGAAGATGCTCTTCCATATTTTCACACAGTAGTTACGCCTGGTGCATTTAGGTTTGACTCCACCTAGGACTGACAACTTTCTCCCTTCATGAAGAGAATCAGCTGTCCCAGCATCACTTATCTAACAGTTCCTCTGGCTCATGGTGCCACATCTAGCACGCTGCCATGGATACAGGGCCTGCTTCTGTATTCTCCATCCCAGCAGCCCCTGGACTTTCCAAACACCTTCACAATGCTTGATCTTTTCATTAAGAAACATGGCAAATTTCCATCTCTTTCGAGTTAATAATCTTGTAGGCTTGTCATATGGATTGTGCATACTTTGAGAGGTTATTTCAGGCACTGTATGGGTTTTCTGTGAATAGAGCCCTCTTCCAGCACAACTACCACTACCATTAAAACATTTAACTGGTTAATGGTGCTGTTTAGGATCTTGGAATATTAGTTGATACCTAGCCATTTTGCCAAACTCTTTTTATTAATTCTACAAGTTTTACAGTTAAAATGTGTTGGTGTTCTTTGTATACAAATAATGTTATCTATAAATAATAAGATGAAATCCACCTTTTTGTTTCCTCCTTTACTGTGAACAGAACTTAAACAACAAGCCATGAAAGAGATTTACTGAGAATGTCCCTAGTGTTTTATTATCAGTGATGTTGGTTCTGAATTAGAGATAAGATTCTTTTTAATACAAGGAAATATTTCTCTATAAATTTTTTTTAAAACCTGAAAACAATGCTCAATATTATCAAAGGCCATTTTACTGCATCTGTTGCAGTAATTATATGCAGGTGTTTATTTATGTAGAATTGTATGACTAGATTTCCTGTTATTAAATGATCCTTCTATTCCTAGGTGAACACCAAGTCCCCCTGCCCCTGAATACTTGAGTTCTTAGCACGCTCTATTTACCTGCTGGTAAACACCCACTGTTAAGAGTAGGATGAAGAACATCAATCAGAGAAGGGTTGATCAGAGACATAAAAGAAGAACCAGCACAGGATAATTTTTATGAAGCCAAAAAAGGAAGGAGTTTCAAGAAGGTATTCCAATGTTAGACAATACAGAGAAAATCGTTTCTGGATTTGAAAATGGGAACATTATTGGCAAACTTAAAAGTTTCAGTAAAATGATGGAGAAAAATACGAATGACGTGGCTTTACACTGCAAATGTTTACTGAGAAAATGAGAAGAAAGGAGTAGAGACTATTTTTTTCAAGGCATTTTGTTGGGAATAGAAAAGAAATGAGATGGAAATAAGAAGGGAAGATGTTTATGATCCCTTTTTAGGGGAGACATGAGCCTATTTGGAGGAATAAAAGAACCACATAAGCAGAACATGTGAGAAGGGAGCAATGGAAGATGTGTGAGACTAGAGGGAGAGGTGCCTGAAAAGCAAGATTCGGAGATTCTGCAGGAAATCACAGTCTTGGTAAGGACGGACACCTTCGTGAGTTGACAGAGGGAAAGAAAACAAAGGACATGGCTTGAGAAAAGCATAGAAATTTGAATAGAACCGATAACTGAGAAGAATGTGAATCTTCGGTGGAGGTGATAGAGAGAATATTTATCCCAAATGTGTATTAAAATGCTGCTGCCATCACGCTTGCATTTCTAGCCTGCAAATGGAACAGTTCTGGTTTCTAGACTTCATCATCCTTGGCTTTCTTTATTGCTGTAGCCTGTTCACGTGTCAGTTCTTGCCCACCAGAAATGTGCAGGTTTGGGAGGAAGTGGGTTTTGCTTCTAGGACCAGAACCGCATCAGATAATCGAGAGGAGAAGCAGTTCCAGAGAGTGAAGGATTTTTGTTTTGTTTTGGATTTGTGGTGGCTGCTTATTTTTTATTTTTGGTGTATATTACTTTACTTAATGGAATAAACTCTAAAAAATGGCAATGCTTTGGATAAAAATGGGAAAACATATGCTTGCCTGAACTATCTTCAGGATTCCTTCCTGTGCCTGGCTCAAAAGCTTTAAATGCAGCCTACAGAACAACATGTCAGACTGACCACTAAAAACCAAGAAACAGAAAGACTTTGAAGAGAAGGAATTAAAACATTTCTCATGTCTAAAGGTACTTTCCCCAGATAAGACATGTGGTAATCATTTGGCAAACGTTTATAAAATATTTATTTTACCCCTTTTCAAAAATTAAATTTACTTTCTTAGGTACATGATTTAGAGACACGGAGGATTAAAGACTCAACGACTGAAAATTTGGGGACTAACATGTAACTATGTTAAGAAAGTAATTCTTGAAAAATTCACTTACCCAGGACAAAGAAATGATGTTAATAAAACATTTGTTTTCCACTTCTCACCTCCAAAGGCTATAGAAGAAAACAAAAGTTGTATAAATACAGATTTTCTTTAAAGCAAACCAAATATCCATATTACAAGTCTGATATTTGCCAAACTGTCAGACAGCAATGAGTACTCATTCCTAGAAAATGGTACTAGCAAATATAATATGATATTCCTTTATTAAATAATCCAAATCTGAGACATACAGGATGGGATTCCCTAGGTAAGTCCTGCTCTAGAGAATCAGAGGCAAGTCATCAAGATCAGTTCTTCTTTTCCCCTCACAACCAAAAGAATCCTTAAATCCTGAGCCAGTATCAATCAATGGGCCTAGGCACAGGAAGGGCACACGGGATTCTCACTTATCTTGCAGTCAGTTTCAGAATTTGTTATAAAACTGGGAACCGTCAAGCCTGATGTGCAACACATTTACACTTCCACAGTAGGCCAACTCTTCCTCTAGCACTGTGGTTTCTAGGAGGAACTGTGGTTCCTAGGAGGTGCGTGTGTCAGATGAGGCAACTAAGAAGAGTAGAAGGGTTATGACCATTTGACAGACCATGTTTGCTAATATATGTTTTACTCTCCTTTGCCCCTCTCCAACTTGCTTTTTTTTCCAGTTTAAAGAATTCAAATACTGAAGTAGCTAGAGTGAAAAATGAAAGTACACGTCTGCTCCCAGTTTAAGTCAGAAATGAAACTGGCTGAGATCTCAGAACAGCTGTGATTTTTAAAAAAGTTTTAACATAGTTGATAGGCAAGTTTAAGTGCCACTTGCCCTAAAAGAAAATAATAAAATTACATATACACATAAGATCATATATATGTATCATGATTTGAACTCACAATGTTTCTGATAAACAGACTGTTATGAAATGATTAATTCTGGGTTTACTATAATTTCAGTCAAAATTCAAGTAATACAGGATCTGCAGCTGGGAGACCTGAAGGATGGGGAGGCATTAGTGAGTGGAGTGCAGATGGGAGCAGGGTGTGGGAAAGCAGGCAGCCTGTCCGAGGAACCGACAGAAAGCCTGTGTGGCTGAAATGGTGAGAAAGGGGGAGTGTGGCATGAAGTAAGGCTGGTGTGGCAGGCAAAGGGCTGACTGTATTTTGTATGCATTAAAATCCGTATGATGGCCCTAATCCTACCTCCTTTAGTAAAGGGGAAGAAAGAACTTGACAAAATTCACAGAAATTAAAACACACTTAAAACACACATACATACAGGGCTTCACATACTCAAGAGAGAACTGTGTCTGACAAGGTCTAAGTTAATCTTTTACTGGGGGCTGAGACTACCCAACCCCACATTAAGGTTGTCCACGTAACTCTACTGTGCTTCACCTCAAAACTTTTTCACATTGCTAGACCGTGGGGAATCACTGTATATCCCAGACGAGACTGTGGCATTCCCGAGGAGGCCAGCTCTGGTCCCTGCTGACCCTGCCAGCTGCTTTCTAAGCCATCCAGTCCCATCTCAGCCTTACTCTGTGGCCGTGAGCCTTTTGTTTCACTGAACTTTATTTTACTTCTAGAATGCAAGAACACAAGAGATTGTGACTAATGATATTACAAAAGTAACTTTCCAGGTCTCCAAAATAATGAGATCTTTGTTTACTTGAAACAGTGTATTTTTATAAATATTAAATTGATACAATGTAAGTATGACTTCTCATATGTAAGAAAAGGTACACCTAGATGTACTAGTTGTTTTAGTGAAAAAAATCAGTGATACTCATTTGTATACTTTTCTCCTTTATTAGTCTATATGTGCTTCTATGAACACAGCAAATCTAAGCTGTTCAGCCCAACCTGTTAGCCAAAGCTTAAAGAAAAAAAGAGGGAGGGGATAGTGGATAAGTGGCACAATTTGCTTGTTTCACTAAACATTTTCGAACAAATAAATTTTGGGATAGTAACTCATGACACAAAAGGAATCACCAAGCAGGCTCCTTTTAACTAAGAACAGACCCCTATGAGGCACACTATTTACAAAGCATCACCATCTGATACCCAGGTCAGATCCACAGCCGCAGCAGAGTCCCTTCCTGATCAGACGCCAGTCACAGTGGCTTTGACTTACACTTATAGAATCTGGCAGCAACATAGCCTGCAGGGGTGCCCAGCAGCACCCACAGGACCACAGCACACGTCATCAGCGCTCCTCGGTTGGCAGGTGACAAAAATCCCAGGCAAGCGAAAACTAAAACACAAATCGTGAAAGGCTGTACATGTTATTACTCTGTTTCCTTTGCTGTGAAATGATAGAGAAACCCTCTCATTTTTCAAACAAGAAAAAAATACAACTTCACGCAAAACCATGTGCTCTCCTACCATGCAGCTCTACACAATCTTAGTAATATTTACTGTACTGCACCAATCTGATCATACATGAGGCAAACTTCACTTTGGAAGTTTCTTCTCAGAGTCCAGAATGAGAGATCACATCCTTCCTGTGATCAGGGGAGGCTGACTGGATGCTCAAGAGTGCATTTGACTCTTCTGAGATTCAAGTACAGCCTTTAAAATTGACATAAGTGAAAATGTTTCCACTACAAAATATTCCCACTGTTCTTTCATTAAAAAATATGGGGGTCCTCTGGGGGTAAAAAAAAAAAAACCCAAAACCTTACAACATTCAAACAGAAGAGACATATATAATCTAATGAAAGAACAAAATGAGGGAGAAAGATTTCATACGGCCATTAGCTTTTCACAAATTACGGAAGGACCTTGTCAGCAATACGGGGAAACCCTGGCCCTACCTTATTCACGTGGTTAGCTTTGTTTGCTCTTCCCTATGTAAGCCTTCCTACTAATGAGAATTAAAATGCTATATTATATTCATAGAAATTCCCAGCTTTAAGCTGGGGCTCAGAAGTTATAAGGTGCTCAGAATCCCAAGGTGAGTAGGATACTGCTGAGAACTGAGTTTCAGGAGGCTCAGCAAGAAAATCCCCATTGTTTCCCCCCCTATTGTTTCCCCTAAAACGTGCATGACCAAGCACGTATGTGAGCAAGCACGCGCACACACCTCTGACAAGCACCAGAGTCATGATGAGCAGGAAACACATCAGGGTAGCTTTAGAAGATGTACAAGATTTCAGCTAAAATGCAACCCCTTTCTCCTCCTCGACCTGAAAAATGGACTGCCCTTCGGCAGAAAGTTCCTATTTGAGGACTTAAGGAAAATTATTCCCATCGTATTCTATCCTAGACTCTCTGAAACTTTCCTTCCTTAAAAGTTCACTTTTCTAGCTGACCGCAATAAAAACCAGAGCATCGCAGAAGACAGCTCCTAATAAGATTTGAAAGCAGGAGTTGGCTGGGTGTGGTAGCTCACGCCTGTAACCCCAGCACTTTGGGAGGCCGAGGCGGGCGGATCACGAGGTTGAGAGATTGAGACCATCCTGGACAACATGGTGAAACCGTGTCTCTACCAAAAATACAAAAATCAGCCAGGCGTGGTGGCAGGCGCCTGTAATCCCAGCTACTCAGGAGGCTGAGGCAGAAGAATCACTTGGACCTAGGAGGTGGAGGTTTCAGTAAGCCAAGATCACGCCACTGAACTCCAGCCTGGTGACAGAGCGAGGCTCCGTCTCAAAAAAAAAAAGAAAGAAAGAAAGCAGAAGTTTATCTTCAAACATTCATTCTGCTCTAAGTCTAGTTTGGCTCTCTGTCACCCAGTGCCTTCACCCTACCACCCTCTGTCCAAACCTTTTTTATGACACCTTTTCCTGACCTATTCTCTTTAGTATGACTTAACTTCTCTTTAGTATGATATAGTTACAAATTCTAGCTCTACCTATCAAAATTGTATCTCCTTAAGTTGTTAGTAGATTAAAAAAAAAAGATATCCTAGTCAGTCTTCAAACTGAACCTGAAGGTGTGAGTTTGGTTCCCAAACTTATTCAGTGCCAGACATTTGAAAATGATACTGCTCTTTGCAAAGCATTTATATAATTAATTTTATCATAAAAATTTGGAACAACTTTACTAACAAAAATAACTGTGGTATTATGTATTTAATATGTAATCAAACATAAAAAATAAATGTTTACTAAAAAATTATTAAAGGTTAGTTTCTGAATTCTCCCAGTATATTCATTTGTTGCTATTTATCAGTAGCAGGCATCAATAAAGTAAAATACATTAAATAAAGGTAAAATTTAGAAAATTCTATTCATAAACCTTTTTTATCTTCCAATTAAGGAAACTGGAAGACAGTGGAATTAACATATACCCAGAGGTAGTTTCAGAACAATCCCTGTGGCTATCAATACCTCTAAGGAACATTTATTTAAAAAAAAAAATTGTCCTAGTTGGCAAAAATTTAAATACAATTTCTGAAGTCGCTGAGGTAGCTCAAAGAAGAGAATCTTTTTATGGAGGAAGGAAGGTCTTTCCTACACACTCGCTTTCCCTAGAGGAGAGAGATCCTGCTTCCCAAATCCTCCCCAGATGAGAAGGATCTACACAGTGCTTCCTGCCCCATCCCTTCTTTTCCCACCCTCCTCCCTCCGTGGAAGCCAAGAATATCCTGGAACCCTAACCAGACTGTGCCTGCCCACGATGCCTGGGTAAAAGAGACCCTAAATGGTCCCAGTTCTGGGCTGTTTAGACTCAGATGCTGATGGTCTTAAGGACCTGTTCATCTCCAGCCCAGTGCCTCCCTGACAAAGGCTTGGTCTAGGAAGAGCTGAAGGGAGAAACCAAGAGTCAGTCTTTGGGTGCAACTAAACCTGCCCCAAGTCACTTAGATTTTGAGAACCTAAAGGATGCTCAGAAATAATCTGGCTTACCTACCCACTTAGAAAAACTGTGGTGTTTTTTGTTTTTTTTTTTGAGATGGAGTCTTGCACTGTCACCCAGGCTGGAGTGCAGTGGCGCAATCTCAGTTCACTACAACCTCCGCCTCCCAGGTTCAAGCTACTGCCTCAGCCCCACAAGTAGCTGGGATTACAGGCACCTGCCACCATGCCCAGTTTTTGTATTTTTAGTAGAAAGACGGGGTTTCACTATATTGGCCAGTCTGGTCTCAAACTCCTGACCTTGTCATCCACCCGCCTTGGCCTCCCAAAGTGCTAGGATTACAGGCATGAGCCACCATGCCCGGCCAGAAAAACTGGTTTTTAAGCAATTACTGTATTTAGAAAGTATTTTCTACTTGAAAATTTTCAGTTAACACTTACATAGAGTCACAAAGGTCATAATTAAAATCTGTGTCCCGGATCCTAGAAAGACTGATAGCAGCATCCCTTTTCTTGGAGGACGGAATATATCACCATGAACAAGTTTCCAGCCAAATTCTTCCTGGGCATCTTCCTAAAAGGGGAATGAAATCAGTTCGATTGTCTCATGGTATCAACAAGACAACTATAGACAGTTTGTTCACTGTTGAATATGCTGTTACAGAAAACAGGTTTTTTTTAAACTTAAAAATGTTAGTACCTATTTCAATTTTGAAGAATACAGCTTGACTCATGGAGCTTAATATGGCTTTGCTGAACTGTCTTATATGTCAGTTTCTTAAATTTATGACATTAAGGTCTACAAATATACTTATTGAGAAACTTTACAAAGACAATGTGATTGCTACCTAATTCTACTCTAAGTCAAGCTTTGTGATCTGACTTGATGACGATTTTTAGTCACATTCTATCCTCTTCATCCTACTCTTAATGATCTCCACAATAAGCAAATGGCATTAGCTCTCATATTCTAGCTACTTTGCTAATACAGTAAGCATGGATGTAAACATTCATTGAGCACCAACTATAAGCTCGGCTCTGTTTAAAACACCAGATACCACAGTGAGTGTAACAGAAAAATTCCTACTCTCAGGAGTACATGATCTCATTGGGAAGGCAGACAATAAACAAAATAAGTCAGGAAAGTATACTGTACATTAGATGGTAATAAGCGCTGTACAGAAAAACAGGATGTATGGGTGTGTGCAGGACAGGATGTAACATATGTGATGGCTGGGAGGGGTTCAATGGGAAGATCACATTTTGTAAAGATCGGAGGGAGGTAAGGGAACTAGCCATGTAAATGAGGGGCAGACCTTCTTAGCAGATAAAACAGTGAGCTTCGTGAAGGCTCTGAGGTGGAAACCTATGTCTGCCTGGTCTGAGGAACAGCAAGGTAGCCGGCACAGGTGCAGCAGAGTGCTGAGGTAACGTGGGGCCTTAGAAGCCACTGTAAAGCCTCTGACTCTTGCTCTGACTGAACAGAAGTCCCTGGAGGGCCGTGCTCAAGAGTGAAATGATCTGACTTCTGTTTGAGCAGTTTCACTCTGACTGCTGTGCTAAGAGATGGGAAGTAGGACAGGGTTGTGGAAGCAGAGTCACCACTGGCCTGGTTCCACATGGCAACGCTGTGCAAATTAAGATAAAACTCCATTAACAGCAATTATGTGGAACAGCCAATTATAAACAGAGTATTTTAAAATCATTTTAATATTTAATAAGACATAAAATCAATAAAAATCATAGGAAAGAGACTATAGAGTACAAACGTTAAAAGCTTATGAATATTCATATATATTTTCCCCAATCAGAACAGGTCAGAGAGGTTGGGGGACAGGAGGCTGAAGAAGCTGGGGGAAGAGAATACAATAAAAACCTGAGTTTTTTGCATTCATTCCAAATTACTGTGATTCTTGTGAAAATTCTTTTATTATGCTGCCATGAAATGAAGAGTAGAAAATGTGTAACACTGTGCAACTTAAAAAGTTTGAGACTAAAGAGGCTGGAACATGCAATTATTTTAAATATATCAAAAGGTTGAAATGATACAAATTTGTTAAGATTAATTTTAAAAAATTAACCACACAAATAAAAATTGCTTAGGAGTTATTCCATTCAACTTTGTGGTTTCACAAACAGGTATGTGTCAGGGATGGAGAAACCTTACAGAGTTGTAACTGTGCACCTACACCCCACGCTGCACCAGTCCATTCCCACACAGGAGGCTGTGAACAGGTCAGCTCCCAAGGCTGTGCTGACTCCATTTCTATTTTTTTTTTTTTTTTTTGAGACAGAGTCTTGCTCTGTTGCCAGGCTGGAGTGCAGTGGCACGATCTTGGCTCACTGCAGCCTCCGCCTCCTGGGTTCAAGCAATTCTCCTGCCTCAGCCTCCCGAGGTAGCTGGGGCTACAGGTCCCCACCACCACACCCAGCTAATTTTTGTGTTTTTAGGAGAGATGGGGTTTCACCATGTTGGTCAGGCTGGTCTTGAACTCCTGACCTCAGGTGATCCGCCCACCCCGGCCTCCCAAAGTGCTGGGATTACAGGTGTGAGCCACCGCGCCCAGCCAAGAATATTAATTCTTAAGTATCACTTTCTTATTTGAAAATGTGAATTCAAGATAACTTTTGAGAAGAATTTTTTTGTTTTTGTTTTTGTTTTTTGAAGAATGTTTTAAAAGCAGATTCTAAAGCTATTATTTTACCTTTTTGCAAAATAACAATAAACAGTGTCCTTGGCAGACTAAAGACTAAAATGTTTCCACTTACCGTAGAGTCCATCTGATTATATCTAGCAATATCTTTGTGCAGTGTCCGTAACATAATCATAGCTACCATTCCAGATAAGAAGAGAACAATGACCAGGGAATTCATAATGCTGTAGAAATAAGCACATCATGAGTAATCTGTAGCTTAATCCTAGGAACAGTAAAACTCTTTTAAAAACTGTTTATTGAGTAACATTAAAACAGTCTTGATCAAAATCAAAATGAAAGCTATCTGAAATCCAACAAATTCAATGAACTGTGTTCTTTCATGTTTCCCTCCAGTAGATAAATAACATTATATACTTATCATAATACAGTTTCATAGTCTGTTTAGAACTAGAATTTTTTGGTACATGGTCAATATTATGAAATAACTACTGTGCCCAAATCACTGCCACAACAAAGGACTGGCTTGTGCCCTCAAGAAATTTACTGAAGAACAACTTTACTCAGTAAATTAGTGAGTGTCAAAAAGATCAGACAGCAATAGGAAAAGGAGAGTTATGGCAACATGAACAACTCTAGATAAAAGTTTTGAATCATGTTTGAAGGGGATAATAATAAAGTCATAGCAACAACAGCGGCTTCTGTTTCTGAACACTCTTATGTGCCAGACAATGTCCTCAAATATTCTGTCCCATGATGTCCTTTAATCCTCACAACAATCCCATAAGGTGGGTATTTCTAGATAAAGAAACAGACGCTGAGAAATTAAGGGACCTGCTGTGACTCACAATCAGTGGCTGAAAGCCAGGATTTGAACCCAAGGCCAGACTTTTGAATAAAGTAGAGAGGATTTGAGAGTAAATGAGATGTTCAAAGGGACAGAGGGTAGAAAAGTAGAAAGCAAAAGCAGGCTAACTCTGTACTCTTACCTAAACCACTGAATGTGGGTATGAGGCATAGACTCCAGAATATAGTCCCATCTAGACGCCCATCTGATCTTATCATCTTCCTAGAGGAGATTAAAAAATCTCTTTAAGTAAACATCTGCTGACAGCACATTAAGAACAAAAAAAAATCCCATTCAAAGCTTGTCCTTCCATTGAGTCAACAACTGCAATTTCTAAATTATCTAACTTTGGTTAGTCCTGAGATTTGGAGAGTTTCAGATTTACTAAAGTCTAGGGGAAATCAGAGTAAGATTATGCAACCAAAAAAAAAAAAAAAAAAGAATTCCTAGTAATACCTACTAAAAGTATTGCTTTAAATTATAACTAGATGTTTAGATGTCAACATTTAGACCTATATGTAGGTTTTTTTTTTTTTTTTAAGAAAATAATGGAATGGAATGGAATAATTATTCTTTTCTTTATGCCGGGGGCAGCTAACCAGACCAGTCATTCCAGGCACACTGAGCTCTTAATATCTAGAAATATATACTATTTACTGCACCAGGTTTGCAAAATGAAACATTATACGGGGATATTAAACATCACAACTATATTGGATTGCCAAAAGTTTTAAAAAATAGAGTTGGAACACTGCCTAAGATTCTTGCATTTTAATGATAAACTTGCATTTTAAGAAACTTCGCTAATAAAAATACTCCCTTCAATTTTCTAAGACAATCTCCCAATCGGAAACTCTTCATTTAAAGTTCATAATTAAATCTTGATTTTAAAAATGGTGAAAAAATAAAGGTAGAATACTAAGATTCTCATAACAATGAATTTGCATTTTAAGAAACTTCGTTAATGAAAACACTCCCTTCAATTTTCTAAGACAATCTACCAATTGGAAGCTCTCCATTTAAAGTTCACACTTAAATCCTTTAAAGTACGGTGTTGATTTCCCAAATGGTTTCTGAATATATCTCTGGCATTTCCATCCCGTCCTCTAGGCCTGTTTTCTACTTTTGTCTTATATGTATCTCTTATGCTTAACACTAAATCAGGCTCAAGTCTTCAACTTCCTCTATATTCTCATTTAAACTAAGACTCAGTTACAAGAGTGATTATGTTGCTTGGTACACCGACAAACTATCCTAAAAATCAGCTCATTAATAGCTTCTTTATTTGACAAGCATAATCAGTAACATTTTAATTAGTTTAAGTAGTACAAATTTAAAATCAATTTCAGAGTTATACTAAAGATAACAACAGACTCACCTCGAAGCTAACAGAGTAAGTATAGGCAATTTTTATCTCCCCAGAAGCCTTGTTACTTATGTCCATGGGGGGCCCTGAGCAGTCTGGTTTATCTATATGGGTATGTTTGAAGCTGTGGGAAGAAACATTTTGGCAAGATGCTGATAAAGTACAACTTTTTAAAAATGAGGTAAAGGTTACAGATTTTGTACGTATTTTAAAATGCTGCTGACAAAGGTGAAATTATTCATGTCACACTTAATAGCATAAATATTTACATCATATGTGTACAAAATTATAAACATACTTTTGAAAACACTATACTTGAAGAGCATTTAAATAATCTTTTTTTTTTTCTTTTTTTTTTTTGGGACAGGGTCTTGCTCTCTTACCCAGGCCTGAGTGCGGTGGTGCCATCACAGTTCAATGCAGCCTCAAACTCCTGGGCTCAAGTGATCCTCCCACCTCAGTCTCCCAAGTAGATGGGACTACAGGTGTGTGCCACCACACCCCACGCCCAGCTAATTTTTCATTTTTTGTAGAAACAAGGTCTTGCTATGTTGCCCAGGCTGGTCTTGAACTCCTGGGCTCAAGCAATCCTACTGCCTCAGCCTCTCAAAGTGCTGGGATTACAACATGAGCCACCATGCCTGGCCTTTTTTGTTTTTTGTTTTGTTTTTGAGACAAGGTCTTGCTTTGTCACCCAGGCTGGTGTGCAGTAGTGTGATCTTGGCTCACTGCAGCTTCAAACTCCTGGGTTCAAGTGATCCTCCCACTTCAGCCTCCTACAGGCACGGGCCACAGTGCCCAGTTAATTTTTAAATTTTCTGTAGAGACAGGGTCTCACTATGTTGCCCAGGCTGGTCTTGAACTCCTGGGCTCAAGTGATCCTCTCACTTCAGCTTCCTACAGGCACATGCCACCATGCCCAGCGAATTCATTTTCTGTAGAGACAGGGTCTCATTATGTTGCCTAGGCTGGTCTTGAACTCCTGGCCTCAAGTGATCCTCCTGCCTTGGCCTTCCCAAAGTGTTCAGATTACAGGTGCGAGCCACTGTGCCTGGCTAAATAATCTTATTTAAAAAAAAAAAATACTGATGAAGTTTAACTGCCATCTTATTATGGCATGTATTTCTTGACCACCAGTGCATGAGAAAAAGGCTAATTCAATGGCAGAAAAAGTCGTGAAAAAAAATGAAATATTTAAAAAAAAAATCTCATAAATAACTGATATGTACGTTCGTGATAAAAAATAATAAGTTGAAGAGATCTCTTTCAATGGCTCGTATTTCATAGTGGCATCTAACACTGCATAGGGGCTTGAGAAATCACAGTACTTGTCCACTCATTTGGGCCTCTGACCAGAGGAAAGCCACACATTATCTGAGGCAGTGTTCTTTCCACCACGAAGGGGACCACTGTCCCAACCACTCAACTTCTCCCTCCCCACTGACACGTGGAAAAGCTGTCAAAACCTCCTGACTGAAAAACAAAACACTAAGGCACCTTGGCTTGACCGCTTATCATGACAGGAAAATAACTATTGGTATGGTTTTCTGGACAACCCATAACAATAACAAATCATGCCAAAGGGAGTTTTAGTGAAATCAATCCTGAAATGTCAGAATATTAAGGAGTAATTGAGCCCCAAATACTTATTCTTTGGGTCTAAATTTCACTTATACTTGTTTACTTTTTATCATTAATATAATTACCTTTTCGGTTCAAGTTTAGCAGCCACTAATCTTGCTCCCATGGACCCAGTTTCAACAACATGATAGTATATTTTGATGTCAACATGGTTGAAGATGTAAAATGTATCTCTTTCATGGAAATCTGACTGCAGAACAGAACTTAAAAGTTAAAGGTAGAAAACTGACTACATAAGAGTCAAAACTTAAAACTTTAAAATGGGCTACAACAAGTAAGAAAATTTAAGTTTGAATGGAATTTTAAGCCTTTCACATTAACATGTTTCAATTTTATACTTAAACTCTTTTTAAGCCAAAAATTAATTGGGGAAGGTATATGCTTCTTACAGTTTTTTTACATAAAATCTAATAAGTACCAATTCAAAAGAACACTAATCTAGTATTTTCTAGCCTTTCATTTAAAATGAAACAAAATAAAATTTAAAATATTATGAGCACACTAATGCTTATACATTTAAACACTTTTCCTGCCTGGAAGCTTATAAGTTTGGACTAAACTCATAACCTAAATTATTCAAGTATCTCTGGTCAGCACTCACAAAAGCACTAACTGATATAATCAGTTTCATGATTAACTCATGCTACCTTCCACTGAATCAGATCCATTAAGAGATTTAAATCAGGTTGATCTGATTACACAAAATTCATTTTAATATATATCCCCACCTAGTTCTAATTACCTTCTATAGTAATGTCTCTATTTGATTAATCTATTTTTAAATATAATAATGGCCTCAAAGACACATAGGTCTTAAAAAGGTTATAATATCTGACTTCTGCAATACAAATTTAGTTAACTTATAATGAAGCCTTTTTTGACACTCTACTATGTACATTTTGTAATATATAAGATTTATGAGAGTTAGGACAAACTTCTAGACCTTACCATAGCATTTAACATACAACAGACAATCTCAGTAAATGTTGAACTGAATCTGAATTATTCCAATTCTAAACCTCAACTTATACATTATTAATCTGCTGTAAGTTTAAGATTGAAGTAGTTGTACTTCAGAACATCTGAACTGTACACTCATTCAATGAATATAACAATTTTTGTCCAGGTAAAGACTGAATTCTATCAAAAGCCATGTTTTAAAAAGCAGCAAAGAGTTTATCATGAACTTACACTAATAACACAGGCATCTTTTGCATGGCCTTTATCTGTAATGTAACAGCCAATAGGAAATCCAGGATTACAGAACCTCTGACCATCTTCAACATCGTAACACCACGTTACAGGCATATTATCCACAATCCTACACATGGAAAGAGGAGTTAAGTTAGAAAAGAACCCACCAAACATGACAAAGAATTACTGCCCAAATCAGTGTCATCACTTTGTAAAATTTAAATGTGTAAATGCCTTAAGATTACAAAAACCACAAAGAATGTTAATGAAATGTGCTATTTCATAAGCAATAACAATATGCCAGTATCTGATACACTGCAGTGATGGAAAAAACTACAGGCTGGTCCGAGTGCAGTGGTGTTTACAACTAATTGATCACAACCAGGTACAGCACTGCTTCATTTGACTAGCCTTAAAAAAAGAAAAAAAAAAAAACAAAAAAAACTTCGTACCTTTTTTGAAAGGATAAATGGTAGGTAGGAAAGAGTTTTATAAACTAATTTATTGTAATTGCTAATTTAACAATACTATTTAGACACTTCACTGTAATTTACCTTTAGCAGAATACTCACAGCTCTAAATAGGTACACAAAGCAATATATCTAGTTCCTCAGGAACAGTTTATTAGACAGTAGAGAAGGAAATGCCTCTTATTACTCAGGTTATTCAATAAAAAAGGAATACAATTGCAAGATATAGGAAAACATTAAACTAAAGAGCCAGGAGGAAAAGTGAAAGCTATACAAAAAAATTCTGTGAAAACTATAAATCCAAGTTATTTCTAAAAGAAATACTGTTGCAAAGCTAGCGAACCAAATCTTTCAAGTTCTATAGTGAAAAAGGACTTAAATAATAAAAGCAGAAAATAAAGTTCTGTAGCACCATATAACTACATTACAGTCCAAGCATGTGGCCCCCTGCGCCCAGAGTACACTGCGGGATACAAATAAAAAAACTACTCAAAATATAGCAGCTATATTACAGTCATAAGACGACACTCCAGGGCATGTTTTATTTGTTAATTAATGTGTGCCTTAGGAAGTAAAATTATGATTCTATATTCACCCAAGGTGTACCTTAATGACCTAATAAAACATGTCTCGTCACCTTTAAATGCTATTTAACAGTACCCAGTGTACAAAATTTTAGAATCACCTATACTATTAAACTGCTTATTATTATAATCAGCAGGCTAGTGGTTCCAATGAAAAGACTATAAAATATTAGAAGCATAAACGCATTGTTATATAGAATAAATAATTCAGATTTTCTGAAAGCTTAACGAATCCGTTAATTGCTTTAATTTTTTAGATAGAGATGAAGTTCAATTAATGAATATATACTAGCAATATATAGTATCTTCATGCTACCATACTGGAGGGAAAGTACTACATAAAAATTATAGTGCTAGTTACAAAATGAGAAATTAAAGCACAATTTAGGTTTTATAAAAGCCAACATCCTAAATGTATCATTTATATAATACCTTGACACAATAGCTTTTTCTGGTAATAGGAAGCATTTAAAAAAAAATCCCTTTGAAATAAATTTAAGAAAACTTAAAGGATATCTTTTTTTCCCTCGAGACAGGGTCTTGCTCTGTCACCCAGGCTGGAGTGCAGTAGCATGATCATGGCTTTCTGCAGCCTCAACCTCCCAGGCTCAAGTGATCCTCCCATCTGTGCCTCCCAAGTAGCTGGGACTACAGGTGCATGCCATCACACCTGGCTAATTTTTAAATATTTTTTGTAGAGTTGGGGTCTCACTATGTTGCCAGGGCTGGTCTCAAACTCCTGGGCTCAAGTGGTCCTCCTACCCTGGTCTCCCAAAGTGCTGGGATTACAGGTGTGAGCCACCACGCCTGGCCAAAGAATATGATTTTCAATTACTGTCTTCCTAAATTAACAAGTAGTATTTATTTAAATTTCTAATATCAAAAAAATTAAAACTCTTATTTCCAATCTGACAGACTGAATAATGGGAAGAAGACTCGCAAGGATAAAGGCTGAATGACTCCCAACTTTTTATCACGAAGAACTCCTTTCCTTTACTTCTGTCTGCTCTCCAAGGACTCCATTTGAAACAGTTCTACCAATCAAGCTTCACTTAGTAACTACTTGTTTTTCCAATAAATTAATTCCAAAAGTTTCTAATCAGAATAACCCATATTGTCACAATGCACTCAGAAAATTACAGCCCAAAGCAAAGAAAGTTGGCATTTAACAAGTTGGCATTTTTTTTTCTTTTCTTTTTTTTGCAGTTGCAAGATTTAATAGAGTGAAAACAGAGCTCCCATACAAAGGGAGGTGACCCAAAGAGGGTAGCCCACAGTTGGCATTTCTATGTAGTTTTAACATGAGTACATTTGGAGTATTCATTAGGATTTTGAATTTTTGAAAACAGCACATCATTCTCCTTTGCTAACTTGGTGGGATCTGGGATTGGAACTCACTAAAGTATCTTCAAGACCCCTTTATAATTCAATAAGCTATAGTCCAGTGGTTCTATGATACTAAGAAATGGTAAGTACTCTGATAACTAGTTAATTATATTTTTATAAATAAAATGTCATCAAGATTTGGAAATTCAGGCAAGAAGTATAATCACAAACCACACAGAGCACAGCTGAAGAGAGTTTTAAGTGTCCAGTGCTGGTATCAAAGCAATAGTTTCAGGAATCACAAAATAGCTTAGCAGCTACTGACAGAGTAAGCCAAAAAGATCCTCAAATTATGTGCTAAAGCCCCAAATAAGAATAAAAAGTATGGCCAGGAGCGGTGGCTCGCGCCTGTAATCCCAGCACTTTGGGAGGCCAAGGTGGGTAGATCAAGAGGTCAGGAGTTCGAGAGCAGCCTGGCCAACATAGTGAAATCCCGTCTCTACTAAAAATACAAAAATTAGCCAGGCGTGGTGGCGGGCACCTGCAGTCCCAGCTACTCAGGAGGCGGAGGTGGAGGCAGAGGCAGGAGAATCACTTGAACCCAGGAGGCTGAGGTTGCAGTGAGTCGAGACTGTGCCACTGCACTCCAGCCTGGGAGACAGAGCGAGACTCTGTCTCAACAACAACAACAAATAAAAAAATAAAAAGTATTCGTCAATTTATATAAGAAACTATTATTAACTGTTCTTTATAGTGAGAATAATAAACTACAGCACGGTTCCAATGTCATGGGTGAGAAATTATGATTGATTCATGCAGTGAATTATGAAATTATGGAAAAGACGGAGGAGGTTATAGATTTACAATGTTACTTGACCTGAAAAAAGTCCATAATATTTTCTTAAATAAAATGAGCAAGTTGCAGAATAACGTGTACAATATTTTAGTTGCATTATTTTAAAAAGGGACACACCCTTTTCTATACCTCCATATGCATAGTAAATATAGAAACACACATGAGAAATAATAGTGTTAGTTCTGTAGAATAGAAATGAGGCTGAGACTGACAGAAGACTTACTTTTACTTAATATTTTCTTGTACTGCTTGTGTTTTCTCATCGGCATGTATTGCTTTATGATTTAGAAAATGATTATGCTCTCCCTAGTATGTCTTAGTGCAAAGTATAAAATAAAATGTGCTATATTCACAAACTCCCTAACAGAATACTGTAAATTCCCATGGGTACATGGTATTTTATGTGTCAACTCTACTGTCTATGCTTAAAATCAAGTTATACAGTAAAATCTCTCTGAAATAGGTCATGGACAGAATATACTCAAATAATGGTTTCAATAAATTCATCAATGTGAATCAACATTTTCCAAATGTATACTGAACTGATTTAAGGGTTACACTTAAAATCATCAACTTTTCTGATTCAACTGCAAAATCATTATTTACCAGCACTTTCTCAGGTAATTTTTTTAAAGCAGAATAGTTGAAGTTTGCAATTGATATGCTGATTACAAATCATTCAGTAAATTTTACTGTCTGATGCTTGCTTAGTTTGTACACTACTGTATTTATTCTTTCTTGTTATTAAGCATCTTGGCATTATAATGAAATCTTTGTTAACTGCATCATAAATTAGTTAAAAATATCTCTAAGTACTTTCCTGTCAGGAGGCTACTGAAGAACTGCTTCTACTACCTTCAGGAGCAAGACTAAACAGTATTCTTTGGTTCAAGCAATTCTCCTGCCTCAGCCTCCCGAGTAGCTGGGATTACAGGCGCCTGCCACCACACCTGGCTAATTTTTGTATTTTTAGTAGAGATGGGGTTTCGCCATGTTGGCCAGGCTGGTCTCGAACTCCTGGCCTCAGGTGATCTGCCTGCCTTGGCCTCCCAAAATGCTGGGATTATAGGCATGAGCCACGGTGCCGGGCTGACTAAACAGTATTCTAAGCACAGAGGGTAGAAGAAAGAGCTAAAAAATCACCCACAAGGCCGGGCGCGGTGGCTCACACTTGTAATCCCAGCACTTTGGGAGGCAGAGGCGGGCGGATCACGAGGTCAGGAGATCGAGACCATCCTGGCTAACACAGTGAAACCCCGTCTCTACTAAAAATACAAAAAATTAGCCGGCATGGTGGCGGGCGCCTGTAGTCCCAGCTACTCGGGAGGCTGAGGCAGGAGAATGGCGTGGACCCGGGAGGCGGAGCTTGCAGTGAGCCGAGATTGCGCCACTGCACTCCAGCCTGGGTGACAGAACGAGATTCCGTCTCAAAAAAAAAGAAAAAAAAAAAATCATCCACAGACCTTAACAGTCATTCTTTCAGTTAGTCAACAAACTGATAGCTATTGCAGTAAACGCAGGTGGATAGGGCTAATATGAGAAGATAAGAACTGAGGCTTAAATATTATTTTGAAGATTACAAAGAAAAACAACAAGGAAATTTCAATTACTTAACAATAAGTAAACATATCCCAGGTTGATATGCAATTGATATGCATTGATCTAGCAAATAAGCAGTATTTCTATGGTAGTTTAGGGGAAACAAGCTCTTCGTTTACCAGAAATGAAAGAAATGGGGAGACAAAGGAGTCTTTAAAGTTCCTATTTGCACTGAGGGTCAGATGACAAAGAAGCTGACACAAGCATAACAGGCAGGTTTCTAACAGCACCATCTCCCTCCTTCCAACAGAGCCCCACTAGCCTACACAGAACCCATTCTTATGGGGTTCAGGTAGATGTTACCCAGGTCTGGTCAGTCAGAATGAATCCTTCCCATCACAAACTAGCTCATGGCTGTGCACAGGACTCAGCAACCCAGGGTTCTATGCATATGGGGGTTGGGTGGGGTGGAGGAGGAGGAAAACTAAGGGGTAGGAGGGAATGCGAGGCCACAGGATCTGGTCAGGTCTCAGCTGAGATCCACGGTTCCTAACCTTATTGGCGTGAGCAAACAATGTGATCTAATATACTGACAGGACAAATATCCAAAAGGAAGTGCATGAACACAGTCCTCCTGTTCGCCACTGAAAGCATCTTACACTTTCTAGAAAAGGCAAAACATATGTAAACTATGATCCCCACAGAATATAGGCATTTCCAAGCAAAATTACTCAGAAGAATAGCAATGGTTATACTTCAAATGTTGGATTTTGAAAGTCTTTAAAAATATTCTATGTTTGACCGGGCGCAGTGGCTCACACCTATAATTCCAGCACTTTGGGAGGCTGAGAGGGGCGGATCTCTTAAGGTCAGGAGTTCGAGACCAGCCTGGCCAACATGGTAAAACCCCGTGTCTACTAAAACTATAAAAATTAGCCAGGTGTGGTGGCGGGCACATGTAATCCCAGCTACTCAGGCGGCTAAAATGCAAGAATCACTTGACCCCAGGAGACGGAGGTTGCAGTGAGCCGAGATCACGCCACAGCACTCCAGTCTGGGGAACAGTGAGAGACTCCATCTCAGAAAAAAAAAAAAAATTCTATGTTTGAATATTGTATAATAAGTATATACTACTTTGGAAGGAAAAACAGGACAGTTTTAAATACTTTTTGATTCTGATACAAACTGGTACAGAATTTGTTAATGTTATGTCATGTTTACAAAATGAAAGGCTAAGCAAAATGTAAGCGTTTTATTTGAAGTTGATGCTATTTATCAAACAAAAGTTAAGTTTTGTTTTCCTGTGATTTTTTTCATAGCCCACAAGTATAAAACAATGTTTTCACTAGAAGACTGACCCAGGTCCTTTTCCCCAAAGCATAATATGCTACTGTTAACTATTCAGGCATACTTCGTTTTATTGCACTTCACTTTATTGTGCTTTGCAGATATGGTGTTTTTTAGAAATTGAAGGTTTGTGGCATCCTTGCGTTAAGCAAATCTATCAGTGCCATTCTTTCTTTTTTTTTTATTTTTGAGACAGAGTCTTGCTCTGTCGCCCAGGCGGGAGTGCAGTGGCACGATCTCAGCTCACTGCAAGCTCCGCCTCTGGGGTTCACGCCATTCTCCTGCCTCAGCCTCCCAAGTAGTTGGGACTACAGGAGCCCATCACCACACCTGGCTAATTTTTTGTATTTTTAGTAGAGATGGGGTTTCATCGTGTTAGCCAGGATGGTCTCGATCTCCTGACCTCGTGATCCAACCGCCTCAGCCTCCCAAGTGCTGGGATTACAGGCGTGAGCCACCATGCCTATATCAGTGCCATTTTTTCAACAGCATGTGTTCACTTTCTGTCTTTGTGTCAGCCTTTTTTTTTTTTGTAAGCAATAATGTATTTTTTAATTAAGGTACTTACAGAGTTGTTTTAGACATAATGTTATTGCACACTTAATAGACTATATGTAGTATAAACATAACTTTTATATGCACTGGGAAACCAAGAAAAACTTTATGTGACTCACTTTATTGTGTTATTTGCTTTATTGCAGTGGCATGGAACTGAACCTCAGTATCCCCAAGGTATGCCTGTATGTGAATAAAAATAACTACTCTATGTACCAGATCTATGTATCAAAAGAAGTACCAGATATTACAGTAATCTAAACACAGTTAAAAGATGATACTTTAAATGATGTTGTCATCTTTAACTAAGAGTCACTACTTCAAGCTACGACCACTAGTAACAAAAAAAAGGAAATCAATTAATTTGCTATATTTTACACAATCAAGTAATTTATATAGTCAAAGCAACAAAGATTTCATATGGAAAGGATAAACCCCAAAATCGAAAATATTCATGCCTTACCAGTGATGTTGATAATTCAATAACATGCTTTTTTTCAAGAATTCTAACTTTTGTTTGTCTTCAGCTTTCTCTGTATGGTATGTTTTTGTACAAACAAGCTTACAGGTCTCCTTCTTATTAAACGTAAACTGTATTAAAAGGAAGTGGAAAGCAAATTCAGAAAAAATATCCAGGTTTTTCATACCAATATCACAAATAGAGTAAAAGTGCTGGTCCCATTAAATTACTTAAGTGCATTAATATTGGTAATAAATAAATTTTTAAATTCCTCATAGCTCAATCAGATTTAAATTTTAATCCTACTGTGTTTCTCTAAAGACTCGTCATCAAGTTTTCCTTTGATACGTTCTTTTTGGTAATTTCAATCGACTTACCTTTTAAATGTAAATAAGTTCTAGAAGAGAAAAAAAAATCCCATGTAGAACAAAAATGGAACTTTAGTCTCTCCTAGTAATATCCCATGGTCATGTCTTAGGAATTCTGGAGTTAATGGCTTTCTAGTAACAAGCAGACAAATTTTTATGTTCAAATAATCAACAGATGTTAAGTGCCCTCCTTAAGTGTCAGGTGATAGAGATTCAGCAGTGAACAAGAGAGCATGTGACATTCAGATGTCTAAAATCAGGCTAAACATGACTCCAGAAGGCTGAAATTTACCAGCTATACAACCAGCCATAATTCCATCTTTTAATAAATTCAAACTTTATTACATAAGGTGATTAAAAAAATGGCATGGTTCACTTCTAAGCAGCCCACTCTTTTGTATGTATGTATTTATTAACATCCCTAAAGCAGGTGCAGTGAAGCAGCTAAGTGAATGTTTAAGCATAGTCCACTGCTGCCACCTGTCAGCCAATGTTTTCATTCTGTCTGCATTGCTATTTCCAATACAGCCATATCTGTACCACTAGTTGATATTTTAAACCTTATATGAACCTTAAAGATTCATTCTTAAAAAGTGGAAAATGGAAAAACAAAAAAGTATACACACTAAGAAATCAGAAGCACAGACACCAAACTTAAAATAAGTTAAGCAGAGAGACAATATTACACCAAAATGGCAAATCTGACACCTCAATCCAGTGCTCACTTCATTAGGTGAGTCAACCTGTGTGTTCAATTGTGAAGGAAATAGCAAGACTAAGGTGACATTAATGTAGTAATAGGTAACATCTGTTTAGTGCTTCCTATGTTCCATGTACTTTGTATATATCAAGCCTCATGTAATCCTCCAAACAACCCTTATTCATCTTTTACAGATGAGAAAACTGGAGCACCAAGTCACACAACTGAGCATCGGCATAGCCAGGATCTGAGCCAAGTGAGTTGAGCTCCGGAGAACATGCTCTTCAGCACAACACCCTGCAGCCTCTCCCTGTCATGTGTTTAGTTGGGAATTTTATAATATTTTAAATCATGTTTGGTTATGGATGGAATTGTATTTTATTTATGTTTTGCTAAGGATTTTTAAATATTCTTAGCTCCCAAGGGAAACAAATCCTCCTTATAACACGCAAGCACAGCACTGTTCTGTTTCTATTCGGGAAAACGTGGGATTATAATTTTTCCTAAATTATTTCAGTGAGGATTTAACCTTCTCCTTGGAATAATTCTGAAAATCAAAATATCAATCTAGAGTCAGACCTGGGTACGAGTCAACTCCATCTTGTTAGGAGACCAGGGAAAGCTGCGTAACCCTGCCTCAGCTTCAGTTAACTTATGTGTAAAATGGGCGCAGTAACTGCCTTGCAGGGTTGTTGGATTAAATACAGAAACGTGTGTGCAAAACACCTAGCATGCTGACTGATGAAAATAGGTATTCACTAAATAACAGTTATTGTTATGTATCTCACCACCAGCTTTTAGCAAATAGCAGAAAAATTATATCAAAGTCCATATCTGAGGGAAATCATATAAGGCTGCACACTTCTGGCAAGACTTCTCCTCCATGCAGCCTGAGACCATCAGGATTGATGTGGTTTGGCTCAGTGTCCCCACCCAAATCTTATCTCCAATTGTGATCTGAATTGTAATCCCCACGTGTTGGGGGAGGGACCTCGTGGGAGGTGATTAGATCATGGGGGGCGGTACCCCACGCTGTTCTTGTGATAGTGAGTGAGCTCTCACAAGATCTGATGGTTTTATAAGGGGCTTTCTCCGATTCACTCTGCACTTCTCTTTTCTGCCGCCACATGAAGAAGGACATGGTTGCCTCCCCTTCTGCCATGATTGTTTTCCTGAGGCCTCCCCAGCCATATGGAACTGTGAGTCAATTAAACCACTTTTCTTTATAAGTTACCCAGCCTCTGGTATTTCTTCACAGCAGCGTCAGAACGGACTACTACCCACTAGGACTAATGGGCAGGACTAATCCCATTATGCCCTCTACCCTCTGAATATTAGTCACCACCAGAAGTCCAGGATTTCCATGTCATCCTTCCATTCCCACATATGAATCCCAAAATGTATCCCCCCTCAACTGCTTAATCCCTTCCACTATGCCCTGAAACTCATGTGTCACCAGCAGAACACCCTCTAGTTCCTCAACCTCTTCTCAGAATGTTTTCTGGAGCCTGTTCTGATGAAAACCTGGCTGTCCCTGACGGATGCTGCCTCACTGGAGTCTTGCTGGTGGTGCCTGTTTTCTCTCATAGGCCCCAGCGCTGGGCCAGACCATTCTCCCTCCTCCAGAAACCTCTAGCTTTGACTCCCATGTGATCAGACCACACCGCCCCTACTCCTTCCTGTTCTTGTCATCTACCAACCCCAGGTCACTGGCCCTCAGCTCCTGGCTCACTGTCACTGCAACACTCCTCCTCGCTCCTGATTCTTGGTGATTACATCTATATCAACGATCCTTCCAAAACAATGACCTTTTGATCCTCTGCCCTCTCCTCCAGCGACTCTGGTCTTCATCCAATTTCAAAGCACTCCCTCCTCTGGTCGCATTCCACCCTGCCTTTATCAATGACAGCAGTCCCAGCCATTATCTCCATTTCAAGCTTCCCAGTGTCAAACCACCTCCTCCCGTTGTTCCAACTCACTGGCTCAAATGTTCATCACCTCCAACAAGCCCTGGACTCCACTTAAATCGACAGATCCTACAGTCTTTTCACTGTCTCTTACTCCTTTTGTGGCCTCACATGCCCCCTGTGCAAGCTCAAACTCCAAGCTCAACAGTATCTCCATCTTTCATAACATCCAAAGATGTCCTCACATCCTGTGTTCTTCTCTCACTTTTTTGGTATTCACTTGTTAAAACCACAAACCTGGTTAAATCCAACTCAGCAGCACAGCTGGAAATAGCTGGAGATACACAATTAAGCACGCTGGCTGCTGTTACTTCAAACCACCAGCTGGCCAGAGGGTCCCTGATGCAGCCTAGCAGCCGCTCCACACTCCTGCTCTATTAGCTCTCCTGGATCCTACTTGGCTGCTGCCTCCCTCCTCACTCACAGGTGGGGTGGCCATGCTGCCTACTTCACTGAGGAATCAGGAGCAATTGCCACATTTACCTCCCAGCATCATGCCCCATGTCTCTGCCTTCCCTCCAGTTACCACGGATGAACGAGCTCACTGAGGCCAACCTCTCCAACAGTACACTAGGTCCCATCCCTTCTTGCCAGAGCAAGGACACCCACGGCAATCCTTCCCTCTCCTAAATCATCACTTTTCCCGTATCTACTGATCACACTCATCCACATACACACCTTGCTTAAAGATCTATCACAAGTCCTCCTGGCCGGGCGCGGTGGCTCACGCCTGTAATCCCAGCACTTTGGGAGGCCGAGGCAGGCAGATCACGAGGTCCGGAGATCGAGATCATCCTGGCTAACACAGTGAAACCCCATCTCTACTAAAAATACAAAAAATAAGCTGGGCGTAGTGGCGGGCGCCTATAGTCCCAGCTACTTGGGAGGCTGAGGCAGGAGAATGGTGTGAACTCGGCAGGTGGAGCTTGCAGTAAGCCGAGATCACGCCACTGCACTCCAGCCTGGGCTACAGAGCAAGACTCTGTCTCAAAAAAAAAAAAAAAAAAAATCTATCATAAGTCCTCTTTGGGGCGGGTGCCTTGGCTTATTCCCAGCACTTTGGGAGGCCAAGGTGGGCAGATCACCTAAGGTCGGGAGTTTGAGACCAGCCTGGCCAACATGGCAAAGCCCTGTCCCTACTAAAAATACAAAAATTAACTAGGTGTGGTGGCAGGCACCTGTAATCCCAGCTGCTCGGGAGGCTAAGGCAAGAGAAGCACTGGAGCCTCGGAGGTGGAGGTTGCAGTGAGCTGAGATCACAACACTGCACTCAAGCCTGGACAACAGAGTAAGACTGTCTCTAAACAAACAAACAAACAAACAAACAGTCCTCTTTGAACCACGCCATCCTCCAGTTTCCACTCTTTTTCTCACTGCCAGTAAAATAAAAGTCCTCAAGACAGTTGTAGATGTGTCCACCTGCAAATGCTCTTTCCATTCTCTCTCCACCTGGCTATTCTATCACGGCTGCTTTCACATCAATGACCTCAACATTGAAGGCTAAACCCAAGGTCAATCCTCTGTCCTTATCTCACCTGACCCATCAGTGACAAATCAACCAATCCCTCCTCCTAGAAACACTTTCTTGCCTCGGCCTCTGGGGACCACATTCTCCGTTACCCTTCTTTCTCATCAGTGGCTCCTTCTCAGTGTCCTTTGCTAGACTCTCCCCATCCTCCCGACCTATAAAACCAGGTGCCCCAAGGGTCTGAGCCTCACGCCTGTAATTCCAGCACTTTGGGAGGCTGAGAGGGGGCGGATCTCTTAAGGTCAGGAGTTCGAGACCAGCCTGACCAACATGGTAAAACCCTGTTTCTACTAAAAATACAATACCAGGAGCCCTTGGGGCACCTGATTTTATAGGTCAGGAGGATGGGGAGAGTCCTGTGCCTCTTCGAATCTTGTCTTCTTCATCTATACCCACTCCCTTGGGGATCTCTTCAATTCTGTGGCTGTAAATACCATCTATACACTGATGATTCTCAAATATATACTGTGTATATCCAGGATGAAGCCCTTCTCCAAACTCCAAAAGCATATATTTGGCTGTTTATTCAGCATCTCTGCTTGGACACCTAATAAACACCTCTCACTTACCACATCCAAAACTAACTCTTCCCCATCCCCCAACCTGGCTCTTCCCACAGACTGCCCCATCTTAGAAAATAGAAACTCCACACTCCACATCCCATCCCTTGGCAAATTCTGTCGGCCACCTTCAAAACACAGCCAGATTCACAGATTCTGACCTCTTCACCACCCCCTCACCCTTCCCAAGTCAGATCATATTTAGATGAGGGAGAAGGCCTCCTACTGGTCTCCTGGCTTCTCCCCTCGCACCCCCACGGTCCATTCTCAGTACAGCAGCCAGGGTGACCCTGGTAAAATCGAAGCCTACTCAAAACCCTCCAGTGTTAACTAACCATCTTGCTCAGATGTAAAGGCCAATCCTCACAGTGGCCTCTGAGTCATTCTATAATGTGGTCCTGTTACTTCTCTGTGCCCACTGCCTACTATGCTCTATCTTGCTCACCTGCTCAAGTTACACACCTTGGGGCCTCTCTTCAGCTAGAACACCTCCCCCACATATTCACATGGCTCACTCCCTTACTTGCTTCAGGTCTTCTGCTCAAATGTCACCTTCTCGGTAAGGCTTTTTTAAGATTTTAAATCCACCTTTGCAGTAAGCCTATTTAAAATTAGAAATTCCCCACACACCTTCACAGATTTATTTTCAATAGTTCTTTCCTCAGTAATTGAAACATATATTCTGGTAATTTATTTTGTCTCCTTTTCCCCATCAGCATAAAAGATCCATGAGGACAGAGATTTTTGTTTTGCTCACTGCTGTATCCCATCACAGTGCCTGGCACATGAAAGGTACTGAGCAAATGTGTTAACTGAGTGAATGAATATGAGTGCTTAGATCTGAGATGAGATTTTATGGTCCTATGAAATGTGGTTCCAGCTTCACATAATACACACAATGTCTTGCACTGTTGTTTTCCTGACCTAAACAGAAGTCAAATATAAAAGACGACAAAGCAGACTGGGATTTTATTTTGTTGCTGGTTGTTACCTCAGTTTTTACAGCAGATCTAAAATAAGATAAAGCTGGGTGTAGTGGTTCACACCTATAATCCCAGAACTTTGGGTGGCTAAGGCAGGAGGATTGCTTGAGCCCAGGAGTTCAAGACCAGCCTGGGCAACATAGTGAGACCCTGTCTCTCCAAAAAATAAAAAAATTACCTGGGCATGGTGGGCATATCTGTAGTTCCAGCTACTCAGGAGGCTGAGGTGAGAGGATTTATTGAGCCTGGGAGTTCAAGGCTGCAGTGAGCCGTGGCCCAGCCCAGGCCACAGCGTGAGACTCAAAAAAGAAATAAATAAATACATACATAAAGATAAAAATCCTTGAAAATAAAGAATCAATAGTGAAATGAAAAATGTTGGTCAATACATTTATGGCTGGCTTACACCTTGGCCTTAAAATGTGCCTGCTCTGTCCCTTTAAGTTTGGGGCTTAGAGAATTTGTTTTAGTACAGATATGGATCCTGAAACATTCCAGAAGACTCAGGGAAAATGTTGGGTACACAATTTCTCCATTCTAAAGCTCTCCTTTTATTATATTTAACCTCAACTTCTACAACAAAGGATTAAATCTGAAAAGCACTAGGCCCCAAAAAGGGTCCTGTGTATGAGCAAGGAACAGTCCTTGCACAGAAACAGAAATGTGCCCAATGACATCCTACTAAGGGGAGTAACCTGCCTTCAAAGTCTGCCCCAAAGGGCAACACCTCCCCATGGGTTTGAGTATTTTGCTGGGTTTCCTTCTGTTTCCTGCTAGGGACTCCTGCTGTCTTCCCAGTTCACTAAGGGCATTACTGATATTCTTCCCACCCATCATTTCTCAAGGGCAAGACATAAGTAGAGAGATGGGGCTGAGAGGCTGCTGGAATATTTAAGATTGTAAAATTTAAAAAGCATGCCTGAAAACAGTCATCTGCTATAAGAAGAATGCAATACCATTCAAAGTAATCTTCCAAATACCCCAAGAGGGAAGAGGTGTTTCGCAAGTTACATGCCTGCCCTGCTCAATGGCACCCATGTCCATACACTTTGAGTTCCTTCCTCCTCAATGACTTCATCCCATTAGGCCTTTGAATCTACTGTGTTTAGGAAACTTTAAAAGTTACTGGCAATTTTAGGGTAGACAATTTCAGATTAGAATATTTGAAAGGGGCCGGGCATGGTGGCTCATGCCTGTAATCTCAGCACTTTGTGAGGTCGAGACAGGCAGATCACCTGAGGTCAAGAGTTTGAGACTAGCTTGGCCAACTTGGCAAAACCCCATCTCTACGAAAAATACAAAAATTAGCTGGGCATAGTGACACACGCCTGTAATTCCAGCTACTTGGGAGGCTGAGGCAGGAGAATCACTTGAACCCAGGAGGCGGAGGTTACAGTGAGCTGAGATCTTGCCACTGCACTCCAGCCTGAGCAATAGAGTGACACTCTGTCTCGAAAAAGAAAAAAAAAGTATTTGAAAGGCGTCAGACGGCGGCTCACGTCTATGTCTATAATCCCAACCCTTTGGAAGGCTGAGGCAGAAGGATTGCTTGAAGCCAGAAGTTCAGGACAAGCCTGGGCAACAGAGTGAGACCCTGTCTCTATAAAAAATTTAAAAATTGGCTGGATGTGGTGGTATGCATCTGTAGTCCTAGCCACTCAGGGGAGTGAGACAGGAGGATCACTTGAGACTAGGAGTCTGAGGCTGCAGTAACCTATGATTGTGCCACGTCACTCCAGCCTGGGTGACAGAGCAAGGCTCCATCTCTTAAAAAAAGAAAAGAAAAAAAAAGAATATTTGAAGAGGATATATTTACAGTCAAAACCAATCAACTTGTAGTGGATTAAATTTGCACAGTGATGTTTCTTTTCCCCCAGGGCTTCACAGTGTAGGTGCAGGTGCTGGAGGGAGTAAGACGGTTGGTGAGATGAATCTAGGCTTCGGGATTTGCTGGACAGATAATAAATGTTGTGCTCCATGTAATAAAATGTCGAGGGAGATGGGGGTGCCTCGTGAGAAAGCAGGGAAGGTGGCTATGGATGAGGTCTAAGACATAGCAGAGACGCGAAGCCAGGAGAGGAAGCTGTCGGGCTGGGGAATAACACCTGGAGTCAAGTTAGAGCCATCAGAACACACATTCTCATGTGGACAGATGCCCATGGTAGAGAGTTAAAGGAAAAATG
Organism: Homo sapiens; assembly: GCF_000001405.40. Classification (NCBI taxonomy): domain Eukaryota; kingdom Metazoa; phylum Chordata; class Mammalia; order Primates; family Hominidae; genus Homo; species Homo sapiens. Next base: position 99,521,308 of record NC_000013.11, on the reverse strand, counting down.
CAAAGTGTGGCATATAGTATGTTAAAACAAATAAGTAAATCTAATCTATTTAATGTAAGCTTATAGGTGTATGAAAATTTTCAGGAAATTTTAATAACAAACTGTGAAGTGGAACTGCACATTTATTATTATTTATTCTTTTGCATCATTTAATTTTTTTATATGGTGATACATTATTATAATAAACTACTTTAATGTTTCTAAAAGCAAAAGACCATTGTTCTTTGTACAGTAGGAGAACAGATACAAAACAAACAGGGATTATGCAATGTGGAAGGATAATAGGCTTAAAAGATAACAGATTTAAAGGCAAAAGAATTCTGAGAGATGATGAAGTACATATGTTGAAAAGAATACCTTATATTGTGCTTAGTTTGGTTTAACTGGTGTTCGAAAAATGTACCAAAGATGTTCCAAATACATCAAAATAGAAAGGTTAGGCTAGGCATACTGGCTCAAATCTGTAATCTCAACACTTTGGGAGGCCGAGGCGGGCAAATCACTTGAGTTCAGGAGTTTGAGACCAGCCTGACCAATATGTTGGAACCCCATCTCTACTAAAAATACAAAAAGTTGGCTGGGCATGGTGCCATGCACCTATAGTCCCAGCTACTCGGGAAGCTGAGGCACGAGAATTGCTTGAACCCGGGAGGCAGAGGTTGCAGTGAGCTGAGATCTCACCACTACACTGCAGCCTGGGCGACAGAGCAAGACTCTGTCTGGAAAAAAAAAAGAAAGATTAGCTTCCAAAAATCCCAGTGCGGGAGCCCAGGCAGCATTGTACGTGCTAACGGAGAGTGTCTCTAGATACTGCTGGAAAACAGGGGGAAAGAGACACAGAGCAGCTGAGACAACCTCTCATGACTGGAAGCTGGGTTCCAGGACCCGGGTTTCAGGACCCTCTGTAAAGGAGGCAGAGCATCTGAGCCCTGCCCTTTAAGCCACCGTCTTAACATTCCTAACATTAGTTGCGTGAATGTTCATTAAGACAGACTTATCAATGACACACTGTGAGAAGGAGAAGGATCCTTCTAACTTTGATTTTAAGAACCTATTCCTAGATGAAAAAGAGAAATGAACTCCTCCTTAGCAATGATAGCTGAGTTATCTCAGGCTTTTCTTAAATAACAAAAACAAAAGCTGTAAGTAAATAATTATTATGTAACACTAAATACAAACCTTATATGGTGAAGGTTCAATTCTTTCCCCGAATAGTACCTGACCAAGATTTTCAGATGGGCGCTTTCCTTCTGATGCTTGGCAAAAATCAAACCTGGGAGAAGAATATTTAAATTTTTACACATAAAAGGGAACGATGAAATATCAAACACCTAGCCAATCTTGAGAGCAGATTAGGTACTGATCATTGTAGCAGCTCTAGTAGATGAGTAAGAAATCTATCCATACTCCAAGTCCTATGTACCACATCTCTCCTCATAAAAAAACAAAACACCTAAAATTATGCCTTCGAATATTTTTTTCTAAATAACATTCTCTTATTAGAATGCATATTACAATATCTTTTAATTGACTCATTATAATTCATTTTTGTTCACTCCAATAATAAAATTATTTAGATCCTTATTATTCAAGCAAATTTTGCATAACTTATCTCCTTGCTATTATCTAATTCAAATCTTTAATTAAAAATGACATTTCAGTAATGTATGTCAAGTCTACCTGCAGTTGTCTCATCTCAGTACACTTGCCAACACATCCCAATATGTGAAGCATGGCTAAAAAGACCCTCTGTGAAGAGTGCTGTGGAGAAGATGTAGTCAGTCACCTATAAGATTCCCTGTGTTGTAATTCCCTTGTATTACTAACCAACTTTAATAAAGTTCTGTTTAAACATTACAGCTTAATTTCAGCTTTGCCACAGAAAATTAAAGGGCAGTTCTGTGCTCACTCTGGAATGATATGGGGAATATCTGAGATCAGTACAGTAATAGTAACAGATTAGTGAGATTCCTAAAGAGGAAGGTGGGTCTCTGGTGATTAAAAAAAAAAAAAAACTGGGGCTGGGAAGTTCCCAAATGAAGATTCTCCACAGATCCACTGACTTTTCCTAAGAATATCCACAAAGATTTAAAGATGTTTAACAAAACAAAAACTGGAAAAAAATTTAAGTATCCAATAATTAGATGAATTATAGTCTACCCATTCATGTCTTCTGTATTCTTTTCTTAGACATACTTAGATATATGAATTCTTTAGGATAGTCGTAACTTTTTTGTGTATACTTTTCTCTACAGCAAACTATTTTCTTTTAAAACTCTTAAACAGCTGAGAAATTAAACTAAATTTTAGCAACAGTTTTAGACCCAATATGGTATACAATGGTCAAATGAATAAAGGATATTCATGCAGCGTTTTTCACAATATCAAAAAACTGGGCCAGGCACAATGGCTCATGCCTGTAATCCCAGCACCTTGGGAGGCCAAGGTGTAAGGATCACTTGAACCCAAGAGTTTAAGGACAGCCTGGACAACAGAGTGGTACTCCATCACCACAAAAAATTAAAAAAAAAAAAAAAAAAAAAAATTAGCTGGGCATGGTTGCACACGCCTGTAGTCCCAGCTATTCAGGAGGCTGAGATGAGAGGATCACCTAAGCCCAGGATGTTGTGGCTGCAGTGAGCCATGATCGTGCCACTGCACTCCAGCCTGGGCAACAGAGCAAGACCTTGTCTCAAAAGCAAACAAAGAACCTGGAAATAATCAAATGTTGGTAAATAGGAAACTAGTGAAAGTAAGTGTACATGGAATCTATACAATTTCTAAAATGGAAATAATAACAGCTACTAAAAAGAGTGAGGTAGCTATGTATTGACATGGAAAGATGCCCACAATGTATTCAATGAGAAAAACAAGGTGCCAATCAAAAATAATAGTATGGGCCAGGTGCAGTGGCTCACGCCTGTAATCCCATCACTTTGGGAGGCCAAGGTGGGTGAATCATTTGAGCCCAGGAGTTTGAGACCAGCCTGGCTAACATGGTGAAACCCATCTCTACCAAAAATACAAAACTTAGCCAGACGTGGTGGCATGCATCTATAATCCCAGCTACTTGCGAGGCTGAGGCAGGAGATTCGCCTGAACGCGGGAGGCAGAGGTTGCAGCAAGCCAAGATTGCGCCACTGTACTTGAGCCTGGGCAATACAGTGAGACTCTGTCTCAAAAAAATAAAAATAAAAATAAATACTATGAATCTACTTCTGTTTAAAACAAAAATGTATAAATGTGATTATATAGATTAGACTATTTATTCAGAGAAAAAATGTGGAGGTAGACATCAAAGTAGTTATTTCTGGGAACTGATTATGTGGGACATAAAAATTTTGTTTAAAAATATGTGGAGCTATTTATAATTTTAAAATGTTAAGAAAACAAAATAGCTTTTTGTTTAGTCAGATAAAAAAAGAAATCCATTGTTTAGTCAGTGCTTCTGTTGTATTACAAAGAAACATTAAAAAAAAGATCACATTTTTAACCACACCTTGGAAGAGTACACCTTAAAAAATATTTTCAGGCTTGTCCATAACTGTGAGAAAACAAAGTTCTCAATGTACAAAATTCTGATGAGTCACATAAAATTTTATATAAAAGCCAAGCTGAAAAACTTACGCTGTGTATTCATAAGGAAGAACTGATTCCACTGAATCAAGTCTGTTCACAAATAGTTCTATTTCGGCCTGAAAATAAGGAAACACAAAATTAGAATATAAACAACAGGACACAAAGCCTTAAGTCATGCTTAGAATTAAAAAAGAATTTGACATGTCTGAAATGTAAAATGTTATAATTCCAGTCAACTTTAAACAATTCTCTTACAAATCCATTCACTGACTGGATTTATATACATTTAAAATATACCAAAGTAAGGCCAGGAATGGTGGCTCACACCTGTAATGCCAGCCCCTTAGGAGGCTGAGGTGGGAGATCACTTGAGGCCAGGAGTTTGTGACTAGCCCGGGCAATACAGCGAGACCCCGTTCCTACAAAAATTTTTTTTTAATTTTTTAAAATTAGCTGGGCACAATGGCATGAGCCTGTATTCCTAGCTACTTGTGAGGCTGAGGCAGGAAGATCACTTGAGCCCAGGAGTTTGAAGTTACAGTGAGCTATGATGGCGCCACTGCACTCCAGCCTGGGTGACAGAGCAAGGCTGTGTCTTAAAATTTTTTTAAATAATTAATTTTAAAAATACACAAATAATTTTCAGAGTTGCAAATGTCTCCAATAGTTTTTAAATGCTTTCTAAATTTTCTAAAAAATTAATAAGATATTTTAACTAAAAGCATTTATCATATTAATATAGATGCTGTTTTTAAAAATCTGGTTTCCAAATTTGGTATTACACTCTGCAGCACAAAAATTTTTAAACAAATTTTTTTAGCATTTTCACAGCAAGCAACCAAGAAATGCTGCCAAGTTGGTTAGAAATTTCTAGATTAACTATACTGGAAATACAATTCCATGCACATGTACTCTTAAACACACAGGGATAGCCAATGACCACATGGTCTAACTTTGAAGGACCTCTTCCATCAATTTAAGAACACTGAACTACAAGGTAGTAGCAGTGAAGAAGGTGGCAATGACCAGATCAAGCTCAACAACAGGGTAGAGGGAGATAAGCTGTATCAACTTCCTGGGAAATATAGGCTAATTTTAAGCTACACTTTCCTACTGAAGCTTCCAAAATTTCTCCCAGGTGTAGCTGAAGTCCTACAGGACCCATAACACTGACCCACCCTCTCAAAAAAGGAGCTCAGGCTACTCATGACAGAATTTACTAGCTGAAGAAGCCAGCAAGTCACGTGTGCCCTGAAGTACCTTTGGTGCTAATCAAAAAATGATTAAGAGCTGTTCAGCTGGGACAAGTATTTATTTTATAGAGTTAGAGCTGTACACTGCCTTTGGACTAGTCATGAGGCTTCTGGGAGTGCCACGGAGCCACACTTGTCATTTTGATTTCACTTACTAGTGCTGTCAACAGTCCTCTACACTTGCTAACATCCCCCAAAGCAAGACGAGACGGTTGGTGTACAATCAAAACAAATCAATAGTCCACTGCCACCAGAAAGGCAGCAAAACACAGCAGGCAAGATTACAGGTTCTGTGGTCAAACTGCCTGGGTTCAAATCCCGGGGCCATCACTTGTCTAACTGTGTGACTGTGGTCAAATTATTAAACATTTGACCACATGGGTCAAATGTGCTTCATGGGTGCTTCAGTTTCCTTAACTGCAAAATGAGGATAACAGTATTTCTCGGCTGGGCACAGTGGCTCATGCCTGTAACCCCAGCACTTTGGGAGGCCAAGGCGGGCGGATCACCTGAGGTCAGGAGATTGAGACCAGCCTGGTCAACATGGCGAAACCCCGTTTCTACTAAAAATACAAAATTAGCCGGGTGTATTGGCACATACCTGTAATCCCAGCTACTGGGGAGGCTGGGGCAGGAGAATTGCTTGAACCCTGGAGGCAGAGGTTGCAGTGAGCCAAGATCACACCACTACACTCCAGCCTGGGCAACAGAGCGAAACTCCGTTTCAAAAAAAAAAAAAAAACCAGTATTTCTCATAGGGATAGGGAGATTAAATAAGTTAACGTTTACAAAGTACTCCAAATAGTGCCTGACACATGAAATGCTATGCATTTGTTAAAATAAAACCAAATAAATTTAGTAATATTCAGAAGAGGGAAGTGTTCATCCACTAAAATGCTCACCCAATATTCATGCTATACAACAGAGGGCATTAGCCTTTGCATGTAATACCGACAACAGCATCATATGTGGCCCCTACACCTCTACTCAAGTGAAATTATAATGCAACAGCAACACAGACTTCAACACAGCTAACAAGGTAATAGGACATGATATTGTAGCAATACAGCATGCTTGAATTAACACAAATACATACAACCGTTGTGAAGACAAAATTCCCATTTAATGGCTTCCTTTGCCAAAATAATTTCCACTAATTAGAAAGGGTCAACACTGCTATGAAGATATGTCAGAATTCAAATGATCCATTTAACATAAAGAAGACTGAAGGGTCTCCAAAATACTAGTCCAGTTCCTATCTCTCGATTTCCTTCTAGGAAGGAATGCAGCTATTATACTCTACACAACTTTTCTATGTTTTGTTTTTCAAAATCTGTACAGCACTGTCAACACATAAGCCATGTCCCTCTTGCTACAATTAAGCGTATTCCTCACTCTCAACCTTTCTCAGCACGAAATGATTAAGAAGCAAGACTCTGAAGCTAGGCTGTGTGGGTTTAAATCCTGCCTCTGACACTAGTTGTGTGATTCTAGGCAAGTTTCTTCACTTCCCTGTTCCTCAACGTTCTGATCTGTAGAACAGAAGTGATAATAATCCCTACTTCAAGAAGTTTTTGAGAAGATTCAAGAGCAGCACCTGGCATAAAGTACCGTATTTACTATTACATAGCCATGTCCAGCAGAGTTTTAAGCAATGATGGAAATGTTCTTCAAATATGGTGGCCACCAGCCACATGTGGCTATTGGGCACTTGGAATGCAGTCAATGTAGCTGAAGAACTGAATTTTAAGTTGTATTTAATTAAATGTAAATAGTCCCAGGAGGCTAACGGCCTCTGTGTTAGACCAGAAACAGAAAGAACAGCACGGGAAAGAACAGCATGATGCTCAGCACCCTTTACGGCCATGTGTCACTTAACGACAGGGATGTGTTTGGAGAAACGTGTTATTAGGGGATTTTGTTGTGGGACTATCACAGAGCATACCCACACAAATCTAGATGGTGTAGCCTACTACACACCTGGGGGTATATATATGGTGTGGTCCATCACATACTTAAACAACATGGGATTGTACTAAATACTGTGGGCAACTGTTAACACAATGGTATTTGTGTAGCTAAACACATCTAAACATAGAATAGGTACAATCAAAATGCAGTCTAAAAGGAGAAAATGTTACACCTGCATAGGGCACTTACCATGAATAGAACTTGCAAGGCTGGAAGCTGCTCTGGGTGAGTGAGCGGTGAATGAATGTGAAGGCCTAGGACACTACTGTACACAACTGTAGACTTACACACTGTAAACTTAGGCTATGCTAAATTTTTTAAAAATAAGGTAATTACACTGTGATGTTACAATGGCTATGATGTCACTAGGCAATAGGAATTTTTAGCTCCATTATCATCTTATAAGGCCACTGGTCTGTCGTTGACCAAAACGTTATGCGGTTCATGACTGTATACAGTGTTTCTTCATCTATTTAACATTTTTCCTCTAGCCACTACAATCTTTTCTTTTCCTGGAAAAATGACGCTAATTTTATTAGTCTATCCAAGAGGCTGGCAAACTTTTCCTGTAAAGGGCCAGAGAGTAATGTCTTAGGCTTTACAGGACATTGGGTCTCTGCCACTGCCGTAGTGCAAAAGCAGCCGTAGACACTACATCCACAAGTGAGCATGGCTGTAGCCCAATAAAACTTTCACTTACGGCACTGATATTTTATTCTCATGTAATTTTCACTCATCCCTAAATATTATCCTTCTTTTGATTTGTTTTCTCCAACCACTTAAAAATGTAAAAATAATTCTTAGCCTGAAGGCCCTATAAAAACAAGCAGTAAGCTGGATTAGAATTCTAGTACTTCCTTCAGCACTGTTTTCCAGGTATTTTTCACTATTATTTGAATTCAAATCTCAGAGGGTCGAACACAAGGCATAAAGTTTGAAAGCCTGAGGCCATGTGAAAAATTTTAGGACACTGTCTCAGGGCATATAAATTTAGGGTAAATGTTTCTCCCATTTCTACCCAATTGATGAAGTAATACAAATTTTTGCTTAGCTTATGATGTCCTCTCTGAAGTTTCATGGGACAACTTTTGGCTCTAAGAGTCTAAGATTGAGGGAAAACATTATTCTCATTTTCTGCACTCTCTCCTATCTCCTTTGAGTCTCAATCTTCTGAATCACCTATCTCCTTGATCATGCCAGCTGCTCTTCTCAGGACCTTGCCCTATTCTCATATCCTTCTTAAAAGGCATGTCATAGAGAATTACAGCAAAGTTTAAGATTTACATGTTAAAGTTTCATGTAAGTATAGAATAACACTGTTACTTTCATTAGCCTTTCTACCCAGAAGCTTAAATTCTTCATGGACAGTTCTTTATTTCCTTCCTATGTTCTAAACTGACAGCTTGGAGCTCATCATCTCAAAAACATGGTAACTGTTTCTCTTCAGATATACTTTCTCAATTTGTCCTTGAGCAAATTAATTTACTTTTTGCTGTCTCATATAACTTGAAGAGAGCTTCTGAAAATATATTTTCATTAGCTTTACATTATGCTACATACAGAGATTTGTACCACTAGCAAATTAAAGTATTTCATGTGCATTCTCTTTTCTAAATTTAAAACCCAAATTAGCCTCAAGCACCAGTCCTGGAAATCTCCACTGTCAGCACTCCCCATGGATTTCTCTCACTCCACCTCACTCAGCCCTTAAGCCAACCCAAGCCACACTTCCTTTAAATTCCATTTTAACCTTTAAAAAACAATGTTGTCAAAACTTTAGAAATCAAACTCATTGGCTCCTTCTAAAACTACAGCAAATCTTCCAGTAACTCTAGAGACCAGGAAAACTTCTTTTCCAGAAACCATGTTAATCTTCTGTTTATAAAACTTGGTGTCATTTAAACCAATTACTATCACTCTTATTCCATTTCAGTACATAGCCCACGGGGGGTTTTCACACCCTTTCCTCCCTCATTTTCTTATCTACATGTTATTAGTTTTTATCCATCTACGTTTGGCATTTCATCTAATATCTAATACCCATTAAATGTACCTTATTTGTCAACCCTTCCTGATCTGATGAAGCAGCTTCCAATTCTCCTTAGAAAGAATGTATCATCAGAATGCTGGGTTCACTTCAAATCCTAGGTCTACTTTTATTAAGTGCTCTTGGGCAAGTAATAATTTTGAATGTGGGAACTGAATGATATCATAATAAAATAGAAAACAGTACACGCAGAAGCTGGTCCATAATTGGCACACAATAACTATAACAAATAATAAACATAGCAGCTGTAATCTATTATCTTAAAGAAACTGCCATTCCTGAGTCTGAATAAAGGTTTATCAGCATAAGGGTTTCTGTGAAAGGCTCTTCCTTCCTCTCGTCTCCCATCCATCCAAGTAGTGCAACTAGGCTATTCCAGTGTTTTTAAAGGACACTAAGACAGTCAGCCTTCTGAACCTTATTAATGCCTATCCATTATACTTGTCCTGGCCACTAGTCTAGGGAAAAGGAAGATAATAACTATCACGCACAATTCTGATAGTAGCCTCATGAACTAGGGATTCCTTGCTTCTTTAACACGAGGAAACAAGTTAAAAAGCTGGACTGCAGAAACAAAGTAGGTAAACTCAACTGTTGCTACCGTAACTTTTTATTTCTGATGCTTTTATTCCTCTACTTTTCTTCCTTCTTGTCTCTTCTGACACCTTTCCACACTACTTTTGTAAGAAAGTCTATCATAGATATCAACACTAAATTATGGACCTATTTTTGATGTTCAGCAAAGTAATCAAACACAGCTTGAATATTCAGTTCATCTTAGCTTTCACAGCACTTTTATTCTTCCTTTTCTAAATTGTGAGGATCTGAAATTTCAAGAATTACCATCTCACACATGCTGAGGAATGTGAAGTCAATTAAAATTAAAGTCAACCTTAACACAGAATATAGAATACAGCCATTTACAATATATTTGTAAATATGCTACATTTGCAATAACTCTAAATATCAACTCTTGCAGCAAGACAAAGAAATTTCAAAAGTGTCATAAGAATGAGATCCTCCTAATATGTCAGTGGAACAATTGTTAAAAATTGGAAGAAAGGAAATGAGACTGCCGGGGAGTTTATATAGTTCAATAAAGAGCTTCAAGCTGAACCATGTGAAAGTATGCCACAGATGTCATGACATTCACCCCTATAAAACATAAATACACACAAATAAGACAAGTATGAAAAAATGTAAACAACTGTTGATTCTAGGTGGTCTAGGTGAGTGAAAGGTGATCATTACACTACTCTTTCAACTTTTTGAATTTTGAAAACTGTCACAATTAAAAGCCAGAAAAAGGGCTTTGAAGTTGAGAGTAGACCTTAGTCTCACTGTAAAGCAACAGAAGGCAAACAAAAACAATAAGAAAGATTTAAAAAGTAAAATTTAGGGTGGAAAAGTGTTCCAGGAGCAGGAACGATGATCTCAGGAGAAGCCAATTTATTAAATAGGAAAAAAATAGTAGAATTTGCAATATATTTGAAAACCAAAGAACATTTACAACAACAGATCCTGAAGACCACGAGAAACTCAATCAGCCAATACATGTATTTAATGCCCACAAAGTCCTATACTAGACATTTTGGATGACAAAATAATACAAATTCATGAACACTTGCCTTCAAAGAATTTATAATCCAGATGGAAACACAACGCATGTGTTTGAATATATGTCCTTGTCTAAATCTCATGTCAAATTGTATTCTCCAGTGTTGGAGGTGGAGCTTGCTGGGAGGTGACTGGATCATGAGGGTGAATTTCTAATGAATGGTTTAGCACCATCTCTCTTGGTGCTGTCCTCCTGATAATGAGTTCTTGTGAGATCTGGTTGTTTGTAAAGTGTGGCACCTGCCCCCACTCTCTCTTGCTCCTGTGTAACCATATGACACGCCTGCTCCTGCTTCATCTCCTGCCATGAGTAAAAGCTTCCTGAGGCCTCCCCAGAAGCAGAGTGATGTCGGTGCATGCTTGTACAGCCTGCAGAATCGTGAGCCAATTAAACCTCTTTTCTTTATAAATTACCCAGTCTCAGGTATTTCTTTATAGCAATGCAAGAAGAGCCTAACAAAGAAAATTGGTGCCGAGGATGGGGTGTTGTTATAAAGATACCTGAAAATGTGGAACTGGTTTTGGAACTGGGAAACAGGCAGAGTTTGGAGGGCTCAGAAGAAGATAGGAAGATGAGGCAAAGTTTGGAACTTCTTAAGAGACTGTTTAAATGGTTGTGACCAAAACATTGATAGTGATATGGACAGTAAAGTCAGGCTGCTGAGGTCTGAGATGGAAATGAGAAGGTTACTGGGAACTTGTGCAAAGGTCACACGTGTTACGTCTCAGCAAAGAGCTTGACTTGCATTCTATTCATGCCCTAGGGATCTGTGGAACTCTGCACTAAAGAGTGACAACCTAGTATATATGGTAGAAGAAATTTTTAAGCAGCAAAGTATTCAAGAGGTAACCTGGCTGCTTCTAACAGCCTATCTTAGCTGAAGGGTCAAATAAATGATTTAAAGCTGGAATTTATATTTAAACAGGAAGCAGAGCACAAACATTCAGAAAATTTGCAGCCTAACCATGTGGCAAAGAAAAAAAAAGTTTTTTCTGGAGAGAAATTCAAGCAGGCTGTGGGGCAACCGCATGCTACAGATATCTGCATAACTAAAAGGGAGCCAAGTGCTAATATCCAAGACTACGGGGAAAAGGCTTCAAAGGTATTTCAGAGACCTTTGCAGCAGCCCCTCCCACCACAGGCCCAGAGGCCCAGGAGGACTGAATGGGTTTATAGGTCAGACCCAGGGCCCCACTGCCCTGTGCAGCCTTGGGATCCCAGCATTCAGGCCACTCCAGCTCCAGCCATGGCTCAAAGAGGCTGAGGTACAGCTTGGGCTGCCATTTACAGAATGCAAGCCGTAAGTCTTGGTGGCTTCCATGTGGTGTTAAGCCTGCAGGCACACAGAGTTCAAGAGCGAAGAATGCTTGGCAGCCTCTGCCTAGATTTCAGAGGATGAGAAAACCTGGGTGCCCAGGTAGAAGCCTGCTGCAGGGATGGAGCCCCCACAAAGCACCTTTAGTAGGGCAGTGTGGAGGGGAAATGTGGTGTTGGAGCCCCATTCAGAGTCCCCGCCAGGGTACTGCCTAGTGGAGCTGTGAGAAGGGGGACATTGTCCTCCAGACTCCAGAATAGTAGATTCATTGGCAGCTTACACCCTGTGCCTGGAAAAGCTACAGGCACTGAACAACCTGTGAGAACAGCTGTGGGGGTTGAACCTTGTAAAGCTACAATGGTGGAGCTGCCCAAGGCCTGGGAATATTTACCCAATGCCTATAGCCCCTTTGTGTCTTGGAAGTAAGTAACTTGTTTTTGCTTTTTTATTTTACAGGCTCATAGGTAGAAGGGACTTTCCTTGTCTCAAATGAGACTTGGGCTTGGGACTTTTGAATTAATGCTGCAGTCAGTTAAGATTTTGGGAGACTATTAGGAAGGCATGATTGTATTTTGCAATATAAGAAGGACATGAGATTTGAGTATTTTTCCCCACTCAAATCTTATGTCAAGCTGTAATCCCTAATGCTGGAGGTAGGGCCTGGTGGGAGGTGACTAGATCATGGGGGTAGATGTCTAATGAATGGGTTGGCACCACTCCCTTGGTGCTGCCCTCATGATGGTGAGTGAGTCCTTGTGAGATCTGCTTGTTGTAAAGTGTGGCATCTCGCTCAACAGAAAACTCTTTCACTCCTGCTTTTACCATGTGACATGCCTGCTCCTGCTTCACCTTCTGCCATGAGTAAAAATTTCCTGAGGTTCCCACTAGAAGTCGAGCGATGTCCGTGCCATGCTTGTACAGCCTGCAGAACTGTGGGCCAATTAAACATCTTTTCTTTATAAATTACCCAGTCTCAGGTATTTCTTTACAGCAACACAAGAACAGCCTAATACAGCATATATTAAAAAAAAAATGACAGCACTTATTTATATGTTCTTGGAGTAGCTACTGAATCTCTGGGGTGTGTGTGTGTGTGTGTGTGTGTGTGTGTGTGTGTGTGTTTTGTTTGCCTTTTTTTTCCCACTCTAAACATCTTTATTCACCATCCAAAAGAGTTAAGTCCATCTCCTCCCAGAAATTTGCCTTAAATAGAGACAGATGACTCTAGATTATCACTGATGTGACTAGAAAGAACTTCAAGGTTTACTTGCTTCACATTCCCACTTTCAAACTGTCCCCACCTAGGTTATTTCAAGCATGCAAAATTTTGACAACATGAAACATTTTAAGGAAGTTGCAGAATCCTATGTCACTTAGAGAAAGCAAGACTGATTACAATCCTGTACTATGAAATGTTTTATAGAAGTGGTTTTATTTAGAACTCTACAGTCTTCCTTTTAAATTTCTCTCCTAAATGTACAATTTTATTTCTAGTCCTAATCTGCCAGTTCCATACCTGATCCCAGCTATGGTCACAACTAGTCTATTTTTTTGTTTTAACAAGGCACACGGGCCATGCCACAGGACTACACTTTTTCCCATTTCCTAGTTCGTTTCTGCTTTTATTCCCACCTTATTCTGCTATCATCACATCTGTCCCACCCCACACTTACAACTGGATTTTCAAGGGAGAAAGAAATTTCAGTGAAGAGATGTGACTGTACAAGGGTCATGGCAAATGACAAGTCACAAAAGGGTTTGAGATATGGAGGCCATAAAAAAGGAAATCTATGGAAGCTTCAACTCCTTAATATTAGAGCAGTCCACAGTGGCGCCTTCCTGAAGAAGGGAAGTCTTAACTCAGGCACAATAAAAGTCTCAAAAGCAATGCTGGGACTCACAAATGCTTATTTATGAGCTCTGAGTTATCCGATCAGCAATGCCCAGCAACTGATCTCCTAGATAATTACCAGGGTTCTTTCCCCAAAGCCCTGAAAAATACAATTTCAATTTTAGACTATATCAACGAAAGAAGTAAATATAAAACCTGACTACTTAAAAATTACACAGACACATCAAAGCTGCAATGAGTTATGACTGCACCACTGCACTCTAGCCTGGGTGACAGAGCAAGACTGTTTCTAAAAAATAAAATAAAATGAAAATTACATATAATAGATACAGAGTGTTTTCTGGAACTGTCAAAGTCCAGGGTGATAAGCGGTCAGGGATCCCCAGGGGAAAGGCAAACAAGAAGAAGAGTGCTCAGAGTAGAAGGCAGTGGCGAAGAGCCTAGGCTTTTTGGACTCAGTCTTGGGCTTGTTTGCATTCTGGCTTTAATACTTACTAGCTTTGTACACTTGAGACAGCTACTAAATCTTATTGAGCTTCTGTTTCCTCATCTAAATATCACAGAGATGTTATGAAATTTAGCTAAGGCATATACAACACACACAAATCGTAGTCTTTACCATTATTATTAGCAAAGGGCAATAAACAGGTTTGAAAAGTGAGAAGAGGAGCAAAAAGAGAAAAAATTCACAAATTTCCTCCAAAGCCTTTCATAGATAGTTAATTTTAATGAAAATAGAATGAAATTGTTGGATACATGTAAAGCAGCTAAAATTAACTACAAAACTTACTGAGAGACCATGGTGACAGGAAGCTACAGGAGAGAATAGGGAAGTAAGGGTTTGGGCAGCTGGGCTCTAAGGCTGACAGTGCACAGACCAATCTCTGTAGTGCCGATGTGTGTCTGTGTGTTTGTGTTGGGGGTGTGAGGTGTGGAACATATATCTGTGATTTGTTTCAGACGTTCCAGTTTACACCTTTGGAAGTTCAAGTTTACACCCACTTTGGTGAGGGGCCACAGGCAGAAAGACACAATTTTATTCATAGACTTTTGTTGCTTTCTTGATTCTAACTCTCAGATTCACTATAATGAACAATTACAGTCTTAATTTTACTTAAAAATCTAATTTCTGAAAGGCAAACTATCTCAGTTTAACATACCTTTTCAGAAGAAGAAGAAACAATTGCTGGAATGTATATTTACCATAGTCAAAGTAAGTCCTTCCAGTGCCAGATTTCAGATTTGAAAGAGCAACACCCAAACACTAATGAGTTCCCAGAAGCTAAGAATCAATGCTCTTATTCCAGAGAGAACTGTGAGAATGTGAAACTACATATCGATAAATATTTATCACTATACCAATAAATACACATACAGATTTTTTTTCTTTAAGTATTTCAAAATCTTCAAACTACTTCTATGGTCAAATTAAAACAGGTACATATATATTCATTCTGTGTCCGTTCAGATCAACATTCAGGACTATTTTCTTAAAGCTGACTCATTCCAATATTTATACACAACTGCTCCCAGAATAACAAACACAACTTATAAAATGCTTCTAAAAATAACTACCAAGAAAGGAAAGTATGACTGAGTAATTTTCCTTTTTATTAAAAAGTTGTTAAACTAATTCATTTAAACATTGTTTTTAACCACTAGGGGGTATAATTGGTCATTTTTCCTTACAGCAAAGGAAAAAAAATCTTAATCTTTCATCTAAGAACGTGATCTATCCATCAAACAGTAAAAAAGTGGCAGACATTTTGGAGAATTAATACTATTTTTAGTTCTTAGTTCTGAATTCTGGTTGACAACCCAGTAATTACTTGAAAGTTGAAAGCAGCAAAGGTGAACTGCTCACTAATCTTCACCTCTTAGCCATCAGAATGCCACTCGGCACACTAAGATTTGATTTAAAGCTAAAAAGCACAAAGCTAACTGAAATAGTCAAAACTTTTACAAACTAAATTAGAACTGTGGATTTTATCCTGGAATATCTAGTCACTTATAATCAGGGCTTTATTCTACTTATTTCAGTCACACAGTGTCCCTTGATTTTAAGAAAGTAAAGTGAATTCTACAGGAAAGGAATACCATAGCTCAATCTTTTATTACTATGGTTTCAAAACGTAACAAAATAAGGCAAATAAAAGAAAAATATTAAAAGACACAGAAATTTCAATAGCAATGAAAGTAAAACATTTAAAAAGTGTACAGGCTGGGCGTGGTGGCTCACGCCTACAATCCCAACACTTTGGGAGGCTGAAGTGGGTGAATCACCTGAGAGCTCAGGAGTTCGAGACAAGCCTGGCCAACGTGGTGAAACCCCATCTCTACTAAAAATACAAAAATTAGCCGGGCATGGTGGCAGGCGCCTGTAATCCCAGCTACTCAGGGGGCTGAGGCAGGATAATTGCTTAAACTCAGGAGGTGGAGGTTACAGTGAGCCAAGATCGTGCCACTGCACTCCGGCCTGGGTGATAAGAGCAAAACTCCGTCTCAAAAAAAAAAAAAAAAAGTCTTAGGGACCATCACATCACTATTAAATTGATAAATAAAAATTAAAATGATGTGGCAACACAAGGTATTATTTAGTTAAAGGAAATCAAACCTATCATTGTTGAAAGAAATCTGGCAATACTAAACAGAACTAAAAACTTCTTCTTGTCTTTACCTAGAATTTTATATTTGGGGATATGCAAATAATTACTGCTAAATACACTGTAGCAAAGCTATTCATAATAGAGAAAAATTGGGCCCAATCTAAAGGCCCTACAAGTAAGAATGGTCAGGCAAACCACAGATTGTACAGGAACAGAATGAAATAGTATCGGCTATAAAAAGCAATAAGAATGTGCACCTCCTCAATATCCAAATGCACGCACATGTAAAATAAGTTAAAAAAAGGAGGCCATGAAAACATACTCACAGTATCTATGAAGGCTAAGAAAATTAATCAGAAGTTACAGCAATATAAATAGAATTTTATATTCACTGGACTCCTGTTTCTCTGCCAGTAAATTCAACATAAGATAATTTTTAAAGAGAGAAAATTACTAAATCCTCAGCATTCTTCTGATTCTCTCTCAATTTACATCCTGAGCTAAATGCATGAGACAAACTTTACAGTACATAAAAACACTCTACTACCTAAATTATATATAAGTTGAAGATATATTTGTTTCATCTCTACACTATCACAACAATGACAAATATTGCACTTTTCCTCTAAGAAATGCAAAATACCTTTCAAGGGGAATATGTCATAATCAAATATGATTATCCCTATTTTACAGATGGAAAAACTGTTGGTAACAGTATCAATGACCTGCCCAATTTCTCCAACTTCAGATTCACTAACTTAACAGCATCTTTTGGAAAAAATTATTTCCATTTCACAACTCTCATTTCTAATTTTTAAAAGAAGTTCCTTCCACTTTTCTGAATAATGTGTACAAGACTGTCCTCCTTAACAAATACGAAATAGATGAGAATAAATTATTAACATCCTGATTGAAGTAATACAAATTTCAACTGTTTACTGTTATTTATAGCATCTTCTTTGAAAGGCAAAGAAAATAAATATTAAAGTGTATTTCAAATTCTCTACACCAGTTAGTCATATCGCAGGAAAAAAGCTGAAAGTACACCCTCCTGCTCTTCTAAGAGTTGTTTCCATTAACCAGATGTGAGTGTAGCTGGCAATAAAGATAAAAATCCAAACATTTCGGAAAAATGATCTGCTCTGCCTGTTTTATCCCTATACCTATGAAAATTAAACATCCAAAATGACTCCCAAGATTAACTAAAAAATAACTAGAATACAACCTAGCCACTTACCAAAGGACCTGTTGAGAAAACAATCATCTAACTGGAAGACCACCTATAAGTTTCACTTATTCATTTTCTAAGTCCATCTCAAATGTCACTTCTTCTTCTTTTTTTTTTTTTTTTTTTTTTTGAGACAAAGTCTCGCTCTGTTGCCCAGGCTGGAGTGCAATGGCGCGATCTCAGCTCACTGCAACCTCCACCTCCAGAGTTCAAGCGATTCTTCCTGCCTCAGCCTCCCGAGTAGCTGGGATTACAGATGCCCGCCACCACGCCCAGCTAATTTTTGTATTTTTAGTAGAGACGCGGTTTCACCATATTGGCCAGGCTGGTCTTAAACTCCTGACTTCAGGTGATCCACCCGCCTCGGCCTCCCAATGTGTTGGGATTACAGGCGTGAGCCACCACACCTGGCCCTGTCACTTCTTCTATAGAGCTTTCCCTAAAGACTCTAGTCCACTGATGTTTCCTCATTTTGTTTTAGCACACTTTGGACATCATCCTGTGTAACAGATCAGATTTCAATAATCTGTTCATAAGCTTATGTCCCTTACTTTGAGGTTCCCAGAGGGCAGGAAATATATTTTTCATCTTTGAGGCACTAGGAATAGAATATACAACTGCTGTTAAAGTAAGACCAAACACTAGGCCTTAAAGGTTGGTTACTAAAATATTTAATGGAAAAACCAGTGTACTTGCAAGTCTAGATCTTCCACTTGGAAGCACAACAACAGTCTTTCAGTCAGAATCCTCAAAAAGGAGTGAAAGCTTCTTGCACTGCAGAGTATGAACTTAAGTACTGAAACACTAACTGCAGACTTGAGTAAACCTTAAATATCCTTAGATATTTTTTCAGATACAAGGTTTTGCACAGATGTATAAACATGTCATTCAAGATAGCTGACAACCTAAAAAGAAACTGCAAAATGTTATGAAAAATTTAAAGCTTATCTAATGCCCTAAAATAACCTCAAAATTCACAGCTATAGTAAAGCTAACTGTAATAAACACCAGCTTAAAAAAATCAAACTTAATAAATAAGCCTATTTATAGATTGTAAACGTTTGTTGAACGATTATTTGAATTGTTGAAATCATTAAAGGTTTCAAAGAGATCCTCATCCCCCAAATGTTAAGTTTTAAATAAACTTAACGAAATAATTGTGTATGTATACTGTAAAGCCCTACACCATATAACCTAAAAGCAGGTTACTTTATTTACGCCTCTTTTACTAGCAATTAAACTGAAAACCTTGAGTGTGAATGTTGTAAGAGATCAAAGTTTTCAAGACTTGCCCTAGGAAAACACCAGTTTCTCCCACCATTTGCCCCTTTTAAGTGTTTAAAACCATCTCAGAGAAAATAGTGAGACCTCGTATCTTTTTTTGTGTATTAAAATCTTTTACACTTAAAACTCAGAAATCAAGTGCCTCAACCATTACAGCAACTCTTTATTAATGCACTTTGTGTGGCTCTGGGTGTTATACTCCACAAATAAGGAACCAACTTCTAATTGTGAAGCGAGATATCAAAGTCCTAGAAAGAACAAGCTCTCCTAACCAACTAGAAGGTTCCAGGAAAATGCAATTAAACAGGAAGCAATGAAGTTAAAAGCTAATGGAAACTGTTAACTAGGCTGAGTGTTGCTCACATGTAGGGAGTCGGTCACCCGCTTCCTCAGCGTACATGTTACAGGGCTGTGAGCGAACACTCACGCGTGGACCTGCATACATCCAACTCCAAAGCTCTGAGGCGTGAAGCCCAACTCCAAGGGCGCTCCACACGGTCCCTGTTCCAGGAAAACTGAATACAGCTGCTCGTGCCACTTGGCCCGCAAGACGGGAGGCGAGTCTGAGGCCCACTGCGTCCTCCAGAAACTACCCTTGCAAGGGCTGTTTCAGAGCCCCCCACCCACAGCCCAGCAGACCCCAAAAGCTTCTGGGGAAACTCAACCCCACCCGCTGCTACGCCCCCTTCCCTCGCTCCCACCCGAGGATCAGCTCCCCCGGATAGGGACGACTTCCCCTTCCAACAGTGCATCAGAGGGCTCGTCAGGCCTCACCCACCTTGCACTCGTCGCTCTTTTTTTCTTCGTCGCAGAAGTTGACGGGCGCCAGGCCGGGCAGGTAGAAAGCGCCGCTCCGGCGCGGGCCAGGAACCGCCCCCAGCAGGAGCAGCGACAGCAGCAACAGCCGCGGCCACCGAGGTGGAGACAACACCGGCAGCCTCGCGCTCATGATAGTTGTTTCGGGGAAAGGGCAATCAAACCTAGGGGGTCAAGAGGGAAGGAGGGGTGGGGAGTCTCGGAGACGACTACAAGGCCGCCAGAGATAAAGGAAGCCGGCCCCCAGAAGGCTAGTTCCGGTTGCGCTAGGAGACACCCCGGGTCCCGCAACAGAAACCGAAGCGGACCGCAACAGAGCATGCGCACCGCCGTCTGCACATGCTCAGTGAGAACGGTCGCAGGCACCAGGAGGAGTTTCCGGGAGGGAGCGGGGGCGAAATCCACTTTCCGGGTTTTCCGCGCGCCAGCTGAGGTGGTTGCTGGGAGAGGTGGTTGCTGGGAGAGCTGTTCCGGCGCTCACGTTCCAATTCCAAATTACAAATTCCGATCTAGAGCTCCCACGCTTGGGGGCTGTGGAGCGCTCGCCAGCCGCTCCCCGTTTGCTGCTGGGTCTTACGAAGTTCTCATATCCATCATACAGTTTCTTTGTCACACTGTCCGCGGCACGCCAGTCCCTATGACAGAAAGCACCTGCGGTCTGTCTGGAGGCGGAGTTGGTGGCGGAGAGAAAAAGTTCTGGAGACACCTGGTTGGGAGCAGGCTAAGGAAACAAATGGGGAGGAATTAGCCACAAATCCTCAAATAGACAGCTACTCAAAGGCATCTTCACGGACAATTTCCAAGCATTGGATGCAGTGGTGCATTCTTGCATTGGGCAGTGATTGTGTGCACACATCTCTTTAAGGGAGAGTGGAAATGGGGTGAGGAGGAAAATGGGAGTAGGATAGAGTGTAGCGTTGACATTTATTTTCTTTAAAGGAAGACCCGAGCATACCTGAGAGCTCAGTGAAGAAAGTAGTTCTGGCGAATCGGATTAATATGGTATGATCAGCCTTTAGCAAGATTCTATCACTTTTCCCACTGATGATGTGAGACGGTGTCCGCGTGTGTAAGTGCACACACGTGTGTGTGTGTGTGTGTTGCATCTTCTGAGTATTTTTCAAGGAGAAGCTTTTTAGTGATCTGAAAAAGTCAATTCAGTTAGCCACTAGAGTTCAATCAAAAACTTCGGAAGAGTGCATCATCTTAAAGTACATAAGAGAGAATCATGACCTCCAGCTCAGAATTCAAGAATAGGCAGGTTTGTGAAATAGTAAGCTCAGAAAGTTGAGGGCCAGTGAACTCCTATTTCAAGTTCTTGCGGGTGTTTGTACTTTTTTCCCAGGTAAGGTTTATAACTTTCATCAGATTTTCAAAGGGACCTAGGACCCTGCAAATTGATCCATATAGTGGGGTAGCCAAGTTAATCAAGAGAACTGGGAAGTAGAAAAGAACGTTCATCTTAAGGTTGTTGTGAAGATTAAATCAAAAATGGAGGGAAAGTGCTGAGCACATAGCTTGGCCCAAGGAATGGCACTTTTTTTTTTTTTTTTGATAACAAAAACTAATCTGGTAGGGCCTGAGCAGAAAATTGTGCCTAGGTGGCTTCCCTTTCATGTCCTCTCCCTCAAATAAATCAACATATTCGCTGAACTTTGGGATAGGGAAAAATTGTAAAATATTCTGTATTTGGAAGTCATGGAGATTTCCAATATAACAAAAGGAAGCAGACGTTTTCTCCAAATATTAAGAGGAGGAAACAAAAATTAACATTTTTGCTCACTATCTTCTTTTCCTAGCACCACTGAAACTTGACCTTCGGCCGGCGCGGTGGCTCACGCCTGTAATCCCAGCACTTTGGGAGGCCGAGATGGGCGGATCACGAGGTCAGAAGATCGAGACCATCCTGGCTAACACGGTGAAACCCCGTCTCTACTAAAAATACAAAAAAATTAGCCGAGCGTGGTGGCGGGCTCCTGTAGTCCCAGCTACTTGGGAGGCTGAGGCAGGAGAATGGCGTGAACCCGGGAGGCGGAGCTTGCGGTAAGCCGAGATCGCGCCACTGCACTCCAGCCTGGGCGACTGAGCACGACTCCGTCTCAAAAAAAAAAAAAAAAAAACAAAAAAAAAACTTGACCTTCATTATATCTCACTGCCCTCATCCCAAACATTTCCTCTCCCAGTTTTCCAGGAAACGGCATCGCTGCCCATCTCTTTTCAGGCCCCAACCCTGGAGAAGAACCTAAATTTCTCATTTCCTCACTACCTACCTCCAGTCCTTCAGCAGGTCCCGTTGGTTGGGCTGCTAAACTATGGGCTAAATCCTTTCAGTACTTTCCATGCCCACAGCTACCACTCTGGTCCAAGCCAAATTCTTAGTTCCCCTGGACTTCTTACTGCAGTAGCCTCTCAGCTTCCACTCTTGGCAAAATCAATTTTATAAAACCTTGAAATCCCTTAATACCACTCGTCTGCTTAAACCTCGGCATCCCACATTTACCACTATCAGGAAGGATCACGTTTGTTTGTTTGCTGTCTCATTCCCCCATTTATATGTGAATTCCACGGGTAAGGGCCTGCTCCTACATCCCACACCTCTACATCCACAGAGCCTAGAGACCGCAGGCGCGGGGAAAGCACTCCACGACCATCACTGGCCAGGCCACAAGAGTGCTGGATCTAAATTTGGAACCGGACTTTCAGAGCTGAAATAAACCTGAGGTTTTCCAGGGGCTTTTAACCTCCTTTTACAGCCAAGGATGCGCCTAAGAAAGGGGAGAGGCTTCCGTGACTTCCTGCAGTAACGCAGCCACTAGAGATTGAGACTACAACGACTTGGGAGTCTAAAAGTCTGCAACCTTTTCCACTCCAGAGCTCAATGTTTCCTCAATCCCCCGGGATCGGCATCAGCAAAAACCCGGAGAAGCGGAGCCTTTCTCAAAGAAAATGACCTCCAGACTCATGCTACCATCTCGACCGGTGCAAGTATCACGCATGCGCAGGGCCGGCCGCCCGGCCGCACCTCGCCAACTCCTACTCGGACACGTCATCTAGGTCGGCCTGGGTCTGGTGGGAGGGGCCGGGGGCGGGGCTCGTACGCGGGGCGAAGTGGTCCCCCTACTTCCGGATCCGGCCTCACCTGGCCAACGCCTCATTCGGGGTTCCTTGGTTACGTGGCTGCGGTGTCTACCCGGTGCTGGGGCGTGGCGGAGAGAGACCGCCCCGCCCTCCACGCAGGCCACAAAATGGAGGCCCTGCCCTGTGGGCTTTTGTGGCCTGGGCGCTGTCGTGCCGAAAGACGAAAGTGACAATTCCAGTTGCAAACTGGAAAGAAATGGAGTTTTTCCTTCATTCTCCCCATGATCGTGACGGTCCTTTTCTCAAAGTACTAATACTTTTAATGGGACTGTAAAACTTGAGGGATATGACTCTCTCCTCTCCTCTGCTTCAGATTGCATTTGCCAACTCTGATTTACCGCCAATACTATGGTGCTGTCATATTCATAGAGACAGAAAGTAGAGCAGTGGTTGTAGAGAGAGTCTGCAGAAGGAGGGATGGGGATTTACTGTTTAATGGCATACGGTTTCAGTATGGGTTGGTGAAAAAGTTGGGATGAATGGTGATGACTGCACAACAATGCAAATATGCTAATGTCACAGAAGTGTACACTTAAAAATGGTTAGACGGTAAGTTTTCTATTATGTATATTTTACCACAATTTTTTTTTAAATGCAACAGAGTCTCGCTGTTGCCTAGGCTGGAGTGCAGTGGCAGGATCTCAGCTCACTGCAACCTCCGCCTTCCAGGTTCAAGCGATTCTTGTGCCTCAGCCTCCCAAGTAACTGGGATTACAGGTGCCAGCCACCACGCCCAGCTAATTTTTGTATGTTTAGTAGAGATGGGGTTTCACCATGTTGGCCAGGCTAGGCTGTTCTCGAACTCCTGAACTCAGGTGATCCGCCTGCCTTGGTCTCCCCCAGTGCCGAGATTACACGCGTGAGCCACCACGCCGGGCCCCACAGTTTTTTGTTTTTGTCTTTTAAATTTTTTTTAACAGCATTTGTGTCTTTTTTTCTTTTTCTTTTGTTTTTGAAACAGAATCTCACTCTGTCACCAAGCTGGAGTGCAGTGGCGCCATCTTGGCTCACTGCAACCTCTGACTCCCTGGTTCAAGCAATTCTCCTGCCTCAGCCTCTCCAGTAGCTGGGGTTACAGGCACGCACCACCCCGCCCAGCTAATTTTTGTATTTTTAGTAGAGATGGGGTTTCACCATATTGGCCAGGGTGGTCTCCATCTCCTGACCCCGTGATCCACCTTGCCTTCCCAAAGTGCTGGGATTACAGGTGTGAGCCACTGCACCCAACCTAAATGGCATTTGTTTCTTCCACTCCTCTCTGCCAGAATAATTTGGACAGCCTTTTCTGAGTTTCCCATGACGACTTCTGTATAAGATTGTCGGATATAGCAAATAAAAGTACAGTATACCCAGGTAAATTTTAATTTCAGATGATCAATGAATAATTTTTTAGTATAAGTACATTCCAACTATTACATGGGACATAAGGGTATTTTATCTGATCACCCTACTTTTGTGTCAAGTTAAAATTATTAGCAAAAGTGCTTCCGTTTTTAGGAAGTGCACACTGTACTCTAGTAGTTAGGCAGGAGAACAGGGTCTGCGAGCAGGGAACCTAAGGCCGTTTCACACTGACTTCCTAGAGCCATTTGGAAAGGAAAACCCTAACTTTCCACTCCTAAGTAACAAAAGGCCCAGAGGCCACTCCCTTTGCAAACCCCCACCTTTTCTGTGCCGCAGCTGGAAAATTGAAAGTGCCTCTGATTGGTTGCTTTCTGCAACTAATCAGATGTTTGCATAGAGTGTAACTTTGTAACTTCACTTCAGCCTCTGATTGGTTGCTGTCCCCAACCAATCAGACTGATTGTGGGCCAAGGCTTCGTTTGAATAGAAGTGCAACTTTGTAACTTCACTTTAGCCTCTGATTGCAGGCCACCACTTCATTTACATGGGGTGAGCACCAAGTAAGTGGCCAATGGGAAACATCTAGAGGGTATTTGGACCCGAGAAGATTCTGTATCTGGGGCCCTTGAGCTGCTGCTCAGCCTGCTCCCACACTGTGAAGTGTACTTTCACTTTCAATAAATCTCTGCTTTCCTTGCTTCATTCTTTCCTAGCTTTACTGTGCGTTTTGTCCAATTATTTGTTCAAAACGCCAAGAACCTGGACAACTTGCTGTCCGCAACCAATCAGACTGATTGTGGGCTGAATCTTCATTTGCATGGAAGTGCAACTTTGTAACTTCACTTTAGCCTCTGATTGCGGGCCACCACTTCATTTACATGAGGCAAACACCAAGTAGGTGGCCAATGGGAAACCTCTAGAGGGTATTTGGACCTGAGAAGATTCTGTATCCGGGGTTCTTGAGCTACTGCTTGGGCTCACTCCCACACTGTGAAGTGTACTTTCACTTTCAATAAATCTCTGCTTTCCTTGCTTTGCAGTGCGTTTTGTTCAATTCTTTGTTCAAAACCCCAAGAATCTGGACAACTTGCACTCAAGACCCTCTACGGGTTTGGCGAGCCAGGTAGGAGGAAGCCCAAAGTATGGGATTTATTTTTCTCCTTTCTTCTTTTCCTCTCTGCTACATACAGGGGAATCTTTCTCTCTTTCTTTTCCTTTCCAACTCGGGACTCTTGGTGAACAGTGCCTAAGCATAGTGACAACTGCAAGTTTCTGGCCAGAGCCTCTCTCTGGTGAAACTGAAAGGCTTCCATGTGGAAGCGTCTGAGTAACACCACTGGGTTTGGGTGAGGGACCTGAGTCCTTTTCCTTGTTTTTGTTTTTCTGAGTCCTATTCCTTTTTTCCTTTTTCTGAGTTATTTCCCTTTTTTTCTTTTCCAGTCTTTCAGTGGCTGTTTTCTAGTAGCTCCTTGGCAATTGAGGGGAACTGGCTGGGACCACTCTCCAGTGCTGTCTGAAGGCCAAGGAGTGAACAGGGATGGCTGCCCTGCCTTGAAGAGGGAAGGACTCTTTTCTATCCTTTCCAGCTATAGTCCCTGATCCCTACATGTGATGCGGTTGGCAGCGGAAGCTCATCCTGGGCGAACTCACACACTTTTCAGGAGACTTAAACCTTTTCTTATGCTAAGTTCTTCCCTTCCCCTACTCATCTGGCTAAAGGACAGACTATGCAAAAAAGGTTATACAAGTCAGAGGGTCTGAGCATGTCGGAGGTGGTCTGTGTGGGGCATGGGGTGGGGGGAAAATTCATGAAAGGCAATTTATTGCCTAAATTTAAAGGGTTAAAGGGTTGCTTTAAGTGGGATAGAAAAACCTTAAGGAAAGTTCATAGTAGGTCCTCAGTGGTGGAGTGTTGTGGGAAGTCAGGGACCCTGAATGAAGGGACTGGCTGAAGCCATGGCAGAAGAACATAAACTGTGAAGATTTCATGGACATTTATTAGTTCCCCAAATTAACACTTTTATAATTTCTTACGCCTGTCTTTACTGCAATCTCTGAACATAAATTGTGAAGATTTTATGGACATTTATCACTTCCCCAATCAATACTCTTGTGATTTCCTATGCCTGTCTTTACTTTAATCTCTTAATCCCGTCATCTTCGTAAGCTGAGGAGGATGTAAGTCGCCTCAGGACCCTGTGATGATTGTGTTAACTGCACAAATTGTTTGTAGAGCATGTGTGTTTGAACAGTATCAAATCTGGGCACCTTAAGAACAGGATAACAGCAACGTTCAAGGAACAAGGGAGATAATCTTAACGTCTGGCTGCCTATGGGCCGGGCAGAACAGAGCCATATTTCTCTTCTTTCTAAAGCAAATAGGAGAAATATCGCTGAATTCTTTTTCTCAGCAAGGAACAGCCCTGAGACAGAGAATGTGTGCCTAGGGGTAGTCCTCCAAAATGGCCACTCTGGGGACGGCTGTCTTTTATGGTCGTAGATAAGGGAAGAAATAAGCCCCGGACTCCCATAGTGCTCCCAGGCTTATTAGGACGAGGAAATTCCCACCTAATAAATTTTGGTCAGACTGGTTGTCTGCTCTCAAACCCTGTCTCCTGATAAGATGTTATCAATGACAATGCGTGCCCGAAACTTCACTCGCAATTTTAATTTCGCCCTGGTCATGTGGTCCCGTGATCTCACCCTGCCTCCATTTGCCTTGTGATATTTTATTACCTTGTGAAGCATGTGATCTCTGTGACCCACACCCTATTCATACACTCCCTCCCCTTTTGGAAATCACTAATAAAAACTTGCTGGTTTTACGGCTTAGGGGGCATCACAGAACCTGCCGACATATGATGTCTCCCCTGGACACCCAGCTTTAAAATTTCTCTCTTTGTACTCTTTCCCTTTATTTCTCAGACCAGCCAACACTTAGGGAAAATAGAAAAGGACCCACGTGAAATATCAGGGGCTGAATTTCCCCCGATAGTGGAGGGAACCATCCCAAAGCAGTGCCAGCCCCCATCTAAGGTCAGAGACATCTGACAGACTAAATCAGGGCCCTAAAGTAGGGACGCCCCTGGGGACCCCAGTCTGGGTTCAGAATTTTTTCAGGGGGATGCCCTGGGTAAAGTTTGGGTCACCTAATGGGCCCTCTACTTTTCAAAGTCCTCTTCTCTGTTCCAGACCACTATGGGCAACTCTCTATCTATTCGACCTGATTCCACTATGGGCAATTCTACACCTGTTCCACCGGATTCCTCACTTGGCTACATCATCCACCATTGGAATCAATTTGACCCTGACACTCTAAAGGGAAAATGTATAATTTTTTTCTGTAATACTGTTTGGCCCCATTATGAGCTGCCCAGCCCCCAGCAATGGGCAGTCAGTGGTAGCCTTAATTATGACACCATCCTGCAATTAGACCTACTTTGCAAGAGGCTGGGAAGATGGTCAGAAGTCCCATATGTACAGGCTTTTATCAAAATATCAAAAACCTAACAATCTGTGAAACTCCCAGAACCCACCCCCCAAAGGAAAGTACTAAGGCAGAACTAGATATTATAGATGACCCTCTTTTACAAGGGCTAGCTGTCTCTCAGGGTGAACAGCAACCATCCCCATAAAGCCCCTTGCCAAGTGCTCCTGAGGCTAAAACCCAGGAGCAAACACCAGGGACCCTACTAAATCCCCCTCACACTTGGAGAGGAATGCCATATTCAATTCTCTCTCCAGCCCTGCTACCTCTTAGGGAAGTAGCAGGAACCAAGGGGCCAGTCCTAGTGCAGGCCCCCTTCTCTATAATTTATACATACAATATAAGGAAAAGCTAGGAAACTATTCTGAGAATCCTAAGAAACTTGCAGATGGGTTCCAGCGTTTGACCTTAGCCTCTGATCTATCATGGAGAGATGTTCAATTCATTCTAGCAACCTGTTACACACCCTCAGAAAAGGAATGAATCTCTGAGGCCGCCCACCTGCAAGCAATGAATTATTTGCCCAAAACTCTCAGGGCAATCATCCCGGCCCAGACACAGTTCCCACTATTGATCATAATTGGGACTATAACACTCCTGAGGAAATGAACAACCGGGCTAAATTTCTTGAGGCTCTCCTTGGAGGAATGAGAAAGGGAATAACTAAAGGCAGTAAATTATGATAAAGTAAGGGAGGTTACACAAGGCAAGGAGGAAAATCCAGCCATGTTTTATGGCAGGCTGGAGGGAGACTTTAAAAAATATACTAATCTGGACCCTTCCTCTCCCGAAGGCAAAATATTAATAGCACAGCATTTCATTAGCCAATCTGCCCCAGACATTAGAGATAAGCTCCAAAAGCTACAGATGGGGCCACAAACTAATCAAAATCAGCTTACTTATATCACATTTATGGTGTATAACAATCGTGACCTGAAGGAAGGAAAAAGGGAACAGAGTAAACAAAATGGCAAGCCAAAAGTATGGCAGCCATCATTGACGATGCCCTGAATGTACAAAGAGTGTCTAAGGGAAACCCGAAGGGCCATAAAGATAATGCCAGCAAAGGCTCTTGCTTCAAATGCAAGAAAAGAAGACATTGGGCAAAGGATTGTGCTAAGTCCCCGCCAGGCCCCTGCCGTCAATGCAAGGGCACCAGTCATGACCCCTGGCACTGGAGAATTGACTGCCCATGTTCCCACTGAGGGGCTCAGTCAGTCAAAACTCTAGCAGTGCAAAAGGAGGAATTAGATGAAGACTGAAGGGGCCTGAGGTCTTCCTCACTGCCCCTGTTCAGGAACATTGTAATTACTACTGAGGAGCCCCAGGTAACTCTGGACGTCATGGGCACCCAAATTCAGTTTCTTTTTGATGCAGGAGCAAATTACTCTGTTCTTACTGCTTATGCAGTAAGGCGTTCCTCCCAGTCCACAAGTGTTATGGGAATAGAATGGAAGCCACAAACGAGTTTTTATTTTATTTTATTTTATTTTATTTTACTTTAAGTTCTGGGATACATATGCAGAATGTGCAGGTTTGTTACATAGGTATACATGTGCCATGGTGGTTTGCTGCACCTATCGACCCATCATCTAGGTTTTAAGTCCCACATGGATTAGGTATTTGTCCTAATGCTCTTCCTCCCCTTGCCCCCAACCCCCCAACAGGCCTTGGTGTGTGATGTTCCCCTCCCTGTGTCCATGTGTTCTCATTGTTCACCTCCCACTTATTAGTGAGAACATGCGGTGTTTGGTTTTCTGTTCCTGTGTTAGTTTGCTGAGAATGATGGTTTCCAGCTTCATCCATGTTCCTGCAAAGGACATGAACTCATTCTTTTTTATGGTTGCGTAGTATTCCATGGTGTATATGTGCCATATTTTCTTTATCCCGTCTATCACTGATGGGCATTTGGGTTGGTTCCAAGTCTTTGCCATGGTAAATAGTGTTGCAGTAAACATACATGTGCATGTATCTTTATAATAGAATGATTTATAATCCTTTGGGTATATATCCAGTAATGGGATTGCTGGGTCAAATGGTATTTCTGGTTCTAGATCCCTGAGGAATCACCACACTGTCTTCCACAATGGTTGAACTAATTTACACTCCCACCAACAGTGTAAAAATGTTCCTACTTCTCCACAGCCTCACCAGCCTGTTTCCTGACTTTTTAATGATCACCATTCTAACTGGTGTGAGATGGTATCTCACTGTGATTTTGATTTGCATTTCTCTAACAACAAGTGATGAGCATTTTTTCATATGTTTGTTGGCTGCATAAATGTCTTCTTTTGAGAAGTGTCTGTTCATATCCTTTGCCTACTTTTTGATGGGGTTGACAAACAAGATTCATTACTCCTCCTTTGATTTGTCAATTTGAGAAACAACTCTTCCAACAGGATTTCCTAGTAGTACCAAGCTGCCCAATCCCCCTGTTGGGAAGAGATATTATGGTTAAAATGGAGGCACTACTACAATTTAAGCATCACCCATTGAAATTGCTGATAGTCAAAAATACAGTGTTCCAGACCACATTAATAAATAGGTTAACCCGCTGGCATTGGTATACTGGAAAACCAGGGAAGGCTAAAACAGCAGTGCCAGTCAAAATACATTTTAAAGACCTCAGCTAGTTTCCCAATTGAAAATAATATCCAATTAAGCAGGAAGCAAGAAAAGGCCTAGCACCCATAATTGAGGTATTACTTATTACATGGGCTCTTAAAATCCTGTAATTCCCCTTGCAAT
The DNA here is from genome assembly GCF_000001405.40 of Homo sapiens. Classification (NCBI taxonomy): domain Eukaryota; kingdom Metazoa; phylum Chordata; class Mammalia; order Primates; family Hominidae; genus Homo; species Homo sapiens. The sequence goes on along the minus strand of NC_000013.11, from coordinate 99,491,022 downwards.
ACCTGTTCTAAAGCCTTTGGGGGAATACCAGTTAGTATAGGACTGGAGAATACCGGTTAGTATAGGACCTGAGAATAATTAATGAGGCTGTTATCCCCGTCCACCCACTGGTGGCAGATCCATATACCCTTATGGCTCAGGTACAAGGGGATGCAAAATGGTTCTCAGTCCTGGACCTAAAAGATGCTTTCTTCTCCATCCCTCTGGCCCCAGAGTCCCAATACCTTTTTGCCTTTGAATGGGAAAATCAATATGAGGGAAAAACAGTAATATACCTGGACAGTGCACCCTTAGGGCATTCAGGATAGCCCCCATTGGATTGCCCGAGCCTTAGAGAGGGATCTGAAGGATCTGAAAGTGAAAAATGGGAATATACTCCAGTATGTGGATGACTTTCTTGTGTGTAGCCCAAACCCAGGAGGTTTCTGACCAAACTACTATAAAAACTTTGAATTTCCTGGCAGACAGGGGATACAAAGTGTCCGACAAGAAGGCACAGATTATCCTCCAATGGGTGCAATATTTAGGGTATGTCTTAACACCCAGAGCCTGACAAATATCCCCAGAACGAGAGCAAGCCATAGGTGGTTTGCCCCCTGCCCCCTCCCCAACCCCCCCACCTGCCACACCTAGTAGCAGCTTTGTTCTTTTTTGGGAATGGCCAGGTTTTGCAGAATATGGGTACCAAATTTCAGACTCATAGCAAAGCCCCTATATGAAGCAACAAAGGGGCCTGAAGACGAGCTAAAGGAATGAACCCCAGAATTGAGAAAAGCCTTTGCCAAGTTAAAACAGGCTCTCGCTCTTGGCATCCCAGACCTACCTAAGCCCTTCTCTTTGTACGTAGCAGAGAAGAAGGGCATAGCTGTGGGTGTACTAGCCCAGACATTAGGATCAGAACCCAGACTAACCACTGACTTTCCAAAGAAGTTGGATGGAGTGGCCTCGAGGTGACCAAGTTGCCTGCGGCCAACAGCAGCCACTGCTATGTTAGTGGAGGAAGCCACTGAAATCGCTCTGAGCCAACCACTGGAAGTTCTCACCCCCTCATCAGGTTAAGTCTGTCTTAGAGATAAAGGGACACATCTGGATGACAGGGGAAAGATGAACCAAATACCAGGCCATGTTCCTAGACAATCCAGATGTAACCCTTAAAACCTGCAACACTTTGAATCCAGCTTCAGTGCTGCCCACAGGCCCAATAACTGATCATTCCTGCAAGCAGGTCATTGCACATACACAATGTTAGCCAGCCTGCTTTAAAAGACAAGCCTCTCCCAGATTCTGAGGATGAGTGGTTCACAGATGGCAGTAGTTTTGTGTCAAATGGGGTTTGACACAGCACTGAGCTGGATATGCAGTAGTAATTATCGAAGCCCAGCCACTGCTCCTTGGCACATCAGCACAAAAGGCTGAAATCATTGCTCTTACTTGAGCATTAATGTTGGTACAAGGAAAAAAGCTTAACATCTATATCGATTCTAAATATGCATTCCTTGTGGTTCATGTTCATGCTACAGTCTGGAAAGAAAAGGGATTTCTAACTAGAAAACAGTCCTCTATAAAGCCTGGGCCTGAAATTCTTCAGCTATTGGAAGCAATACACTTGCCAAAGGCCGTAGCTCTAATTAATTGTTGGGGTATCAAAGGGACTTAACCCCTATAGCACAAGGGAACAGAAAGGCTGATAAAGAACCAAAGCCGCATCCCTCAGGGTGCCATCCCAACAGACCCTAGCCCTACTTCCTTTCTATGATTTCCCAACAGAACCTGAGTACACAGTACAGAAAGAACAGTTAATAGAGGAACAAGGGGGACACAAAAAAAGGATCCTGGTGGCATATGGGGTCAAAAACATATCTCCCTCAGACAGCCCAGTGGAAAGTTATAAAAGCCGTGCATGCCTCTTTCCATGTGGGGAGGGATGCAACTCTGGCCATTTAAACCAGCTCTTTACTGGGTCTAACTTAGCTTCAGTGGCTAAGCAGGTTTGCTAGGCCTGCTCCCTGTGTGCACTTAACAACCTAGGAAACAACATGCCTCCTCTAATAGAACCAGTGCAGAGGAGAGGAACTTATCCAGGGGGAGACTGGCAATTAGACTTCACCCATATGCCAGCTTGCAGAGGACATGAGTTTTTGTTAGTACTAATAGATATCTTTACTGGTTGGGTCGAAGTTTATCCTACCAGAACAGAGAAGGTTAATGAGGCTATAAAGGTTCTCTTAAAAGAAATAATCCCCGGGTTTGGGTTACCTCAGAGCCTCCAAATTGATAATGGCCCGTCCTTTATCTCCCAGCTAACTCAAGGGGTTGCTAAGTCTCCTGGAATCAAGTACTATCTACATTCAGCATGAAGGCCTCGATCCTTGGGGAAAGTAGAAAGGGCTAACCAAACTTTAAAACGAGTGTTAGCTAAGCTATGTAAGGAAACATCAGAAACTTGGGTCAGCTTACTGCCCATAGCCCTCTTAAGGACCCATAATACCCCTACAGCAAAAATTAATATAAACCCATATGAAATATTATGTGGAAGGCCATTCTTAACTAATGATTTAATTACTGATCCAGAAACAGTTGGTTTAGTAAAATACCTAGTCAATCTAGGACAGTTTCAACAGGCTTTACAAACGTTTGGAATGCAAAGTCTCCCCACACTGGGAACAATCAGCAACTTAAAATCAGGTCAGGAAATAAGGTACTTCTTAAAACATGGAAAGAGGGATCACCTGCTCAACAATTACAACCCAAACGGAAGGGACTGTTTTCAGTGGCACTGGCCATGCCTTCTGCAGTGAAAGTACTAGGATTAGATAGCTGGATACATCTTTCAAGGATCAAGAGAGTGATACCAGAAGCCCTGGACCAGGAACCCGAAGTTGCCATCTGCCTCTACACCTGTGAACCTGTGGAAGACTTCATGAAGTACCTGTTTAGAAGACAGTCAAAAGAAAAGTAAATGCCTACCAATTTTCCTTGGTGTCTTTGTTGCATAGTTACTATAGGCTGGATAATAGTGCCATTTTTAAAAATGTTTTATTTTTGCAGTTTCATTGCCTTCTTCCAAATGGATGGAATCACTTCCTTTGTAGTAATTAAGCAGAATGTTTTAATACATTTCTATAACAAACATTCCTGACGGCATAGGTATCCACCCCCAAAGTTCCCATTAAATCTTTTAACCAAATTCATTTCCTGTTGCACAGAGACCATCAAGCTTCAGATGATCATGTGACAGGGTTTCCAGCCAGTTCCAGGTGAAGACACCACCCCTGGCCATCAAGAAGTCACCCGGTCTCCACTAGACAGAGTAGGGTGAGAGTTCCGTGATCTCCAACCGGTAGTGATTATGCCCCAAGTCAGCATAAAGAAGTTACGGAAGAAAAACCATCAGTCCCTCTGTCTCACATAAAGACTTATGGGGATCACGTTTCTCAGAGGGGAGATGAGGCAGGAGAATAGGGTCTGGAGGCAGGGAACCTAAGGCCGTTTCACACTGACTTCTTAGAACTAAATTGAAAGGAAAACCCTAATTTTCCATGCCTAAGTAACAAAAGGACCAGAGGCTACTCCCTTTGCAAACCCCCACCTTTTCTGTGTGGCATATGGGAAATTGAAAGTACCTCTGATTGATTGTTTTCTGCAACCAATCAGATGTTTGCATTGGAGTGTAACTTTGTAATTTCACTTCAGTCTCTGATTGGTTGCTGCAGTCTGGAAATTCTGCAGGCCAAGTCTTCGTTTGCATAGAAGTGCAACTTTGTAACTTCATCTTAGCCTCTGATTGGTTGCTTTCTGCAACCAATCAGATGTTTGCATAGGCGTGTGACCTTTGTAACTTCACTTCAGCTTCTGATTGGTTGCTTTCCACAACCAATCAGACTGATTGTGGGCCACCACTTCCTTTACGTGAGGTGAACACCAAGTGGCCAATGGAAAACCTCAAGAGGGTATTTGGACCTGAGAAGATTCTGTATCTGGGGCCCTTGAGCTGCTGCTCTGCCCACTCTCACATGGTGGAGTGTAATTTCACTTTGAATAAATCTCTGCTTTTGTTGCTTCATTCTTTCCTTGCTTTGCTGTGTATTTTGTCCAATTCTTTGTTCAAAACGCCAAGAACCTGGACAACTTGCAGTCAAGACCCTCTACCAGTAACACTAGTTGTATCCCTGTAAATGAATGGGCTTTGAAGATTTTCTAGAAGAAAAAGATCACCTCATTGTCCTTCATTTTTTGACATAAAACTGTGATAGCCCAATAGATAAAATGTGAGTTATCGATCACCCCTGGAAAGGATTAGGATATGCCACTCCAAAATATGCCACGTTTATTTTGCACTGAAGGCAATTGAGAAACAGTAGACACAGGAAGAGCTCTCTGCTTTTCCCCTTTTTACCTAAAAGCAGAGAATAAATTTCCTTTTGGAAAGATGACATACATTTTCCTTTATAAAGGTGTTCCCTTCTCCTCTACCAGGAAGATCTGAGATGGCACCAAAATGAATCTGCCTAACAAACCTTACTGCACAATTCTTAGCTACCATACATTTCATAGTCACCTTCCCATAATTTACTGCCCTTAGGAGCCCAAGTCCCTTTCCTTTGACTATCACCTCTCCACAATTTATTGCCCTTTGTTAAAATGATATATAAGCTCCTTCATTTAACTACATCTTTGGGTTTTCACTTCTTATCTTTGATGCTACGATGCATGTAAAAATATTAATAAAATTTGTGTGCTTTTTCTCCTGTTAATTGTATGTCTTTTATCAACTTAAATTACAGGCCCCAAGTACATAATTAAGAGAGTAAAAGGCTGGGCACGGTGGCTGATGCCTGTAGTCCCAGCACTTTGGGAGGCCAAGGCAGGCAGATCACAAGGTCAGGAGATCGAGACCATCCTGGCTAACATGGTGAAACCCCGTCTCTACTAAAAAATAAAAAAAAATTTAGCCAGGCGTGGTGGCGGGCGCCGGTAGTCTCAGCTACTCGGGAGGCTGAGGCAGGAGAATGGCGTGAACTCGGGAGGCAGAGCTTGCAGTGAGCGGAGATCTTGCCACTGCACTCCAGCCTGGGCAACAGAGCAAGGCTCCATCTCAAAAAAAAAAAAAAAAAAGAGAGAGAGAGAGTAAAAGTTTTTCCTCTCCTACACCTCCTTCCCTGTTAGTCTAAATACTATAGCTTGGACATAAAACTTATCCTGAACAGTAGGCTTATAAATGCAACTAGCGGCCGGATACAGTGGCTCACACCTGTAATCCTAGCACTTTGGGAGGCCGAGGCGGGTGGATCACCTGAGGTCAGGAGTTCAAGACCAGCCTGGCCAACATGGAGAAACCCTGTCTCTACTAAAAATACAAAAATTAGCTGGGCATGGTGGCACACATGTGTAATCCCAGCTACTCAGGAGGCTGAGACTGGAGAATTGCTTGAACCCAGGAGGCAGAGGTTGCAGTAAGCCAAGATCACTCCACTGCACTTCAGCCCGGGCATCAGAGCAAGACTCCAACTCAAAAATAAATAAAATAAAATAATTAAATAAATGCAACTCATGGTAGATTGGAGCCGAGGTATGAAAAACGTTAAGCTTTAGGATAAATAATGGTTCTCAGGACATAACTTAGCTAACATACAAGCTATTTATAAGCTAACATAGAAGTTGCAACCAGAAGGGGGATTCTTTTGGCCAGCAGAACCTGGAAAAATGAAAGCCACAGAGGCAAATACTAAAGTATCACTCAGGAAAGACAAGAGTGTAGCTCTGTGACATAGATGGATATATTCTAATCATAAAACTAATTTTACTTCTTCCAAATTTATGCCCACAAACCAACTTTCTGCTTTTTTCTTGTCTCGTATGCATTTTTTAACTTAATAATCTTTAAACACTTTTATAAGAGTTTTTATATTCTGCATAGAAACACTTTGTTAGCTATATGAATTGCAAATATTGCTTTATCAAAAGATTCCTAGAGTCATGAAAGAAAGCAAACAAAGTGCTAATATTGTGGTTCATTGCTTCACTTATAAGATAAAATGCATACCATTTATCAATCTATAAACAATGTCTCAATTTGAGGTTGAATGTTAGAGTTTACCCGGTAATCTAGTATTTCTCTAGAAATGTCAAAAAAAAGGGCAAAATTATATAGTACAGAGGAGTGAGTGGCTGGAGGTTGTCTAGACAAGGTACCCACTGGATGCCATTATCTTGGTGAAAAAGAGAAAGAGAAAAGCAGTCACTGACATGAGGAGTTGGCCTGGTTCTTACAGATAGGACTTGGCATTCTCCTGTCAAATATAAGCAATTTCACAGAACATGAACATTAGACAACGCCGTGTTGTGATGTTGATGTAGCAAGACGAAAACACTGTAACCCTCTGTAATCATGTCTCAACAATCCACTACAACCCGAATGTGGTCCAAACCACAAAATAACCAAACATCCTCTGTCTTGCCTAAGAGTAGTGACTGCTGCCTCTTTAGCAATCACAACTTAAGCCTCAGACTAGTCTGCCCTCCTTCTAGATAAGAGTTATTAGATATCTAATTTTAAGAATTACCCCCTGCTTCCTGACAGCATTTGATCCAGAGCAAAGCTCCACCTCTTTAAAACGCTCCCCAAACCACAAAACACAAGCTCAATTCTTATAAATTTCTTTCCAATCCCCTCTTACTGAGATGTCCCATCGTTCCTCATAGTGTGCGTTCTCCCTTGCTGCAACAAGGAAATAAACCCAACTATAGTTGTGTTCCTGGTGGTCTTTAGCTGAAGAGCATTGACACTGCAGAATCCAGGAGAATCCAGGACAATTCAAGAGCTGGAGACAGCTTACTTGTCAGGACACTAAAAATAGACCTATCTCTCAAGGGTGAATTTGTATTAGCCACAGACACAGAAACTGATGGATAAGTAACATTACTAATTTGTTAATTAATAAAAATGAAATAAAGCCCTGGAAGAGTCAGAAAAGACAAATGTATAGAGTGAGAAAGTAGATGAATGGTTTCCTGAAGGTGGGTGTGGAAAGGGGAATTAAATGTTAAAGGGCATGAGTGGTCTTATTGGGGTGATAGAAATGTTCTAAAAACTATTATTGTGATGACCACACAGCTTGGTAAATTTACTAAAAATCATTGAACACTTAAAATGAATGAATTGCATGGTATGTAAATTATAGCCCAATGAAGTTATTAAAACAACAATGATAATCCAGAGGAGAACAGCTACTTGAATCCAGCCAGCAAATATTCTTCTTCTACAGATAGCCAATGGTCAACAAAAATGAAAACATGTTCAATCTTATTACTCATCAAGAAACTACGAATTGAAGCCTCAATGAGATGCAGCAACACAAGCATTAAAATAGCTAAAATTTGAAAGACTGACAATTCCAAGTGTTGATAAGGATGTAGAACAACTAGAATGCTTACACACGGCTGATGAGAGTGTAAATTTGTGGAAAATTGTTTGGCACACCTATTCTGTAACCCAGAAATTCCACTCCTAGCTCTAAATGCCTACATATATTCACTAAAATATATGTTCACCAAAACAGAACTGAAATGTCCATCTATAGTAGAAAGGATAAAGAATTTGTAGCGTAGTTTCGTAAAATTACTATTAAGCACAACAGCATATATCCATCTCACAAATATGATGTTAAGCAAAAGAAGTTAAACACTTGCATGATTCCATTTATATAAAATTCAAAAACAGGCAAAACAAATCTGGAATGTTAGAAGTCAAGAAGGTGGTTTCCTTGTGCGAATTACAAGGATGTAGTGAGTAGGAGAGCCTGGGGCTTCTGCAGTGCTGGTAAAGTTTACCTTTACCTTTACCTAAACCACTACCTTCATCTGGGTAGTGGTTATCTGGATGTGGTCACTTTGTGATAATTCATCAAACTATACACTTATGATCTGTATATTCTTCTGTATGTATGTTACACTGCAAAAGAATTTACTAAAATAGATATAATTATTGTGAAAAAGTTGATAATCACTGAAATTGAGTATTGGGTACATGGAAGTTGATTTTACCATTCCCTCTACTTTTGTGCATTTGAATTTTTTCATGATAAATACAAACTTCAAATATATATATATATATGTTTCACATATCTATATGCATATATGTGTATGTATATAGGAATGTGTATTTATGTATATGTATTTGTGAATGTTTAAGTTTCTCCTTGTCCTGCCAATCTATTCAAAAGTGAACAAGATTTCCCAGAGACCATAGCAGTGTGAATAGAGCCAGGTGATTCTTTTATACCAGACATATAAAGTCAGTGTGCTTAGATAACATTAACCAGCAAAAGCAATATATCTAACATGTAAGATAAAAGTCTAAGTGAACATTTAAATGCATGTATTAATATAAATATATTGACTATATATGTAACTGTAGATATAGATATAAATATATTGAATGAAATGTAGACAATCTGACAGTGTCTTTTTTACAGTCCAAATCCTATTAAAATGAACTTTGGTGGCTAGGTGTGGTGGCTCCCGTCTGTAATCCCAGCACTTTGGAAGGCCGAGGCAGGTGGATCACAAGGTCAGGAGTTCAAGACCAGCCTGCCCAGCATGATGAAATCCCATCTCTACTAAAAATACAAAAACTTAGCTGGGCATGGTGGCGCGTGCCTGTAGCCCCAGCTACTTGAGAGGGTGAGGCAAGAGACTTGCTTGAACCCGGCAAGTGGAGGTTGCAGTGAGCCAAGATTTCACCACTGCACTCCAGCCTGGGTGACAGAGCAAGACTCCATCTCAAAAAACAAACAAACAAACAACTTTGGCTAGGATTACAATTTTTTTGTTTCATGGGAATATTTTGAATGTGCTAGAAATAAATAAGATTTAAATGTCATTTATGAACAGTGCTCAAGAGAAATGAATACATCATTCTGTACATTTTGTTTTGGACTCCTGGCTAATGATTGCTTTGAAACTTCTGCGTATGAGCAGGTATATTTTGCTGAAATAAAATGTTGGGCAAACTTTTTAGAAAAGCATCCATAAAAAGAAACAATGGGCCCAGAACAGGATACTATTGCACCAGGAGAGATATGAGGCCTTCACCACCATTGCTCTCAAGTAGCTACTGAATGATCCAAAATACACAATTTTTACCAAAAGAAAAATATCTAGAAGTAATTTGAGGGTAGGATGTTTGTTGAAAGTAAAATTTAGACTAAGGGATTTGGGGGAGCATGGATTGAAGGATAACTGTATAAAAATAACTCAACGGAGTCACACTGTGGTCATGTTTTTCTTGAGAGCTGACTTGAGAACATTATGCCCATGTGAGAGGAACTTTACTATTTTATCTTGTTTAACCAGCAAAACTACCAATAAATACTTGTTTAAACATTTTAGACAGCTGATATAAAACATAATAAAGCCTGTAGGCGAGCAGGAACATGTTGACTTCCCCAAGTTTTTCCTCCTCATACCTGTGGTCACAAGAGTGAGATGGTTTGAATGACCTTTTATTCCCTGAGAGGTTCTTAACTTTATTGTGCATGAGAATTACCATATAGAATGGAAGGCGAAACTCCAAGCTGAATGTTGAAAGCTACTTAAAGAACGTTTAAGGGCAGTTTTGGCCTTCAGTATTTTTGCCAAATGTGCTGATTTTAAAACCTAATACCCAATTCAGCCACACTCCACTATAGTTGTGGCCTCTAGCTAGGGCTGTTAGAATACAGTATTATCAGTTACATTTAAATTTCAGAAAAGTCCAGGCGTGGTGGCTCACGCCTGTAATCTCAGCAATTTGGGAGGCTGAGGCAGGCAGATCACCTGAGGTCAGGAGTTTTGAGACAAGCCTGGCCAACATGGTGAAACCCCATCTGTACTAAAAATACAAAAATTAGCTGGGTGTGGTGGCATGTGCCTGTAATCCAAGTTACTTGGGAGGCTGAGGCAGGAGAATCACTTGAACCTGGGAGGCAGAGGTTGCAGTGAGCCGAGATTGCACTGTTGCACTCCAGCCTAGGTGACAGAGTGAGACTTCATCTCAAAAACAAACAAACAAACAAAAAGAATAAATTTCATATAAATAGCAAATAAATTTTTAGTATAGGTATGTCCCATGTTTATTTGGGGCATAATTAATAAACAATTTATTTGTTGTTTATTTTTATTTTCTAAATCTGGATCCGTGGTTTATAAGGTTTATAGCAAAGACTCAAAAGGGGCCCACACAATTTAGATGCATTGAAATAAAACTCTGGGAGGAAAACACTTGCAATAAAATTAAGTTATTACACAACAGTAAGAAACAGATGAACTGTCCCTATATAAAAATGCACAAAGGACATGAAGAGATAATTTACACACAAAAAAAGACATATAAATGGCAAAAAGCATTTAAATAAATATTCAGCCTTATTGTATTAACGTAATTGCATATTTTTTAAGAAAACGAAAAAAATACTTTTTTTAAAGCTACTAAGGAAGCAGTGATAATACCCAACTTATTTCACACCCTGATGATGAGTGGTTTTTTGTTTGTTTGTTTGTTGTGTTTGTTTTGAGATAGACTCTCACTTGGTCACCCAGGCTGGAGTGCAGTGATGCGATCTCAGCTCACTGAGAACCTTGACCTCCCAGGTTCAAGCGATCCTCCTGCCTCAGCCCCTCAAGTAGGTGGGACTACAGGTGTATCCCACCATGCTCAACTAACTTTTTTGTATTTTTTGTAGAGATGGAGTTTCACCATGTTGGCCAGCTGGTCTTGAACTACTGAGTTCAAGCGATCCACCTGCCTCCACCTCCTGAAGTGCTAGAATTACAGGCGTGAGCCACAACACCTGGCCTGTGACAAGTGTCTAATAGCCTTTCTGTAGGACAGTTTGGCATTACGTATTTTTTAAAAGCCTTAAGAATATGCAATTTGAAAGAACAATTATACTTCTTAGAATCAGTCCTAGGGAAACATTTAGAATATATGAAAAAATTTAGCTCCAAGTATGCTTATCAGTATAATGTTTTTATTAGTAAAAAATAGAAACTGGCCTGTGTGGTGGCCTGTATTAAGGAGTTGGTGAATGCTTCATAAAAACCTTGTTAATCTGACACAGGGGCCCATATGCTGGTCTTGCATCAGTGTGCCTTTAACATTAATGATTAATTTATAGAGAAATTGAACATATTTTATCTCTCAAAATTGGCCCATACAATCTCACTCGTCCACCTCTTCCGCAATAGTCCCTGGGCCTTGAGGAGTTGAATAGCTTTAAGTTTTGGCCCTGTATGCAGTTTATTTTGATTGGCATCTTCTACTGGACCTGAAGATGGGTCTTCAATTACTGTCAGCATTTAAAATTTAGCAGTACTTGATGTCCTTTTTAGACCCAGGAGTCAAAGCCCTGTAACTCAATGTCACAAGTACTTTAAAAGTGCATACAGAGAGATACACGGATGTAATAACCTGAATTTAAAAAAATTTTAAATCTCAGTTTTTTCCTAAGCAAACCAAAACTTAATAATAATGCGACAACTTGACCATATAAAAGTTTTTGGTTTTTAAAAAAATAAATCCTCTTATTGTGACTTACACAGATGGTTCATCATATGCTTGGACTTTCTGGTTTGTCCTGAACATCCCTCCTTCTTAAACAACCAGTCATTTTACCCTAGGACTAAATTTATCATACAAGATTCTTTCTCATATGAAATTATTTCTCTTTAAGTTTCTTACCAAAAAAAACCCTCATTATTTTTATAACTTTCTTTACATCTCTCTTATTTCCTGGTTCCTTTTACCTTGTTTTATACATGACCTTTAAATAAGCTTTGAATTAGACAAAAAATTGTTCAAATGTTTTTTTTTTTGAGACAGAGTTTCGCTCTTGTCACCCAGGCTGGAGTGTAATGGCACAATCTCTCCTCACTGAAACCTCCACCTCCCAGGTTCAAGTGATTCTCCTGCCTCAGCCTCCCGAGTAGCTGGGATTACAGGCACCCGCCACCATGCCCAGCCAATTTTTTGTATTTTTGGTAGAGACAAGGTTTTGCCATGTTGGCCAGGCAGGTCTTGAACTCCTGACCTCAGCTGATCTGCCCACCTCGGCCTCCCAAAGTGCTGGGATTATAGGCATGAGCCACTGCGCCCGGCCACTGTTCACCATTTTTTTTTTTTTTTTGAGATGGAGTCTCGCTCTGTCCCCCAGGCTAGAGTGCAGTGGCGTAATCTCAGCTCACTGTGAGCTCCGCCTCCTGGGTTCATGCCACTCTCCTGCCTCAGCCTCCCGAGTAGCTGGGACTACAGGTGCCTGCCACCATGCTCGGCTAATTTTTTGTATTTTTGGTAGAGACAGGGTTTCACCGTGTTAGCCAGGATGGTCTCGCTCTCCTGACCTCATGATCCACCCGCCTCGGCCTCCCAAAGTACTGGGATTACAGGCGTGACCCACCGTGCCCAGCTAAGTTCACCTTTTTTAAAAGGACAGATTTTTTTTTTTTTTTTTAGAAATAATGTTTTCCTATAAATATATTTTTATTGGAAAATACCCAAATAATGAAATATTTATCATTTAGTTTAATATAACTTTAGATTCTAAATTATGAGTTTGTCTACAAGTATTTATCCTATTACATTTACCTAATTATTTCATTTTAATTGTTTACCTAGATTATTTATGAAAACTGTGATAGTCATCATTTAAAGCTATGGAACCGCCATTGCAAAATTGTAACTGAGACGTGAAAAGATTTGACCTAACTGACTCCATTTTGCTTTTAACCTCCAAGGTGTCCTTGTTCATTCCTGGGCATAGGCCAAACTAACTTTGGGAGGAACTTAGTTTATATTTTAGCTTGAAACAAAGATGATAACAAACCTTACTGGCTGTGGACTAGACCACCTAAAGCCATAAGATTAGAAGTTATGGTAATCTTACTAAATTTGAGATGTAGCTATTTTTATTAAACCAATATCAATGTCTTATTTATTAAAGACTACACAAGCAAAGATCATTCTGTTTTGGGTTGGGTTTATAGTTTTGTAACCCCTATGCCAAATTTTGATGCTTTGTAGTATCTGGTAGGGATAGGTATGAAATTGAATCTCGGTCTCCAAAAAGGGAGAATTATTATGAGGCTAGACCATGTGATGCTCTTACAGTGCACTTAAAGAAAAAAACTTTTTTTTAACAAACATATTTCTAAGTGTCTAAACCACACTCTTCCTTAAAAACCCGAGAGTAACCTCTGTTGCAATAACTATTTTAGTTGAAAAACACACCAGGTAACACAATACAAAAGTAAGCCGTTTAAGAGCTGAGATGAACTTGTCTGTTTACATTCTTGGGGTTCCATAAGGAAAAACAGGTTTCTCCCTCAGAGGGAGTCTGGCGCCTTCTCAGTTTTCTTTAAGGAACCCCAGGCTATTATAAACTATTTTAGGTTACCCATGCTACAGAGAGTGCAAGAGAAAGAAGACACAGCAGAAGTAAATGAAGAAAACAGAATTCGGTCAACTGAGAAGAAAAAAACTTTTGCTGAAAAAAAAGACAAGATCCTAGGGGAAAAACAAAAGCAAAAATATGAAGGCCTTTTAAATACAAACACACACACATGCACACATACACACACACGCACACATACACACACGCACACACACACGCACACATACACACACATGCACACACACACCCACATGCACACATACACACACGCACACGTACACACACACGCACACATACACACACACGCACACATACACACACACGCACACATGCACACATACACACATGCACGCACACATACACACACGCACACATACACACACGCACACATACACCCACGCACACATACACACACGCACACATACACACACGCACGCACACATACACGCACACACATACACACACGCACACATACACACACGCACACATACACACACGCACACATACACACACGCACACACACACACACGCACACATACACACACGCACACATGCACACACGCACACATGCACACACATACACACACGCACACATGCACACACATGCACACATACACACACATGCACACACACATACACACACGTACACACACATGCACACACATGCACACATACACATATGCACACACACATGCATACATACACACACGCACACATACACACACACTTCTTGAATGTTAGCTTTTAATTAAGCTGACTTTTCATCATTGAGCTCCTTTAAAAAAAATCTTTTAAGATCTCATCACCATATTTCAGCTAGGACAAATTGCTGCTATTTCAGAAGTACAGCCATTGCTCTCTTGGTTGGGCCTCGCTAGCAAAAAGGTGGCCTTGTTATGTAAATAAAGTCCCTTAGTAGTCAAAATGAAAAATCTTTCCTCTTTTTTTTTGGTTTCCTTTTCCGGCCGTTTTTCTCCCCCACCATACCACCTTTTGTGTGTGTGTGGGGGGGGGGTGGCGGGGTGGAATTTAGCCACTTCAGAGGCCTTGTTCCCCATAATTTGGAACTTTCCTTTGGATTTGATCAAGCCGGATAGAGTTGATCAAACCCAGTGGGAAAAAGACTGAAACAACAACAAGAACAGAAACAAACGACAACAACAAAAAACGCAGTTAAGCAAAACAAATGATCGCACAACTTATACAACTATTGAGCGCTCTAGTGGTGAGGAGAAATTAAGACAAGCTGGTTGTTAATCTTAACTTTAGCCAAGACAAACCCCAATTCAGTTACTTACCTAGGGATGGGTCTCAGGCTGAAGACTGCTCTCTATCACCCTAAAAGCAGGAAAAAACCCTCATCCTTCTTGTTGGAAGTGAGCTCAAACTCCATAAAGGAGTTACCTGCCTTCCGTTGTCATGGAAGCAGGAAAAACTTGCCTTCCTTGTTGGAAGCAAGTAAAACTCAAAAGAAAAAGGGAGTTGTACAGCAAAATAAACTTTAGATCTTGACCAAATTTTGGGAGATCAGGGATTCTCTGGAGGGGGTTCTCCCAGACCTCAGCAAATTGTCCTATTGGCTTGAGCCATAAAATTAGCTCATGCTGGTTCCAAGCACCAATAGATTTGTCAAAGGTCAGGGGCACCTCCGCTCAGAATCCCTTCATGGTTACCAAAACTTGAACCCAGAAAATTTGAGACAGGTCTCAGTTAAATTAGAAAGTTTATTTTGCCAACATTGAGGACACACACTTGTGACACAGCCTCAGGAGGTCCTGATGACATGTGGCCAAAATGCTCAGAGCACAGTATGCTTTTATACATTTTAGGGAGACATGAGACATCAATCAACGTATGTAAGGTGAACGTTGGTTCAGTCCAGAAAGACGGGACAACTCAAAGTGGGGAGGGGGCGTCCAGGTCATAGGTAGATAAGAGACAAATGGTTCCATTCTTTTGGGTTTCTGGTTAGCCTCTCCAAAGAAGGTAATCAGATATGCATTTATCTCAGTGAGCAGAGGGGTGACTGAATAGAACGGGAGACAGGTTTGCCCTAAGCAGTTCCCAGCTTGACTTTTCCTTTTAACTTAGTGATTTTTGGGGCCCCAAGATATTTTCCTTTTACACACTTTTAAACAACCACATCTCGCGAGGACAGTACCAAGAGAATGATATTTAACCATTCATGAGAAATCTGCACCCATGATCCAATCACCTCCCACCAAGCCCCATCTCCAACACTGGGGATTACATTTCAACATGAGATTTGGATAGGGACAACATCCAAACTATATCAGACTGGGTCTTGCTCTGTTGCTTAGGCGGGAAGTTTGACAGTTTCCTACAAAGTTAAACATACACTTACCATATGACCCATTAATCCCACTCCTAGGTATTTAAACCCTAGAGAAATGAAAGCTTATGCTCACACGAAAATTTGTGTGTAACTACTTATAGCAGCTTTATTCACAATCACCAAAATTGGAAACAACACAAATGCCTTTCAACCAGTAAATGAATAAACAAACCATGGGAACAGTCATACAATGGAATAGTACTTAGCAATAAAAAGGAATGAACTATTGATACATACAACACCACGGATTAATGTCATACACACTGAGTCTTAGGAGGTTACATTCTCTATGACTCTATTTATACGACATTTCAAAAACCTAACACCACAGTGACTGAAAACAGATCAGTAGATGCAGAGATTCAAGGGAGGGAGGTGTGACTATCGAGGTATATAAGAGGGGATTTTGAGGGGGTGATAGAACTGTTGGATAGTCTGATTTTGGTGGGGGCCACACAAATCTATACATATCTTAAAATTCACAGGAAGATTTTTTAAAATATACATATATATTTAAACAAAAAAGAATGGAAAGACACACGTGAAAATACCAACAGTGGGTTATTTCTTTGCAGTTGAATAAAGGTGATAGTTGAATAAAGGTGATTCCCCCCTTTTGACTATGTAATATTTCTATTTTTAGAAATAATGAACACACGTTTTCTTTGTAAAGAGATGTCATCGGCCGGGCGTGGTGGCCCATGCCTGCAATCCCAGCACTTTGGGAGGCCAAGGCAGGCGGATCACCTAAGGTTGGGAGTTCAATACCAGCCTGACAAACATGGAGAAACCCCATCTCTACTAAAAATACAAAATTAGCTGGGCATGGTGGCGCATGCCTGTAATCCCAGCTACTTGGGAGGCTGAGGCAGGAGAATCGCTTGAACCCAGGAGGCAGAGGTTGCGATGAGCCAAGATCGCACCATTGCACTCCAGCCTAGGCAACAAGAGCAAAACTCCATCTCAAAAAAAAAAAAAGAGAGATGTCGTCGTATAGAAAGGTAATATATATATTTATTTACGTATGTAAATGCATTTTGCTATTGGACTAACTTGAGTGATGCCTGGCCTTGTTTCATACTGGTTCAGCCTTCTGTGGGTAAAGGAGCTTCACCCCATTACTGGAGAAACATCTTTTGGATGAGATGTTTCTTTTACTTATAGAAGAACTGGCAGTGCTCTCATCTCTCCATCAATCTTCTGCTTTGCCATGGGCCATAGCGTGAAAAGTGCTGGCCTCCACTGCCTCATTAGGTTTCCCATTAGCATCCATTAACCAACAACTTTCATTTCTTGGTGTGCAGCCAGCATTCCTTAGGAAATGAAAAAAACATCGACGTGATGATGCCATCATCGACTAAATATCGGCTTCCCGTCCTCATCAAGTCTGGATTGTCTTGCAGGACTTTCATCAAGTATTAAGTATTAGGAAGCTGCCAGGAGTTCCAATGGCACTTGGCTTATTTGATTTTGCTTCACAAAAATAAACAAAGTTACACTGGGCGAAATTTTTAAATTGTTTTATCCAAAGATCTAGAGAGAAGAATGTAAACCAAGTGCATTTGGCCTCCTTAGTCAGTTTTTGCAGCACCCACGACAGAATTCTGAGATTCTGAGGAGCAGCATGGACCTCAGATGCACACCCCTAAGGGAAGATGGCAGTCAACACTCCCAGCCACGCTGGGGGATCCCAGCCTCCCGCATCCATTCCTGCCATGACTACCAGCAGTAAGTGAGGCCACAGGCATCCCACAGGGCAATGCTGTTTTTCAAAAATCCACAGTTGTTATCAGACACTATGCTTCAAGTTGGCAATTTGGTAGAGCAATTGTCTGCCTTTGAGAATGACACCACACAGCACAAAGATATCACTAAAGCCATTAACAGGCATTTGTAACCTCTTAAAGATTTGGCCTCGACTCCCATTATTAGTTCTGGAACCTAAAATAAAATCAAATAATTCTTTTTTTTGTTTGTTTGTTTGTTTTGTTTTTTTCAGGATGGAATTTTGCTCTTGTCGCCCAGGCTAGAGTGCAATGGCACGATCTCGGTTCACTGCAACCTCCACCTTCTGGGTTCAAGTGATTCTCCTGCTTCAGCCTCCCGAGTAGCTGGGCTTACAGGCACGTGCCACCACACCCAGCTAATTTTTGTATTTTTAGTAGAGATGGGGTTTCACCACATTGGCCAGGCCACTCTCAAACTCCTGACTTCAGGTGATCCACCCGCCTCAGCCTCCCAAAGTGCTGGGATTATAGGCGTGAGCCACCACTCCTGGCCCACAATCAAATAATTCTACATGCTTCAACAGCTACCCAAATATATATGTTAGTGCACAGGAAATAATCTGGAAGGATACACAACAGCTTAGTGAAAGCAGGTATTAAGATTGGAAGCGAGAAGACTTTAAATTTATCTATAACTCTTGAAGTTATTTATATTATTTGTGTAATTTAAAATTAATTTAAAACAACCTAAGTTTTAGAATCTTTTTTTTTTTTTTTTTTTTTTGAGACAAGGTCTTGTTCTGCCCCCAAGGCTGGAGTGCAGTGGTGGGAACACAGCTCATTGTAGCCTTGACCTCCTGGCTCAAGTGATCCTCCCAATTCAGTCTCCCAAGGAGCTGGGACTACAGGTATGTGCCACCATGCCCAGCTGTCTTTTAAATTTTTTGTGGCGACAGGACCTTGCTGTGTTGTTCAGGCTGGTCTGGAACTTCTGGGCTCAAGTGATCTTCCCACCTTGGACTCCCAATGTGGTGGAATTGTAGGCATGAGCTATCACACCTGGCTAGAATCTTGTTTTTTTTTTTTGTTTTAAAGATGAATAAATTCACCATTTTCTTGTTGTATAAGAGCAGGTGTTCTGAGGAGTTAAAGACAGATAGATTTGAGAGGAGTAAGGATCTTCCTTTACTTCCTTAGCTGTGGAAGTCTTGAGGGTTACACAGCACCCAAAGAAGGAACTGGGGTTTTATTGGCACTGAATAGGGAAGGGAGCTTGGTAGTGGAGAGGACCTTGGAGAAGTGGTGCAATGGGAGTCGATTTCTGGAGAGACTCAAATAGTCCTCAGATGGGACTGTCTGTTCTTCCTGCTGAGTGAATGTGAAAAGGAAGAATACCCAGAAATAAAGGGAAGAGAAAAAAGAGCACTAGGCAAAGGAGAAGAGAGGAGATTGGGAGGGCGCCTGTGGAGGGCAGTTTATGAAGACAGGAAATCAAGCAGCTGGCCACGGTAGGGGACAGACTCAGAACCATCCCCACCATAGGAGGGTGGAGATTTCACATAAAGGAGCTTCAGGGGCTGTATAAGGCCTTAGAGAAAGAGCATCACTCAAGCTGTGTGCCAGCTCAAAGGAAGATAGTGGCTTTTCCCTCCTTCCTTCCCTCCCTTCCTTCCTTCCTTCCTTCCTTCCTTCCTTCCTTCCTTCCCTCTCCTCCCTCCCTTCCTTCCTTCCCTCTCCTCCCTCCCTTCCTTCCTTCTTTCCTTCCTTCCTTTCTTATTTCCCCTTCCTTCCTTTCTTCCTTCCTTCCATCTCCTTCCTTCCTTCCATTCTCCTTCCTTCACTTCCTCCTTCTTCCTTCTCTTCTTCCTACCTTCCTTCCCTTCTTTCTTCCTTTCTCTTTCCTTCTCTTCCTTCCTCCCTCTTCCTTCCCTCTTTCCTGTATTTTTTCCTTCCTTCCTACTCTCCTTCCTTCCTTCTCTCCTTCCTTCTTTCCTTTTTTTGGAGAATCCAGAATGAGGACGTTTCAAAGAGGCCATGCCAGATAATGCAATGATCTTTTATTAGGAAATTACAGTCAGTGATTCAGTGCAGGAAAATGAGTCACTATATTAGGCTAAAAGCAATAGAAATTCACAAAAGTAACAGGGATGAATGTTCTACCAGGAAGGGAACAAGTTACTAAAATAAAATGCCATTGTTCTTAAATATAACCCACTTCTAACTGTGCAAGATTTCCAACTGAGAAATTTGAACTCCCTGATGATGCCCTTAAATTCTACTATTGTTTTTATGCTGGGTACAATGTGACATATTTTAATAAAAAAAGTAATATAATATTTCATATGACCCTCTTTTGTATACATAATTGTATTTTCCCCCTTTATTAAAATTTAATATATATATATATATTTTTTTCTTGAGACGGAGTCTTGCTGTGTCGCTCAGACTGGAGTGCAGTGGCATTATCTCAGCTCACTGCAACCTCTGCCTCCTGGGTTCAAGCAATTCTCCTGCCTCAGCCTCCTGAGTAGCTGGGATTACAGGTGCGCACCACCACCATGCCCGGCTAATTTTTTGTATTTTTAGTAGAGACGAGGTTTCACCCTGTTAGTCAGGCTGTTCTCGAACTCCTGACCTCGTGATCCATCCACATCGGCCTCCCAAAGTGCTGGGATTACAAGCATGAGCCACCATGCCCAGCCCTAAAATTTAATATATTACTGTCCAAGACATTATTAAAATGACGTGCATACTCGGTGTCTCTCAGAAAATAAAGTTCCAAGAATGATGATGGGTCATTTGACATTTGAAGAAAAGCATCTGTTTTTGAGAAAATTTTCTTTCCTTAACACATTTATTCATTGAATTCACTCACTCTTTCAGGTGTTTTGCATAGTTCTCTCTGGTAATAAAGTGAAGGAAATTTACCTGAAGATCAAGACTGTTTCTTGGCCGGGCACGGTGGCTCACGCCTGTAACCCCAGCACTTGAGAGGCCAAGGCAGGCAGATCACTTAAGGTCAGGAGTTTGAGACCAGCCTGGCCAACATGGTGAAACCCCGTCTCTACTAAAAATACAAAAAAATTAGCCAGGCGTGGTAGCACGTGCCTGTAATCCCAGCTACATGGGAGGCTGAGGCAGGAGAATCGATTGAACCCAGGAGGCAGAGGTTGCAGTGAGCTGAGATCGCCCCAAAGCACACTCCAGCCTGGGCGACAGAGTGAGATGCTGTCTTAAAAAAAAAAAAAAAGGACTGTAAAGACTGTTTCTTGTAAGTTGCATTGTCATCATAAAGCTGGATAGGGACTCAGAGCCCCCAGTGGCATTGAGGACACAGAGCTTGAGAGAGAGAATTATATGGTGGGGGACATAAGAGAACAAGCCTAGTTCATAAAAATTACTTTCCTAGGATTCCCGATATTAACTCTTTCCAGCTCCCTGAAGAGAATTGTAAAGGTTTCCATTCTGTTGAATAGAAAACATGAACCGAGTGAGGTGCTCTGCTAGGGAGCTGTGGGAGATGCCAGGCCGGTAGTGTAGTTGTTGTCCTCTGGGAGTTTGCAATAAAATAGGGGAGAAGAAGGTTTTGGTCTGGTTTTTTTGAGACAGGATCTTGCTCTATTATCCGGGCTGGGGTGAAGTGACACCATCACAGCTCATTGTAGCCTTGACCTCCTGGGCTCAAGCAATCCTCCCAGTTCAGCCTCCCAAGTAGCTGGGACTACAAGTGCATGCCACTGTGCCCAGCGGGCTCTCACTATGTTGCCTAGTCTGGTCTTGAACTCCTGGCTTCAAGGGATCCTCCCACTTTGCCACCCCAAAGCACTGGGATTATAGGCTTATATGAGCCACCACACTCAGCCAAGAAAAGACTTTTGATCAAGACTCTCATTAGAGACAAGCAATGGAAGTGCAATAATTAGGGGCACAAACAAAGTACAACTGGTCAACTGCAAGATAAAGAAATATAGTCATTTGACCAGGTAGGTCTAGGAAGTCAGTGAGTAGGATGTTAGCAGGTCTCTGAAGGTGGTTAGAATGTTGACCGATGAGGTACTGAGAGAAAAAAGGGAAGAGATTCCTGTGCTGGATCAGGCACAGAAGATGAAGAATGCAGGGTGTAGAATGGCTTGTTTAATTGGCCTGGCCTTGGGAGCCAGATGGTGTGAAAGGGAGGGGCATGTAGTGAATGGTGATGCTGAGAAAACCAGCGGGAGGCAGATGCAGTGTCTTGAAGCCCTTTTGGATCTTAGTATTTATTGTAATGGAGCGCCACTGAAGGTTTTCAAGGAAAGAAATGACAGATTGATATGTGTTCTTTAGAAAGACAGCCCCTGGCAGGAGTGTCTAGAATAGACTGTTGCAACAGAGCCATGACTTGCACAATGCCAAGGAGACCATTCACAACTCCATGCAGTGCAATGTGAATGGTGCCTTTTGGAATTATGTGGTGGGCAGCCCCAGGGAGTGGAGATGTCAGAGACAGAGTGATAGAGGTAGCAAGTAGGGATCTTCGATTGCAAGCAACAGAAACCGACCCTAATTAACTTAAGGAGGAAAAAATACATTGGAAGGATGGGGGTCATTCAAAGAGTTAAAAGATAAGAAAATACTTAGAGGAATCAGAGCTACTTCATAGATCTAATGGAGAATCTCTTCAGGATATTGCCATGGGGACAAATTACTTTCCATCACTTCCAGTCTTTTTGACACTCTACTCAAGAGTCAAGTTCCAGGGAGAGAGGATGATTGATTTATTTAAGGTCATGTGCTCTCTCCTTGGCCAAGAGACTATAAGGGCATCTTGGCCGAGTGCTGTGGAGCCCCTGGGAACAGTTTTCAGGTGTGGTTTGGCCAATTTCTTTTTTTGTTTGTTTTTGCTTTGGCCAATTTCTGTGAGACAGCACTGCAAAGATACCATCTCAATACTTGGCACAAAGGAAGTCCTGAAAAAAGTGATATTTTCCCCCTTTTCCCTGCAGGGAATCTTTGCAAATGTACCCCTTTACTTGAGATAAAGCATTTTTATTTATTTGTTTATTTATTTATTTATTGGAGATGGAGTCTCCTTCTGTCGCCAGGCTGGAGTGCAGCGGCACGATCTCAGCTCACTGCAACCTCTGCCTCCCGGGTTCAAGCAATTGTCCTGCCTCAGCCTCCTGAGTAGCTGGGACTACAGGCGTGTGCCACCACGCCCAGCTAATTTTTGTGTTTTTAGTAGAGACGGGGTTTCACCATGTTGACCAGGATGGTTTCGATCTCTTGACCTCATGATCTGCCCACCTCGGCCTCCCAAAGTGCTGGGATTACAGGCGTGAGCCACCTCACCCACCCTGAAATAAAGCATTTTAAAACATGCTCAAAGATTGAAAAAAGCTCTATAAGGAAAAACATGTTTATCATATATATATATATGAGCGGTTGCTGTGGAGCTAGCTGAGTTCCCTCTGTTTGCAGTGACTAACTTTATTAAGGCATTAGCAAACCTTGTTCCAGGAAAGCCTTGCCTTTCGAATGAAAATATCCAGGATTGGGTGAACATAGCTTGAGTCGCCCTATTTGGGTAATGACTCAGATTAGATATCCAGCTCTCAGTAATGTTAGTGTTTGCTTGGGTTTATGAAATATTTTATTGATCTAGGCATTTTGCTTTTTTTTTTTATTCTCCACCTGTTTGTGGGTAGATTTTTATGACTGGTATCAAATTCCTTATTTTACACGTGGACCTATATTTCATGCTTGATATTTGATAAAGGAAATTGAGCTGTTCTTTCTATTGCTTTAAGAGCAGTAGATCCTGGGGGTGAATGCTGTTGTGTGACACATCAAGACCAGCAAAAGCACAAGAGAAATGAGCTTTGAAAAGAGAGGTAATTACCTAAAATTAGATAAAGCCAAAACTGTTCTGTTAGGTAAATCCTGCTGCTAAATTGCCTTTAGCAAGCTAAGCATGGGATAATATTATGTTCTACCAAAAAAAAAAAAAAAAATCTAAAACCTTAGCCACAGGAAAGTGTGCTGAATATCAAGTGTTTTCAAGCGTTCTCTTATTTTTCTTTATTACTTTCCTGACTTGAAAAAAGACATGGCAAAGTGTAGTGACAATTGATTTAGGGCATGGGAAAGGGTGACCCGATTTTTAAAAATGTTCTCATAAATCAACAAATTAGTCTCCTTGAGATCATGAAGTGATGTTTCTGAGAAATTAGTGGCCTCATTCTGGAACCTAGTGGACAGGCTGTGTTTTCAAAACTAACAGCTTGTTCTAGTTGCCTTGCTTTAGTTGAAGGCTTAGTACCTCTACCAAAAGCTTCAAAGTAACGCAGGCATTGAGCTTCCCCAAGAAAAGGGCAGTAAAACAAACAATGTAGAAGCAAAGAACCAGGTGTCTTGGCAACATTGTAATTATGGCTGCTTGTGACGTTCTACAGGGATTTCTTCTTCAGGACTATGAATTTGGCCCATCAGGAGAACTTTGGCTAGCTAATACCTGCTGGGGAAATGTATGGGATCAGATCTCTGATTTATGAGATCCCTTCCAAGTGGGATCTGATAAATTATTAAAATAATAATTTTGAAATCTGTAACAATTTGAGAAAATACTTATGTCATAATGTTCCATGAAAGAAGCAAGATTTAAAAAATAAACTTTTCCGTGATTACAACTGTGTAATAATTATGGATATGTACAAACAAAGTCTCTAAAACAATAGCTAAAAATGAAAAAGGCCAGGTGTGGTGGCTCACGCCTGTAATCCCAGCACTTTGGGAGGCTGAGGAGGGAAGATAGCTACAGCCTGTGTTCAAGACTAGCCTGTTCCCATCAGCAGTAGACTGGATAAAGAAAATGTGGTGCCTGTACACCATGGAATACTACACAGACATGAAAAAGAATGAGATCATGTCCTTTGCAGAAGCACAGACGGAGCTGGAGGCTATCATCCTATGCGAACTAACATAGGAGCAGAAAACCAAATGCCATATGTTCTCACTTATAAGGGGGAGCTAAAGAGTGAGTAGATACGGACACAAAGAAGGGAAAGACAGACACTCGGGCCTACTTGAGGGTGGAGGGTTGGGGGAGGGTGAGGATCAAAAAACTACCTATTGAGGGCCAGGCGCAGTGGCTCACGCCTGTAATCGCAGCACTTTGGGAGGCAGAGGCAGGCAGATCACCTGAGGTCAGGAGTTCAAGACCAGCTTGGCCAACATGATGAAACCCTGTCTCTACTAAAAATACAAAAATTAGCTGGGCATGGTGGCGCATGCCTGTAATCCCAGCTATTTGGGAGGTTGAGGTAGGAGAATCGCTTGAACCTGGGAGGTGGAGTTTTCAGTGAGCCGAGAATGCGCCACTGCACTCCAGCCTGGGCAACAGAGCAAGATTCCATCTCAAACAAACAAACAAACAAACAAACAAAAAACCAAAAAAAAAAACCAACAAACACACACAAACCCCAAAACCCTACCTATTGGGTACTAGGCTTATTTATTACTTGAGTGACAAAATAATCTGTACACCAAAACCCCATGACATGGAATTTACCTATATAACAAACTTGCACATGGACCCTTGAACCTAAAATAAAAGTTTTTTTAAAAAAAGACTAGCTTGAACAACATATAAAACAATTTAAAATTTTTTTTAAAAGAAAAACATTTAATTTCTGGGGAGATTTTAGAAAACGCTTAGTTGATTTTGCCTTAATTCTGTTGTAGTTGATGCAAAAAGCAAAAGAAAGGCAAGGTGACATTCAAAATATTTTGTATGCTGTATTCTACACTGTGGAGGCTGCTCTAATAAGCAGCTGTAGTAATTACAGAGGGCACCAGATGGTGGCATGTAAACACAGCTTAGAGAGCCAGGTGGGCACTGGGCTTTTCCCACTGGGGTTCCAGAGTGGCCTCTCCCCCTCCAAGGTCTGGGCCCAGTCTGTTTGGGGGAGTGTCAAATGCAGATGGGAGCTGTTGGAGGCCCAGAATGTTGCTGGAGAGGGGTAGACACCAGGGCAGCCCTTCAGAACGCCCTACCTCAGCCCAGAGCAATGGGTGTGTTGGAGGCACTTGATGTGTTCAGGCATCATCTCCAGGTTTTAACAAGTGGCACAGCTGTAACAACGCCAATGAGCTGATAGGAGCCCTGATTACCAACAGTCTTGAAAGAGAGGGCCTGAGAGAATGCTTGCAAAGTTCTTACTTAGTGTAATCCCAGCACATGGGAAAGACTCCATACACGCTGGCTGTTGTAATAGGATCACAGTCCTGCTTACACTTTTATTATTATCAATAGGCAAAAAGCACACACCCTAGAGATTTTTCGAGGTTCCTTGAGGAGAGGATGGATGTCAGGTGTGGCCATCAGCCCCAGCGCTGAGAAGGGCTTATACAGACAGAATCTTCAGGTGGTATGACGACTTAGCTTCCCTGGCCTTTCTCCCCACTTCTGCCCATCGGTCATTACCTACCTCAGGACCCTCTAGTCATTATCGTGGAGAGGGGGACAAAGGAGGAAAATGCAGGTAGTTGAACCTGAGAGATGGTGCCAAATTGTCTTTTAATAACAGTTTTTTCTTCGAAACAACACAGAAATGCATGTCTGCACACAACAGGGACAGGATCCAGGAATTAGGAAGCCCCAACAAGAGTGCCAGGGGCACCCCAGAAAACCAGACACAAGGCTATGGCTGACCTTCTAACCTTCTCACTTCGTAAAAACAGAAGAGAACAAGTTCCTTCCTCAACTTGATACGTTAGCGTTTCTTGTAAATACATTTCCTGTGTCTAGTTCATCTTACTTTATAAACACAGACATCTGCTTTCAGTTTTGTTAAGAATGTGCTAAGAAATTCAGTTGAAAAACGCAATAAAGGATCCACAGAGGTCTGTCCTCACAGAACGAATCAGTGTTCAAACTAGTTCTGGAGGGAGACATTCAACATAGAGATGCCACAGGGCTACAAGCCAGCATTCCTGCTCGCTGAAGAAAGGCAACACTCGACACCCATGACCATCGATCCCATCTATTGGGGTGGAGGGTGGGGAATGCCTTCCATTACAGACTCAGTGTGACCTGTCTTCCCCGTCCTCCCATGAGGAGTCAGAGCCTTGGGAAGATGCCTGCAGAGTCATCACCACTGCATCCTCATCATGACCTGTATCTGTAGATTTTTCTCCCTTCAAGTACTATAATTTCCCACTGAACTCCGCTCTTTCTATTGGCTGACATACAGTATGTGCTTACTATGTGCTAGACATTGTACTAAGCAGTTTACATGGATTATTTCACTCTATGCTATTAGGGAAATAGTCTTATTGTGTCCATTTTACAGATGGAAAAACTGAGGCTGTCGATGGATGGATGGATGGATGGATGGATAGATAGATAGATGAATGGTGGGTAAAGCTGAGATACAAACCCAGTCTTAACCATTAAAACTGCCTTTATGAATAATAATGTAAGACAAAATAAATTTGAACTTCTTTAATTCAAGTCTACTGATCGATAGTGATAAGTATAAAATAATAATCATATCAAACACTTATAACAATCTTATAAGATAGGAGCCATAATCATAACTGTTTTACAGAAATGCCTAAAGTATTACTGGCCCTTTCAATGAAACCACATGCAGAAGAAGGAGAAACATACACAGACACACAGGCACACAGAACAGAAGCAGTCACATGTGCATTTGGAGCTGGATGCAGAAGTATACTTACAGGCAGAAGCAGATTGCCTTAGGTTGAGCTGTTGTAACAAAATACCATAGACTGGAAGGTGTTAACCAGGTGGATAGATTATCCCTCTATCCATAGATGGCTTAAGGAACAGACATTCATTTCTCATAGTTCTGTAGCCTGGGAAGGTGCCAGCAGATCTGCTTCTTTTGAGAGCTCTTTCCTGGCTTGTAGACAGCCACCTTCCTGCTGCTGTGTGCTCACATGGCCCTTCCTTGGTTTATGTAAATGGGAAGAGAGAAAGCTCTGGTGCCCCCACTTATTATAAGGGCACTAATTTCACCATGTGGCTCCCATCCTTGTGGCCTAATCTAGGCCTAATTACCTCTGAAAAGTTCCACCTCCAAATGTCATCATATTGTGGGGTAGGGCATCAACATATACATTTTGTGGGGGATACAAACATTTAGCCCATAACATAGATCTTATGCGGAAATCACAGAGGGATAGCTACACACAGAAAGTGGATCCTAATCATCCATCCATCAATCCACCCTTCTATCCATTGATTCATATGGTCACTTACTTACCCACACATCTATCCATCCATCCATCCATCCATCCATCCATCCATCCATCCATCCATCCACCCATCCACCCATCCATCCACCCACCCATCCATCCACCCATCCATCCACCCATCCATCCACCCATCCATCCACCCATCCATCCACCCATCCATCCATCCATCCATCCATCCACCCATCCATCCATCCACCCATCCATCCACCCATCCATCCATCCATGCAATTAATGTTTGTTTGTTGTGCATCGCCCTGAAGCCAGCGAGACCACGAACCCACTGGGAGGAACGAACAACTCCAGACGCGCCGCCTTAAGAGCTGTAACACTCACCGCGAAGGTCTGCAGCTTCACTCCTGAAGCCAGCGAGACCACGAACCCACCAGAAGGAAGAAACTCCGAACACATCTGAACATCAGAAGGAACAAACTCTGGACACGCTGCCTTTAAGAACTGTAACACTCACCACGAGGGTCCGTGGCTTCGTTCTTGAAGTCAGTGAGACCAAGAACCCATCAATTCTGGACACGGCATGATCTCAGCTCACTGCAACCTCTGCTTCCTGGGCTCAAGCAATTCCCCTGCCCCAGCCTCCTGAGTAGCTAGGATTACAGGTGTGTGCCACCATGCCCAGCTAATTTTTGTATTTTTAGTAGAGACGGGGGTTTCACCATGTTGGTCAGGCTGGTCTCGAACTCCTGACCTCATGATCTGCCCACCTCGGCCTCCCAAAGCGCTGGGATTACAGGCATAAGCCACCTTTCACTACATATTCTGAAAGCTTAAACACCTGAGAGAACTCAGAAAGAAAACGCACATGGATTGAGAACAGCATTAAGTTCTTTCCCAATAAGTTATTTCCCAATTTATCTGCATTTGTCTGAGTAAAGAAATACATTTCTAGTTGCAAAGTGAAATTATAAGCAGGTTCTTTCCCTTCAAAATGATTTTTCATCCTTCCAAGAGCCAGTGGGAAAATATGGGAAGAATTCATTTCCAAACAAGGCAGTTAAAGGTTACAACTTCTAACCATCAGGAGCCAAAGCCTGCTCATGCATGCTGATGGTGGACAGGGATTCAGGGGTCCTCAGGGAACTCATGTCCCCCCTCCTCTGGTCAGTGGAGGATCATTGCATTGACCAGCGAACCTCAGCAGTTTCAATGTAGCAATGCAGATGTCCATGGGCTGTGCTGCTGAGATGGCCTTTGGGTCTTCCCTCTTATGAGAGGGCTGAGTGTGGCCCTTATCCTTCTAAAGAGAGGTCTACAAAGCAGCGGGGCTGGGGTTACAAATTCATAGAGAATAGGCAGACAACTATGGGCTGGAGATGTCCAGGAAAAAATATCCACTGGCCATTTAAAATACTAAGCCAGGAGCCAATCACATATTTATATTAAAAATAGCAAGCTGCCCAAATCCAAATGATTTATTGCAATCAAGTTGCAACAGCAGACTTCCTACCTGGAGATATCAAATACTTAGTGGGTTATTTAAGTAACCAAAGCAAAAAAGTCTCATTACAAACAGGTATTTATTATGTGGACAAAGGGGTATTGTCCTTGCACTCTCTTATTAAAATACTCTTCAGTGAAATAGTTATCATTAATCCCATATCATAGATGAATAAACTGAGGTTCAGTAAGTTAAGAAGTTTACTCAGTTGTTTTAAACATTTGTCAAATCAGATGACTCCCTTCTCTGAAATAGGCCTATTTTTTTTCTCTCTCTCTCATGGAAAGATTTAAATTACACATAAATTGGGAGAATATACAAGAACTCTCCACGTACCCATCACGCAGGCATAACAAGCATCAAGTCATGGGTCTCTCTCTGTCACCCAGGCTGGAGTGTAGTGGCGTGATCATGGCTCATTGTAGCTTTGACCTCCTGGGCTCAAGCAAGACTCTTGCATCAGTATCCCAAATAGCTGAGACTACAGGCACATGCCACCATGCCCAGCTAAGTTTTGTAATTTTTGTAGAGACAGGGTTTTTTCATGTTCCCAGGCTGGTCTCAAACTTCTGGGCTCAAGCAATTCTCCCACTGTATTAGTCCATTTTCATACTGCTATAAAGAACTGCCCGAGACTGGGGAATGTATAAAGGAAAGAGCTTTAATTGACTCACAGTTCAGCATGGCTGGGGAGGCCTCAGGAAACTTACAATCATGACAGAAGGTGAAGGGGAAGCAGGCACCTTTTTCACAAGGCAGCAGGAAGGAGAAGTGCTGAGCGAAGGGGAAACAGCCCTCTAAAATGCCCTCAGATCTTGTGAGAACTCACTCCCTATCACGAGAACAGCATGGGGGAACAGCCTCTTGCATGAGGCAGAGCAAGACCGCATCTCCTAAAAACTGGAGGGCATGGGGAGGGACTGATTTCTCTTTGCCAACCTAGGCCCTTACAATTGGCCATGGGACTTCCAGTCATAATTCTAAGTGAGGGTTTCAAGCACATTTAATGAGCACTTTCTTATTTATTCTTTAACAGAAACATTAAAACTGCAAAGGAAGAATAATGTTTAGATGGAGAAGTTTCTCCCAAAATTTGCCAAATATTATCCAGTGTCTTTTCTTACTGCAGTATGTATAACTTATCTTCTGAAAAAGAAGATGTATTACTGTGACTTAATACCAACACAACAGACACAGTTTGTTCATCCTATTTGTTCTTCACCAGAAAGGAAAGAACATTACCCATATTTAATTTATAAGCTGGAGGAACATCTGACCAAGGCCATTTCAGAACATAAATTTCTCTCAGCAAGCATAAGCGGAAATTCAGGCCCACCAGTTTTTGTATCAGTTTGCTGTAATAACAAATGGCTCTGGTAGCAGAGGAAAACTTTTTCCTCTATTCTTTCATGTTCCATGCCTGAGGCCTGTGAATTAAACTGACAAAGACAGATTAAAAAGAGGAAAACGTGAGAGTTTATTTATGCATGTAATTCATATACACACAGAAGTCAGTACGTAACTCTGATTTCGGTGAGTGACTAACTCAAAGGAGTGGATAGACAGGCTTACATACCACCTTAGAAGGGAATGAGTAGGAAAAGAAAGGCACTTATGTGAAAACAACGACTTTTCAGAGAGGTAAATGGGGCTGGGTGTGGTGGCTCACTCCTGTAATCCCAGCATTTTGGAAGGCTGAGATGGGAGGATCGTTTGAGCCCAGGAGTTCAAGACCAGCCTGGGTAAGACAGTGAAATCCCATCTTTACAAAAAATACAAAAATTAGCCAGGCATGGCGGCACGTTTCTGTGGTCCCAGCTACTTGGGAGGCTGAGGTGGGAGAATTGCTTGAGCCTGGGAGGTTGAGGCTGCAGTGAGCTGTGATCACGCCACTGCACTCAGCCTGGGCAACAGAGCAAGACCCTGTCTCAAAAAAAAAAAAAAAAAGATAAATGGGTTTTGAGGAGAACAAACAGGAGATAAGGAAGTTTGTGATAATGTTTTTCTATACAGTTATGAGTGATATGCCTCCTCTTTCATGTCTCCTTCAGGACAATGAAACTTCCCTGGAGAGAGGATTTGGGGTCGGTTTATTCACGGTCTCTTTTCTTGAAGTAGATCCACCCTGAAGAAGCATTTATGACAGCGTTATTTTCCAGAAGTTGCTGCTTTTAGTCAGATAAGAGAAGCTCTAAGAAGGCTTTTTTTTTTTTTTTCTCTAACTGTTGAACTGAAATGCCTTTTGCTTAAAATAATCTTTATACCATCTCTGGGGTTCCGAGTGGGTTTCTCCATCGCCAAATCTCATTAGCTTCTAACTGTAAAAATCTGTTTCTCACTCAGACCACACATCGGCTATGTCTTGCTGACAGTGCTGCTCCTGTGTCCTCTTCATTCCTGGACTCAGTCTGAAAGGGCAGCCATCAGACTTGTCATTTTGTTGTGGCGAAGGAAAAGAGAAATGACTGAGCCATGCTGTTTCTGAGAGCTGCTGTTTGGATGTGCAGTTTATCACTTCTACTCACTACCATTGGCCAAAGCAAGTCAGTTGGCCAAGCCCGCTATTAGTGGCAGCAGAGAGGTCTACGCCTTCTATAGACAGGTCATGGCAATGACAGGGAAACTGGTAAGGAAATCTTACTGGTAAAGGCAGTGAACAATTGGAAACAATACATTAATACAATTTATCAGTCGCCAAAGGTTTACTCTTGCCTTTCCATTCTGCTTAGAAAAGTTTCAGAGAAGTAAGGCTTGAATTGGCCTTTCAAGGATGATTCCAGGCAGGGGTGAAATAGATGCTAATGCAGGAATATTTGGAAAATAAGAAAAAATCCCAAAAGGCCAGGTCACATGGAGTGGAGAGAAATGGTGACAATAAAGTTGAAGATCTGGTGGGGCCAAATAGTAAAATTGGGACAAATGAGACATTCTGGTTTTCTGCTTTTCAAACATTTCCACCAAAGCCTTCCTGATGGCCAAGGGGAATTAGTACACTTCCTGAGGTTTAGAAAATCATCTTTGAAGGTTTGAGTGACATCTTAAAAAGTAACAAAAAGTTTGCATTCTGCTTCAGAAATATTCAATTTGGTTTTATTATGAAAACAATGTTTTACTCACCTGAAAATCTTCAAAGAAAATTGACACCTTGGGAAGTAGCCCCATGTTCAGCCAGGTCTGTGCTCTGATTTGATATGCTTTCTGGCACCAGACTGAGTGCCCCACTGGAGAAGTCTGCTTCTTTCCCCTTTTCTCCAGATGTAAACATCTTCCAAATAAAAGGAGAAGAAAAATATGTAACCTCTCTTTGTGACATACAAGTTCTGGTATAGATTAATTTACCTTCTTAGCTATATTGTTTCGATCCCTTTTTCTTGGGCTATTTATTGTTACTCCATCTGTTTGCCCATTACAAATGGGGAATTAAACTCTGTCGTTGTGATTATACTTCCACCAGCCCATTTCTCCCTTCATTCACACATGTTGTTACTGCTGTCTGGAATATATTTGCATGGTGCCTTCCACTTTGTCCCTTGTCTTCCAAATCAATCCCTATTTACCTTTTTAAACCACCTCAGGCTGAGAGCAGTGGCTCACACCTGTAATCCTAGCATTTTGGGAGGCCAAGGCGGGCAGATCACCTGAGGTCAGGAGTTCGAGACCAGCCTGGCCAACGTGGCAAAACCCCGTCTCTACTAAAAAATACAAAAATTAGCTGGGCATGGTGGCACACGCCTGTAATGCCAGCTACTTGGGAGGCTGAGGCAGGAGAATCACTTGAACCTGGGAGGTGGAGGTTGCAGTGAGCTGAGATCGTGCCACTGCACTCCAGTCTAGGCAACAGAGTGAGACTCTGTCTCAAAAACAAAACAAACCCACCTCACCACCTCTGTGAAGGCTTCCCCCATCCTGGCATGCTAGTCACTCCCATCCTGGGGAACGGCCACTGTGCTACTGTGTGAACAGAAATATGGCAGCATCTACAGAAACTAAAAATGCAAATACCCTTTGATCCACCAATTCTACTTCTAGGAATCTTTCCTACAAAATATTTGTTCCTGTGCGCGAACGTGTATGTACAAAGAATGCCCAGCGAACTGGAAAACGAAGGGACTGTCCATCAATGTGAGGATTGTGAAATAAGCTACGGCACCAGAATACTATGCAGCCATGAAAAAAAAAATGAAGTACGTATATGTACAGATCACCCAGATTTTGTTAAGCCGAAAGGTGAATCACAACATATTATATAATGAAAACATACAATGCCATGAAAGCTTCATATGAGTGCAAAGTGTTAGCAGAATGCATATTAAATTGTTACGGTTGTCACAACTATAGCACAAAGGAAGTTGAGGTTGGTGGTAACAGTGCTGTAGGACTTCACTTTTTACTGCAGGCAATTTAGGGTTGCTGAAATCTTTTATGACTGGAGTATATTTGGATATTGTTTGCCATAATTAAACCAACTAAAATGCCTAAAACTAAAGTAAAATAATACCAATTGTTTATTTTATTTTATTTTATTTCATCTTTTTAAGACAGGGTTTTGCTTTGTTACCCATATTGGAGTGCAGTGGCACCACCATGGCCTACTGCAGCCTCAACCTCCCAGGCTCAGGTGATCCTCCCACCTCAGCCTCCCAAGTAGCTGTGACTATAAGCATGCACCACTATGCCTGGCTAACTTTTTTTTTTCAATTTTTGTAGAGACAAGGTCTCACTATTTTGCCCAGGCCGGTCTCTAACTCCGGAGATCAAGCAATTCTCCCACCTTGTCCTCCCAAAGTGCTGGAATTACAAGTGTGAGCCAACAGTCCTAGCCTCCAATTTATTTTAGCATATTTATAAAATTCAGAAAAAATGAAGAAAATAATAAAAATCACCAGTAGAATTGTCACTTTCTGAAAACAAAATCATTTAAAAGTTGGTCATGTGCAATATTCTTTTCTTTTGATAAGCTTCACTCTGAAATTAAGACACCCAGAAGACAGTATTTTATGAAACTTACCTCTAAATAGCTTTCATTGGTTGACTTAATTTTTTTAGCAGCTAATAAAGTACAATCTCAAAACACTGATGGTAATCACAACTGACTATAAAACTGTTGAGGGAAAATTATGACAGAAACCTGGGCTACTAAAAGTTCTAATGCAAGATAAATTTCTGGACTTGTGTTTAAAAGAGAGTTTGACTAAAACTAATGAGTTTATATGACCTAATTCAACCAATCACATCTGGCATTACTGCAGTTTATTACCCGCTTTCATCAAATCAATAATCTTGGTTATATAAAGCATGCTTCAGTCGTTTCCATTTTCTTTTATCATCAGGAGTACTGGGTAAGAGCTGGAGTAACTAATGGAAATTCCTCTCATTCTTCATCAAGCTGAGTTAGAGGTTTCCTGAAGCTGAGTTGCTATAACCCTATAAATTGTTAAAAGCCTCACCCCCAGAAGGCTACGCACTGCAACGTTCTTCCCCAATGTACTTGGCCTTATGCATGCCCTGCGCTGCATTCTTCTTTATTAGCACTGTTATATTATTTATTTTAAAAGTCACATTCATTTTATAAAGCGTCTTGGGACTAGGATGCTTTTCCAATCCACTTTTGTTTGGATGACGATCCCATTACTGTATTTATGCCCCAATAACACCAAGAAATCATCCCTGAGGGCACCATGTAACACGTATAATGTTATCAGATTTAGAGGTGCTGGGCACTCCTGTGATCTGTAAGGAACACCCACTACTGTCCTTGTGGAGAAAATGAGGCCCAAGGCAGTTAGGTCACTTGTCCAGCTTATAGCCATCAATGTCTGATGGATTTCCAACAGCAAAAGTTGTTTTGCAGCCAGCCAGGCACTTGGTAGTGCGTGCCTATAATCCCAGCTAATGGGAGGAGTTCAATTCCAGCCTGAGCAACATAATGAGACCGCATCTCTCTCTCTCTCTCTTTTTTTTTTTTTTTTTGAGACGGAGTCTCTCTCTGTCCCCCACGCTGGAGTGCAGTGGCGCGCTGTCGGCTCACTGCAAGCTCCGCTTCCCGGGTTCACGACATTCTCCTGCCTCAGTCTCCGGAGTAGCTGGGACTACAGGCACCTGCCACCACGCCCGGCTAACTTTTTTGTATTTTTAGTAGAGACGGGGTTTCACCATGTTAGCCAGGATGGTCTCGATCTCCTGACCTCGTGATCCACCCGCCTCGACCTCCCAAAGTGCTGGGATTACAAGGGTAAGCCACCGCGCCCGGCCAACCCCATCTCTTACAAAAAAAAAAAAAAAAAATGTTGTTTTGCCCCAGCAGCAGAATGGATTCTGATTTAGGGGCAATAAGATGTCTGTTAATGGAGATAGATGAAGAGGCAGGCTGTTTCTGAATCCCTGTGCCTGTTTTAAGTCTTTCTGTGCCATTGGTTAAAAGCCTTATTGAAAAATAATTTACATGCCATAAAATTCACTCATTTTAAGTGTACAATTCAATGATCTTTACTACATTTACAGAGCTGCACAGCCATCACCACAATCCTATTTGAGAACATTCTCATCACCTTAAAAGATCCCTCATGTCCATTTGCAGTTTATTTCCCCCAGAAGAAACTACTTGCATTGGAATCCTTTTCTTGGGGTCTGATTCTGAGGGAACCCAAAAGAAGACACTCCCTGCCACGGTGTGCAATACATACTGAGCCTAACGTGGACGCCCATTCCGCTCCAACCTAGATCTGCCACGCTCATCAATCATCCCCGACACATCAAAACCAGCTGCTATCATTAAAAAACAGATAATAACAAGTGTTGGTGAAGATGCAGGGAAATAGGAACCCTCATAGCCCATCAGTGGGATTGTAAAGTGGTGCAGCTGGTATGGAAACCAACCTGGCGGGTCCTGAGAAGGTTAACACAGAGTCATCACGTGACTCCACCACTCTACTGCATGGTAGATACCCAAGAGAACATATGTTCACACAAAAACTTCCAGACATCTCTTCCTAGCAGCATTATTCATAACGGCCCCAAAGTGAAAACAACTAAAAGTCCATCAACAGATAAACAGATAAAACAGAGAGGACTTCCTTATTTTGCTGACTCAGGTTGACCCCAATCTGATGTTTTTTGGAACTCTGCTCCATCTCAAAGTTTGGTTTGATTAGGTGGAACTTAGCACAAGTGACTCTATCCTGGTTTGGTCTGGTCTACTGGGGGCTACCTAGTGTAGGAGGCAAGTCCAAAACAGTGGACTCCCATAAACTTTTTTTTTTTTTTTTGAGACAGAGTCTCACTTTGTTGATCAGGCTGGAGGGCAGTGGCATGATCTTGGTTCACTGCAACTTTAACCTCTTGGGGCTCAAGCAATCCTCCCACCTCAGCCTCCGGAGTAGCTGGGACTACAAGCACATGCCACCATGCCCAGCTAATTCTTGTATTTTTTATAGCAATGGGGTTTTACCATGTTGCCCAGGCTGGTCTTGAACTCCTGGCCTCAAGCGATCCTCCTGCCTTGGCCTGCCGAAGTACAGGGATTATAGGCGTGAGCCACTGCCCCCAGCCTTTATATACCATTTTAACGAAGGGAAATAGACTGTGGAGAGGCGACTCAACAAAGGAGAAAGGGAGGCAGGGTTTGGGCTTCTAGGGGTGGAAAATTGTGGAAAGGTGACTAGGAAACATATGGTGAATAAGGTTTGTTTTGCAGATAAAAACCATTTGGAGTTAGTCTCCTCATGGTATGAGAGACATCAGAAGAGGGGGATACTTTACAAATGGAATTTTATGTCACCTTTACAAAGGGAAATTTATGGCCTACTTGGAAACAGCAGAAGGAAAGAGAGTTCCTTTGGTGTCTGCTGTTTCTTAATTGCCCTCAACTCGAAATAATCTTATGCCACAGTGGCATATTTTGGAGGTGGCATATTCTGATCCCCTCCAAAAGACTGGAATGGAGCAACAAGAGGAGCTGAATCCACTTGCCAATCCACTTGCTAATCCATAGAAGCCAGGTAGTTCAATCAATTGAAAAAAAAACACACGATTCCAGATCGCTTTCTTTGTGCACTTAATTAGTAACCCTGCATGGTAAGCAAGGCACTGTCTGGCAAGGACAGTCACAGGCAAGATGCCCATCCACTGTCAACATGATGATGCCATGTTAGGACTAATATTTTCATGAGCTCAGAAATGGGTGAGGGTGAGGGGTCCCAAATTAGAGTGCATGGCCTTCTGGTGAGTCTCAAGAATTGGAGGTGTGAAAAGAATGTGTTTTTTTATTATTGAGCAGAGCGCTAGGGCTTGAAACTGGGAGCCAGTGGTGTGGCTCTGCTGGTCAGAGAGTTTTCCCTGAGCAGCCTGCTGGGAGTGAAATTGAGTAGGAGCCGCTGCACTGGTCAATTTGCCTCCCAGCAGGCCCAGGGCTGCAGACCTAAAGCCAGCCTGAGCCAGGGAGACTGAACCTGGACCAGGGCAGGAGGAGGAGCGTGGGCTGCGCTGCACGGCTGGGGCTTTCTTTGTTGCAAGATGCATTGATTCTTAGCAAACTGCTTCGCTTGTCTCTGGAGTCTGAAGCTTTTTTTCCAGAACCCAGAACCTTGATTTTTAGTGATCTCACAACAGGCCTGGGCCACAGCAGGATGGTTTCTGTATGATCTAAGTCTTGGAAGCAGGAAATAAAAAGGGAGAAAAATATTGCAGCACACACCTTCAGTGGTAGAAAAAAAAATGTGTATTCCGATGAAAAACTATGCATCATCTCTAACCCACTCTTATGCCTTGTCAGAGTAGGATTTTTTTCCTTCTGATTCTGAGTCATATTCTGAGCTATTTTACAACTCTGCAAACTACAGATAACAGAAAACAGCCATGTGAATTCTGTCCTGTCTGATAGAGGTCTGGCTGACTCCCCTCTCCAACCTGTTAAAAAGAAACAGTTTTTAGGCCGGGCGCAGTGGCTCACGCCTGTAATCCCAGCATTTTGGGAGGCGGAGACAGGCAGATCATGAGGTCAGGAGATCGAGACCATCCTGGCTAACAGGGTGAAACCCCTCTCTACTAAACATACAAAAAATTAGCCAGGCGTGGTGGCGGGTGCCTGTAGTCCCAGCTATTTGGGAGGCTGAGACAGGAGAACGGCGTGAACTTGGGAGGCAGAGCTTGCAGTGAGCCGAGATTGCACCACTGCACTCCAGCCTGGGCGACAGAGCGAGACTCCATCTCAAAAAAAAAACAAAACAAAAACAACAACAACAAAAAAACAGTTTTGCCTCGCTCACAATTCAACAGTTCCTTTACACCCATATTAACTTGTGCTTCTTGACTTCTTTTTTGAGCCCATTGTAAAATCTGCCTGAATTCCTCATCAAAGGAGCAAATAAAACACTTAACATGTGTGTGTTGTAATATATGAATGAGACTCTTGATTTTATCTTTTCCTGAAAATTATCTTTAAACAGCCCCACTCTGCTTCTTTCTATGTCTTTCTAAGATCATGAGGTCACATAGTCTGGGTAGGTCTCCAAAGGGGAAAGTGTGTATTTTGGGGGAGCAGGAATGAATGGGGACTCACATTGACTAGATACTTAACTGTCTACTGATGACTTTATAAACACAATTTAATTTTCTCTTTTCTTTCTTCTTTCT
Organism: Homo sapiens; assembly: GCF_000001405.40. Classification (NCBI taxonomy): domain Eukaryota; kingdom Metazoa; phylum Chordata; class Mammalia; order Primates; family Hominidae; genus Homo; species Homo sapiens. The sequence goes on along the minus strand of NC_000013.11, from coordinate 99,452,169 downwards.
TTCTCTTCTTTTCTTTCTTTCCTTTCTTTCTGTATTAGTCCATTTTCATGCTGCTGATAAAGACATACCTGAGGCTGGGAAGAAAAAGAGGTTTAATTGGACTCACAGTTCCACATGGCTGGGGAGGCCTCACAATCACGGCAGGAGGCGAAAGGCACTTCTTACATGGCGGCAGCAAGAGAAAAATGAGAAAGATGCAAAAGTGGAAACCCCTGATAAACCCATCAGATCTCATGAGACTTATTCACTACCATGAGAACAGTATGGGGGAAACCACCCCCATGATTCAATTATCTCCCACCGGGAGATCCTTCTCACAATACGTGGGAATTAGGGAGTACAATTCAAGATGAGATTTGGATGGGTACATACAGCCAAGCCATATCACTTCCTCCCTTCCTCCCTTCCTCCCTCCCTCCCTCCCTCCCTGCCTCCTTCCCTCTCTCTCTCCCTCTCTTTCTTTCTTTTTCTTTTTTTTTTTTTTTTTAGAGATGAGGTCTTGCTTTGTCACCTAGGCTGAAGTACAACGGCACGATCATTGCTCACTGCAGCCTCGACCTCCTGGGCTCAAGCAATCCTCCCACCTCAGTCTCTCAAATAGCTGGGACTACAGGTGCATGCCACTATGCCCAGCTTGAATTTGATTTTTAAAACAACCACATGCAACAGCAATTGCTACACCATTTTATCGAGTAGGAAACTGATGTTCAGAGTTAATTTCAGAGACAAGTATTTTGTGGGGTAAGTATTATTTCAGTGACAAGCATTACGCAGAGATAATGTTCAGAAAGAAGTAATTTGCCCAATGCAGAGGCAGAAAAGGTATGATATCTTTCCTCAGCTATCATAAGGGCCATAGTTGAAACTCCTATAATGAAAGAGGGAGTTAACAAGGGAAAAGCTTAACAGATTAATTTAATCAAAATTTTATGTGATACAGGAGCTTTCAGAAACGAAGACCCAAAGACCCAAGGAAAACTGTTTTTATGCCTCTGTTCAATGAAGAATGGACAGCCATGTAAAAATGCGATTGGACAGAAGAGTGATCGAATTGTAATAGACTGACAGCAGAAACCCAGCAAGGCTTGTCTGTTCAGATGCTTCTTGGCCTCTCTGTAGCAGTCCTTCCTCCTGGGTATGGGGCAGCACCTCTGGAATGAGGGTCCTCCAGGGAGGAGGGAAGAGAGAGAAGGGAAAGCGTGGCCTCCTAGGCTTTATGGCTCGCTCTAGGAGAGAGGAGTTTGAATTTCTATGATCTGCCTTAGGGAAGAGGAATTCTGGTTTCCATGACTTGTTTCAGGGGAGAATGAGGGATAGGAGACAGGAAGATGGAAGAAGGTCTTAGAGCAACTTTGCTTCTGAGGCTTTCACAATCTCCTTTAGTTCAAGGTACTCAGCATGCCAAGGCACCAGATTTAGAAGCATCATTTTCTGAGCCCCAGTATTCCCCTGTCTGAAACTTCTTGGGAAAAGTCCAGAAATGGGGTTGGTGGATTGTCCCACAGGCCACTGAACCAGTCTCTCAGTTCCACAAATAGTTCAGTTCAGTTAAACACTTAACAGCTGTGTCTCATTTTAGGAGGTGGTTTTGCAGATGGGCTTCCACCTCTATGTGGTTACAGCAATCAAGCATTTAAGAAGAGGCATTTCTATGAAAACAAAGAAAAACAAAGATTTGTGATTAGAACAAACTATAAACTCAGTTTTTGAGTCCAGAGGGCAGCCAGTTAAGGGGATTTTTAGATGTTAGGCTCAAAGCATCTTCAGCTGGAGTAAGACCAGTCAGTGGGAATCTGACAGATTTTCCTGGTCTGCAGTTGGCATCAGGTGTCTTAGTGAACTTTCCGAGTAGTTCATACAGTAACACCGTGAGGCTGTCCATAAATAAGCTATTGAGGCGCTTTCCCTGAAGTTTACAACAAGTGGCCCAACTTCAGCTCACAGGGATCCAGAAACAGAGTGGTCTTAATTTCAGTAATTCCAAGCCAGGGGATGGGAGGAAAATTGGAACATTTGTTTGGAGAGTTGTAGTCAGATATTGGAGGAAACTAAAAAATTTAGGATTCAGTCTAGATTTTAGGTAGATGATGAACCCACAAAAACAATGAGGTAGAGTCTAATAATGAGTGCAGTATAGTCTCTTCCACAACAATTTTTCTCTCTAGAGTCACTCCCATTTCTACCAAAGATAATCAAAGGAAGACTGATTTGTTTGTAAAATAGGTTTAGTCTCATGAAAGTTGGCCTGATTATTTACATAGGTGCAGTGAGAATAGTGATGGGCCACGTAAAATTTGCTTTGCTGGAACTTTTCATAAGAAATCTAAAGCTGGACCTCCCAAGGTTAGGAAGCCAAAGTAAGGACTTACCAACAGACTATGTCTATAACACTTATAGATTTGGGTGAATTCTTCTCTTCTCGATGGCCCCAAAATATCGTGAGGTTCCTGAGCCATCCAAGAAGTGACAATCCTTACTCACCTGTAAGGCTGGGAACCCTCAGGCCATTTTTACCAAGGGCATCTTTATTAGCTCCGTAAAGTCAACCTTAGTTCCTTAAAGCTACCTGGTCATATCTGAAAATATGACATTCCAGTCAAAGCCTTGGTAATATAACCAGGGTTTCCAATTGTATCCTGTTACAAGGAGAACACAGTCTAATTGAAGTTAGGCAAATAACTATATTACCATACAAATAAGAATACTCACAAATAGCTACTACATTCTGGAGGGATGAGGTAGGGAGAAAAAGTAAATGCCTCCATTTTTGTTCATAAAAATATACTTCACCAAATTGATGTAAGCTATAGGTAGCTTAAAAGAAAAAAGTTTTTTTGGCCAGGAGTGGTGGCTCACACCTGTAATCCCAGCACTTTGAGAGGCCAAGGCGGGTGGATCACTTGAGGTCAGGAGTTCAAGACCAACCTGGACAACATGGGGAAAACCCGTCTCTACTAAAAATACAAAAATTATTTAGGCATGGTGGCGCTCGCCTGTAGTCCCAGCTACTTGGGAGGCTGAGGCAGGAGAATCATTTGAACCCGGGAGGCGGAGGTTGCAGCGAGCCGAGATCACGCCACTGCACTCCAGCCTGGATGACAGAGTGACTCCATCTCAAAAAAAAAAAAAAAAAAAAAAGAATCAGCAATGTTCCAAATAAAAAGTCATTAAAAAATTATCCTCATAGGTTCATTTAGTCTCACATAATTAATTCTTGTTCTGGTTGATGTTAGGATAGCAGTTTCATAAAGCTATCAGTTTCTTCATTAGAGTTCTAGAAATTCTTATCCAATCTCATGGTGTGATCTTAAAGAGATTCGAAACTTGTATTCAAGAGTACTCATTAGTCTTTTCTATGAATCTCCATGAAGAGACGCAATTTGACATGGTAGCTGATTGTAAATGCTTTTAGAGAAGAATCAAAACAATAACTAGATGACAAAGACTTGAAATAGCGATGGTTAGAATTCTGATGAAAGTTCTGATGAAGTTTCTGATGAAAGTTCAGAAATTAGCAAGGAAATGTGGTTATTTTTGTGGCATATAGCATTTAACATAGTAACTAAAATTATGACCGATAGCATTAGATTTCTAGGACTCGCATACAATTTTTGGAACACTCATGTGAATAACATACCCATACATATAACTTGAAGTTTTAGCAACACCTATTCTTTGACAATATTTCCCATATAATTCAACTCATCAAAAAAGCCTAGTCATTTCAGTATTTCTCTTTTACAAAGTAAGAGACCCCTTTGAACTTTTCAAGGACCCAGTTGGAAAATCCCAGAGTTAATTAGCGGTCATAAAGACTTAATTTAGACTTTGATTTTGGGAAATCTGCCAAAAATGCCAGAAGGTTTAAAACACTTGATTAAATGTGATCTTGGTTATCTATTTAATTAAAGTGACAATAAAAGATTTTAAAGACATACAGAAAGTTCCATAGTTGTGAACAAAAATTTAGCTCTTTTAATTGAGAAGACTAACTTAAAAATTTTTTTTAATTTTATTTTAATTAATTTATTTATTTTGAGACCAGGTTATGAGACTGACTAATTTTTGTATTTTTGGTAGAGATGGGATTTTGCCATATTGCCCAGGCTGGTCTCGAACTTCTGGCCTCAAGTGATCCACCCACCTTGGCCTCCCAAAATGCTGGGAATACAAGCATGAGCCACTGTGCCTGGCCTCACTTTTTTAAGTAATCAAAGACCTAATAAAAGACAGCATAAGCACAAGAAATTATCTTTATAAAGCACAAAATCTGTTTCCTAGGCCAATTACTTTAAAAGGAAAAAAAAACCCCTTCATACATTCTCAGATCAATACCTCAAAAAAACTTTATCATGTCAACAGAGAAGAGTAAATTCCACTTTCTTTTCTTTTTTTTTTTTTTGAGATGGAGTCTTGCACTGTTGCCCAGGCTGGAGTGCAGTGGTGAGATCTCTGCTCACTGCAACCTCCACCTCCCAGGTTCAAGCGATTCTCCTGCCTCAGCCTCCCAAGTAGCTGGGATTACAGGCACCTGCCACCAGTCCTGGCTAATTTTTTGTAATTTTAGTAGAGACGGGTTTTCACTATGTTGGCCAGGCTGGTCTTGAACTCCTGACCTCGTGATCCTACCGCCTAGGCCTCCCAAAGTGCTGGGATTACAGGCGTGAGCCACCGCGCCCGGCCTTTTGAAACTATTTTGAAGTAGACATATATTATTATGAGACATATATTATAGGCTGGGCATGGTGGCTTATGCCTATAATCCCAGCACTCTGGGGAGCTGAGACAGGAGGATTGCTTGAGCCCAGGTTTGAGACTAGCTTGGGCAACATAGTGAGACCCTGTCTCTACAAAAAACTTAAAAATTAGCCAGGCATGGTGGTGCCTGCCTTTAGTCCCAGCTACTCAGGAGGCTGACGCAGGAGGATTACTTGAGCCCAGGAGCTCAAAGCTTGCAGTGAGCTATAGCTATGATCAGGCTACTGCCCTCCAGCCTGAGTGACAGTGTGAGAACCCTGTCTCAAAAAAAAAAAAAAAAAAAAAAAGAAGACGTATATTATAATTATTATTGAAAAATTCTTGTACAAACTTTTATCTCACATCTTATTCAATTCACTTATTAACAATTATTCTTGAACAGTTCATGAATATTTTAGGAGATATTAAACAAAGCTAGTCACTATCTTAAGTATTTTTCTTGTTGACATATCAGGCAAGCATCCAAAATATCACAAAAGCAAAAAAACTAAAAACTAAACATGGTTCTTCCCTCTCCTTTTTTTTTCCTGATGACAACCATCTCCCTGAAGTTTGTATTTTCAAAAGATAACTACTAAATTCTAGAGAAGACGGGTGGGAAATTTATGTCTCAAGGGCACAGGGAAAGCCTCTTAACCAGAGGTCAATCTCACGGAGGCTGTGGACCAGATTTTAGGCTGGTGACTGAGCAGACATCTAAGGGCTGTCTGAATGTTTCCAAAGACCCATGTGAATGAACAAGACATTCATTTCTGAGAAAACTTACATTTCCCTCTAATTTGGTCTTAAGGCTCTCTGGAGAGTGGCTATAAACTCGACTTCACTACAGAATTTTGCAAGGAAGTCCGCAAAGAAGCCCGGGAGAAGGTTCTGAATCTTAACTAAAGTTTAGCCGTAGAGACCAGAATCCTTCTTACCTTTTTACCTCCGATGTTTCCTTTCAGCAATTTTCTATCCACTGACCACCAGGTGGAGGTGGGGGCTCAAAGTGGAACGTATTTAAAGGTACAAGGGAGCTGCATAGAAGCTCAAAGTGGACAAAGGGAGGAAGAGCGGAAGCAAAGGAAAGAAGAGGTCTTCCAGGAGCCAATTTGGGGCGATCTCACATTTCCCGAAAAGACTAATGAAGTTCTATATTATCCTTAGGAAAAATCACACCAAGAAGAAAGGAAGCGGCTGAGGGCCCGAGATGTAATTATCAGTGGTTCGAAAAGAGATTCTCAGTCAACTGAGAAGTTCCCATGGGAGAAGCAGGATCCCAAAGAGAGAACAAGAGCAGAGAGGCCTGAAAAAAAGCACAGCGTCAATATCATCTTCCAGTCAAGCCGACTTCTGACCATAGAGCACTTAAAAAAAACAAACAAAAAAAAAAAACAAAAAAAACCTAGCCGGGTGCAGTGGCTGACTCCTATAATCCCAGCACTTTGGGAGGCTGAGGTGGGTGGATCACTTGAGGTCAGGAGTTCGAGACCAGCCTGGCCAACATGGTGAAACCCTGTCTGTACTAAAAATAGCCAGGTGTGGTGGCGCACACCTGTAATCCATCCTACTAGGGAGACTGAGGCAGGAGAATTGCTTGAACCTGGGAGGCAGAGGTTGCAGTGAGCTGCAATCTCACCATTGCACTCCAGCCTGGGCAAAAAGAGTGAAACTCCGTCTCCAAAAAAAAAAAAAAAAAATCCTTTGAAATATTGCACTATCAGATTTTAGCCAGGACAAACAGCAAATATTCCTGGCAGTATTGTACTTTTCCGCCTTTTTAAAAAAGAAAGAAAACCAAAGGTATCTACCAAGTGACTTGGAATCGAAACCAATAAGCCTTTTATGACTTAACCAAGGATGCGTGGAGTCTCTCTAAAGAAGCGCAAAGACACAGCCCTCCCAAAGACAGCCAGAAGAAGAGGGACAGGTAACTCCCAGAGCCGGCAGCAGCTGGCACGCTAGCTGCATACGGGGTCCCACCCGCGTTTCTGTTAGGCTCTCTTCTTGGTGTTTCTGTAAAACAAAGACCATCTCTGAGAGGGAAGGGATCATAAAACAAGAGTTCTCATGCCAAGAAAAAATCACCAGAGTCACAATCCCCAAAAACTAGTTCATACAAATAATTTTCTCCTGCTAATCTGAATTTGCGAAGGAAGGAATAAAGAGAAAATTTTACCTTCCATTCTCAACCGGGCACTGCAAGCAGAGATCTGGGAGAGCTGGCCTTGGTTAAAAAAACTTTTAAAGAGTCTTAGATTTTCCTTGCCGGCATTCTGTCAATTGTCCCAGCATGGCGTCTGCAGGCTCTGCGGTGGAGTCAGGTGTCTCAGGCACCCCAGGGTTGGTGGCAGAAACGGTAGGGATGGAAAAGTGTGATCCCTTTTTCCCCATCATAAGGATCACAGACAACACGGCTCTAACAAGGCAGGTTACCCAGAGAAAAGCATAACAACTTCATTATGCACGTATTTATTTTTTTAATTTATTATTATTATTATTATTATTATTATTATTTGAGACGGAGTCTTGCTCTGTCTCCCAGGCTGGAGTGCAGTGGCACGATCTCGGCTCACTGCAAGCTCCGCCTCCCGGGTTCACGCCATTCTCCTGCCTCAGCCTCCCGAGTAGCTGGGACTACAGGCGCCCGCCACCACGCCTGGCTAGTTTTTTTGTATTTTTAGTAGAGACGGGGTTTCACCGTGTTAGCCAGGATGGTCTCGATTTCCTGACCCTGTGATCCTCCCGCCTAGGCCTCCCAAAGTGCTGGGATTACAGGCGTGAGCCACTGCGCCCGGCCTGTATTTATTGTTTAAAAAAGTAGAGATGGTGTTTCGCCCATGTTGCCCAGGCTGGTCTTGAACTCCTGGGCTCAAGCGATCCACCTGCCTTGGCCTCCCAAAGTGCTGGGATTACAGGTGTGAGCCACTGTGCCCGGCCACAAGTTTATGTAATCAAAGTTTTACGTGACACAGAGCCTTCAGCAAGGAAGTTCTAAGACCAGGGAATACTGTTTTGATGCTTAAATTCAATGAAGAGTGAACAGCCATGCAGAAATGGGAGTGGACGAAAGGGTGTGATCTAACGGCGAGAGACTGCGTGCGGAACCCAGCAGGGTCTGTCTTCCAGATACTTCTCGGCCTCTCTGTGCAACATTCCTTCCTCCTGGGTGTGGGCAGAACCTCTCTGGAATGAGGGTCTTCCAGAGAGAAGGGAGAGCGATCTTTCTAGCTTCCACGGCTTGCTTTTTATTTTTAGGAGAGGAGCTCTAGTTTCTATGGCTGCCTTGGGGAAGAGGAACTCTGGTTTCTAGGGCTTGTCTGGGGGTGATGGGGGCGGGTGGCAGGTCAGGAAGGCAGGAGAAGGTCAGAGAGACGTTGCTTCTGAGGCTTCTTCTGAGGCCTTCCAATCTGCTTTAGCTCACGGTTCTCGGCCTGCCAAAGCGCCATACTTTGGCGCATCGTTTTCTGAGCCCCAACACCAATATCATTTAGGATTTACATTAGGATTTGAAGTCGTATCCATTAAAACCAAAATTATGCCATCCAGTTCGGTGAGGAGGGAGCCCTGCTCTATGTAGAGTTTCGGGGTTTGGGGACGATTTCTCCCCTATATCCTGACCGCAGGGATAGCCGGGGGCTGGGACGCACTTCTGCGATGCTTAGGAAACTTTGCTGTTAATTCAGAGGCCTCGCCCAGCATGCTGAATGCCAGAATTAGGTGGGGCTCCCCCTAGGAGTGCCTGGTCCTCCTTCTCCAATCTTGTTCTTCCAGACAGAAAGCTGCGAATTTGCTGTCTCTGGAGGGCCGTGGGTTCTGGGATAGATGATGGGAGAAAGAGAAGGGGAAAAAAATGTCCTGCCTTCGAACTGGCCTCCAGGTCAAAATCGCTGCATACCATAAGCAGGTGAATAGCTCAGCAAGTCAGTTCTTTGGGATAACTGAGCAAATATCAAAGCCATCAGACTCTCAGAAAACGCTATTTGAAAGGTTTTGTTTTGTTTTTTTTTGTTTTAAAAGAAAAAAAGGGCTGCAGTACATTGCATACACTAAGGGCGTCTCTGGAGAATGTTCTATTTGGGCTCGACAGGAACCTAGAAGGTCCTTCTCTCCTGCAGGGCACCCACACTGCCATCATCACTATGGATGCACACTAGTGCGTATTTTGTGTACATCTGTAACATGCTCAGGCTATTCTTTTATTATTATTATTATTTTATTTATTTATTTATTTTTTGAGACAGAGTTTCACTCTTGTCGCCCAGACTGGAGTGCAATGGCGCCATCTTGGCTCACTGCAACCTCTGCCTCCCAGGTTCAAGCGATTCTCCCGTCTCAGCCTCCCAAGTAGCTGGGATTACAGGCGCCCGCCAGCATGACCGACTAATTTTTGTATTTTTAGTAGAGACGGGGTTTCACCATATTGGCCAGGCTGGTCTCCGACTCCTGACCTCAAATGATCCATCCGCCTTGGCCTCCCAAAGTGCTGGGATTACAAGCGTGAGCCACCGCGACCGGTCTATTCTTTATTTTAATTTCCATTTTATGCTCGTTTCGTATTTTCATTAAGACGTGGGAATTACAAAGTAGTTCCAGCTATGGGCTACAGTTTAAAAATAACTTCAACACCAACTGTTCATGTCAGCATTTTTTAATGGTATGAAAAAAGATATAAATGTATTTATTACCACTGAATTGCACACTTAAAAGTGGTAAAGACGGTAAATTATGTATGTATATTTTACCTCGATAAAAAAAAAATAAGGAAAAAATGGTATGGAAAATTTAAGTTAACAAACAAATAGGAAGGCAGGCCTGAAAGTATTTCCATATTCTGATCACATAATATTCTAAAGACAATATGAATTTAAAGCACATTTCTGTATCTGCAATATAGGGAAATACAGTAAAATGATCAGTGTTAATTTCTGGGAAACTTTGCCTAGGTGCTCTAGTGCCCTCTTCTGGATATGTTGGAGTACTGCATCTCAGGCCGAACTTAATGGAACCCCTTTGGCATTCTGGTGAAGCCTGCAGACCTCCTCCCGGAATTATGCTTTAAAATGCATAAGATAAAGAGAATCATAAGGAAAATCATTATATTGAATAAAGTTATGAAAATATCAAAATATTTAAAAACAAATTTATAAGTTATTTATTACCCAATTAAGTTAAAATATTTCGCTTTGGGTCTAATAACCACTATAATTTCAAAGTAGTGATGAGCTTAAACAACATTTGCAGATATCTGCAGCAACCATAATCTTGCATGAAAACATCCGTGATTTCTATTGGTGATAAACTTATACTCAGTGTGTCTGTGGGTTCCCTAGGGTTGCCTAAAAAGTTCCACAAACTAGGTGGCTTAACATAATAGAAGTGTATGGTCTGACCGTTCTGGAGGCTGGAAGTCTAAGTACAACATGTCAGCAGGACCATGCTTCCTCTGCAGCCTGCAGAAGAGGAGGCTTTCTTGCCTCTTCCAGCTTGCGGCGGCCCCAGGCATTCCTTGGCTTGTGGCGGCAACCCTCCAATCTCTGCCTCCGTCTTTCTATGGCCGTCTTCACTCTGTGTCTCTCTCTTCTTATGAGGACACCAGCAGTAATAGCATATAAATTAATATCACAAAAATGTAATATAATAATATAATTCAGGACACCCTGAATTGTATCCCTGGAGCATAGATTAAGATCCTCTAGAAGTTATTTTAAGTTAATAAGTATTTCTCATGTTCATACTCTGTCCCCAGGAGAATCTCAAGGAATGTGAAGACATGAAAGATGCGCTTCCTTTCTTGGTAGAAGTTTTCTGTCAAAGTAGGATGAGATTTATACATGCAAAACAACCAAGAACACTACCCAGCAGTGTGAGACTTTGTGGCATGAATTTCAGTGTTTCATCCCTCCAGAGGCCCAGAGAAGGGAGAGACTGTGTGGATGGGAGCAGTGGGGCACGTTTTAGGAAGGCCGGGGGGCTTGGTTTGGGTTTAGGATGCTGGGAGGATGGGTCCCATCAGGACATATGTCAGGTGGTGGAAACAGCATGAGCCAAAATATTAATAAAATCTCAGAGAACGCAAGTTAAGCACCACAAAAAGATTTAACTCATGCAAAAATGAAACTTGGGAAAGTGTACCACATTTAAAATCAATGGATTGATCTAATCTCCAGAAATAAATAAGAAAACGACCTTGCATAATCAATTATGCTATTACAATTAACTATACACAAAATGAGAGAAGAAACATTTTAAATGCTTAAACATTGTGTAATTTCTACTTCATTCTACAAATATTCCAGCAAAGGCTTAATTTCCCTAGTAGATAAGGAGCTCTAGATACAAACCAATAAGAAAAAAAGAACAACAACAAAATGGTCAAAGGAAATGACCTACCTACTCACAGATACAAGGTACAAAAGGGTCTTAAACATATAAAGAGATGTGCAATCTTACTCATAAGAAAAGTACAAATTAAAATTATACTCATGTCATTTTTATCTATTAGATTGGCAAAGATTAAAACATTTGATAATATACTCTGTTGGCAACTCTTATTTCTTGCAGGGGGAGGGTGTAAATTGGTATAACCTCTTTGGCAGTCATTCTGGCAATATTTATCAAAATTGCAAATACACATACCTTTTGAAACCTTTTGAAAATCCACTTCTTTTTGTTGCAGATACCCTTGCATGAATGAATATTATTTTGAAAAGGTAATTAATTGCTCTTTGGCTTGCAAAAGGCTGGAAACAAAATGTCCACATAGCACAGCTATACAGTGAAACAATAGGCAACTGTAAAAGAAAAAAAGAATAAAGGAATTCCTTTAAAACACTACTGTAGGTGGGGGAAAAATATGTTCCTTCTACCCTTCTAGGTTCTCAGCTGGGGCCCTTGTAACAAAAGACAGATGAACAAGAGAAAAGAATACAAATTTATTTAAATGTTACCTGACATGGGAGCCTTCATAAGGAAATAGGGACCTGAAGAAATGCTTAAACCTGAGTGTTTCTAGCCTTGATTTGATAGAATGCTGAGTCATAGAAAAATGTGGTAGGACAGAAAAGGTATGAGCTAAGAGTAGTAAACTGGGGGAAAGTTAGCAAGGTCTGTGCATTCAGATTGTTCCTGGGGTCCCCCTGTCTCCCTCTCACATGAGGGTCTCCTGACCTGCTTCAGGGGAAAGTCAGGGAACCCTTTCTCTACTTACCAGTTCTCAAATTCCTTCAGCTTAAAATATTCACTATGCCAAGGTACATGTTTTGGGGTAGCATCCTGAATGCCCCTCCCTCCTACGGAATGATTTCTAAGCTATCAAGAATGAAAAAAGCAGCGGTGCGTGCACGTTTTTGCTCATAGATGCAGAAGATATCCTGCGAGGATACACGTGATGCTGGTGACACTGGTTGCCACTACCAAGACCTGGGGGAGGGGCGTGCATCCTTCTGCACCTTCCGAATTTTGGACGACATCAATGCATAACCATATGCAGTAAGCTGATCACAATTTGGTAGTACTTTTGAATTACGAATGCTGTTACTAGCTTGTCTTTGATACATTTATCCATTCAGCCAGTGGTTACGTAGCCAGCACAGAACAGGGGTCGATCCAGCACCATCACGGAAGGGCTGCTCTGGTCCGAAGTCTTCAGAGCTTCCGGTGTCCCAGAGTGGAGAATCTCGCACCATAAACCCTCCTCTGTCTAATATTCACTGACTTTCAACAGCAGTGTGTTACGATGCTATGAAAGTCTGTCTTTCTGCCCCTCGTGTCTTCAAATCCCCACTTCCCATAAGCAGGGGACTAAGAAACTAAGGGGTTGCCAGTGTAAAGAAGCGCTACCCTGTAGCACTGTAGAAGGACGGTGGGCACTGGGAGCCACTGATGTCCCCGATACGATGGAGCACGGGCAGATTTGCCCTTTGGGGACAAGATTTGACGACCAGGCAGGCACCTGCTGCAATTATTCCAGTAACGTCAAAGGTGAGTGAAAAGCAAACCCGTGTAGAAGAAGCTGTAGCAGCTGTCAATCCCAGGTTATCTTAATTATGCCTCCCTGGACAGAACTGGTAAGTGGTAACTGGCTCTCTCCTGCAGAAATGAATCAAGCCAGTGCCACACTTGAGTAGGTGCACTTGAGTAGGAACATTTGCGCAGTCCTTCACATTGCAGAGACTTGCTTGCATGGTTATCATGCCAGTTCTGCTGTTTTGGCCAAAGGTGCACAGTTCTGTCCCACTTTGTCCTGTCAAAAGCCTCTTGTCCTCGTGCTGTCAGCCTCACCTCTGATTCCAGCCCTGGGGAGGGTGAACAGCTCCAACAAGTCTCAGCTCAAGCGAGCGCAGCTTGTCTGTTGCGTCCCACACGTGGTAGGCTGAAAAATGGCTCCCCAAAGGTAAGTCCACATCATAGTCCATGGATCCTGTAAATGTGGCCTTATTTCGGGAAAAGGTCTTTGCAGATGTGACTAAGGACCTTTGGATGAGGAGAGCGTCCCGTCTTATTGCCAGATAAGCCCTGGATGTCATCACAAGAGTTGTTTTAAGAGAGAGGCAGAGGAAGATGTGAGGACACACAGAGGAGAAGGTGATGTGAAGATGAGGTAGAGGTCAGAGTGACAAGCCCACGTGGCCACAAGCTTAGCTGGAGGAGGTCAGGAAGGATCCTCCCCTAGAGCCCTTGGAAGAGGGCAACAAGTATCTGCAATAAATATGGGAATGCAGGTATCTTTTCAAGATACTGATTTTGTTGTCCTTGGATATATACCTAGTAGTGAGATTGCCAGATCATATCCATTCTATTTTTCATTTTTTGGGAACCTCCATACTGCTTTCCATTATGGCTGTACAAATTTACGTTTCCACCAAGAGTGTGCAAGGGTTCCCTTTTTGTCCACATCCTCACCAACACATCTTTCATCTCTTTGGTAATAGCCTTTCTAACAGGTGTGAGGTGGTGCTCCCTGTGGCTTTAATTTGCATTGCTCTAATGATTAGTGATGTTGAACAATTTTTCATAGACCTGTTGGCCATTTGTATGCTTTCTTTTGATAAATGTTTATTCAGGTCCTTGGCCCATTTTTCAAATCATATTATTTCTTTTCTTACTATTGAGTTGTTTGGGTTCCGAATATATTTTGGATGTTAACCCCTTATCAGATGCATGGGTTTACAATATTTTTTCCTATTCTGTAGGCTATCTCTTCTCTCTGTTGTTTCCTTTCCTCCACAGAAGCCTTTTAATTGGATGCAGTTTTGTTTATCTATTTCCACTGTTGTTTCCTGTGCTTTTGGGGTTATATCCAAGAAATCATTGCCCAGACTAACATCATAAAGATTTCCCCCTATATTTTCTTCTAGTACTTTTACAGCTTCCAGGTCTTATGTTTCAGTCTTTAATCCATTTTGAGTTGATTTTTGTATATGGTGTGAGATAAGAGGCATTTCATTCTTCTGCATGTGGATATTAAGGGAATTTTTATAAATGGAAGATTAAAGGACTAGCCAACCAGAAGTGTGATTATGATCACTATTAACTGGACAAAGTGACACCTATGACTTTATTCTTTTCCCATATTCTAGACTAGGGTTTATTACACCAAGGCCCATTAAAAATGCTTGGCAGAGTGGAGGGAGGAAGGTGGTGCCTTGTCACATGTCCTTCGGGAATTAAATTTGGTGATGTTTTCAAGTCCATGATAATCTTAAAAAATGAGTAGGTCTTTTTTTGGACCAACTGGATGGTGCGTTCTAGGGAAGCACGATGCTTGCAGGGTCAGGCCCGTGTTGTGTTGATGGTGGGATGTGCCTGCCGATCTCCTGCCCTTGCAGGGTTTTATTTTTAATGCAGTTTCTCAAACTGAAGTCTCCTTTTATTTTTTTATTTTTATTTTTTTTAATTCACAAGAAAGTATTTTCTTTCAAAGGGGCCTGCATGGATCTTGCGTTTAAGACAGGCCACTCTAACCATACCTGGTGGTACTCGTGCAGAGGGTAAGTGGCTCAGAGAGTGGGCCTGGCCTGGGGTTAAGTCCTATACCCATTTCCTCTGTGCTGCGTGACTCTGGACCGGCAACTCAACCTCTCTGAGCTGTGGCTCTCTGCTCTTTACATGGCAATGCTAACAATAGTTACACAATAGCGTTGTCATAAATATTTCATGAGATGGGGTTTGGAAAGGGCTTCCTTAGCACAGCGCCCGCTATATAGCTAATGTTATATTATGCTCATGAATACCAGTCAGCCAGCAGAAAGCGTGGGGGTAACCACATCTGCGGCGGGGGCTGACATCACAGCAAGGAAACTGTCAGCGCCCGGGCCAGTCACCGCGTCATGCTCCCTTCCCACCACAAGGAGGCGCAGGCACGAGTTTGATTTATTTTATGAGCAAGAACCCAGAGCGTCCGCTGGGGGGCGCAGGTTTTGCGTCCGCAGCAGGCGGCGCTCCTAGGCGTCTTGGGGTCCGCCTTCCTGGAGCCCCAGGAACAGGGTTCTAAAGTCCAGACTGTCATCGGAAGCATCAATAATAAAAATAGCTGTAATTTATTGCATATCTGCTGGGCTCTGAGTGAAGCTCTGTGTGTGTGTGCGTGTGTCTGTGGGTCTGTGTGTGTGTGTGTGTGTGTCTATGTGTGTATCTATGTGTGTGCGTGTGACTGTGTGTCTGTGTGTTTGTGTGTCTGTGCGTGGCTCTGTGTGTGTTTGTGTGTGTCTGTGTGTGAGTGTGCATGTTTGTGTGTGTCTGTGTGTGTGTGCACACATGTGTGCATGCAAGCACCTGTGGGTACATACATGCATATATACAGACACACATCATATGTACATATGCCCATATAATATATTCTAGGTATTTAGTATATTTCAGAGTGGAGTGCACAGCATAAACACGATGAAGAAAAATTGCACAGAGAAGCAGATATTCTCAGGACCAAAATACTTTATTTACTTATTTATTTATTGAGACAGTCTCATTCTGTCGCCCAGGCTGGAGTGCAGTGGCGTGATCACAGCTCACTGCAGCCTCAACCTCCTGGGCCCAAGCAATCTTTCCACCGCAGCCTCCTGAGTAGCAGGGACTACAGTCACATGCCACTAAGCCTGGCTAATTTATTTATTTAGTAGAGACAAGGTCTAGTTTTGTAGCCCAGACTGGTCTTGAATTCCTGGGCTCCAGTGATCCTCCTGCCTCAGCCTCCCAAAGTGTGGGATTACAGGTGTGAGTCACCGCACCCAGCCTTGAGAAATTCTTTTCTCTGAATTATCAACCTGGGTTAAAAGGTACTCATTGTCAGCTGAGAGGCCGAAGTATCCAGGCAGCTTTCACAATAGTGTTTCTGGTGCAGGAGGAGATTTTTATTGTTCACAGGGCAGAAGTGTGAGACAGGACCTGGTATATACAGGTACTTCATCTGTTGTAAGATAAAAAGCTATTAAATGTAGCTCTGCTATAAAGAAATTCTTTTTCTTGGAGCCTTGAGAAGCCAAGCGGTTACTCTAAAATGCTCTGGGACAATTATCATGGAGAGCTCAAGGCAGTTGAGGAACACAGACTCTGTGGTCTTGACTATATTTATTTTCTTCTTTGTGTTTGCAAACATGTGCCATGCTTTCTACAAGAGCATGAATTATTATAGTTTAAAGATTCACATTCATCAAAGCCAGTCCCAGCTGAGGCAGATACAGGTGAGTGATACACGATGGGGTGCATGCTGAGGTCAGGGAATCCATTCATCAGCACGTTTGTATTCAGATCTCAGTGTGTGCATAGCACTGCGCTTGGTGAGGAGGGGAGACAGGAGGCGGAGCCACAGTCCTGCCATCAAGGGGGAGGAAAGGGATGGAAGGGAAGGGACCTTTAGCATTTATTGTACCCCAGACACAGTTTATACACATGTGACTCCCTTAATATTCACAAAGGACCTCTGAGGAGCTGTTATTATGATCCTCATCCTGCAGAGGAGCAAACTGAAGCCCAGAATGGGAAGCTACTCTGCCAGGTAAGAGCAAAACCTGCACCTCCGGAATCCCTACCTGCCCTGCTCTGCCAGGCTTAGGCCCACGAAGGATTCATTAACAATGTCAGGCAGGCAGTGTGGACCATGGTAGGGGAAATGCCCCAATGGGAAGGATAAAGGAGTTTTGGCCGTCAGTGACTCTTATTTGGGAAACCAAGAAATTGCCTGGACTTTCCCAAAGGTACAGGGAGGTTTGGACGTGTTAAACTGGAGCCCACATGGTGGCGCGCACCTGTTGTCCCAGTGACTGAGCTGGGCTTGAGCCCAGGAGGTTGAGGCTGCAGTGAACCATGGTCCTGCCACTGCACTCCAGCCTGGGCAACAGATTGAGACCCTGTCTCAAAATAAAAATAAAAATAAAAATAAAAAAAGTGGAGCCCAGCTGGAGGCAGAGACAGGCCCAGCAATGAAGAAACAGTGAGCTGAGAGGGGTGGAGAGAATGGGGTCCCTGCATGCTTGCCAGAGTTCCCCAAGGCATTTCCAGTTAATAAGTAAAATGTATTTAAAATGTGAAGACTGGCTGCCAATCCCTCACGGAACTCCCAGACTGGACTTACTTTCATCATCCTCTTGGTGCTGTTGAGCCAGGTGCGTTTCTAACAGCCCTGCTGAAAGACAGCCAATGGCGTAAGACTTTTCTTTTTTCACATAAAAACCCACTAAGCTTCCCGCAGACATCAGGCCTTTCACCTGACTCAGGGCCCGCGGTTATACCTGTGTAGACCTACGTTAGCAAACAGCGGCTTATCGGAACTCGGGCCCTCTGACATCAGCCAGGAAGGAGCAGGCTATGCTGCTGGGAAGTGCAGGCCTGAAAGGCTGTTTTTCTTACTGAGTGAGCAGTAAGGTCACCCAGATAACCCACTCCTGAGTCACGAGGCCTTTCTGACCTATGACTCTGGAGGGCAGCTCTGTTTATTTCTTCTTTGTGGTGACAATGTGGGTGTCACCTTGAGGAGCCCATTGAAGAAGTTCATTGAGTGAGAAGACTCGGCCGGGTCTCCGGGGCCGCTGTAACAGACTCAGGGCTGCAGTAACAGACTCAGGCCACCGTAGCAGACTTGGGGCCTCTGACGACAGAAATGTATTTCCTCGCCGTCTGGAAGCTGGGAGGACCTGGTTCAAGGTGCGGGCAGGGCTGCTTTCCCCTGAGCCTCTCCACAGTGTCTTCCACCAGGGGCTTCACGTGGTCTTCCCTCTGTGTGCGTCTGTGTTCTAATCACCTCTTCTTGTAGGGACACGAGTCATGGGACCTTTTTTAATCATAATCACCTCTTTAAAGATCCTGTCTCCAAATACAGTCCCATTCTGAGGTACTGGAGGTTAGGACTTCAACCTACAAATATGTGGGGGTGCAGTATGCCCCTGACTTCGCTGGAAGTGATGGAGGTGAAGTTGGTCAATGGTTTCCAATGCTCTGCTCTCCCTACACTGATCGGGGACTGGCCTCTGTCAGGCCTTGTGAGGTGCCTGTGCCCACCCACTGTGAGCCAAAGATGGAGGCTCCCAGAGAAGATAGTCCCAGCCCTCCCCCACTAGCCTGGAACCCATCCTTCCAGCTCAGATCACACTCTGAGGAAAGAGATCCCTAATCCAGGCAGCTCAGACACCTGCTAGGATTCTCCAGACCCCCGCGAGAGCGCACCCTGTGGTCCCGGGAGAGGGCAGAGTAAGCCATACCTCAACAGCACTCCACCTGCTCAATGGCATGAAACAGTTCCACATCTGCTGGACCTGGAGGAGGTGTCTTCCTAGGTCACCTACATGCAGGGCACCATGGCGATTTGGAGATACAAGTGCCACACACAGAGACAGAGCCACGGCCTGCCTTATCCAGCTGCCCCCAGCATTTTTTAAAAAATTAGACAGGGTCTCACTCTATTGCCCAGGCTAGAGTGCAGTGGTGCAATCACTGCTCACTACAGCCTTGCGCTTCTGGGCTCAGGTGATCCTCCTACTTCAGCCTCCAGAGTAGCTGGGACTACAGATGTGCATCACCATGCCCAGCTAATTAAAAACAATTTCTTTGTCAAGACAGGGTCTCAATACAATGTCCAGGCTGGTCTCAAACTCCTGGCCTCAAGCAGTCCTCCTGCCTCGGCCTCCCAAAGTCCTGGGATTACAGGTATGAGACACTGTGCTGGGCCCCTGTCAATTTTGGAAGGATCCAGTTGTGTTTCTTCATTCATTTAACACATATTTGTAGAAAGCAAATCCGTGCCAGGCATAGATGCTTGAGATTCATTAGCCAACGAAACAGAAAACAACCTGTGACCTCATGGAGCCTCCATCCCTAGCGGGACGGGTACAGCAGGGGCTTCACCCAGAGAGGCTTCCTGTGAAAACGCCCACTGGGTCCTGGGGAACTGGGAATCCCCGGCCGCTTCTGCACAGGGCTCCTGGGTGGTTTCCTGTTTCGGCTCCACAGCCGGGGGAAGTTTCTGCTGTTTGCTCCTCTGCACTCTAAGCGGAGATGTGCACACTCGCGAGCAGGGATTTTTCTGGTTCAGGAAAGTCCTGCGTCCTTGGGCGCACTTTCACAAGTGTGAGAAAGCCAGTTCAAATGTGACTTCCCGTGAGAAACCCTGCCTGGCCTCCCGCCCTCCCCGGCACTCTCAGCATGAATCATGCTGCGTTGTCACTATTGTCTTGCTCATCTGTGCCTGTCGCATTCCCTGAGTTCCTCCTGGCGGGGTCTCGGCCTTGTTCATCTTTGGACCTGGTGGCCAGCACAGAGAATGTGCTCAATGAATGTTTGCTGGATTGAATGACACACCCTCAGGTCCAAGTGGGCCATGCCCCTCTGCCTGCAGCCTGGTGGCCGTCAGGGTCAGGGCTCCCATGCTTTCTGATACCCGGGAGGATGGGTCTCTGACCATGGGATTTTGAAATAGCAATGAGCCTGAATAACATTTTGAGATACTGGCAACAACGAAAGTGTGGAATGAAACTTCCCGTTATTTCTGCTGGCTAACACTAAGTGGTTGCCACCTATGTTCATAATACAAGGAACTGCTCAGTTTCAACCAGAGGTGAGTGAAAACAGATGTCATTGTTTTCCCATGTCAGTTCATGAGCCCTCTGGGTTGTATTCTCAGGTCGCTCGAGGGTCCACTTGTGCTCCATTTAGAACCTCCGGACTCTACCGCTCATCCCCCAAGTTAGCCTGTCACCTTTCAACTCCCAGGGGCTCAGGTGTCAGGGCCTTCGCGTTGCACCTTAGCCTTGGTGTAAGTCACGTGCCCTCAGCTCCTGCCCCTCTCCCTGAGTGACGTCCTCTCTACAGACAGAACTGGGCACTTTCTCCTGCTCCCCAGTGGACCCGAGGCACGAAAGCCTCAGCAAGCAGGGAGTGACAGGCACAGACCACAGCAACCACCCGCAGCCGGAGCAGAGTTCGCGCTCTCCCAGGGGCCCTCCTTGGTGGCTTTGGGGGGGCCTCAATGCCAGGGTTTGCATCTTTTCTTTTCTTTCTTTTTTTTTTTTTTTTTTTTGAGACGGAGTCTCGCTCTGTCGCCCAGGCTGGAGTGCAGTGGTGCGATCTCAGCTCACTGCAAGCTCCGCCTCCCAGGTTCACACCATTCTCCTGCCTCCGCCTCCTGAGTAGCTGGGACTACAGGCGCCCGCCACTACGCCCGGCTAATTTTTTGTATTTTTAGTAGAGACAGGGTTTCACCGTGTTAGCCAGGATGGTCTCGATCTCCTGACCTTGTGATCCGCCCGCCTCGGCCTCCCAAAGTGCTGGGATTACAGGCGTGAGCCACCGCGCCCGGCCGCATCTTTTCTTTTTCTCCTTTTTCCCAACTACTGCTGTGCTTTCTGGCTTTGTGCCTTCCTTCTTTGCTTCCTCTCCCATCACTCCACAGACAAGGAGGCTCTGTCCAAGCTCCTGTCCTGGCTCGCTCAGCCCAGCCTTCAGGTTCTCAGCCCAACACGAGGGTCTCCTTGGGTAGTCAGCTCAATCATTTCAAGCTATTAATCAACGGACTTCTCCTGAATGCATCCAGACCTCTCCTCAAGGTTAGTTTTGATGAATACAATTTTCTCCATCTTGTTACAACAGGGTCAACGGTTCTTTGAAGAATCTTGCTCCTTTGGGACTTTTTTCCCACGGATGTGCCCTCTTTGGGGGCAAAGACATGATCCATATCTATCACCATCTCCTCTTTTTCTGCAATCACTGGACACCTGTTCATTTGGGGCAACCTAGGGCAGCCCAGAGTCCCTGTGGAGTCCTTATCTCATCGGGACGCTGGGTGGGACACGAGTAGTTTATGACAAACAGGTTTTTCTGACAAACGCAAGCAGGAGGAATCATTAGGGAATTGATAATGTAATTCACTGCACTGAGTCGTACAGGCATCTCAATAGACACCCCAAAAAGCATTTGGCGAATGTGAATATTGTTGATGAAACTCCTAGCAATCCAGGCTCAGAACACCTCATTCCTAACTTGGTAAGGGTGGCTACAGAGACTCTCAGAGATTAAGACATATAACAGCGAAATCTAAGAGAACAGGGGTGCCTGCCATCACTGCTTCTCTCCAACCTTGTAATGTGGGTCATTGTCAATGTAGTAAAGTCAGAAAAACGGGCACGAATACTAAAGTGAACAAAACCAAAATTGTCACCATTCCAGATGATGTGACAATATGCCTAGAAAATCCAAGACATCAAATGAAAACCTAATCTGAGAGCTTGGTGACATGGTTGGATACAAGATTGCCATACAAAAATCAATGGCTCTCACATCCGTTAGGATGGCTATTGTCAAAACAAAATCACAAGTGTTGGTGAGGAGGGGCAGAAATCAGAACCCCTGTGCGCTGTTCGTGCGAATGTAAAACAGTGCGGCCTCTATGGAAAACACTATGGTGGCTCCTCAGAAAATTAAGTCTAGAATCACCTTAGGACCTGGCAATTCCACTTCTGGGTATGTATCTAAAAGAATTGAAAGCAGGGACTTGAAGAGAGATTTACACAATCATGTTCACGGCAGCATTATTCACCTTAGCTGAAAGGTGGACGCAACCCAAGTGTTCATCAACAGATGGATGGATAAAGAAAACGTGATATATGCTTACATCAGAATATGATTCGGCCTTCAAAAAGAGGGAAATCCTGACATATTCTACAACAGGATGACCCTTGAGGATGTTATGCCAAGTGAAATAAGCCAATCATGAAAGGATAAACACTATATGAATCCTCTTGTATGAGGTCCCTAGAGTCATCAAATTCTTAGAAAGTAGAATGGGGGGTGCCAGGGGCTGGGGGAGGGGAAATGGGGAGTCAGTGTTTCGTGGGTACAGAGTTTCTGTTTGGGAGGAAGATAAAGTTCTGGAGATGGATGGTGGTGATGGTTACACAACAATGTGAATGTATTTAATGCTATGTAATCATGTTTAAATGGTAAATTTTACATTATATGTATTTTACCACAATACAAACATCAATGATTTTTCAAAAACCATTTTTGTTTTGAGACAGGCTCTTGCTCCGTCGCCCAGGCTGAAGTGCAGTGGAGCGATCACGATCACGGTTCGCTGCAGCTTCAAACTCCTGAGCTCAAACGATCCTCCCCGCTCAGCCTCCCAAGTAGCTGGGACTACTGGCACATGCCACCACCCCTGGCTGAAAATCACTCATTTTTAATGAGAAAATGAAGCGGGAAAGGAAGCTACTCACAACAGCAACAAGATCCGTACTATAACCAAGAATGAAACCAGAATATAGAGTTTTTGTGATTAGAACGGGCAAATAAAAGAACAAAGCTGAGTGGAGAGTCCAGAATTCTCAGCCACTCCACTCCTAAGAATCTGCCGTTTTTAAAAAGTGGACATGTGCACAAAGGTATACGTACAAAGAGGCTCAGAAATAACATTTGCAAGGGCAAAAACATTGAGGCCAATGCGAGTTTTTATCAACAGGAGAATGGTTAAATGAATAATGTTATATCACATTTGCAGTGTTTTATTTAGAAAGGAAGCATTGCTGTGAGTTCTGACATGGAATGATCTCGGTGGTATATTGAAAAGCAAGTTCTAATATAATTCCTCAAGCATAAAAAAAACTATATGTTGATATATTTATGGATAGAGGTAATTGCATAGAAAAATGCCTGGAAAGATACATGTCAAACCATTATTGTGGTTAGTTCTGGGGGCCATTTCCTTTAGAAATTTTCTATGAGAATGGCCGGGTGCGGTGGCTCATGCCTGTAATCCTAGCACTTTGGGAGGCCGAGGCGGGTGGATCACAAGGTCAGGAGATCGAGCCCATCCTGGCTAATACGGTGAAACCCCATCTCTACTAAAAATACAACAAATTAGCCGGGCGTGGTGGCGGGCGCCTGTGGTCCCAGCTACTCGGGAGGCTGAAGCAGGAGAATGGCGTGAACCTGGGAGGCGGAGCTTGCAGTGAGCTGAGATTGCGCCACTGCACTCCAGCCTGGGCGACAGAGCCAGACTCCGTCTCAAAAAAAAAAGAAATTTTCTATGACAATGTATTCATGTAGTACTTGTCAATTATTTTCTTTTTAAATAAAATAGTAAGACCCAGGCTTCTTAGTGCTGTGACAAGCTGGCCTTGTCTCTGTCTCCAGCAGGGTGGCTAAGGGTTTCAGATGGCACCGCACCATGGTGTTTGCTCCAGCCCATCTCCTTGGGATCAGTGTTAGTGTGGAGGATGTGAGGGACCATAGCTGTGACCTCCCGGGTGGGCTTCCAGAAGAGGAGGTCTGGTGAGACCGCTTGGGGCAGGACCAGATATTCCACTCCCTGGAAAGGAAGGCATGGGATTCTGCCTCGTGGCACAAGCCAGTCAGTTACTTTAGGTGCCTAATAACCATTTAGCACGGTCGTCCTTGACTTTGATGTTGGCTGCACATTGGAATCACCTGGGAGGGTTAAACACTACTGATGCCTGGCCTGCACATGGAGATTCTCATTTATTTGCTCCAAGAGTGGCCCTGGCATTGGGATTCTTAAAAGTTCTCTGGGCGATGCTCTAAGGACCGCTCTCCTGAACCCCCAGAGTGCTATCCGGTGTGTCGATTGCAACTTTTGCAATTGATATTTGAAACCAAATAGGAGAATTGTAAAGAATATTTGACCCAACTGGTTTCTGCTCATCATTCTCTCCCACTGGGATCTTTCTGATCTGATCCGTTTTGCCATCCAGTGCATTCGGGCTAGGACAGCCATGCTTCTGTAGGGACGTCTTTCCGAGGTCTATATCCATAAGGAGATGCATCTCTGGGTTTCCTAGACATGGAAGCCTCACCCGAGCCAATCTTCCTTTTAGTTGTGTCCTTGTAGGAAGAAATGGCTTCTATATGACTAAAAATATCTTCCCCCCATTGATAAAAAACCAAGTCCTGGGAATACCATTCAGCAAAATAAAAAGAAACAAACTACTCATAGGAGCATGCTCCAATGTAAACCGTGAAAACATCGTGCTCAGCGAAAGAAGCCAGACACCAGAGACCACGTATTGTATGAGTCCATAATAGGAGGTGTCCAGAAAAGGCAAATCCATAGAGAGAGAAAGTGGATCAGAGGTTGATTGGGGCTAGGGTGGAACCGAGAATAACTGCAAAAGGACACAGGGCTCTTTTTCAGTGACTGGAAAGTTCTAGAACTGGATTGTGGTAATGCTGCACAACTCGGAATTAACTAGAAATTATTGAATCACACTGGAAAAGGTGAGTCCTGTGGTACATAGGACTCACTCTTTTCACCTTCACTTGAAAAGGATGAGTCCTATGGGCTCCTGGCCTCCCCAGGGCTGTGCAATGCCCAGGGATGGCAGATGCAAAACCTGTGACGCTTGTTCTCCAGAGGGAGGCTGAGGCACACCACTTGCTGGCTCCGGCTGCTTCCTGGCGGTTTCCAAGAAGAAAGAGTGTGCCCTGAGAGGAAGTGGGGCTCCATGCTGAAACAGCCCCATGATTGGCTAGCACAGGGGAAAACTCTCAAACTATTTTTCATGGAGTGACCAGAAGGGAGAGAGCTGTTCAATTCCTGCTGAAAACTGACTCCCTGCCCTCGCTCCTCCCTTTCATCCTCCCCTCCATCCTCCCTTCCATCCTCTTCTCCCTCCTCTTCTCTATCTTCCCCCCTTCACCCTCCCCTCCGTCCTCCCTTCCATTGTCTTCTCCCTCCTCTTCTCTATCCTCCCCCCCACCCTCCCCTCCATCCTCCCTTCCATCTCTTCTCCCTCCTCTTCTCTATCCTCCCCTCCCTCCTCCCTTTCACCCTCTCCTCCATCCTGCCCTCTCTCCTCCCTCCCACCCTGCCCTCCCTCCCACCCTACCCTCCGTCCTCCCTTCCACCCTCCTCCCTTCACCCTACTCCCCCCTTCCACCCTCTCCTCCCTCCTCCCCTCCACCCTCCCCTCTCCTCCCTTCCACCCTCCCCTCTCTCCTCCCTCCTCCCCTTCATTCTCCCCTCCCTCGTCCCTTCCACCCTCTCCTCCCTCCTCTCTTCCATCCTCTCCTCCACCGTCTCCCCTCTCCCCTGCATCCTCTCTTCTCTCCTCCCTTCTCTCTTCCCCTCCCACCTTCCCCTCATCTCTCCTGCATCCTCCCCTCCCTTCCCCTCCCTTCCCCTCCCTGCTGGCTGGAGGAATGTGCTGGGCATGACTCCTGCTGGACCTTGTGCTGGAAGGTGGTAGAAGCAGGGAGCAAAACCAACTTGGCCTCGCCTTCAGAGCTCGCAGCTCGCTGAGGGAGAGACAGATTAACCTCATGATGACACACATCCAAGCCTGAGTTGAACACATATGGTGTCTGAAGGACGAGCCTGCCATGTAACCCGGGGTGTAATTTACAGCGAGGTCCTTGAAATGCTCTTGGCCAAGGGGATACTGAGGTGGAGACTTGCAAGGCAAGAGGGGCCCCCAGGTGAGGAGAGAAGAGGAGAGCGGGCAGCATGGCAGCAGAAAGGCCATAGGCCACCCAGTGGCAGGAGAGGGGTGCAGGGCTGGGTGTGGAGAGGGCAGGGGAGAAGGGAGTGGAGGAATGAGGGGGGAGTCTGGCCCCTCCCCAAGCAATCTGCATGGCCTTTTCCTCTCCCACCAAAGGCAGCCCCCAGAGAAACACACTCCAAGTAAAAACAGTAGCTGCTGCAGGGACAGCCTCAAGAGAGCCCGTTCCCCATCCCGCCTGCGGGTCAGAGATGACCAATCTGCCGTTGGTGGGTCTTGTCCTCAGACACGGGAAGGCGTTGCTGAGGTGTGGACTGGGGTCTGCCCTGACCTCATTTAGGTCAACTATGGGCTGGGAGCAGCTCGTGACTCTGAGCTGAGTGACCAGGGACCTTAGATCCAGAGGGGCAAGGTCACCCCTCCCAGGGCTCTGGGGTGGACTTGGGGTTGTGGCTGCATTTGGGGTGTAGGGATCCAGGCCAGAGGGCTAAGCCCTGGTTTCGATGAGCTGGAGAAGAGCCTGGAAAAGTTTCTGGCCGGGGGATTGGGTAGGGGCCTGCTTGGGAACTGCCCCCTGAAAAACCCCACTGGGCCTTGATTTTGAGACAAGCAGGTGTTCTGAGAACTTCTTCCTCCCGCGGCCGCCCCTCCTCCAGGCCCTCTATTTATAGCGCTTCCTCTCTTGAGCTCCGCGAGAAAAGTGCTCTTGAAACACACAGAAGAGAAAAATTCTGAAAAATGTCAAACCACAGGTCCTTTCCCCTCTCTTCCGTTAAGATCTAGGTTTGTACTATTCCTGGTTGACCCCAGAGTAGACAAGGTCAAATGGGGCATCCTTGGGTTATCACAGTGGCGTTCAGAAGGTGCTGGCTGAGTCCTGGCTCCTCTCTGCAGCCTGTCTGGGACTAACTCAAGGGGCAGGGAACAGGAGACCCTTTTCCACCAAGAAAATATGGGGCCATGAAGGTCTAGCCTGATCTAGCACGTGAGTTTGGAGAGATCAACAGCAAAGATGGTGAGATGGGAGTTGGAAAATATCAGACTCTGAATTGGAAGCCTGATGCCATGTTCTAGTTCAAGCTCTGTTTGGGATATCACTTCTGTCTCTGAGTATATTTCCCTCTCTGTAAATTAAAAGAGTTGGACTAGACCCGTGTTTTACAAACTTTTAAAACACAGAGCACACACAACGGAAACAGAAGTCTTATGAAACAGTATTTGTCCTTATTACGATGTATTTTCTTTTCTGTTCTGTTTCCTTTTCTCTTCTATCTCATTTTTAAAAAGTTCTGATCATGGCCCACTAAAATGATCTCGAAACCCACAATAAATTATTAAAGTAGTAAATTTTATGTATATTTTATCACAATTAAAACAATTTTTTTTTCTTGAGACAGGGTCCTGCTCTGTCTGTCACCCAGGCTGGAGTGCAGTGGCAGTCATGGCTCACTGCAGCCTCCATCTCCCAGGCTCAAGCAATCTTCCAGCCTCAGCCTCCTGAGTAGCTAGGACTACAGGCATGCACCACCACACTCAGCCAATTTTTAAATTATTTGTAGAGATGGGGTCTCACTGTGTTGCCCAGGCTGGTCTCAAACTCCTGAGCTCAAGGGATCCTCCTGCTTTGGCCTCCCAAAGTACTGGGATTACAGGCATGAGCCACCTTGCCTGGCCCAAAACAGTTTTTTTTTTTAAACCAACTAATTGTGGATTTTAACCCAATGGTTGAAAAATACCAGACTACACATATTTAAGTTCTCCTCCAATTATTTTTAAAAACCTAATTGTTCAATCACAGAGGAAAAGTGCCGCTTTGACAAAACATTGATCATTTTAAATTTTATTTTCAGTTTTTAAAAAAATCAAGTTTTAAAATGTTTTCTTTTTAAAAAATCAACCAAGGATAGTTTCAACTGAAGCTAAACCAAAATACCCTGTGGCCCAGCATTCCCCAATCTGGGTACATCCTAAAGAAAATGAGTATGTAAGTTCACCAAATGATGTGTACAGAAATGTTCACAGCAGCACTGTTTGTAATAGCCCCGCATGAAATACAACTCATGTTTATCAAAAGGAGAATAACTGTAATCCCAACACTTTGGGAGGCTGAAGCTGGCAGATTGCCTGAGCTCAGAAGTTTGAGACCTGCCTGGCCAACATGGCGTAACGCTGTCTCTACCAAAAAATACAAAATTTTCCAGGCATAGTGGCATGCACCTCTGGTCCCAGCTACTTGAGGGGCTGAGGTGAGAGAATCACTTGAGCCTTCGAGGTCAAGGCTGCAGTGAGCCATGTTCATGCCACTGTGCTCCAGCCTGGGTGACGGAGTGAGCCTGTCTCAAAAAAAAAAAAAGAAAGAAAGAAAGAAAAAAGAAAAAGAAAAAATAAAAGAGCATGAATGTGTAAGTGTTGGTACAGCCAAACAAATGAATAGTATATAACAATGAGAGTGAATGAACTACAACTGTTACCAATGTAGATGAGTTCCACCTGTTGGGCTCAGTGCCTGATACCCCAAAACATGGCACCTTGGCAACTGATAAAACAAAGAAACGAGATGATCATGAGACCCTTCCCCCACCCTTCTATGTGACAGCTGGCCATAAAGGAATCCTCTGACCTACTTCACCAGAAAACAGATCATAAGATCCTCCTTCCAGGACCAGGCATGGTGGCTCACGCCTATGATCCTGTAAGCGCTTTGGGAGGCCAAGGTGGGAGGACTTGAGGTCAGGAGTTCGAGACCAGCCTGGCCAACATGGTGAAAACCCGTCTCTACTAAAAATACAAAAATTAGCTGGTCATGGTGGTGCACACCTGTCATCCCAGCTACTCAGGAGGCTGAGGCAAGAGAATTGCTTGAGCCCAGGAGGCAGAGGTTGCAGTGAGCTGAGATTGTGCCACTGCACTCCAGCCTGGGCAACAGAGTGAGACTCCATCTCAGAAAGAAAAAATGAAAAAGGAAATTGAAGAAACCTAAAGAAACAGAGAGACCTGTGACTTTTCCATGCTTAGGTTAGATGAAGAGTGGATGATTTTGGAGAAATAAGATTGGAGGAAGACAAGGGTGTGATCGAATGGGGAACCCCTGGGGGACTTAGCAAGGCTTGTTTGTTCAGGCTCCTCCCTGTGACCCTGGTGCCTTCAGAGGTAAGGATGTTCCTTTCTTCTGGGTGTGTGGAGGGGAACTTTCAAACGAGGGTCTATAAGCTGCTTCGGGGGTGGGGAGGGGCATGGTGGGGGTAGGAGTGACCTTCTTGCTCCTCCTGTTTTCTTAAATGCCAAGATGCCATGTTTTGGGATAGCGTGGCCTGAACCCCATCATACTCCATGGGCCCTGACCCCTGCCATGGGAACTGTAGAAAGAAGAGTGTCTGCGTTCACCCAGTGCACACACTGGGTGCTGGCAACTGAGTCAGGCACTGGGGAAGGACGGCACCTCCATCTTGCTCGAAGAGCTTGGCCCTAACGAAGTCTGACCGGGTGAAGAGACTCTCATTTAATGTTACCGACTCTGCGCCTTTCAGGCTCTGAAGCTGTCCGCACAGTAGGATCACAGGTCGGGGATGGTCAGGACAGGGGATTGTGTTGAATCCAGGGATCTCCCCAGAAGTTGCTTTTCTGACTAAATAGCTCCTTGGGGCATTTTCTTGTAAAATTTTTGCCAACTGCTTGAACCACTCCTTCGGCATTTCCCTCCCGATCTTGGTTCGCTGATGTAAGGGACATGTGTCTTGTCCCCAAGCTCTGAAGTGAGGGTGGTTTTGTTTCTCTTGGATTATCACCTGGTGGCCAGCAGGGTGGCTTAAACATAAAAGGTGCTTAAATCACAATTTTTGACTAAAGGAGAGAAAGAAGAAATAATTCAATTAAATTGCAACTTCCTCTTGAAGGAAGAGTGCAGGGAGAAAAACACCGCTGGTTTGAGATATTTGAGGGTTGTCTTACGTCACAGCATGTTGCATAGAAGTGGAAGGTGCCCACGTCTGCTTTTTCCTAAAGAGCATTTGCTGTGGAGGTCTGAGGCTGGTCTGGGTTGCAGTGACGTTGGTGGCTACCTGAGTGACCGCAGTGACTCAGCCCACCTCTCTGGGTCTCAGCATCCTCATCTGCAACCTGGTCGGATTAGACAGGAGCCTCTATCAGGTTCCTCTATGTGGTGACTCTATGAGGCCAAGGGAAGACATAAGGGTGGTGTCTCATCCCCAGCTGTCGTCCCCACGTTGAGTGCCATGTGGTTCCCAGTGACTTTTGGGTTTCTCAACTTTCCCCTCAACATTTAAGCTCCTTGCAGGCCATGGGTGTGCCTTCACACCCCCTCCCCAGTGGCCAGCACAGGGAGCTAAGCAGATGCTTGATGTGTCCTGTGGGAAGAAGTCTCTGGATGATGTGGGAAGACAGGCTGTGGAGGGCAGGTTTGGAACAGTAACTACCACTGGCCCTGCATTCAGCAATCATTCAGCACGCACCCACCAGGCTGACCCCTGTGGAGGCCCTAGGAGTTGATGATTGAGACTTTGTCACTTCCCTAAACAGCTCCCAGTCTGACAGACACTAGTCATTTATGGTGTACACTAATATAGAGACATTTGGGGACTAGAAGGGGAGCACCAAAATGAGATGCAGGGTGTGGGGCAGCCAAGGAAGACTGCCTGGAGGAGGGCTGAGTCTTGTGTGAGAAGGAGTTAAGCAGAGTTGATGAGGGTTCATGGGGAGGGAAAATGCATTCTGGACAGAGAGAACAGCATATCCCAGGTCATGGAAATCGAATCCTGTCCTAAAGACCCTCAAAGGATTTTAGGTAGCGAATAACACAATCAGTTGTGCCTTTAGCAAACTCATTCTGCAATCCTCAGTGGGATGTAGAATATAAACTGGATTGGAGAATTAAGATCGGAGACCAGGAAGCAAGAAGCTGTGGCTGTCCTGGAGAGAGACAGTGAGGACTGGGCTGAGGCCACAGCCACGAGAATGCAGCAGAGGTGATGAATGAGGACCGAAAACTGGGGTGACGGCGGGGGCGGGCATGGCACATGAGGAAGAGCAAGGTGGGGCGGGCAGGATGGCCGTGGGTAGGTGCTCTGTGGGGATGGGCGAATCCACATGAGTTTGGGGCTGGAGAGGACACATTTGTAGTGTGGTCCACACTGCTTGTGCTGCTCCCAGCACACGGCAGGATTCCACCTTTTTTTTTTTTTTTTTTTTTTTTGAGATGGAGTCTTGCTTTGTCACCCAGGCTGGAGTGCAGTGGCACCATCTCAGCTCACTGCAACCTCCGCCTCCCAGGTTCAAGCGATTCTCCTGCCTCAGCCTCCTGAGTAGCTGGGAGTACAGGCATGCACTACCAAGCCCGACTAATTTTTGTATTTTTAGTAGAGACGGGGTTTCACCATGTTGGCCAGTCTGGTCTCGAACTCCTGACCTCAGGTGATCCACCTGCCTCGGCCTCCCAAGGTGCTGGGATTATAGGCGTGAGCCACTGTGCCCCACCAGGATTCCACCTCTTGAAGTTAGGTGTGGCCACGTGACTTGTGTTGTTCAAGGAAATATGAGAGAAAGTGACAAGAAACCTCTGGGTGGGAGAGTAACGGTCCGGCACACCATTCCCTGTGCTCTCCCTCCCTCTGTGTCAGCAGCTGGAGGGGTTGGGCAGATTGTCTCATCCTCAAGCTTGACCTCTGGGAAACCTCCTCGGCCACCTGGGACCAGGAAGAGCCTCCTCCTGTGTGTTCCTTGGCACCCTGAAGTTGCTATCTCTGCGGCGTGCCTGTCACCCCATAGAGCTCTCACCTGTCTACCTGTCTACTTTGCTAGAAGGGAGGGTCTGTCAGTGCCGAAGACCTAGGTGGTTCTGGGAGGTCAGCATAGTGTAGACACTTGGTGAGCACTACATGGGTGAGTGAGTGTGTTACTCCAGCGTCAGCAGTCCTGTCAATGATTAAATGTAAAAAAAGAGGAACAAGTACATCTGTGCCCACCCCACACTCCTTTTCCTCTTCATCATTAAAAAAGAAAGAAAAAGCAAAAACGGCAGCACCTGGACAGCTCAACCACACTGCTGCTCTGCCCACGTGTGGGGCTGAAGCAGCTCTGGGAACACAGACGTGCAAACCACAGAGATGCGATAGCGGTGCCAGCTCCGCTTTCCCGGGGCAGGCACAGAGCGAGGCAGAAATCAGTACCTTGTGAAGCCACTTCAAGGGTAGCAGCCGGTAGGTGGGCTCAGCCACAGTTGCACTGTCCGCAGCCCCTGCTCTACCTGTCCTCAGGAACACTGGCCCAAAGTCTCTGCATCCTTCAGATCTGGGAGAGCCTATATTCGGCCACCTCCCCACTCCAGCCCCAGCTTCGACTGCCTTGTAACTGAACCCACCTGGAGGACCCGTATCTCCATGCAGTTGGCCTTGAACAAATCACTTAACTCCTCTAAGCCTCATTTTATTCATCTGTGAAATGGGGATAATGATGCCTCTTTGCGGATAAAGTGAGGTGTAAATAAGTAAAGCTAGGAGTGTCTGACACAGAGGAGGTCCTCAATCATGGGTGCCATCGTTGTCACTTTTCTTGCCATTGGTTTCCTGACCTGAGTGAACAGGAAACCACTGTGCTCTATTGACCCTTGTCCAGGGCCAGGTGGAAGAGGACAGATGGACTAAGATGAAGGGGGCTGATGAAGCACCTGGAGGAGGAACCAGGGTAGTCAGTGGGTCAGGAAGTCACATGTCGGGCTCAGGGTGTGGAGTGCAGGGATGGAAGGCCACTGCATCTGAAGCGGAGGGGGTTTCAGGCAGCTGAGGCTCTAATCAAGTCTGATGGATAAGCTGGGAGGCTTTGGAAACATCCCATGCCTCAGTGTCCCCACTTAGAAGGCAAAATGGTTAGACTAGATCGAGGGTCCTTCACCTTTTCTTGAGCCACAACCCTTTTGGCTGAAGCCTGTGGACCCCTTCCCAGAGTCCTGGTTTTTAAATGTATAAAGTAAAACACCTAAGATGAAAAGAAACCTTTCATATTAAAATATAGTGATCAAAATGTTTAAAAGTACTTTTTTTTTTGAGATGGGGGGTCTCTCCCTGTCACCCAGGCTGGAATGCAGTGGTACAGTCACAGCTCACTGCAGCCTTGACCTCCCAAGCTCAAGTGATCCTCCCACCTCAGCCTCCAGAGTAGCTGGGACTACAGGCATGCACCACCATACCTGTCTAATTTTTTAATTTTTGTAGACAAACTCTCGCTATGTTGCCCAGGCTAGTTTCGAACTCCTGGATTCAAGCAATCCTTCTGCCTCAGCCTCCCAAAGTGTTGGGATTACAGGCATGAGCTACCACGCCTGGCCAAAGAAAAGCAGATTTTTAATATAATGTCCTACACACTTCTTTATTCACTACTGACATGTCTAATAGTGACTGTAATTTCAAGGTAGTGACGAGCATAAATAATGCCTTAAGGTACCTGGATCACCTGCACTGGGCGATGAAAAGACTTGCTGTGGTTTCTAACAAACAGCACCCAAGTCTCAGGCACTCTCCCGCCACTGTGGCTGGCCACTCGTGTCCACAACTGAAACATCACATTTCAGCTGGGGCCTAATGGAAACAAAGATGGCATCATTTTCCCATCCAGCCTCACAGCCCCCCTGAATTCTGGCCCCCACCACGGGCTGGATAATCTCTTCCACCCCAGCAGATGATTTATATAAGAGCCTGCTGCCGTTTCTACCCCATGGAACTCAGCTGGCTGAAATGAAATGTCTCTGCCCAGGAAACAATTAGACAATAACCCAAGACAATGTGACATTCAGTGCGTGGCCTCAGCGATAAACACAGAAGGAAGGACCCGCAAGAGTGGTGGGGGGATCCACAGAACTTGGGGCAGGGTCTGGTTCTGTCAGGTTCGCTGGGCCTGTGGGGGCTGCAGCTCCCGCTTAGACAAGGTCCCTGATGGGCAACAGAGATGATAACTTGGCACGGGGCGGGGCAGACCCCAGGCCCTCCTGTGTGTGGGTTGCAGCCCTCCATCACTTGTACACAGTCAACTTAGAGCCCGTGGCTGCGCCCAGCTGTGCCTCAGTAAATGCTTATTGAGTGAATCAGGAATAAACCCCGTGTGGGTGGTATTCTATAATTTCTTGCCCTTTTGTGGGGGCCTTCTAGGTCTCTTTTTTTTTTTTTTAACATTTAATCCTAAATGTTGTGAGGACGCCCAGGACGTTTCTCCTGGGGCTTGTGGTCTGTGGACAAGTCAGGCACCTTTGGAAACTGCCTCAGCTCTTCCTTCTGGGGGTGGCAGGAGGGGAAGTTTATGGTAAAGGTGTATGATAAGATAGGACCTTTTCATCTAAGTTATCTCCAACAGGCCTGGAGTTTTGGGGGCATATTTGAAGGCCCGATTTACATATGGGGAAAATTGGGTCCCATAGCCTCTGTCAATGGGAGGCCAGGTAGGGGAGTGTGTTGACCACATTCTAGACTAGGGGAAGCCGGGACACAGTGGACTGGGGGCAGCTGTTCCCCTAGGCTGGACAGCTGGCTGCTGACTGGGGTGGGCTTCACGCTGGGTTCACAGGCAGCCTCAGAAAGAACAGGCACACTTACCGTGTCAATGATGACAATGACGTAGTGAGGGCCGCATAGTCTTAATCAAAGGAGCTGCTCGATGCCTCATTTATTAGCCAGTGATGTGGCAGGGAAAACCATTCTTGCCCTTTGAAATGAGAGGAGAAAAAGAGCGGTGGCCCGGTGGCCTCAGCCCGCAGCCTTTCCCTGCTGGGGAGGGGTGGGTTTAACCTGCAGTCCCGCTGCCCAGCCCCCGCTAACTGCTGCTCTTGGAGCGCTGCCTGCCTGGGCTGCAAATGCACCTTTCAGGCCCCATTAAGGCACCTTGCCTGGGTCACAAAACCCAGGAAATCCAGAGCCAGGGCGGTCTCCCCTCCACCTTCACACACGGAGCTGAGAGTGTCTGGGTCCCCAGGGGGCGTTTCTTGCTTTCCCTTGCTCGCTGCCCCAGTGCGGGGAGAATGGTGGCTGCTTTTGAATTTCCTGACTCTGGTGGCTTCACTGTCACATCTATGGTCTGAATCCCAGCCTGAGGGGTGTGCAGGGAAATGGAGCTGAAAGGAAATTGGCCTCCTGGGGTGACTTTCCTCCTCCTCTCTTCTCTAGGGGATGGTGGGGGCTGTGCGCAGGCATCCTGTGGCGGGGAGATCACCTTGACTGGCACCCTGGGTGTTTTTTCTCTCTCTCTCTCTCTTTTTTTTTTTCCAGCAGGGGTGTAAAGGGAGGAAGAGTGTCGAGTTTTGTGCCATGAACAGATTCCGTTTCTGCAGAGGACAGCGTGCAGGGGACACCCTTCGAGGCTTTGGAGCCACCTAGGAAGCAGGCTGGCTGCTGCACAGGCCTCTGCTGGCCTCCTTGCACATGTCCTTGGTGGGTGAGGTAAGCGGGCCAGGGGGTCTTCCCAGGGCATGGGAAAGGTGCTTGGGCTCCAAGAAAACGGCTCAGATTGCAGCTGCTCTGCCCCCATGGCCTGGTGAGCTGCAGCTCACTCTGCTTCCACCCGTCATCGGTGTAGAGCACGCCCTAGCCTACGCGGGGTGTAGAGCACGCCCTAACCTGCGTGGACGCTCCAGGATCCCGGCCACTGCTGTCAGGCCAGAAGGAGCAGAGGCCAGCGTCAGCCTCCAGCCACCGATAGGACCAGGCTACCTTTGCTGTGTCACCCCCGGGGGAGAATTTTAGAACACTTCTGGAAGCGCTTTTGGTAATTCTCCCCCTTCATGACTGCACTGATTGATCATCTCTGAGCGGAGGCACGCCTGGCACGCTGCAATCAGCACTGTGAGCCTCAGAAGGCAAAGGACCTTGTAACAGGGTAACTTCAGATAAAGGCACAAATGACTGATGTTAGGTCCTTTCCTGAGAGCAGATGGGATGGGGGAAGGGTGGGGTGCTTGTGCTTGTGGGGAGAGACCCCATGGGGTGGAGACGCAGAACACGGGGTGCAGAGGAGCTCACCTTTGGGCAGGTGTGGGGCCACAGCCCGCGCAGCACAGTCCGGGAGCTGTCAGTGCCCTGCGTCCTCATGTCTACCGACATCAATGAGCAAAGGAATGGGATGGACCAGCAGGAGGACAGGTAGCTAGGATTAAGGTGTGAGGCTTAGCGGCTTGGCCTCTCTCGATGGCTCCTGCTTTGGGTCTATGTGGCTGTCCAACCCTGCTGACCTCCCCAGACTCACAGCAGTGGTGACAGCACCTGCCACCCCCTCCTTGGGGTATGGATGTGACTTTTTTGTGGCTTCCAGCAGGGCCCAGCATCCTGGGCACTTGTTTTGTGCCAAATACCAAGAAAAGGAAGAAGACGAGGCCAGCCCCTCAAGGGCTAAGGGTTTGCTGAGCGTGCAGAGGCGTGAAAGAGGCCTGTGAGTCACTGCGGAGGCTCAGTCCCCACCAAGTACCAAGCAAGCGCCAAGGGTGGAGGGGCTCACAAATGCTGCTGAGCCGGGGAGGCTTCAGAGAGGAGGTAGCCCTTAGCTGGGCCTCGAGGCTAGTGCGGTGTCCTGGCAGCAAAGGGGGCACGAGGCACCCCGGCTGAGGCAGGGAGCCACAGCACGCGGTGAACCCTGAGGCTGGAATTCCTGAGGGCCAGGCAGAGCTGAGGCTGGGGGAGATGTGCCCTGGGGAAGAGGCCCCTGAAAAATCAGGAAGGGGGGCCCATTGCCAAGGGTTGGGGGTGCGTCAGGAGCCAGTCCCATCTCTTTGCCCTGTGAGGCCTGAACAAATTAAAAAATGAACACACAACTTTCCAAAGGCACCAGATAGCGGCTCTGTGCCTGGTCAAGTCGGTTCTAGAAGGTGAGGGGACCTGTGGTTCGCACCACCTGAGCTACCCTAGGTCGGCTCAGGCCTCAGGCCCCTTCCCCACAGCCTCCCACCTTGCTCGGCCAGCAAGTTGTTCAGGAAAGAAGGGGAGGAGGAAGAGGAACCTTCTCTCGTGGTTGGGAGCTGGTGAAACTCACGAGAGGGCCTTGGAGTCTGTGTGCTCTTCCAAAGAGCGGTCACTTCAGTGCGGGCTGGTTGGCCTGCCCCACCCCTGGGGCTCCCGGGTCACTTCTCCACAGAGTGAGTTTGAGTGTGTGAGCAAGTGTGTGAGAAGCGTCAGTGTGTGTGAGTGAATATGCGTGAGTGGGTGTGCAAGTGTGTGCACGTTTGAATGTGTGTTGGTGTGTAAAGTGGGTGTGAGTGTGCATGTATGTGAGTGAATGAGTGTGTGTGTGAATGGGTGTGTGTGGGTGGAGTGCATGTGCATGGGTGTGAGTGGGTGTGTGTATAGTGTGTATATATGTGTGCATGTTTGTGAATAAGTGTGTGTCATGTGTGCATATGTGGGGTGTGTATGGAGTGTGTGTGTCTGTGTGAGTGTGCGAATATATAGTGTGTGCACACACCTGTGAGGATGGGTGTGTGTAGTGTGTGTGCACGTGTGAGTGGGTATGTGTGAATGAGTGGATGTGTGTGTGCATGAGCATGTGTGTGAGTGTAAGCGAGTGGAAATGTTATGTATGCAAGTGCAGGTGTGTGTTAGTATACACGTGTGAGTATATGAGTGGGTGTGCAAGCATGTGAGTGGAGTGTGAGTAGGTGTGTGCACATGTCTGCATGGTGAGTACAAGTGTGTGAATGGGTATGTGTGCACATGTGTGAATGTGTGCATATGTGTATGGGTGGGGAAGTGTGTGCATGTGTGAGTGGGTGTGTGTGCACATCTGTGGGTGTGTTTTCACACGTGTGAATGGGTGTGTGAGTGCATTGTGTGAGTGGGTGTGTAGGGTGAATGTGTGCATGTGAGTGGGTGTGTAGGGTGTGTGCATGTGAGTGGGTATGTAGGGTGTATGCATGTGTGTGAGTGGGTGTGTAGGGTGTGTGCATGTGTGTGTGGTTGTGCATGTGTGTAGAGTGGGTGTGTGAGTGTGCATGTGTTTGGGTATGTAGGGTGAGTGGGTGTGCATGTGCACGTATGTGTGTAAATGGGTGTGTGCACGTGTGTGAGTGGGTGTGGGTGTTATTAAAGAAAACTGGAGCCGACAGCAGTTGGAGCGGTGGACGCAGATCTTGCTCAGGAACTCTTGCAATTGGAGAAAAGTCCTCAGGACAGAGCGGGGCTCCATTCCCAAAAGGACGAGGAAAATGGGGCTCATCCCCAAGGAGCAGAGTTGGGGGATGGGAAATTACTGAAAGGAAACATGAGGGTTCTTGTTAAGATGACCTAAGCCGATTCCTGCTGAAAGCCAGGGTGATCTGATGTCGAGGGCGGGGGTGAGGAATTTGACCAGATAAGAGAGGTGACCAGAGATCAAGGCTGGGTGGTTCCGTATGGACGCCCAAAGTTGGGAAAGCCCAAAGAAGAAGGCTTAGGGAAGCCTTACTAAAGTTTGGTCAAAAAGAATGGTGTGTGTGTGTGTGTGTGTGTGTGTGTGTGTGTGTGTAGGCAGTGCAGTTTGGGGTTTGGGGCTGGCCCAGACAGAGGAGATGGCAGGCCTGTGCCCAGCGTCCCTCACCGGCCCCTCCCCTGTAAGCTGGGCTGCTTTGGTCCTGGGAAATCGCTTCCCCTGGCTGCTTTCCCAGGGCAGGCAGGAGCCACCTGGGGGCTGTCCTTGACTCTTGAGCTAGGCCAAGTGCTCCGAGATCTTGCCATTCCTTCGGTTTGTTCTCTGCACTCTCCTTCCCTGGGAGCAGCTCATGAACTGAAGGTGGGACAGGGCAGAGGTGGCTTCTCTCACCAACTCCAGGACATGTCTGTTTACTTAGTTAAGGGGTTAGAATGCTAGAAAAAAAACTCTTGCTTGAGTGTAATCTGTAAAAGAAAGAACAATATAAAACAAAGTAGCAAAAGGATCATTGCGTGGGTTTTTACATATTTCTTACTGTGTTGCCATTTTATCAGGGCCAAACTCAGAAGAAAGCAAAACCTCAACAGCTCTAGCCGCAGCTTTGCTTTAGCGATGTTTCCCCTGCACGTCTTCTCTTCTCAAACAGGTCCTAACACTCTACCGCAGGCAGTAGGAGACCATGCTTTTGCATCTTCCAAATGCAACCAGTAGCTGGCACAGCACTTGGGGAATTCTTGATAAAGTTAAAAATATGTATAAATTCAATTTTCAGAGTGCATGACTAGCTCTACCTCTGTCGATATATCATCTCTATCTTCACCTATCTTTATCTATCCACCCACCCATCTATCTCTCTATTCGTCTATCCATTATCTAATCTATCACCTCTATATCCATCTGACATTATCTATCTATCTATCTATCTAATCTATGGATTCATTCATCCTCTATCCCTCTATTCATCTATCCATTATGTAATCTATCATCTCTATATCTCTCTATCATCTATCTACTTATCATCTATCTATCCAATCTATCTCTCTATCTATCCATCCATCCTCTGTCCCTCTATTCATCTATTATCTCTATATCCATCTATCTATCAGCCACCTGGCATCTCTAGCATCCCTATCATCTCTATATCTAAGTAATCTGTCATATCTGTCCACCTGCCTATCTAATCTAGCATCTCTGTCTCTATCTATTCATCCATCTATGCATCCATCCATCCACCCATCCTGAGGTTCAAAGGGCTTTCTGGTGCTCCTCTCTCTGCCTTTCAGCCTTGCTTCCCTTCCTTTCCATTTGAATAGAAGCTCCTTCTCTATTTGCAGAGATGAGACAGAGATGTCTATACCTGGGTTGACATGAGGCACAATCTACAGCAGGATCCCCACCAGCCAGCCTCAAATTGTTCAGGAGGGGACAGCTATGTCCTGAATCGAGGGAGGTTTAGGGGATCATGGACCTGGTGCCCTTCAAGTCAGCATCTGACTGCAGAAGTAAGCCATTCAGAACCTGGATCTCAGTGCTGGCTGCATGAGCTACAGTGGTCCTTGGGCGAGCTGTACACCCTCTGTACACTTTGGTGCCTATGTGTGCACCACGTAGACCATCACGTGACCCCAACCTGCTGTGCACAGAGCACTGCATAGACCCACTCCCACTCTTCTTTTTGTCACAGTTTGGAAATTAAGGCTTAAAGGATGATCAGAATGCAGCTGAGAGAAATGGAGGTGGGTAAAAAGAAGGCAAGGCTAGGTTACTTAGCAGACTGGGAAAAGTGCATTTGAAATAGGAAAATATGTACACGTTTTCAACAAACAACCCAATAGAAAAAGGGGCATACAATTTGTACAGGCATACAGAAAGATTACCACATGGCCAATAAACATGTGAAAAGGTGACCAGCATCAGTAGTGATCAGGGAACTGCTGTTAAAACCACAACCCACCAAAACAGCTAACCTGAAAAAGACTGACAACACCAAGTGGTGGTGAGGAAGAGGAGCCACGGGAGTGCCCCCACACTGCTGGAACGATTAAGAACAGCTACTTTGACCAACTGTTTGCCAGGACCTACTAAAAGTAGAAACATGCAGAGCCTGTGACCCAGCAGTTCCACTCCCAGCTGTATGCTCAGCAACATGTAGACAAGTTTCACCAAACACATAAAGTACATAAAGAGCAGGACTGTGTGTAATTATCCCAACTGGCAGCAACTGCACCACGCAGCAACAGTAGAACGGATAAATAAATGGTGGTGCTCTGTGCTCTTCTAGTTACCATGGCTGTGTAAAACATGTCTTTGTCAGTAAGCTTTTTGTTGAAGTCCAACATACTGTTCTAGTTACTGTGGCTGTGTAACAAATTACCCCAAAACGGCAACTGGAAACATAGTTTTATCATGTTTGTGGATTCTGTGGGTCAGGATATTGAAGAGGGCACAGTGGGAATGATTTTTCTCTGCTCCCTGACCTTGGAAGTCTCCGCTGAGAAGGATCAACAGCTGGGGGTAACTCTGAGGCACGGGTTGGGGCCTCCTGGAAGTGACTTTGCTCCCGTGTGTGGCTGTTGAAGCTGACTGCTGGCTGGAACCTCGGCTGGGGCTGTCCACGGGAGCATCTGCCTATGGCTTCTCCCAGCATGCCAGCCTCAGGGTAATCAGACTTCTGATACGACAGCTTGAGGCGCTGAAAAAGAGTGTCCCAGCAAACAGGACAGAAGCTGCATGTGTTAACCACGTCTTTTATTTTCTGTATTCTGATGCTTTAACATTTGGGGACCTTGCTGACTGTGGAGGGACTGCCCCTTCCCGGGTTAGCCAATTCCTAGAGACAGTAAACAACTCACCCATGAACACGCTATTCAGTTCTTCAAATGCAAATACAATGGAATACCATTCAGCAATGAGAATGAGCAAACTACAACTACACCCAACAATGCAGGTGATGCTCACAAACTAACATTGAACCCAAGAAGCGACACACATAAGATCGTATAGCATGGTTTCATTTATTTAAGGGTCAAAAGCATGCAAAACTGAGTTGTGATTTTAGAAGTTAGGAGAGGGGCCACGCTTGAGTGAAGGTGGAGGTTGGGAGGGCAGAGGAGAGTTTCTGGGAGGCTGTGAGGTTGTGCTTCCTAATCTGGGTGCCGATCACATGGGTGAGTTCACTTTGTGAAAATCGACAAGCTGTGCTTTTATGATCTGCACCCATTTTTCTATGTATGTGTTATGGTTTAAAAAATGGCTGTAGGCCAGGTGCGGTGACTCATGCCTGTGATCCCAGCAATTTAGCAGGCTGAAGTGGGCAGATCACCTAAGGTCAGGAGTTCAAGACCAGCATGACCAACATGGGGAAACCCTGTCTCCACTAAAAATACAAAAATTAGCCAGGAATGGTGGTGCGTGCCTGTAATCCCAGCTACCCGGGAGGCTGAGGCAGGAGAATCACTTGAACCCAGGAGGAGGTGGAGGCTGCAGTGAGCCAAGATCTCACCACTGCACTCCAGCCTGGGTGACAGAGTGAAACTCCATCTCAAAAGCAAAAAAAAAAAAAAAAAAAAAAAGGCTCCAAATTCTTCTACTTTTCTCCCATGGAGAAGTGGAGGCTATTCTCCCCCCATGCCCCTGTACTATCTTGATTCTAGATGAGCTTGTGACTTGCTTGTAAGTGATAGAAGGCACTGGAAGTGATGATATGACACTTCAGGACTAGGTTAGAAAAGGTGAGGCAGTGTTTTAGAATAGAGTGTATTAATAGAAAATCTGGGGTCCGGTACTGTGGCTCACGCCTATAATCCCAGGACTTTGGGAGGCCGAGGCAGGCGAATCACTTGAGGTCAGGAGTCATGGTGAAACCCCATCTCTACTACTTAGGAGGCTGAGGCATGAGAATTGCTTGAACCGAGGAGGTGGAGGTTACAGTGAGCCAGGATCACTCCACTGCACTCCAGCCTGGGCGACAGAGCAAGACTTTGTCTCAAAAAAAGAAAAAGAAAAGCCGAGGTTCAAGAAGGCCAACAGGTCAGCAGATAACTGCCATTGAAGGACAGTTTGCTACTCACAGATCCCAAGAGGAGGGCACGCCCCATCACGCAGGGCCACCGGGGAGACATAGGGTTGGTCAGGAGGTGAAGGGAGCAGGGGAAAATGTGGGCAAGAGTGGTTTTAGGGTACACAGGCTTAAGATTGGGTGGTTTGAATCATTTCAGCAAGCTCTGAGACATGAGGACTGTCCCCATTTGTGTGGTACCTGGCCCTGGGGTGTTTAGGGCAGGTGGATAGTGTCCTGGTGTGTGAGAGCTGTAAATGGAGCCCGTGGAAGCTAAGGACTCTGGATTGGTAGGTTTGCATTTGAAGAACTGAAGAGCGTGTTCATGGGTGAGTTGTTTACTGTCTCTAGGAATTGGCTAACCCGGGAAGGGGCAGTCCCTCCACAGTCAGCAAGGTCCCCAAATGTTAAAGCATCAGAATACAGAAAATAAAAGA
Organism: Homo sapiens; assembly: GCF_000001405.40. Classification (NCBI taxonomy): domain Eukaryota; kingdom Metazoa; phylum Chordata; class Mammalia; order Primates; family Hominidae; genus Homo; species Homo sapiens. Next base: position 99,409,609 of record NC_000013.11, on the reverse strand, counting down.
CGTGGTTAACACATGCAGCTTCTGTCCTGTTTGCTGGGACACTCTCTTTCAGTGCCTCGAGCTGTCGTATCAGAAGTCTGATTACCCTGAGGCTGGCATGCTGGGAGAAGCCATAGGCAGATGCTCCCGTGGACAGCCCCAGCCGAGGTTCCAGCCAGCAGTCAGCTTCAACAGCCACACACGGGAGCAAAGTCGCTTCCAGGAGGCCCCAACCCGTGCCCCAGAGTAACCCCCAGCTGTTGATCCTTTTCAGCAGAGACCTCCAAGATTAGGGAGCAGAGAAAAATCATTCCCACTGTGCCCTCTTCAATATCCTGACCCACAGAATCCACAAACATGATAAAACTATGTTTCCAGTTGCCGTTTTGGGGTAATTTGTTACACAGCCATAGTAACCAGAACAGTATGTTGCACTTCAACAAAAAGCTTACTGAAAAAGACATGTTTTATTATACTTGTGCATGTTGCCTCAGCAAAACTATTCATTATTACAATTCCAGAGGCATAACCCCACAGATACAGTGTTTTTTTTTTCTTTTTTCCTCCCCAGGCAGCCACGTGAGATGGCTTCCGGCACTGCTGGCGTGAGTAGTCTTCCTGGCAATGCCAGCTCTTGCCGTCCTCACCTCCTGGCCCCAGTGGCCCGCATGACGCTCTCTGTTCTACACAGCCCTCCTGGTCTTCAGTGCCCTGGGAAACATCCTTGCCCTTTGCCTTACCTGTCAAAAGAGCAGGAAGATCAACTGCACAGGCATCTACCTGGTGCACCTGGCTGTGTCTGACCTGCTGTTCACCGTGGCCTTACCGGGAAGGGTGGTGTGTTATGTGCTGGGCTCCAGCTGGCCTTTCGGCAAGGGGCTCTGCAGGCTGACGGCGTTTGTGCTCTACACCGACACCTACGGGGGGTCTACCTCATGGCCTGTGTGAGCGTGGACCATTACCCAGCTGTGGTCTGTGCCCACTGGGGCCCGCGCCTCCGCACGGCTGGCCGCGCCAGGCTGGTCTGCGTGGCCATCTGGACCTTGGTGCTGCTGCAGACGATGCCCTTGCTCTTGATGCCCATGACCAAGCCGCTGGTGGGCAAGCTGGCCTGCATGGAGTACAGCAGCATGGAGTCAGTCCTCGGGCTGCCCCTCATGGTCCTGGTGGCCTTTGCCATTGGCTTCTGTGGGCCAGTGGGGATCATCCTGTCCTGCTATATGAAGATCACCTGGAAGCTGTGCAGCACAGCTGGGAGAACCCAGTGACCAGCGGGAAAGGACACCACCGGCGGGGCAGCCCAGGAGGACCCAGTGACCAACAGGAAAGGACGCCACCGGCGGGGCAGCCCAGGAGGACCCAGTGACCAGCGGGAAAGGACACCACCGGCAGGACAGCCCGAGAGGACCCAGTGACCAGCGGGAAAGGACGCCACCGGCGGGACAGCCCGGGAGGACCCAGTGACCAGCAGGAAAGGACGCCACTGGCGAGGCTGCCTGCTTACGCTGCTGATGCTGGTGGCCGTGGTGGTCTGCTTCAGCCCCTACCACCTCAACATCAAGCAGTTCATGGCGAGAGGGATGCTCCACCTGCCATCCTGTGCCGAGCGGAGGGCTTTCTTACTGTCCCTTCAGGCCACCGTGGCCCTCATGAACATGAACTGTGGCATTACCCCATCATTTACTTCTTTGCATCCACCCATTACAGGAAATGGCTCCTGGGCATTTTAAAGCTCAAAGGGTCTTCCTCCTCCTCCTCCTCCTCCTCCTCCACCCCAGGAAAAGCTTCTTCAGAAACACCAAGTATCACCCAGGCCAGAGGTTCTATGTTCTTAGCGGAGCACGTGGTCTAACGTGTCATTTGCTTTATGACTGTATCTAGGGAGGGGTCCAGCGTTGGGGTATTGAAGTTGATACAATTTGGGCAAAAGGTTTTTTAAGGAAAAGAATACAGAATAAGAAATACAAAATTAGGCCGGGCGCGGTGGCTCACGCCTGTAATCCCCGCACTTTGGGAGGCCAAGGTGGGCGGATCACCTGAGGTCAGGAGTTCGAGAGCAGCCTGGCCAACATGGTGAAACCCCATCTCTACTGAAGTACAAAAATTAGCCAGGTGTGATGGTGGGCACCTGTAATCCCAGCTACTCAGGAGGCTGAGGCAGCAGAATCACTTGAACTCGGGAGGCAGAGGATGCAGTAAGCCGAGATCGCACCACTGCACTCCAGCCTGGGCGACAAGAGCAAGACTCCGTCTCAAAACGAAAGAAAGAAAGAAAGAAATACAAAATTAGAGACAGGGTCTTTGAAGGGACAGTGTAAGGATGGAGCCCTGAAGTTTGGACTTCAGTATCCTGACAAACACAGCTCTAATATCTCTTAGTAAATGGTAGTGGAGTTCCTTCGCCCCTAAAGGGGTGTGGGGTGTTTTTTTCCAGGAAAAGTCTATTTTCATGGTAAATGCAGAAGAGCCTGAAAGAAGTGGCTGAGCACTAGATCAGCAATTTAGAGGATGCTTCCCGTTTGGGGGGTGAAATGCTGTAAAGAGCAAGAACACTTCCCCTTCTCTTACAGAGAAACTTCCCAATTCTTAGCCTTAACATTTACTAAAATGTCAAGGTTTTTCTGAAAAACTTGGAAAACACAGGGAGGATGCACAGCCAGGCGCTGAGCTGATGCCTCTGCAGAGGGTCGGGAGGGACTGTGCCAAGTGGGGAAGGGACTTCGTGTGCTTTTGTGTGGTGGTTTGGATCTTGTGCAATGTGAAAGCATTCACGGATGCACGTGTCATTGGGAAGAACAGGGGGAAAGGAAACAGTCAGAAAAGCAGGCCCTTTTTTTTTCATTTGTTTAGTGTCAGAAAGGCTGTATCCATTTAAATGCTGCTTACATTAGATCGAAACAAACCTTTGCAAGACCGAACTTTGAAAGAAGTTTCATTGCAACTTCTTCAGACTTACTGAGGCAATTTTTTTTCTTTTTTTTCTTTTTTTTTTTTTTAGACAGTCTCGCCCTGTCACCCAGGCTGGAGTGCAATGGCACAATCTCGCCTCACTGCAACCTCCACCTCCCCGGTTCAAGCGATTCTCCTGCCTCAGCCTCCAGAGTAGCTGGGATTATAGGCACATGCCACCATGCCCAGCTAATTTTTTCTATTTTTAGTAGAGATGTGGTTTCACCTTGTTGGCCAACCTTGTCTCGAACTCCTGACCTCCTGATATACCCGCCTCAGCCTCCCAAAGTGCTGGGATTACAGGCGTGAGCCACTGCGCCCGGCCAAGTCTGATGCCATTTATGGAGCATTTTGACGTGGGTGATTTTGTGTTTCGTAAAGCATTAGGTTGGTGCAAAACTGCTGTTCTGCCGTGACTTGTGCACCAACCTAATAGAATGTGTGCTTTCCTGCCAAGCGCATGTTCCTGACGACAGTCCCTGGCCTTTCCCTCTGCCCCCACCGTCCCCCCACACTCCGGCGGTTCAGACAGGAATAAGCGTGGAGTCCTGCCTCAAGCCCTCCCCAGTCGCTGTCCCCCAGAGACCCTCTTCTCTCCTGATGCTTCTTGCATCTTCCAATTTCCGGCTACGTTTTGGACATTTGACTCTCTTCAAGGCAGAACTTCACATACACTTTCTTGAGTGGGGAATGTCTCATCCTGTGACGTTGTGATAAAATAAGAAATACGTATTTGGTCTTTCCCCTAGTTCCTGGCATAGAGCTCCTAAAACCTTGGAATTTTCCAAGAGACAGGGGTGAGAGGGCATCTTTCGTTCTTCATCATGAGCCCTTTTCCATCACACTTGAGTTTATGCCAATGAGGCAACTCTTGCCTGGACCCAGAAGATAAGGTTGGTTGCTGGAGGAACCACCATATGGTTAGAGGGTTGGAACTTTCAGCCCCATCCCCTAGCTCCTGGGGAAAGGAGACAGGCCAAAGATTGAGTCCAATCACCAATGATTTAATCAATCACATCTCTGTAATGGACCCTCCATAAAACCCCGAAGTGATGCAGTTCTAGAAGCTTCTGGTGGTGAACTCCACATGCCTGGAGGATGGTACATGTCAAACTCCGTGGGAACAGAAGCCCCTGAAATCAGGCCCTTTCCCAACCTAGGCACCTCTTCATCGGGATGCTTGTCTATATCCTTTATGTATTATATCCTTTCGAATAAGCTGGTAATTAATAGTAAGTAAAGTGTCCCTTGAGTGCTGTGAGCTGTCATAGCAAATTATCCAACCTGAGGAGGGGAACCCTCGATTTGTAGCCAACTTGGACAGAAGCGTGGTAACCTGAGGGCCCACTACTTGAGACTGGCATCTGAAGTGGGGGGCAGTCTTGTGGGATGGGGCCCTAACCCTGGGGGGGCCTGCACTAACTCTGAGTAGCTAGTGTCAGGATCGAATTAAATTGTGGGACATCCAGTTGGTGTCCACAGAGAACTGGTTGTTGGTGTATAAAAAAGCACTTTTTTTCCACTTACATCCTGGCAACTGGACTGCAAGGTCCTGAAGGAAATGTCTGCTCTGGCACCCTTGCTTGATGCCCCGGACAGCTGGCACTACCCCAGGCAGGGAGCTAGCGCTCCAGATGCCCCCACTAGTTTGAATGGATGAGGATCATTTCTCTTATGAAGTCTGATTTGTCAAATCCTACGAAAAACCCTCAGGAGCTCATGTTGAGGTCCTGGGCACACTTCTTCTCCATGTCTGCTTCCAGCTTGGAGGCAGAGAGGCTCAAAGTCTCAAAGAACTTGGAACTCTGCTCTTGGGGCCCTGTGAATTCAGGAGTGAAGAACCTCAGCTGAAAGGTCCCCTCTGCATCCGCTGGTGGCTGCTCTGAGCAAATCCTGTAGGTGCCCAGTAGTTTGCTTCCACACCTGGCCGGGATTAAAAGCAAAGCTCACACCCCTGATGCATTTGCACTAACCGAGCACTTCTCACAGGGCATGAAGGTACGAGAGGGGCTGGCCAGCCAGTGGTGTGATGAGGAGGGGGGCCCAGGGGCTGCAGAGGGGCCTCCAGCAGGGACACCGAGGTCTGGCTGCCTCCGGACATTACAGATCCTCCTGGGCCACCTCTCAAGCGTTTCTCACACCTGACCCGGCCTGCACGCTGGGCTGCTCAGCTCCAAAGCTGCGTGGGGCCCCGCAGTTATGAGCATGAGGAAGCCGGAAGGAGACAGTCATACCAGAGGGCATTTGAGAACGAAACAGGAGCAGGAAAGAGGCCCGAGATCGCGAAGTCTGGCAAGAAGAGGTAGAACTGGGTGGGAAGAGAAAGCACAGCCGAGATGCCCGTCTGCTTGCTGTACTGGCCATGGATGGAGGCGGGTGTTCTTTTTAGGAATGCCCACGATGGGTTGGATTTACAGAGAGAGAGGTCTCAGTTCTGAATATGGTTTGGCTATTTGCATTGAAATGTGATCCCCAAGGTTGGGTCACGGGGCAGATCTCTCATCAACGGTTTGGTGCCCTGTCCATGGTGATGAGTGACTTCTTACTCAGATAGGTGAGATCTGGTTGTTTAAAGAGCCTGGCACCTCCTTCCTCTCTCTCTTGTTCCCACTCTCGCCGTGTGATCACCTGCTCCCGCTTCACCTTCCACCAGGAGTCAAAGTTCCCTGAGACCTCCCTGGAAGCCAAGCAGATGCAGGTGCCATGCTTGTACAGCCTGCAGAACCTGAGCCAGTTAAACTCTTCCTTATAAATTACCCAGCCTCAGACATTTCTTTATATCAAGGAAAACAGACTAACCCAGGGCGATGGGAGGAGGCACCTTGCCAAGGATCCGCACCCACACACACCCACACCTCACTTTCCTCATCTGTAAAAGGAAACTGTAATATCTGCACAAGGGACTATTGTATTTGTCACGTGGAATATTTGTGGGGTTTCCATGGAGCAACATGTGTGTCAATTACTTAACACTAAAGAACTCATTTAAAATGGAAACAGATTGTGGCCACTGATATTTGTAAGGGGTGCTAGACCACCTCACGTCACTGGGGATATCAGTGCATCTTTTCTTGTTACTGGGGTTAGGTGTGAACACCCAGGCCACTCCCTCAACCCAGGAGCAGTGGTTCTCAGACTGTGGTCTGGGGACCAGCAGCAGCAGCGACTCCAGACCCTGCCCAGACCTGCTGAGTCTGCCCCACTAGGGTGGGGCCTGCACTGTTTTACCAGCCTTGCGAGGGACCTTTGGAAAATCCTAGTGCCCAAGTCTGAGAACCACTGGCCAAGATGCGTTCAGTCAGCATCTCTAGGAGAGGGACTCAGGCACAGGTTATTTATTTATGTTTTTTTCATTTAATTCATTTTTTAAATTATACTTTAAGTTCTAGGGTACATGTGCACAACGTGCAGTTTTGTTACATATGTATACATGTGCCATGTTGGTGTGCTGCACCCATTAACTCATAATTGACATTAGATATTTCTCCTAATGCTATCCCCAGCCCTCCACCCCTTGACAGGCCCCATGGTGTGATGTTCCTCACCCTGTGTCCAAGTGTTGTATTGTTCAATTCCCACCTGTGAGTGAGAACATGCAGTGTTTGGTTTTCTGTCCTTGCGATAGTTTGCTCAGATTGATGGTTTCCAGCTTCATCCATGTCCTTACAAAGGACATGAACTCATCCTTTTTTATGGCTGCATAGTATTCCATGGTGTATATGTGCCACATTTTCTTAATCCAGTCTATCCTTGATGGACATTTGGGTTGGTTCCAAGTCTTTGCTATTGTGAATAGTGCCGCAATAAACATACATGTGCATGTGTCTTTATAGTGGCATGATTTATAATCTTTTGGGTATATACCCAGTAATGGGATGGCTGAGTCAAATGGTATTTCTAGTTCTAGATGCTTGAGGAATCACCACACTGTCTTCCACAATGGTTGAACTAGATTACACTCCCACCAACAGTGTAAAAGTGTTCCTATTTCTCCACATCCTCTCCAGCACCTGTTGTTTCTGACTTTTTAAAGATCGCCATTCTAACTGGTGTGAGATAGTATCTCATTGTGATTTTGATTTGCATTTCTCTGATAGCCAGTGATGATGAGCATTTTTTCATGCATCTGTTGCCTGCATGAATGTCTTCTTTTGAGAAGTATCTGTTCGTATCCTTTGCCCACTTTTTGATGGGGTTGTATGATTTTTTTCTTGTACATTTGTTTAAGCTCTTTGTAGATTCTCGATATTAGCCCTTTGTCAAATGGGTAGATCGTAAAAATTTTCTCCCATTCTGTAGGTTGCCTGTTCACTCTGATGGTAGTTTCTTTTGCTGTGCAGAAGCTCTTTAGTTTAATTAGATCCCTTTTGTCAATTTTGGCTTTTTTTGCCATTGCTTTTGTGTTTTAGTCATGAAGTCCTTGCCCATGCCTATGTCCTGAGTGGTATTGCCTAGGTTTTCTTCTAGGGTTTTTATGGTTTTAGGTCTAACATTTAAGTCTTTAATCAATCTTGAATCAATTTTTGTGTAAGGTGTAAGGAAGGGATCCAGTTTCAGCTTTCTACATATGGCTAGCCAGTTTTCCCAGCACCATTTATTAAATAGGGAATCCTTTCCCCATTTCTTATTTTTGTCAGGTTTGTCAAAGATCAGATGGTTGTAGATGTGTGGTATTATTTCTGAGGCCTCTGTTCTGTTCCATTGGTCTATATCTCTGTTTTGGTACCAGTTACCATGCTGTTTTGGTTACTATAGCCTTGTAGTATAGTCTGAAGTCAGGTAGCATGTTGCCTCCAGCTTTGTTCTTTTGGCTTAGGATTGTCTTGGCAATGCAGGCTCTTTTTTGGTTCCATATGAACTTTAAAGTAGTTTTTTCCAATTCTGTGATGAAAGTCATTGGTAGCTTGATGGGGACGGCATTGAATCTACAAAGTACCTTGGGCAATATGGCCATTTTCATGATATTGATTCTTCCTATCCATGAGCATGGAATGTTCTTCCATTTGTTTGTGTCCTCTTTTATTTCATTGAGCAGTGGTTTGTAGTTCTCCTTGAAGAGGTCCTTCACATCCCTTGTAAGTTGGATTCCTAGGTATTTTATTCTCTTTGAAGCAATTGTGAATGGGAGTTCACTCATGATTTGGCTGTCTATTATTGGTGTATAGGAATGCTTGTGATTTTTGCACATTGATTTTGTATCCTGAGACTTTGCTGAAGTTGTTAATCAGCTTAAGGAGATTTTGGGCTGAGACCATGGGGTTTTCTAAATATACAATCATGTCATCTGCAAACAGGGACAATTTGACTCCCTCTTTTCCTAATTGAACACCCTTTGTTTCTTTCTCCTGCCTGATTGCCCTGGCCAGAACTTCCAACACTATGTTGAATAGGAGTGGTGAGAGAGGGCATCCCTGTCTTGTGCCAGTTTTCAAAGGGAATGCTTCCAGTTTTTGCCCATTCAGTATAATATAATATTGGCTGTGGGTTTGTCATAAATAGCTCTTATTATTTTGAGATACATCCCATCAATACCTAGTTTATTGAGAGTTTTTAGCATGAAGGGCTGTTGAATTTTGTCGAAGGCCTTTTCTGCATCTATTGAGATAATCATGTGGTTTTTGTCATTGGTTCTGTTTATATGAAGGATTACGTTTATTGATTTGCGTATGTTGAACCAGCCTTGCATCCCAGGGATGAAGCCAAGTTGATCGTGGTGGATAAGCTTTTTGATGTGCTGCTGGATTCGGTTTGCCAGTATTTTATTGAGGATTGTAGCATCAATGTTCATCAGGGATATTGGTCTAAAATTCTCTTTTTTTGTCGTGTCTCTGCCAGGCTTTGGTGTCAGGATGATGCTGGCCTCATAAAATGAGTTGGGGAGGATTCTCTCTTTTTCTGTTGATTGGAATAGTTTCAGAGGGAATGGTACCAGCTCCTCTTTGTACCTCTGGTAGAATTCAGCTGTGAATCCGTCTGGTCCTGGACTTTTATTGATTGGTAGGCTATTAATTATTGCCTCAATTTCAGATCCTGTTATTGGTCTATTCAGGGATTCAACTTCTTCCTGGTTTAATCTTGGGAGGGTGTATGTGTCCAGAAATTTATCCATTTCTTCTAGATTTTCTAGTTTATTTGCATAGAGGTGTTTATAGTATTCTCTGATGGTAGTTTGTATTTCTGTGGGATCGGTGGTGACATTCCCTTTGTCATTTTTTGTTGCGTCTATTTGATTCTTCTCTCTTTTCTTCTTTATTAGTCTTGCTAGTGGTCTATCAATTTTGTTGATCTTTTCAAAAAACCAGCTCCTGGATTCATTGATTTTTTTGAAGGGTTTTTTCTGTCTCTATCTCCTTCAGTTCTGCTCTGATCTTAGTTATTTCTTGCCTTCTGCTAGCTTTTGAATGTGTTTGCTCTTGCTTTTCTAGTTCTTTTAATTGTGATGTTAGGGTGTCCATTTTAGATCTTTCCTGCTTTCTCTTGTGGGCATTTGGTGCTATAAATTTCCCTCTACACACTGCTTTAAATGTGTCCCAGAGGTTCTGGTATGTTGTGTCTTTGTTCTCATTGGTTTCAAAGAACGTCTTTATTTCTGCTTTCATTTCGTTATGTACCCAGTAGTCATTCAGGAGCAGGTTGTTCAGTTTCCATGTAGTTGAGTGGTTTTGAGTGAGTTTCTTAATCCTGAGTTCTAGTTTGATTGTACTGTGGTGTGAGAGACAGTTTGTTTTAATTTCTGTTCTTTTACATTTGCTGAGGAGAGGCACAGGTTATTTCGAAATCTTCTCGCAGGTTCCCAAGAGCAATGGAGGCTGAGAGCCAGTGCCTTGCTGACAAACAGTGAGGCGGCGGGAGGTAGTCCCAGATCAGTTCGGTAGGTCTTGAGATGTGCGGAGGCTGGGGCTGAGCTGAGCTTGGGGAGCTTGGGGCCTGGGCTGGAGCGCTGCTCTCTCTGCAGGCAGTGGGAGCAAGGCAGAGTTCCCAGGGGGCAGTAGGAGAGGGGAGGCAGCACCTTGGTGGGAGGCTGGAATCTAGGTGCTAGAAACGGTGAAGAGGTTTGTCAAAGGCACACTTTAGTTCACTCCTGAAGGAGGCGGCTGTGCCCCTTCCACTGTCACTCCTAAATCTTCCACTTAAGTCCACAGCCCTGGGGATGGACTCAGTGCCTGGCCTCATCAAAGAAGAGGGGCTGAGGCGGGTGCCTGGTGGGCATGGGTGGGGGACGGGATGGCCGCGAGCAGGGTGCCAGGCCTGTGCTGCGCTTGCTAATGGGGGCTGCCACTGCCGCTGAGGGGCTGGTGACAGCAGGAGAGTCTCCCAGTCACTTGGGGTGGATTTCAAGGATTATCTGAATAGATGGGGAAGGAAGGAAGAGCGGGACCGTAGTGAGGGTTTGTGTTTTCTGGACTTTGGACAGATCAGAGGGTGGGGTCAGGGGGTTTCTGCTTCAACTGTGGGAAGGAAAGGGGTTGAGACAGGAGAGAAGGTGAAGGCAGGTGGGAGGAGCAAGAAGTTGCAGAGAGGAGGCGGTCACAGACTCAGACCCAGACTCACCCCCAAATCCCACCAGGGCTCTGCTAGGCCAGCTGACAGTGGCTGGGAACACTCAGCACCCCAACCCTAACCGTCTGGCTGGTAAGGCAGGTACAGACCCTCCCACCTGAGTTCCCATCAGTTCTTCCAGCACAGATGTGGCTTCTGATCTTGATATCCTGCTGAGATTAGGAGATGAGATCAACTGTCCCTGTTCTAATGACCATCTTCTGCAGCCGCAGAAGATCTGAGTAGAAGATCTGAGGCTGGAACTCACCAAAGTAAAGCTGCAGCAGGCAATATTTTATACAGGCAGGGAAGACTTCACTCAAGGCTGCTGCAAGAGCAAAGAGGCCAAAGCTCAATCGGAACTCAATTCTGTGGAAATAAAGGGTGGAGGGTTTTTAAACGCTGTAGTGAGCCAGAAAAGTCCTGGGTATGTTAGGAGAGGTCCAAGGCCATCTGCGTTTGCTAAGTGGCTTTCTCCAAAGGTGAAATAAACTTCTCATAGCTTTTGATGGCGGACAGTTTTGCAGGGAGCAAGGGGCCCACCCTGCCAAAGGGAACAGGAGGCAGAGGCACTGTCTTCCTTGATGATGACATTTCAAAGAGATGGCTCCTGGGTCCTTGAGGAGGACAGTCCTGTTTCATACAACTGGTAAGAGGCTGGGAGAAGATTTCTGTCTCATAGAGGCAGAGAAAGAATTGACAATTGCAAGTTTTCTAAAGTAAATGCATCAGGGGCCTATAAAAGGGAGGTCAAAGGCCTAGAATGAGGAAAGAGCCTGCTGACAGCCGAGTCAAGGCGAGGAGAACCTCAGGGCCGTCTTGGTCACACCGAGCCCATCAGGCCCTCCTGGTGCAGCCAGTGTCTGCTGAGAACCTGCAGTGGGCTGGGGGGCTCGCGGTGGTTCTGACAGGGCTGCTGGGCCCGCTGTTGACAGCAGCTCTCCCATTTACCAAGGCTTTGATTTTTGCAGGCCCTGTGCTAAGCCATTCACAGAGACTATCTTGTTTTGCATTTCTCGTGATTATTTCATTTAGGCATCACTATTATTGGCACACAACAGATGAGGAAACGGGGCCATCAAAGTCACACGGGGGTGGACAGCAGAGCTGAGATTCAAAGCCACGCCTGATGGCAAAGCCCATGTGCAAATTCACGCTGGTCACAAAAGGGCTGTGAGAGCAGACCCCAAGCTCATGACAAGATCAGCGTGACCCATGGTCAGCCCCCCTGCACCCCTGGGTTTCCACAGAACTCATCTATGGCAGCCTGCCCTGGGACACTGATTGCTTTAGGTTCGTCCTAGACAAAGCTCTTCAAGCTTTCATGCTTTAATGTGGACACAGGCATCACCTGGGGTCTTGTTAAGATGCAGCTTCTTCTCCAGTCAGTCTGGGCTGGGGCCTGAGAGTCTGCATGTCTAAGCTCTCAGGGGACACTGATGCTGCTGGTCCAGGGGTTGTGTTTGAGCAGTGACGGCTCAGAAGACGCCACATTCAGAGGTGGCGGGACCTGTTTCCCTCCTGGCTTTCTTTCCTTATCAAACCGTTGGTCCTCAACTTTGGCTGCACATGAGAATCGTCGGGGGACATTTAAAAAATCCTGATGCCCACTTGGGTCCCATCCCCAGAGATGTGATGTAATTGCTGTGGGTGTGGCTGGTGTTAGGATTTTCCAAAGGTCTCCAGTGATTCTGATGTGTGGCCTATTCTGAGAACCAGAGCACTAAAGAAAAGAAGAGATTTAAGAGACATTTCAAAGGCGAAATCAAGAGAGGAGGCCCGCCTGTGGTTTTTTTTTTGGAAAAATAAAGTGAGTGATTATATATGAGAGGTCTCCAGAGAAACAGAAGCAATGTGACACACACACAACGCACACACAGACACACACAGGCACACGCACACATATGTGTGTGTGTGTTTGCACCATAGGAGTGGTACCTGGCAAATCTGAAATCCACAAGGGAGGCCAGGCAAGCCGGAGACTCGAGCAGAACTTCTATATTGTGGGATTGAGGTAGAATTGCTTCTTCTCCAGAAAACTCAGTCTTTGCTCTTAATGCCTTCAGCTGGTGGGGTGAGGCCCACCTTCCCCCTCTTATGGAGGGTAATCAGCTCTACCCAAAGTCTACTGATTTAAATGTTAACCTCATCTAAATAATACCTTCCCCACGACATTTACAGCAGTGTTTGACCAAACAGCTGGGCACCATAGCCTAGCCAAGGTGACACACAAAATGAACCATCACAGGTGACTTCAAGGTCAAATGTCTATGGGAATGTGAATAAAAATAGGAATGATTGGTGGGGAAGTGGGTTTGGGGACAATGTGAGTGAGTCTGATAGGCCAGGTCCAGGGCCCCTTTTTGAAGACCTTTGCCAATACCTGACTCCGGCCCACTGTGGTAGTTGGTTCGAGCTGCTGTAACAAAGTGCTGTGAACTGTGAGGCTGAAACACAATGGAAACTTCTTGTCCCACAGTTCTGGAGGCTGGAAGTCTGAGATACGGCCCTGGTGGGGCTGGTTCCTTCTGGGGGCTGTTAGGGAGAACTTACCATTCCTCCCCAGGCTGCTGGTTCTTGCTGGAGCTCTTTGACGTTTCCAACCTGGCAGATCCATCGCTCCAGCCTCTGCCGTCATCTTCCTGTGGCCTTCTCCCCCTCTGTCTCTGCCTTCACCTGGTGTTTCTCTCCTCGTATAAGGACACCAGTCACGTTGGGTTAGGCCCACCTTAATGACCTCATCTTGGCTTGATTACATCTACAAAGACCCTATTTAAGAACATACAGATGCCAGGGGTTAGGACTTCATCATATCTTTTGGGGGGACTCGATTCAGCCCACAACACCCACCCATTTCTGAACACCCCTCTTTCCAGACACTCTCCCTTTCTCTGAGTCCCATCTAATCTCCCACTTCAAGCCCCCACACACTGCCTCAGAGCCCGACTGCAAAGGTGAGGCTTGGAGAAGGAATGAGAGGGGTCTCTTTTAAACATTAGTTGCTTTAAAAAAAAAAAGTTTAACTTGTATGCTTTGTTTTTCAGACCCTATCAAAATAATCTCGTGTCAAAATGGAAGCATGAGAGGGACCACTTCTAAGGGTTTCCTCAGCCCACAGGATCAGGACAGAGGCAGGGCACAGGCCAGGAGAAGCCCTGTCAGCCAGGGCTCTACATTGCTCTACAGTAATGAGGCCTTGAACCCTGTTCCCTGGGGACGGACAGTGACCACCCAACCAGAATGTCCAAGGATTTCACCACTGGCTGGAGGATGGTGTAATGACACCTAAGAATTGTAATCACTTGACATTTTAAGGAGGAAGAACAGAAAGTTTCGTACATCATATTTGTAGATGCTCACATATTCCGATGGGCTTTTGGCTTTCTCCAAAAAGCACATTTCCACCGAGAGTCCCACTTCCTGGGCACTGCTGCACACCGCAGGTAACCACTGTCCAGCTTTCACTGCGGTTCTCACTTCGCCAAGTGACAGCATACGGGATGGCACAGAGACTAAGAAGTTCCCCTGGCCTGTGATGGTTGTGGGCAGCCAGGCTTGGGGCAGGCCGTGCCACCTGAGGGCACAGCAACCCTATAGCACATGGGTCAGACCACACCTCAGGCAACGCGAGTGCCTCATGGTATGGGCGCCCTGTTCCACTATAATTGTAGAAATCTGGGAAGTTACATTTTCTAATGCCAAAGGCCAACTTCACCTTCTGAGGCTTGGATCTGTGGATCCTAAGGAGTCTTGACACATGGTCTGCTGAGCTCTGTGATTAGCAGGACAGGCAGCGGGGGAGCTGGTCTCAGGGGGTGAGGAGCCCGTGTGTGTGTGTGTGTGTGTGTGTGTGTGTGCAGTAACACCTAATATAAGCCTCTTGGGTAGGTTGCAATAAGGTGTAAAATGCTATAAATTGACCAAGGTAGAACATTGCCAGAACTTCAGTCCCAGGCTGACTCAGCTCAATCCCCGCGTATAAAGGACTGCTCTCTGAGACATGGGAGAGGATGCGTGCACCAAGGGCAGGGCGGGGACCTTCTTCATCTCTAGTAATTTATGATTTTGTCTCTAGGCCAATACTCATCTTCCACATTCATTCCCACATTCACCACGTGTGGTTCTGGGTGTTGGGGACACAGTGGGTAGACGTGGTCTCCAGCCTCATGGCCCAGGTAGGCCAGCAGGGGACATACAGAATCAGACAATTACAACGTAACATGTGAAGTGTGTTAGGTGCTGGGTGGAGACTGACGTCGGAGAAGGGGTTAGGGAAACTCTGGGAGAGCTCCCGAGTTTGGGGTTGGGGGACTGGATTGAGGGTGCTGTCACTTCCTGAGATAGGGAGCGTGGGGTCAGATGAAGTTTGAGGGTGGAAGACGTGGGCTTAGGAGCCCTAGGACAGGCACATGGAGGTGTCCAGTATAAAGTGGGACATACGAGGTGTGCAGTCTGGAAGAGCGATTTAGGGTGAGGGTACGGGTTTGGGAGGGGTGAGGTGGACGACAGTCCCAGGGAGAGTTGAGGGGCTTCTCTAAACTGTAGGCTTTATTGTTTCTCAGGTATGATGAGGCCAACAGATCAGCGGCCGAGCACCATTGAAAAGACAGTTCGTTACTCACAGCTCCCAAGGAGAGGGGCACACTCTGCCACCCAGGCCAGCCAGGGGAGAACCAGGGCTGGTCAGCAGGCAGAGGGAGGGTCAGGAGAGCGTGGGCAAGACCTTGAATGTGGTTTCCACGAGAAGCATCAACGGGAGGGGGGCATGCAGGCTCTGGGGCAGAGGGGCTGTCCTTAGGGGCCTGGTACCTGGTACTGCTTGACAAGGGCAGGGGCATAGTGGCCTGGAGTGTGAGAGCCCCAGACAGGTGGTGGAGGTCGGGGGTGCAGGCATTGGGTTGGCTGCCTTGCCTCTGAACAGTGTGCTCCCTTCAGGCCTTTTTCTGTCTCTAGGGATTGGCTGGCCCCGGGGTACAGGGTTTGTCTCTCCAGGGTCAGCAAGGCCCCAAGATGTGAAAGCATTGGAATGCAGAGAGTAAAAAGCCCTGGCTAACACGGAGGGCTAGAAAGGACCCAGGAGCACCAACATTCATGGGGAGGGAAGAGGCTGAGGAAGCTGCGGGAGAGACAGAGAGGCGGTGGTGTGGGAGCCAGGACAGGAGGCCGCTGCTCCAGCCATGGAGCCGAGGGGGTTACCAGCAGCCCGAGAGCGGGCCATAGCATCCAGCCAAAAACTGGCCATTGAGGATGGAGGCCAGGTGTTCGGGAGCTGAGAGAATGGGGACAGTGCATGTCACAACTTGTTTCAAGGAATTTGTCGTTAAAGAAATACCCTAGACTGGGTAATTAATAAAGGAAAGAGGTGTAATTGACTCACAGTTCTGCATGGCTGGGAGGCCTCAGGAAACTTACAATCATGACAGAAAGTGAAGGGGAAGCAGGCACCTTCTTCACAAGGCAGCAGGAGAGAGGAGTGAGGAGCGAAGGGGGAAGAGCCCCTTATAAAACCATTAGCTCTTGTGAGAACTCACTATCATGAGAACAGCATGGGGGAACCGCCCCCATGATCCGGTCACCTCCCACCAGGTCTCTCCCTAGACACATGGGGATTATGGGGATTACAATTTTCTTTCTTTCTTTTTTTTTTTTTGAGATGGAGTTTTGCTCTTCTTGCCCAGGCTGGAGTGCAATGGCGTGATCTCGGCTCACCACAACCTCCGCCTCCCGGGTTCAAGTGATTCTCTTGCCTCAGCCTCCCAAGTAGCTGGGATTATAGGCATGCACCACCATGCCTGGCTAATTTTGTAGTTTTAGTAGAGATGGGGTTTCTCTATGTTGGTCAGGCTGGTCTCGAACTCCTGACCTCAGCTGATCTGCGCAGCTTGGCCTCCCAAAGTGCTGGGATTACAGGTGTGAGCCACCACACCCTGCCCGGGGATTATAATTTTCAAGATGAGATTTAGGTGGGGACAAAGCCAAAGCATATCATTGTCCTTTTTCTTTTCTTTTTTTTTTTTTTTTGTAACCAGAGAAATTGCTAGGGAAGTGTCAGTAATAAGGGCAAAGGGGGAGATTCAGAGGAGGAAGGAGGAGATGATGGACAGAGGGCTCCTGAAGCACCCCTTTTAAACACAAGCCTTTTTTCAGGGGAGAGGAGGTGGTGGGCGCAGAGACAATTGCACCGCTGGCAAGTGCCTGGGGAGGGCGGCGCCTCTGTCCTCCTGAATCTTTTCCTGCTTGGCAGGAACATTTCCCAAGGCCAGCCAATTAAAGGTATTTCAAAATCTCTATTATTCACTTTCAAAATCAGACCCTAGCTTATTATTTGTTGGTATTTCCAGTGGTACTAAGAATATGCCACGAACTCAGCATTCAACAGTTTAGGAAACAGAGCCGCACTCCCCATCTCCCTCGCACCCATGGGAGCTCTCCAGGCGGGTGGAGCTGAGCAGGGCGTCTTCCCATCTTACAGGAAGGCCCTGACATCCAAACCACACAGCCTCGGGGGACAGGAGGGGCTCTGCCTAGAGTCCCAGTGCATTAGATGGCTGGATTATAAGAGGTCTGGAAAGTGAAGGCTGCCCCTTTCTCTTCATTCATCTCTGTGGCCTATTGGGTGACGGTCAGCCGCAGTGTCCTTACTTCTCCCCTCGAGGTAGAAACCTTGAACAGGAGGGATAAGGTTTGGGAGCAAACAGGAATCATCTGGAAAGTGTGAGAATCCGTGGGTAAACACCGAGGAAAAGCTGTGCCCTCTCCCAGGCCGCAGCAGGGGCTGGAAACAGAGCCTTCACATGAGAAGAGAGGAGTGGTGTCAGAGGCTCCCCCAGACGGGAGTCTCCCCGACTCTCGGTGCTCAAGCTCCAGGCTGGAATCCCTTGCACCACGCTGCCTGGTCTACACCCCGTCCACCCAGCTCCAGGGTTCTGGAGCTCTCCCGGGGAGAAGGGGTGCACAAGTGTATAGGAATCTCTGGAAGAAGTTGGCAAATAATCAAAAGAGGGGAGGGAATATATCTTTGGAGAATTTCAACTTTTGATTGAATACGTCATAATACAGAAGAGTACATAAAGGAGGTATGTAGGACATTTAAAAACCAGTAAAACAGACACCCTGTACCTCCACCCAGTTTCAGAAATTCAAACTACTGGAGCTTCTGAAGCCCTGGGGTGCCCTGCCCCAGCCCTACCCACTGTCTTCCCCTGCCCCCAAGGCAACTGTATGCTGATTTGCTTTTATCATTTTGAAGTAGTTCTGAGCTCTGAATTTAGAAATTTCGTAATTTGAAATGGCCATTCACATAATCAGGAATAAGACAGGCTAGGAGTGAGTGCTTGGCTTTATTCTTTTTTTTGAGACAGAGTCTCGCTCTGTCGCCCAGGCTGGAGTGCAGTGGCGCTATCTGCAACATCTGCCTCCTGGGTTCAAGCAATTCTCCTGCCTCAGCCTCTCAAGTAGTTGGGATTACAGGTGCCACAACCACACCTGGCTAATTTTTGTATTTTTAGTAGAGATGCAGTTTCACCATGTTAGTCAGGCTGGTCTCGAACTTCTGACCTCCAGTGATCTACCCACCTCGGCCTCCCAAAGTGCTGGGATTACAGGCGTGAGCCACCACACTTGGCCGCTTTATTCTTTTTTAATTAAAAAAAAATTAAATAACCAGCCACGGTTGGGTTTGCATTTGGGTGATCTCCAAGTAGGAGCCTCATCACGTCTCCCCAGGGCTGGAGAAGGGTTTGCCTTGGCTGCTCTCACTCTGTTAAGGGGGTTGGTTTTTTTGAAGTATTTGCTAGACTTTTTATGTTTAAGCAAAATAAATGCACCCCTCCTTTAAACAGGCCTTAGTGTTAGTATCACATTCATCTTTGTGCACATTTAAGTACAGTAGGACCTGCCTGCTGAGAGGAGGCAACCTGCCCTCCAAAGAGACTGCCTATTTTGCCAAAGATCTCTGTGGTCCCGACAGCTTTGTTCATATGAAAAACTGGGGTCAGCCATATGTTACATGAATGTGGGTTTTACAAAATCTGCATCGATAGTTCTAGGCTGATCAGCTTCCGGATATAATATGGTGCTTCTGTTTAACCTCCTATTAGCATTGTATGATAGGCACCCCGTACACAGAACTGCCAAGATAGCAAAAGAGCAAAACTGGCTATGGCCCCGTGAAGCACCGAAAGCCTTGTTGAACAGAAAAGTCCATTACGTGGGCTCCTATATGATTGTCTAGGGGCAGGGGAAGGCAGAGGATGGCGGGAGCTTCTCCCACCCGGGAGCAGAGCCGTCTCTGATGCGGCAGGGCTGATCGGAAGGGGAAGAAGTGGCTTCCCTGGGCCCCCAAGGAGCAAGAAGCCAGTCCCTGGGGCCCGTTGCCACCACCTCCCAGGGCCCTCGCCTTTGGTGTTCCCAGAGCCTCTGGCAACTCCTCCCTTTACAGTGGGCCGGTGAACACACTGGATGGAAGCGAGGGAAGCTCTCCCAGGCCTTCCCTGACATCCGCAGTCTCCATGCTTCACTGGGCCTGGGTCTGTCTTTGGTGGATGCAAAGTGGTGTGCAGAGGCTCCATGGCTGTACATCATCTGGGGAGAGAAACCAACAGCAAACCCAGCTTTCTGCTGAGGCTCCACCTGGCCACATTTGCGAAGGCGAATTGTCTTCAAGGTGAGTTGAATCTCAGGAGACACTGTGTCACCACCAGCCCACTTTAGCATGTCACGGGGCCACCATCCTTCCTCAGTGGCAGGAGAGCACCTTTGATTACAAGGCCCGAGTCTCCCATTCTGTCTGTGGTGACAGCCAGGTGGACATGGCTTCAGGCAGATGTAGTGGGTTTGGAAGAAAACTCTGGCCCCAGGGGAGAATCGGGCCTGAGTTTCGCTGCCACATCCCTCTGGGTTCCCTTCTTGCGCAGACAGCAAGGAGGGCTGGCCTGAGAGGAGCCATGGGTGCTGCTGGGCATGGCGTGGGTGGGATGAGGGAGCAGCACAGTCCCAAGAGGAATTTGAGGGCCAACCCTGGGGACCTTCTTGCTCTCCTCCCACTGCCCAGGTTGAGGGGAGGCCCGAAGCAGCCAGGGGAGGGCTGAGGACAGGCCTGGCCCAGGGAGCTGACTTTGCCTCAAGTCCATCATGGCCCTCGGGATCCCGGCCAAGTTACCCTGGCACCTTCTCTGATCTGTCTCCTCACCTGAAGAGGTGGGCTACACCAGATAAACACTCTCTAGTTCCAACATTCTACAAACCTGCGAGCCCCCTATGTTTCAGAACAGACGGCCCCTTGGGGAGAAGGGGCTGCTGGGCAAGGGTGCCGTCAGATTGGGGAGAGCCCCCCGTGCCTGGGCCAAGTGCGATTCTGGAGGGTTTCTCCAGTCCTTCTGCGTGGAGCTCACGCAGGACTGTTGCTGCTTCTTCTGTTTCGCTGTGGTGAAGTTGGAGGCCCCGGAATCTGTGGGTCTGGCCATTTGGGGACAGCCCCTGTCCCTAAACGATTTTTGTGTCCGGGTGAGGACCATGGTGGGTCGTAACTTGATTTGCTGGTGTTAGTCTGGGAAGATTCCTATTGCAGACCTCTCTCCCCTACTCCTCCACAGACCTGGGTTACTTTCTTCCCTCCCACTCCAAGTCTACTCAGACTCCCAGGGCAGCTCACACAGAACATTCCAGAAAGGTCACAGAACTGATCAACTTCCCTGAGAATTATGGACTGGCTATAAGGGGCCTACACATTCCAGCTAGTTTCTTGGCACTGTGTAAATTTCTAGGATATTTGAAATTCCCATTAGGCAGGGGGTTCAGCAGACCACAACACTGCAGTTAATGAACAAAAGAGGGCCGGGCACGGTGGCTCACACCTGTAACCCCAGCACTTTGGGAGGCCGAGGGGCGGGTCACCTGAGGTCAGGAGTTCAAGACCAGCCTGGCCAACATGGTGAAACCTCGTTTCTACTAAAAATACAAAAATTAGCTGGGTGTAGTGGTGTGCGCTTGTAATCCCAGCTACTTGGGAGGCTAAGGAAGGAGAATTGCTTGAACCTGGGAGGCAGAGGTTGTAGTGAGCCAAGATGGCACTACTGCACTCCAACCTGGGCAAGAGTGAAACTGTGTCTCAAAACAAAAATAAAATAAAGTAAAATAAAATAAAAAAGAGGCCAAAGCTATTGTTTCTAGCCAATGTAGATCCTTCGTGTTTCTCTCATTTGAAGACGTCCATCTGCTCTCTGTTAGCCCCCAGGCCCTCCTCTTAGGGAGCTAGAGACTCCAGGACAGGAGCTTCCTCGCCTTCGGTCCTCACTTCGACCTTCATTTTCTCCTTCCTCTAGTTCCAGGGGACTGAATGAAGGATGCTTCCGGTTTCTGCGGTGCCCCGCTTCGTGGCTCCTGAGTGCACCCCATTCTGGGCCTGGATCTCACGGTCCCTGTCCCTGGCTCTCCCCTTCCCCACTGCCAAGTGCCCTGGTTGAGCCTGTGCCCCACCTCCGCTTTCTCACTAGTCTTTACATTTCCTCTGGAAGCCGCCACCACTCTGCCCTCGCCCAGGCCCTTCCCAGCAGTAGTGCCGCCCCCCAATCCTTGACACTCCCACATCCCAGCCTGGGCTGCCCTCTCCTGATACTCCTGCCACCTCTCCACCTCTTCCTCCACTCCAGATGCCGAGTTCCTCAGGGTTCCATCCCCAGCCCTCCTCTCTCCTAATTCCTGGTCATCAATTTACTCCATCATCCCAAGAGCAAGACTTGTGATTTGACTCTCTAGTCCCCGCCTCTGTTCAGATTGATTTCCAACATCCAGTGATCACTTCCCCCAGCCCTTCTACCTGAACCCCAAGTCTATTCATGGCATTGTCCAGCCCTTCTACCTGAACCCCAAGTCTATCCGTGGCATTGTTACAATGTAGCTAGTGGGGTTGTTTCTCCATCAGACAGGGCTGTATTGGCAGGTTATAAATTCACATGCTTCTGGCAATTTTTATCATGTGTAAGATTTCAGTCTCAGAGCTGGAATTTTAGTCTGAGCTGTAAAGCCCATTTTGGCGTTCTTGGTCCACCCCTTTACAAAAACACTATTGGTTAGGGGAACTTGGAAGCGAAGAAAATACTCCTGATTCTCACAAATTAAGTATCAGGTAAGCTCTCAGGTTAAGATAAAATTCTTAAGTCTATGGTTTTAGACACTTCCATTTCAACTTAAGAACAATTGTAGGAACGTAAACTCAGGGACTCACAGAATATTCTAAATGACACTGGAATGTGTTCACAATTTTGTACTCAATTTCCCTAACATCTCCACCTTTCTAACCCAAACTCACCCTAGCTTTACAAATCAGAACTTCACAGGCAGGCTTTCCTTAATGTCAGGAGCAGGGGGTCACTATGGAAAATCTTACCTTCTCAATTCACAATCTAGAATCTGCTCACCCAAAAATTAAGCCCCATCTGTTACCACGTGCACAAAATCAAAAGGCTAAACCTTTTCTAGACCTCAGGAAGCCCAGTCAAGTGGCTCACTGGCGCCCTCCTCTGGCTGGGATGGCTCCGCAGGTCTTCCTTGGGGGTGCCATCGGCCTGAAAAAAGAGTCCCAGTGTCTTGACAAGAGGTGTGGAAGCTCTCAGGTATTCAAACTTCTGCGGGGAATGTCTGTGTAGATGTTTTTGTGTCAATATTTGCAGGAAGCAAGAGTGGGTGAGCAACGCGAACCCCAGTAAGACAGAAAACATGGTCAAGCGTGAAAAGGCAGGCGTGTTGTGTGTGTGTGTGTGTGTGTGTGTGTGTGTCCAGAGGGTGGTGATGGAGGGAGAGTGGCCTGGTAGTTGCATGACAAGGATGGAGAACCACGGGCCACCACTGCAAAGGCGAGGACTTGGCAGCTGTAAGGAACTGGGAAAGAGGCTGAAAGAACTAAAGAGAACAAACCAAGCCTGTAGTTGTCTCCCAGCTCTGCCACTATTTAGGTCCTCAATCCTCTACTCTCTAAACAACCAACATAGAGGGTCACTGAGGTTCCTGTGGGCAGGACAAAGGTCTCCAAAATACAATCTCATTCCAAAGGGAATCCTGATTAGCAAACACTCAAGAACAGCTGGCAAGTGTGAATCAAGGCCTCTAATTAGCTACTTGCAAAGGGGCTATTTGCTGCCCCCGTCTCCAAGGGATACCTTTGCCTCTGGTTTGGTTTTACTTGGCTAGGTGCTGTTTAAAGGGGTAGCATGGAGGAGGGGGTGTATTTTTGGGTGTTCTCTGCCTGTGCTCCTTTGCACGGGGAACACAGAGAGTGGATTTTGGTTTGCCTCAGAGGTCAGACACACACGGCTTTGCTCAGCACTCAGGAGGTGTTGACTGTGGCCTAGTTAGGGAATGAAGTCAGGGACATCTCCACCACCATCAACTGTTCCTTGCAACCCGAGATGGCGCAATTCAGATTCAAGGAGGGGCTTGTGCGTGGGACCAGCTGGGCTCCAAGAAAGTCACCTCGACCCCCCTCTGAGCAGCTAGTGGCCCCAGGCAGCCTCAGTGAGGCCGAGCTTCCAGGTTTGCACAGGTAATGCCACTGTGGGCAGTGCTACTTACAGGAACAAAAGCACTTCACTCACTTCAAATGAGCACCCAGTCGTCTGAAGAAAGACGAGCAGTGCGGAGGATTTGGTTGACTGGTAAATATGTATAGCCTGGAACAAGGCTTTATTTGTACAAGTCTGATAGAAAAATACTGAAGAGTAAAACACATTAAAAACTTTATTGTAAGTATCAACATCTAAATTTGCATCAATTTGATACATCGTTGCTCATTTTGCAGAACATAACAGTTGCACATTGCAAGAGTCAACTTGCTTCGGGTCTTTTCATGCTCATGGCGGTCCACCCCTGCCTTCCCTCTCCCTGACCTGCATCCTGTCCTCCACAGTCTGCCCTGCCTCCTGTCGCCACAGGTTGAAGACCCAAGCCCTGAGGAGAACCTGCTGCCAGGGGGCTGGCTGGCTGCGAGCCAGGAGGGCCAGGCAGTTAGCCCTGCCACAGGGAGGGGCAGGCAAGGGATCGTTTCTCCTCTTCCTGGGCTGAGCCCATGCCAGGCCAGCCACAGAGTGCCCTAGTCAGCCCATGTGGCTCCAGGAAGCCTGCTGTTGTTCTTCTCCATCCCATTTCACCCGCAGCCTAGTGGCTAACTCTGGATACTCTGAGCAAAATTAACCCAAGTTTCATGGAGAACTCCAGAACCTTGAACCAGTGCATGGTTATCACCATTCTTTGTTACTAGATGTAGGAGAAGGTACTGCAGAGTCCTCTGGCCTGGAACAGCTTGGGGGAGGATTCAGCTCCCTGTTTCTCCCTCACTCCCAGGAGATTCGAAAACAAGTTTGAGAGAAAAAACAGTAACTAAAAAAGTCCATGAAGAAGGATCTGACATGTCCTTTGTGAAGTAACATTACCCTCTCCCCATCACGACGCAGGAGATGACATGTTACAGTAAGAGGGTTACAGCAATTCCCCATCTGGAGTGCCATTCAACTGCCTGCAGAAATCTTCCATTTTAATGCATTTTAAACACATTCAAAACGAGTGCTGACTCTCCAACCTAGGGAAAATGCCCAATAAAAAATATAGATAGAAAATACATGCTAATGTAATGGCAAACTTATCTCCACACTAAAACGGCAACAGTCTTGCGGTTGAGGGCAGGGGTGCGGTGGAACCTCCCTCTTCCCACAAGAACATCAGCACCAGAGATGCTCGGTCCCCGGGCTGATCTGATGGTGGGGACCACGCACTGTCACTCGGCTGCCGGTCCGGTCCCAGTGTTGGCCTGGGACTATCAGTGCTGCAGCAGGAAGTTGGTGGCGACATTGAGGTCATTGTTTGAAGCTCTCAGGGCTTCCAAAGCATCACCTCTGGAAAATCCCATCTCCATGAGCCGGGCGACCTGCAGGCAGAGAAAACGCAGAAACCTGAGGGCGCTGACATTGCCGCTTATCCCTGGGCCCCAAATGTTCTTCATGTGAGCCTTGTGGCAAAGGTCAAAACTGTTTACAAAAAAACCAATTTTCATTTCAATATGGAATCTGATACTTAAAAGTTATACCAGGTACAAATTTTTCAATGTTCACTATGTGTAGCCAATATATATGCATGATCGCACATAACCCTCATTCTACAGACAAGGACACAGGGCTTCTGAGGGTAAAGTGGCCTACTGGGACCAGGCCTTGGAAGCAGGTCGGCATGAGCTGCCCAGGCTCACTGCGAGGACACACGACTCAGCGTCGTTTGATTCCCTATGGTGGTGACCCATGCTCAGCCCTGGCATCGCACTCCTGGCATCACTGCCACGCTCGGCCCTGGCATCACACTCCTGGCGTCACTGCCACGCTCAGCCCTGGCATCACACTCCTGGCGTCACTGCCACGCTCAGCCCTGGCATCACACTCCTGGCGTCACTGCCATGCTCGGCCCTGGCATCGCACTCCTGGCGTCACTGCCACAGAACTGCCTGCCTTTGGGTGCTCAGACTACTTTGACAGCTGTGCCACTTGCAGCCTGGGGCTTACGCAGGCAGCAAAGTGGGGCTGAGCCTGGGGCAGCAACTGAGGAAGGAGGCAGTGAAAGCCACCAGAAGCAGGGAGGAACAAGCATGCATTGTTTTTGACCACAAATCCTGATTCTGTGAATACGGAGATTTCCTGTACTTTTCTCTACAGGCAGTCTCCAGTATTGAAATTGGCAATGTTACTAAAGCTTATTTGCAACCTTTTTTCCCAATTAAGAATATATTACAAAAATATTCATGGCCCCAGATTGCCACAGGAATACATTTTTTTTGTACTTATATTAAAATAAACTGCACTTGCAGTAACACCTCATCAAAGTCAACAGTCTTGTACATGTTGAGTTTTTTAGCCACTTGCGCATTAAAGAGGCTTTTGTGGGTTCACCTGAGGACTTAGTCAGAGTTTCCAATTTTTCTTTCCGAAAGAGAGCGAGCTACTTGGTGCTACATGGTGGAAAGAGAAGGGGCCCAGTATCACCACCCCTTCCTCTGCTCAGGGGACTCAGTGGGTGTGAATGGGGACTATGGCATGGGGTGGCTGGAGGAGGGGCCGGGCATGGGCCTGGGCATGTGGCTCCAGAAAGCCTGCTGTTCTTCCTCTCTATCCCACTTCACCCGCAGCCTAGTGGCTAACTCTGGATATTCTGAGCAAAATTAACCTAAGGACTCAGCAAGGTGAGGAAGAAGGTGCAGAGAGTAGAGAGGCAGGTGGGGGAGGGAACCTCCCAGTGACCACCCAGGCCCAGACACCCAGACCCTCCTCCCCCAAAAGCCTTAGGGAAGAGTTGAGGGCCAACAGGGACACGCAGTGGACACTGCTCAGAAGCTGGAGTCCAGCCAGGGCTTTTCCAAACGGGGGGTGCCGCCCATGTCATGGGACCACTCAGTGGGTGAGGACTAGGCTTACAAATGCACGCAGTGAGCGTGCTCCTCCCCGGAACGTTGCTTTCAACCCTTAGCACGGGGACTGACGCACAGCCCTGGCTAGGAAGCCAAGAAGGGCTGCCAGGTGTCTTCCAAATGCCTTGCGGTGGGGAGGGCTGTCCTGGAGCAGCAAGATGCCCAGCACCTGGGACACTATGGCGCCCTCAGGTGATTCATGCTCAGCTGCCCAGGGCTGGTGGACAGCGTAGAGCAAAGGCAGAAACCTTCTAGTTTGTTTTCCCACCAGAGGAGAGAGTGTCGTAGATAAAAAAAACAAAAAACAAAAAACAGTAGCTAACAAAACTAGAATTGAAAAGAATTCATTTGGTTGGCTGGAAAATGATCAGATGGAATTTAACAGAGATATGTACTGTCCTAGACTTAAAAGGTCAGGCAGGATTTGAGAGACCTGACTCGAGAGCATTTTATGTGAAAATTCCTGAGTGTTTTCAGCAGGCCCAGCTTAACTGGCCACACCAGTGATGCAGCTCCTTACACAAGAGCGTGCACAGGCACACACACACACATGCACACTACTAATGCATCATATGCACATCAGCTGTGGCTGAGTGCCCTGGCCTCACTGCCAGGTGGCTGAGAATGCTGCCACCCTGGTGTTCTGCCCCTCACAAGCTGCCATCCACACAATGCCACAGCTCTTGATTTTGCCCTTTGAAGTAACCGAGAACAACCCTATTCTCTTTTCCTACATAAAGCACTTTGCGGGTGTGACAGCCCTCTCCTTCCTCCCTCAACCCACTGGCTTTTCTCGGCCCCCACCCAGGCCTGTGGGTACCGTGGCTTGTTCTGCTGTGTTGCTGTCTCTGCCCTCTGCCCTGAGCCTGATGACTCCTCTTCCCCTGGTGGGTCTTGGGGCCCCTGCCTTTTTCCATGTCTCCCAGACTAGAAGGCCCCCAGAGCGAAGTCCTCATTGCCCCACTGCCTTCTGTCCTGGGCTCCCTGCAGCTGTGTCTGTGGGGTGATAGCTTCTCCCCACCACTGTGAACTCCCAGTATGAGGGCTGTGGCTGCCTTTGCTCATTCCTGTGTTTCAGGATCCAGTTCCTTTCAGCCCATCCCCTCCCATTTGTGCACACCGTCTCAGAACACCGCGCCCAGAACTGAGTGTGACACCACGGGTGTGGTCTCACCAGGGCAGTGAGGCCACTGCCCTCCAACAGTCTGGGCCCTTAGCTTCAATGAGAGCAGAGGAATGCATTAGTAGTGTGCATATGTGTTGTGTGTGCCTGTGCATGCACTTGTGTAAGGAGCTGCATCACTGGTGTGGCCAGTTAAGCTGGGCCTGCTGAAAACACTCAGGAATTTTCACATAAAATGCTGTCAAGTCAGGTCTCTCAAATCCTACCTGACCTTTTAAGTCTAGGACTCTACATATCTCTGTTAAATTCCATCTGATCATTTTCCAGTCAACCAAAATGAATTATTTTCAATTCTCATTTTGTTATCTACTGTTAATCATCTCCCTCAAACTTGTATCATGCCTAAATTTGATTAGTAAACCTCTACAACTTTGTTCAAGTTATTATTGATGAAAATGTCAAACACGTCAGGTCAAAGAGCCCAGAACTCTGTGTTCAAGGGGTTAATCAACATTTTTAATCAGTTTCAAACCCACTTCATTGCACTATCATTATCCATTCTGCATGTCACCAACATCTCTCATAAGCTGATGAGATGTTGTCAAAGGTCTTGGTGATCTCTTGCCAACAGGATTGGTTTGGTGTCCTAGACCACAGCTGTCTTTTCAACGTTCACAAACCATCTATTTGATAATAATCTGTTTAAGCTTTTGCCAGATGTGAAACTTCAATTCTGCCACTTGGTTCTCAGAATTCACACTTTCCTTTTCCTTAGGAACATTTTCAAGCTAAGTGTTCCTCCCTGTGCTTTCTCAAGCCTCCATCAGGTTGTGCAGGGAGAGGGGCTGGAGGACTCAGGCTGGATATGTGTCATGTGGAAGGAAAACTCTCTCTGATCAAGGTGGTCTTTCCAATCTTGGGTGGAAATAACCTGTATGATGTTCCCTCCAGTTAAGGACCATTGTCATTGGTGGAGATAACTCAGGCCAAACGGGAGCTGGCCTGCCTTCCTTCCACCTACTATCCACCACCATGATGCCATGGCCCCCAAACAACTTGGCCACTCTTAATGACGTTTATTTAAACGGCTTGGAAAAGCTACCTTTACTACTACCTGTAGTACTTCAAGTGCAGCTGAGGACTGGCTGCTTCTTTGCACCCAGCCAGCACAAACGAATCCATTTGCTGTCCACACTCAGCAATTTGGAGATCTGGCAAATGACGATTCATAATCTGGAGTGATGAAGTGTGACTTTAGGCCACAGCTCCACCTGGCACTTGAGCTCTCCCTCCACTGATGATACATTTGGTTTGGAATCCACAGGATGCTGATAATGGGCTGGCTACACACAGGTCACCAACACAGGGCAGCAGCATGGACTGCATGCAGGCCCTGCCCTGGAGAGGGAAGAACCCCTTAGGTCTGGGATGGCTGGGCTGGGTTGTAAGTCACGTAGGTGACATCCTAGAGTAAGAACGAAAGCTTTCTATGTACACGAGACTTCCTTCTGAGTTCATTCTCTCAGACATGAACGACATGTGCCGCGGTGCTGGTTTTGACAACTAAGACTGGCTTTTCACAGGTCTTGGCAGAAGAGAGCGTCTGCTGTCACAGCTTGCAGCGGGCTCGCTCTTCATCCTCTGCGGGGCAGATCATGCCCCTTTAGCCAAAGCTGGCTTCAGAGCTTTAAGTGATTTTTATGGGTGAGAAGACAAGTGTGACAGGAGAACTTTCACTGCCCACTGACCTGTTATTTTCACCAGATTAAAAACTATTGCTAAGTAGCAATAATGTTAGCACAGTTCTTTAAAAAGAATAAACAATTACACTAAGAAAGGGCACCTGAAGGTTTCCCATAGTGTCCAAAACTAAACATCCATGGCAAACTGAAACTGCATGCTTGGGCTTGGGTATGCGATGACAACCAGCCAGCAAGGACGAGAAGGGTCAGGGGATAGGTGTTCCGATGGGTGCTTACCCAATACTCCCCAGTGGAGGGGTGCAGTGCAGTGCTCACAGCCGTGCAAGTTAGCCAAGTGGCCCCTGCTGTCCTTTCTTTATGTAGTTTCAGAGGTTCACCATATAGACAGTAAGAACTGGAGCAAAAACTAGCAGCACAGAGAACAGTTGTCTGTAGGGCTCTTTGGTGGACACTAACAATTACTGCTGTGGCTCTCACTATTCCTCTGCTCAGAGAAGCCCAGCACGCCCAGTCCCCACACATCTCATTACGGTCTCTCCTGGGAAAGCTTACTCGGCATGTGAAGCATCAACTCCTGTGCTCAAATTACAGAAAGACGAAATTGAGGCCTGCGCAGACGTGCAGTCAGGTAAGCAAAACACACGTTAAGCATTCCTAATCTGAAAATTCAAAATCGAAAATGCTCCAGAATTTGAAACTTTTTGAGTACCAACATGGCAGTACAAATGGCAAGTTCCACACCTGACCTCATGTGATGGGCTGCAGTCAAAATGCAGGCCACAACATGTAGTTTATTCAGTGTCTCCAAGGGAAAAGAGACCCTCTCACCCTCCTTCAGCTGTGACATGCCTTTTCTGCACATGCCCCGACTCCCCCACGCAAGCACATGCCAGTGGGCAGGTTCCCCACAATGACCTGCATGGGGCCAAAACCCACGTGCGTCACTCACTGTGCTTTTTTGCTTACTTTCTGCTCTGTGTTATAAAAATGTTGTTAAAATATCTAAAAGGTGTGCAGATACCCTCTGGGTAACAGTGATAAGAAAAAGATTTATGTTTATCTATAGCACAGAAAGTCAAGCTGTTGGAGAAAGTGGAGAGCAGTGTAAGTGT
Organism: Homo sapiens; assembly: GCF_000001405.40. Classification (NCBI taxonomy): domain Eukaryota; kingdom Metazoa; phylum Chordata; class Mammalia; order Primates; family Hominidae; genus Homo; species Homo sapiens. The sequence continues at coordinate 99,379,765 of NC_000013.11, read as the reverse complement.
GAAACGTCTTACAGGAGAGTATGGTGTTGGAGTGACCACCATATAGGATCTGAAGAAACAGAAGGATAAACTGTTGAAGTTCTGTGCTAAAAGTGATAAACAGAAATTAATGAAAAATAGAGAAACACTGCATAAAGCTAAAAATGAAGATCCTGATCATGTACCGAGGATGGATCCCTTGGTGTTGCAGTGAACACCTGCCACTTAATGCTATGTGGGTCAGGAAACAAGCAAGGATCTATCAGGATGAGGAACTGAAAATGAAAAGGAACTATGAATATTCAACATGTTGGCTGCAGAAATTTAAGAAAAAACATGAAACCAAATTTTTTAATGTGGTGACAAAGCATCATGAAGCAGCAAAGAAATTCATTGGTGAGTTTGCCAAGGTCATTGCTGACAAAAATCTGATGCCAGAACAAGTCTATAATGCTGATGGAACATCACTGTTTTGGTTTTATTGCTCCAGAAAGACACAACTACAGCTAATGAGACAGCCCCTCCAGGAACTGAGGACATCAAGGGCAGAACAACTTTGCTGGGATGTGCTAATGCAGCAGGCATGCATAAGCGTAAACTTGCATGACAGGCAAAAGTTTGTGTCCTTGCTGTTTTCAAGCAGCGAATTTCTTACCAGACCATTATTATGCTAACAAAAAGGCATGTTTAACTAGGGATATCTTTTCTGATTGGTCTCACAAACATTTTGGACCTGTGGCTTGTGCTCACTGCAGGGAAGCTGGGCTGGATGATGACTGAAATATTTTGTTATACCTTGACAACTTTTCTGTTCATCCTCCAGCTGACATCTCATCAAAAATCATGTTTATGCCATGTACTTTTCCCCAAATGTGACTCCATTAATTCAGCCATGTGGCCAAGGTATTCTTAGATCAATGAAGGATAAATATAAAAGTACCTTCTTGAACAACATGCTAGCAACAAATGAATGGGTATGGAAGATTTTCAACAGGCGTTTAGCGTGAAGGATGCCACACATGCTGTTGCCAATGCATGGAACACAGTGACTGAGAACACAGCTATGCAAGCCTGACACAACCTCTGGCCTGTGCTATGTTCAGTGATGATGACGAACAAGGTGGTGACTTTGAAGGATTCCACATGTCAAATGAGGATAAAATGATGCCTGACCTCCTAACAGGTAAAAAATATACCTTCGAGTCTGTCAGTAAGCCAGAAGAAGTGGATATTGAAGTTTTTATTTTTTATTTTATTTTTGAGACAGAGTCTTGCTCAGTCACCCAGGTTGGAGTGCAGTGATGTGATCTCGGCTCACTGCAACCTCCACCTCCTGGGTTCAAGCCATTCTCCTGCCTCAGCCTCCCAAGTAGCTGGGACTACAGGCATGTGCCACCATGCCTGGCTAATTTTTGTGTTTTTAGTAGAGATGGGGTTTCACTATGTTGGCCAGGCTGGTCTCGAACTCCTGACCTCAAGTGATCTGCCCACCTCGGCCTCCCAACTTGCTGGAATTACAGGCATGAGCCACTGAGCCCAGCCAGATATTGAAGTTTTTAATATCGATAAGGGGGCTCCAGCTGTTCATTAACTGACCCATGGTGAAATAGCTGAGATGGTTCTGAGTCAAGGTGACTGTGACAACAGTGATGATGGAGATGATGCTAACGCTGCAGAAAAAGTGTCTACAGACGACACAGAGAAAATATGTGATGGGCTTACTGAAGGACTAGAGCAGCATGCATTTTGGATAAGGGATACTCAACTTGTAGGGACAGAAAACCAGGTTCATGCTTCCGTGAAATAA